>NC_000019.10:30365874-30990874 GCF_000001405.40 Homo sapiens | reverse complement strand
AAAATCTTTTGCTTTTCTAAAAAGCAACAATCATTTGAATAATTACAACACTGAAAATACTCTCCTTTCTGACTGTGTACTCTGTTTTTCTCCAAGCAAGAACTCTGCTTTCATCTGATACATAAAAGAGCAATAGTTCTCTGATGAACTAAGACACATGGAATGTCTAATTAACATTAAAATATTGTCTCTCATCATTAGCTTCATTCGCACTGGATATGTCAGTTCTTGAGAAAGAAGTGCAGAGGCAATGACCCAATCTCACAGTTTTTTTTTTTTTTCTTATAAAAATGGCAAACTAAAGTAAAAAGAAGAAGGACAATGTGTTCCACGTCTAGGACAATGGTTCACTAAGCCCACTGCCTGGGGATGACTTCCCTGCTCCAAGGCCCTGAGCGCTTTCTGACATCCAACCCCACTGTGAATGGATCTGTGACCATTTATATGGGTTTTTATTATCTTGGAGTCTCTACAGAAGGAACAGTCAATCCCTCCATGTCTGGGGCCATTACGTTAAGCTGCATAGCTCAAGCCACTAGAGCAGAAACTGAGGAACTCATTAGAACAAGAGCATATCTGCTGCCAGGTGCAGCTTCATGGTGTCTCTGGATAGTCCCCAGTGAGCTATCAGAGGTCACAGCAGACTAAATAAGTGGGTTCTAAAAACCACCCCAAAATGCATTAGACGGTTTCAATGAATAGACATTTCTTACCTGCCCCTGAGAGGGGTCCAGAATGTTCTGGAATGAATTCCCATGATGGGTAAGAGGACCTTTAAGATTCTAGACTCTCTGCAGCCAGAAAACATTGCATTGCCCATGATCACATGCTTCCCATGAGTGCAGACCCACTGAGCAACATCCATGATCTTGCTGTGTGACCTCCAATAAAAGGTTTCTCTGCTGCTCTCAAAAGCCAATGATGTCCTCTTTGCATCACCTGTGGGCTCCTAGCCTGCAGGGAGTCCATATGTTTTCTAGCTCTATTATTAGCCACAGAAGCCTACTGAAATTCCCAATTCCTCTGGAAGCTCCTGAGGAACTGACAGCTCCAGGCTCTCAGTAGAAGCCAACACACTGTATTTTCAGAAAGCATTACCAGGACCATTCCAAATGCAGTCCAGCTTTATATGGTCCTGGAGACTGAAGGTCTTAATGAGGCCACAACAGCCACACAATGCATCAGGATACTAACAGATTAGGTCTTCGACTACCGTTTCTACACCCTTGGGCTTGAATTCTTTGCCTTAGCCTACTTGCTTATTGCTTTTCTCTTATTTTTTGCCTCTATTTATGTTGCTTTTTTTCCTCTTGCTCTCTGAGCTTCTTTGATTATTTCATCCAGAGAGAGCCAGGACTGCAAACAGCAACATTAGCAATACTCTATGCTTTAAATCTTGCATTTAAATAAACCTGCAAGTTGGTAACCCAAATCAGGGGTATCTTCAAATGTTGGAGTTTGGGTGTATTCCACGCTCTTCAAAGAACCTCTGCAACACCCATCTCTCGCCTTTAAAGTCCACTGACTTTTCTTCCCAGAACCTGATTTCAATATTGAGCTCCTGGCCTTGTCTGAGACCCAGCCACATGAAGAAGGCCTCTAAGTGTTTGTTGTTGTTGTTGTTGTTGTTGTTTTGGCCAAACTGTTATTGATAATGTAGGTTCATTGTGAAAGTGGACTTACTTTTTTCTCACTATATCTGCTCTTTTTGAAAAGTGATTTTTGTAGGTTCTCCCACGAAGAGATGGAGTCTATTTTCCTACCCCTTGAATGTGAACTAGTTTTGTGAATCTCTTTAGCCAATGAAATGCAGAAGATGGGAGAGTGTGTGAGTGCCAAGACGAAACCTCACAAAGACTGTGTGATTTTAGCAATTTTTGGAACTCTGCCACCACTAATGAAACAAAAGAAAGCTATATTGATAGAGGATAAAAGAACATATAGAACAGAGCCAAGTCAGCCAGCCTCTTTTGTAGATGCTACTCTATACCAGGCACTCTCTGGTTTGTCTAGTAGCTAGCCATAGATACATTAGCAGAGCCAGTAAACAAAATGACCCAGCTTACCTTTAGACTTATGAAAAGTTATAAATGGTTGTGATTTTAAGTCTTTAATTTTAGAATGGTTATGCCTTAAGAGGGAACACATATAGAAATTGGTATGTAAAAGCAAGTGTCATAACAAAACCCTGAAATATGTAGCATTGGCTTTGGGGCTGGATGAAATGTGAGCTCTAGAAAAAAAGTGAGGAACCCTTTAACAAAAGCAGAAAAAATAGTTTATAATTGATTATAGGAGGTAGAAAAATGGCAACTTGCATTATGAAAACTGTAACAACAGATTCAATATTTGTGTCTAATATTAGAGTCCAAGAAGGACTAGAAAAAGAAGTAAGTGCTTAAAAAGTACTAGGAGAAATAGTAGCTGAAAATTTCTCAGATTTGACAATAAGCATAAAGCTTCAGATTCCAGAAGTGAAGCAAACCCAAACAAAACAAACAAAAAAAAATTCATGCCAAAACACATTAACCATCTAAAAACTAAGCAGAGTTAAAATCTCAAAATCAGATAGAGGGAAACAATGTATTATCTATGGAGGAAAAAAAATTCAAATAACATCAGATTTCTCATCAGAAATCAGGGAGGCCAGAGAAAGTGGCACAATATTTTTCAAGTGCTAAAATAAAATAATTTGCAACCAAGAATTCTATATCCAGAGAAAATATCCTTTAGAAATGAAGAGAAAATTAAAGGAGTGGTTACATTAATATATAGAGTAGATTTTGAGGAAAGAATATTTCCAGTGGCAGAAAGCAATATTAAATAATGGCAAAAGTGTCCCTCTATCAAAAATTAATAGGAATACTAACCTTGTAGATAAATAAACAACAGAGCTACAAAATGTGTGAAGCACAAATTGATAGAAATGGGTGATGTCAGTAAAAGTGGTGCAGTAAGGACTTCTGTAAATTTTTTGCCCCTACATAAAACCAAAGAAAAGGAACTGGCAAAATATATGATCAGGATCAGCTTTTATGGAACTTTGGAAATTAATTAAAGGCTTTCAATAATCACAAAGTGTTTATAGAAGAAAAGTGGTTGACTCTTAGTTTAACAGCAAATTTTATGATGTTTTAAGTTATTCTAGTTCTATCCCCCAGTCCTCAGCAAAGAAGTAGCCTTGAAAAACAATAGCTTCCATTTCTAGTACCAAAGGGAACAAATGGTCAAAGGATTGTCAGAATTTGACTTGTCTGATAGTTCCCTGTAAGATCCTACTACAACATCCTGTCTTTATTTGACCTAACTTGATACTCAATACTAGAAATTTCATCCCAGAGGGAGTTTCTCAAAAACATTTACAGGCAAATGTTTTAACACTATGGCTGCCCAAGGAAATGGATGACAGTTTGGAAAAACAATAGACTAACTTAAAAGGAAAAGCTGGGTAATAATACATCCGTAGGAGCTTTGAAAAGTTGTGACATATTCTTGGAAATCCAGAAAGTCATGCAGATACATAGGGCTATGTGTATAATAAAGGAAGACTTGAGAAGGCCCTAAGCACTCACCTCTGGCTGGACCTGAGGCTCTGTACAAGCAGAAAGGCATAATTGTCAACTGTCTGGATGAGTGTTGAAGGCATGCCTCAATGTTCATACAGAGACCTTAAACAAAAACCAAGAGAATTATTGCTTTCAAGTGTTTAAGGAAATAGCTGTCCAATTATTAGCTGACCACTAAACTAACTAATGAAAGACTTAAGTGGCTACACACAATAAATAATACAGACTTTACAACAGTAGATTAGAAAAATCACTAAACAAACAGCAATTACAGCAAACAGCAAATAAAGTAAACCCTGAGAAAAAAGGAAGAAGCTTATTTCCAGAGTTGACATATTATAATATTTAAAATATTTTCAACAAAAATTTTAAGACATGTAGAGAAGCAAGAAAATGTCCCTAATACATAGAAAAAAAGCAACAAATAGAAACTGAACCTGAGCAAGTATGGACATTGTACTTACTAGCAAATACTTTGTCAGTGATTTTAAATATGTTTTGTTAGTTGAAGGAAACTAAGTTTAAAAACCTAAAGCATGACATTACATAACAAATATAGAATATCAATAAAGAGATAGAAATTATATATACAATAAAGTAGGTAAATTAAACATTAAACAAATTAAATAAATATATAATAAAATATATAGAAATTATATCCATATGTATATATGATTGCTGGAGTTGTAAAGTACAATAACTGAAAAAAATTACTAGACAAACTCAACAGCAGATTTAAGAAGGCAAAAGAAAGATGTAACAAACATGAAGATAGATCAATTGACAGTATCCAATTTGAGAAAGAGAAAGAATAAAAAGAATGAAGAAAAATGAACAGAGCATCAGAGATCTGTAGGACAACACCAAGCATACTAATATACATATAATGAGAGTTCAGACTGTGGGGGGTGATTTCCTAAATATGACGAAAAACGTTAGTCTACACATTCAAAGAGCTTAACAAACTTCAAGAAAAATAAACTTCAGGGTATCCACAAGTAATATCATAACTGTTGAATGCCAAAGACAACAAGAAGCTTGAAAGCAGGAAGAGATAAGCAATTTATGTGCAAGAGATCTTCAATAAGATTAACATCTTATTTCTTAACAGAAATCATGAGACAAAAGGCAGTAGAATGACATATTCAAAATGCTAAAAAAAAAACCCTATCAAAACAGATTTCTATATATATTTTTTAAAATCCTTCACAAATAAAGGAGAAATTAAGATATTCTCAGATAAGCAGAAAGTTAATCATTAGCTGACCTACTCTATAAAAAATATGGCAAGGAGTCTAAGATGAAATGAAAGAACACCAGGCAGTAAGTTGAATATATTTGAAGAATTAAACAACCCTGATAAAGGTAATCACATAGCTAAATACAAAATATAGTACAAATATTTTTGTAACTTTTTTCTGCTATATAATTGAAAAGAGAGCTACATAAAGCAATAATTGTAAATTTATGCTGATGTGCACACAATGTATACAGATGTAATTTGTGATAATTATAGCACAAAGGAAGAGACAAATGGAGCTATATAGGAACAGAGTTTTTGTGTACTACTGAAATTAAATTGGTATTAATCCAAAGTAGGTTGTTATAAAATTAAATGTTACTGACCATCTTCAGGAAACCCACCAAGAAAATAACTCAAAAATACATAAGAAAAAAACGATGAACGCATTAAAATGGTACAGATGAAAAAATATTTTAACACAAAAAGTCAGTAAGGGAAAAATTGAGTAACGAAGACAAGATATAAAGAAAGCAAACATCAAAATGACAGATGTAAATATTATCGTACAAGTAATTATATTAAATGTAAATGAATAAAATTATCCAATTAAATGGCAGATATTGGCAGAATGAATTTTAAAAGGAAAACAACAATCAAGCCATATGCTGTCTACAACAGTCTCCGTTTACATTTAAAGACAACAAGTTTTGGAAGAGAAGATAAAAAATAAACAATGCGAACAGTAAACAGAAGACAGATGGATTGCCTATATTAATATAGACATAAAATATATTTCATAATGACAAAAGGATCAATTTAACAAGAATTATAAACAATTATATACATACACACACCAAAAAACATAGCGCCCCCCCAAAATAAATACATAACACATGTTAATTACATACCTTGCCCAGTGAAGTTTATTTCAGGAATACCAGGTTGGTTCATGATTTGAAAACTCAGTCAATATAATCTACCATATTATCATGTCAAAGAATAAATAAATCACGTGATTTTATCAACTGATACAAACTAATTTAACAAAATTCAACACCCACTCATTATATACACTCTTGGTCAATTAGAAATAAAAGGAAATGTGCTCATGTTGATAAAGAGCATCTATAAAAGCTACTTACAGCTAATGTAATATTTAATAGTGAAAAACTGATGTTTTCCCCTTGAGATTGGAAACTAATACCATCCACTCTTATCATTACTATTCAACAACCATATTTAATAATTGATTCAACATAATATTGGAAGATCTAGGTAGAGCAATAAGGCAAGAATTGGAAATAATAAGCGTACAGATTGGAAAGAAAGAAAACTGTGCTTATTTCTACATGACATGAGTTTCTACATAGAAAATAATAAAGAATCTGGAGGGAAATTAGCTATTTCCTACTCTTACATATTAAGCACTTTGTAGTTATTATTAAATCCAGACCATTAAGGGTATGAGGTCTTTGGTTATTTTCTGACCGATTGTCTAAACTGTTTTTGCCATTTGTGACATTACACTTAGTTAATTTAACAACTGAAATAACTGAGTTGGTATTGTTGTCGACATTAAATTACTTTGATCTAGAATACAGTCTACAAAAATGACTTTAGAAAGTATAAGTTACTTCAACAAAATATGTAGAATATAGAATCAACATACAAAAATTGATTGTATTTTTGACACGTAGAAATACATTTTAAAATACAATATCATTTTTAATTGCTCAATTGGTGTAATATTTTTGTGCAAATCTAACTATGTATGTATGCCAAAAGCTGCATATTGTAAATGAAAAAAATGAAAGACAATCTAAGTTAAAGAGATACAGTGCGTGTTTAGGGATTAGAAAATTCAATACAACAAAGCTGTCAATTCTTCCCAAATTTAAATTTATATACTGGTTTAACCTAATTCCTATCAAAATCCCAACAAGATTGTTTTCTAGATGCAGGCAAAATTATTCATATATATATGAATCTTATATACATGAACTTATATATGTAAGAAATTATATATAATTATGTATATAATATATTTATATATTTAAATATATGCATATATATATTATATATAAGCATTATGGATATATATCATACATAAATATATATTTTATTTATTTAACATATAAATATGTAATATACTATATAATATATATAAATTTATAATATATAATATATAAATTATATATATTTGTATTTTAATATAAATTATATCTTATACTTACAGATTTATATAATTATTTATAATATATTTATATTTATATACAAAGTATATATTATGTTTATGAAATATGTTGTATTTACATGTAAATATGTAATATATATTAACTAGAATAGCCAAAATAATTTTATATTTATTATATAAAATATATGCTATATAAAAATATATATATGTGAACTGGAATAGCGAAAATAATTCTGAAAAAGAATAAAATGGCCGGGCGTGGTGGCTAACACCTGTAATCCCAACACTTTAGGAGGCTGAGGTGGGTGGATAACTTGAAGTCAAGAGTTCAAGACCAGCCCAGCCAACATGGTGAAACCCTGCCTCCACTAAAAACACACAAATTAGCTGGGCGTGGTGGCAGGCGCCTGTAATCCCAGCTACTCTGGAGGCTGAGATAGGAGAATTGCTTGAACCCGGAGGGCAGAAGTTGCAGTGAGCTGAGATCGCGCCACTGCACTCCAGCCTGGGCAACAGAGTGAGACTCCATCCTCCCCCCCAAAAAAAAAAAAGGAGTTATTATATAGCTACAGTAATCAAGACAATGTGCTGTCGCTGGAGGGGTTCACAGATAGATTAGTGAATAGAATAGCAAAATAAGAAATAGCCACTTTCAAATTCAACCAAGGATATAAAAGCAATTGAATCGATAAATAATGCTAGAGATTAGATATCACTATGCATAAATAAGTAAATCTTGATATAAAACTCACACCTTGATCTAAATCTACCAAAATTGACTCAAAATCAATCATGGATTTAATGTAAAATTATAAATTTTTAAAAAAGATACATATAAGGAAATATTGAGGACCAAGATTTTGGTGAACACTTGTTAGACATGACACCTATAACAATTCATCAAATAAAAATAAATCAATAAATTGCACTTAGTCAAAATTTAAAATATTTTCTTCCTGAAAGACATTGTTAAGAGGATGAGAAAATATCTACAGGCTTGGAAAAATATTTGCAAACAATATAGCTGACAAGGAATTCATACAGAGTTCATATAAAATAGAAAACAATCCAATAAGAAACAGAAAAAAAAATCCAATGAGAAAATGATGAAAGACACAAACATTTTACTGAAGATTATACATGTGTGACAAATAAGCCACAAAAAATTACCTTCATCACTAGCCATTAGAGAAATGCAAGTTAAAGCTGAAATGAATACCACTGCACATGTACGACTGGTTAAAAATTTTAAAAATATATACTGACAATACCAAGTGTTAGTGAGGATGAAGAGCAACTGGAACACTCATACATTTCTGGTAGAAATATAAAATTACATAAGCATTATAAAAAAAGAGTGTTCTGTTTGTATAATGGCAAACATACACTTATCCACTGACCCAGAAATCTCACTCACAGACATTTATCCTATAAATGTTTATAAATGTTTTTAAAGCACTTTTGTTCACATTAAAACTTGTCCACAAATGTTTAGAGGAATTCTATTCATAATTGCCCCAAACTAGATACAACCTATATGTCCTTCAGTGGTTTCATGGTTAGACACACAGCAGTACATTTATATACTGGAATCCTACTTATCTGCACAAACAAAAGGACTGTTGATAAGAGCAAAAACTCAAAGGCATTATGCTGAGTGAGTATATCTAGTGTTGAAAACTTGCATGTTGTATGGCTCCATTTATGTGACTTTCATGAAAATGCAAAATACAATGCTGAAAAATAGATCAGTTGTTATCAGAAGTTAGTAGTTGGGAAAAATGTAACTATAAAGAAATATTATAAAAGGGCTTTCTTAAGGTGATGGAATGTTCTCCCTCCTGACTTCATGGTGGTTATATAAATCTATACATGTTTTCTAATTCATAGAACTGTAGATGCAACATAAGTCAATTTTACTGTATATTAATTTTTAAAGTAAATAAAATAAAATGAGCCCTGAGTACAAGAAACTAAACATAGGTGTCACTTACCTTGTAAATGTTATATACATGTTCTCAGATAGACTAAAGAGAAGATGAAAAACATGGAGGCCTAATCCCAAACTAGTAACTTAAAAGAGAAAAGTCTTTCTCAAAGGCTATTTTAGTTTTGGAATCTGAAGCATGGAGTAAAAACTAGTTAGATACATAGAAGGTCCATGAGGTTTTTAATGAAATTGAATTGGCAAAATGCCACCAGTATATAATAAAAAAAACTGATATTTATTTTGAATTATAAAGACACTCCTGGGCCCCAAACTTCTTAAGGTCAAGAAGCAGGCTGAAAAAGCAACTCATTGCCAAGGCAGGCCAGTTTTTCTAGAAGTAGTCAAAGAGAATGATAGAAAACAAATGGGATCTCAAACAGTGGTGTCAAGATCTTTGAAAAACAATGAATGGGAAACCACTCTCAGAAAACAGAACCATGACCTAGTCAAGTAATGCTCTCCCTGTTTGCACAGTAGGGTTTCAGAATGCCCATAAACCATTGGCTGCTACATACCTCCCATTATTCCCTCTTTTCAAAGGAAGCATTTATTGTGATTTTACTATCCACTTCAACATTGTATGTAGGGTGTGTGGGGATTGATAGCTTGGCCTTATAATTCATAATTCTCAAAATCAAGAGCACCTTGAACTCAAGTAGATATAGATCAAAAGATGTTAAATTTGGAGTATGACACCATATTGGATGAGACAAGCAAACATGCTGCATAACATGAATGTGTTTTCCGGGGTTTAGAGACCAAGGTCCCAGGATGTTACCTGCCTGGTGATCAGGGGAGGGTGAGAAAAACTTACATCTCTAAACAGTCAATACATTTTACTGCTTCTTCTGTCTTTCTCCATCTCTTCCACACACCACCAATCCCCCACAAAACAAAACAGACTCAACTCTAATTTACACTAGCCAATTAGTATTAGTCACATACTCTAAGACAAGCACAGACAAGCTCCCTGAGGGATATCGTGGTCAACAAGACAAGGTCTTTGCCCTCAAAGACCTTAAAGATTCATGAACTAAGAAAGCAGGGGCAAGCATGGGATAACAGAGAATGCTGAGAAGGGTCCTCTGTGCTTATCGAGACCATCCCCTCAGCCACACATGCATAAAGGGAGGCCCAGAGCAGGGAAACCTGCCAAAATTAAACCACCAGCTACAGGCTGAGTCAGTTTAGTATCTGGGCCTTCTAACCCCAATACCTTTTCTATCACATCAAGGTTCATCCAAATGATTGCAAGGTTCTTAGGTGGTGATGATGATGACGATGGCAATGATGATGATAATGATGATGGTAATGATAATAATGGCAGTGATGATGGCAATGATGATGAAGATAATGATGATGACAAAGATTTCTTTGGATCATAACAGAGCATCCACATGCCTGTTTGAGTTGCTTGGCAACTCGTAATTGCTCCAGAACTAACATATTCTGGGGCTGTCTCAGAGTTAAAGGGTTTATTGTTACTTTCGCCCAAAGAGGAGAATGAACCAGGTCTGAAGTACTTCCTTAGACCTCTAATGTACTACACTATTCTAAGTTATTTATGGAGCAACTTTGGGTCATAAAACACTAGATTTCTGTGATATTTATCATGTTTCATCCCTATAAAACAAAGGCCAGAGCCGACCACCCTGCGATTTTCACCTTACCCATGTGACTGCTTCTGAAACATTCCTACTTTCTATTTTAGAACTAAATTTTCAGTCTGAAGAATTGATTTGTGTAATTAAGCAAGTGATTTTGAAGGAAGATTTTGCATGAATTTGCAATATAATTTTCTTTTTCTGTAACTGTTAATTGAAATCATTTATCAGGTTTTTAAGCTGAAAAAAGTTAACTTTGAAAAAATAAGGTGTGAACTGTTCATTTTTTATGCAATCTCAACATTGTCTTTGATGCACTCATTAATTCCTTATTTACAATCAGGGCTGCCAGCTTCCTCAGTTTGGGTAAGAAATGGTCTGCCTTAACCCTTAGTGAGATGGGACTTTCAGACCCAACAACTTGGTAATAGTTGTCTTTATTCTCCCTTCTCCTCACATCATCACCCCAGGAAAGTTTGGGCCTAAAATTATCATTAAAATGATCAAATTGGAATCTTAGTCTAAAACCACAAGAATTTAATAAATATAATTTTTTTTTTGTGACTCAATTAACATCCATTTTGAGCAGCCATTTTATAAGAATTATAGAAATTTAAGTTAAGAAAAACTGGGGGTTTCTTTCACTTATTCCACACAGGTTGCTTCTAGGGCTATGCATAGCCTGGGCTCATAGAGTGAAGGCTGGGTGTCTGATACTCAATACCATCTGACATTCACCAATGTGCCTATCCCCGTGTCTAGTCTGAGTCACTGGGCCATTCCACTGCTACAGGGGGTCCATCCCTAAGATCCACACTGCCCTCAAGCACATGGGGATTGAGATGCATGCTTCTCCTGGGCTTTACCACTGTCTAGAAATTCCACCAGCTTACTTAAATCCTTGCTGCCTTCACTGACTTTCTTGCCTTTCCTGGCTGTTGTTAAGGAATCTGTGCCACGTACTACTGCTTTAGATTTCCTAGGAACTTTTCTGGGTTGCTTTCCTCCTATTAAGGTTCAGCTTAGGGTACAGGCCGAAGGAACCCCTGCAGAGAACACTGATCTCTCTGCTTCTCTCCCTGCACTCCAGAGGAAACTTTGAGTCCTGAAGTTTTCTTTAAAATGTTGCCCATACCTAGAATTCTGAAGTTCTTCCAAGGGTCTAGGTTGTGCTGAAATTATGGAGAAAGAAAGATACTTTTTTTCCCCCTCTTTTCCTCTGGGAAAAACTTCTCCCTTTCCTGAAGCTGGGAGAACAACAAAGCCTAGTTTTCTGAATGAGGAGTAGGCAAAGTTAACGCTTGGTGGGGGAAATCAGTCATATTCCAATGCCTCTAGAAACAACCCAAGTAATTAACAGGACAAAGGAATAGCCCCTCTCCAGCCACCTGACCCCGTGTTGTGAGAGCTGCACTTTGCAAACCTTAATGGGGGCTCCTACTCTAAGCACCCCCACAACTCAAGGCTGCCAGTCTACATTCTGTGTCCTGCTGCGTGCTGTTGGGCACTCTGTTCTCCTTCTTCACAGCCTCTGTCACCTCAGCAGCAGTGGAAAACACTCTCAGAAGCACAAGAGGAAGTAGAGATGGTTAATTCTCTCTGAAATACGCTCACAGGATGCCTGGAATTTTTTTCCTGGTGAACTTTCCTCAGCTCTGATTCATTTACCAGTGGGAAGGTGGAGAACAGGTGAAGTGTGGAAGCTTGCAATTATTTTCAACAGCTTAATAGTTTTCCATTATATGAATTTACCATGGTTTTATCCTACTGATGAATATTTATTCTGTTTCCCAAATTTTACTCTTGTAAACAACATCAATTTAGAGAAAAGAGCATTGGTCAGGAACATGGATCTACATACAAAATGGAAGAGCTTTAGAAAAGGCATAAGTAATGGTAAAATAAAGTATTTTATTTCCCTTATTCTTAATTGATGTAAGAGATAACAACTTGTTCAAAATAATAATACCAACAACATATTGAGTGTCTATAGCTTGTATATAAGGAAAATGAATGACAGTAATGTTGTAAGGGGCTGGTGAGGAATGGGAATACTGTGTTATGCAGTACTGTACTAAACTTGAAGTGGTATAATGTTATTTGAAAGTAGACCTAGATTAGTTGTAAATGTATGTTGCAAATTCTAGTGCAATCACTTAAAAATGTAAAAAGAAGTATACTTGATATTCTAAGAGAGAAGAGAAAATGGGCTCATATAACATACTCAATTCAAACCAGAAAGAGTATAAGGAAAGAAAAGAAACAAAGAACAAGGGCAACAAATAGAAAATAGTTACAATATGGTAGCTATTACTCCAACTGTATCTATAATCACTTTAAATTTGCATGGTTTAAATACACCAATTAAAAGACAGAGAATGTCAGAGTGGATATAAAAACAAAACCCAACTAAACATTGTCTACAAGAACTTCACTTTCAGTATAAAGACACAAAAGTGAAGAGATGGAGAAAAATATACCAAACTAGAAGTAATAAAAATAAAACACTAAATTAATTTCAGATAAAACAGACTTCACAAGGAAAATTATCAAGAATAAAGAGAGGCACTTTATAATAAAAATGTTAATTCTCCAAACTTCATGTGTATGTGTGTAATAACAGAGGGCCAAAATACATGAGGCAAAAGTTGATAGATAAATTTACTATTATAGCTGGAGACTTCAACACCCCTCTATCAGTAATTTAGTTTCCTAAGGCAAAAACATCAGTTAGAATATAGTCAAACTGAACAGAACCATCAATCAGCTGGCTCTAACTGATATTTATAAAATACTTCATCCAACAACAGCAGAGTACACATTCTTCTCAAGTTCCTATGGGACAGTGACTGAGATATAACACATTCTGGGTCATAAAATTCACCTTAACAGAGTTAAAAGTATAGAAATAATATGATGTCTGGTCTCAGATCATAATGAAGTTAAAATAGAAATCAACAGAAAGAAGCTGAAAAATCTTAAAATATCTAGAGACTAAACAGCACATTTCTAAATAGCATGAATAAAAGAAATACTAAGAGAAATTAAGACATATTTTGAACAAAATGAAACTACAACTTATCAACATTTGTGGGATGCAGCAGAAACAGTGCTTACAGGGAAATTTATAGCATTAAATGTGCATATTAGAAAAGAAGAAGGATTTAAAATTAATTATCTAAGCTTCCACCATAGGAAGCTAGAAAAAGAAAACAAAATCAAAGCCAAATTAAGCAGAAGAAAACAAATAATAAAAATTATAGTAGAAATAAATAACACTGAAAATAGAAAATCAATAGAGAGAATCAACAGACTCAAAAGTTACACTTTGATCGTATTTTTAGAAGTAATAAAACTGTAGCTAGGGCAACCAAAAGACAGACAGAGAGAGGCAGAGAAAGAGCAAGAGAAAACACAAATTACTAATATCAGAAATGAAAGAGGAGTCATCACTACTGATCCCTTACATATTGGAAAGATAATAAATAAACATTAGAATTAACTCTATGCTCACAAATTTGATAACTTAGATGAAATGGACCAATTTCTTAAAAGCCTGTCTGCCAAAACTCACACAAGAAGAGAAATCAACAATCTGAATTGGCCCATATTTATTAAAGTAATTGAATAAATAATTAACAACCTTTCAGAAAATAAAGCACCAGGCTCAGATGGTTTTACCTGTGAATTCTATCAGACATTTAAAAAAGAAATCATGCCAATTTTCTAAACACTGGAAAGATCATTCTTGCAGCTAAACATTTGTCCATGTATAATTTCCATAGGATATATTACTGGTGAAGAATTGTTGGATTAAAAGTATATGTATTGTTAATATTTTATTAGGTATTGCCAAGTTGCACTGCTATGTTTGAAATTAAGTTTCAATTAAGAATAAGACAAAAATAAAATCAGTTTGAAACCAATTAATACAGTGTTTATTTCTCTGAAAACCTGCTGACAGTTGAAATGTTTTGGTTTTGTCATTTTATGGTTAAAAATAAGAATTCATTAATGTTTAAATTGCATTTATTTGAACAAAATAAATGTAAAATAATTTTAGTAATGTTAGTGTGCGTTTTCAATTCTAAAGAAACTTCTCATGTTCATTAGTAGTATTTTAATAATTATAATAGCACAAATATAATGCTTAAATTTGCCAACTACTGTTGTAAGTGCCTTACATATTCCAAGTAATTTAATTATCAGGACACACCAATAAGTTAGGAAATGTTATTTCTATTTTACAGATAAGTAAATTGAGCATAAAAAGATTAATTAAATTGCCTAAGGTCACACATACTTGGAAATTAAGTCTGCCGCACTGGCAGAATCCATACTCTTAAACGTTATGTTAGTCTGATTTTCAGGGGGTATTTGTTTTTAATATGTACATGCATACACACACAGAGACACACACAGGCACACACACACACATAGGATTTTCCAAGCAAGACAACAAACCTACCATAAATGAGTTAATTTATATATTTGCTACAATAGAAAGCATTTTAATTGTATTAGGATTAAAATTTACTATAATTAAAGTAGAAAGAGCAAACTGGGCAAAGTATTACACATTTTATAATTAAAGTTTTCTCAGCTTCCCCCTTTATTCTTTTATCTGTCAATGATATATACACCCACATTTGCTTCTAAATTTTTTAATTTTATAATTTACATTTAAACATTTTATTCACATAAATTAGTCATCAAATTTCTTTTTGCATGTGGTTGGTCATTGTCTCAACACATTGATTGAGCCATATAATTTTTAACTACAGATTTTAAATTCCATTTGACATAAACCCAGGAATGCCTCTGAATTTTTTTTTCTGGTCCATTGGCTTGGTCAAAAAAAAAGGCCAAACCATACTGATTTTGTTATTGTAGCTTTATAATGTATATAGGCAAGACTTTCTGCATTACTGGATATAACTTTTTTTTCTTGGTGAATTGATTTCTTCATATACTTTAAAATCACTTTGTTGAACTTCAGAGAGAATCTTGACATTTATTTTAATTACATTTCATGTTACTTTGAATCATTGTTCAGTTGTCTTAACATTTAGACAAAGACAATGTGGTTAACTGCAAATCATGATAATTTTGTTTCGTCTTCTCCAATATTTATACTGGTCATGTATTTTTCCTCTTTTTTGCAATCCTTAGCATTTCCAAAAACAAAAAGTTTTAAAATATTGCATGTGTTTGTGTACGTATATATATGCACAGAATAAGTATATATATAATTTATTTTACTTATTTACTTTTTCTAATGTATTTAAACCCTGATTCTATCGATTTGGTTCTGTATTTTCTGTGAAGTTTTTATTGTTATATTTCTATGTCCTTGAGTTAATGCTTAATTCATTAACAATGTTATTAAATAATGTATGTATGTAATATTTTAAATTTTTCTCGGAGAGGAATTTTGACTGTTTTTGAGATTCGATATGTAGCTTTTGCATTGTTTCTTTTCTATAAATATAATAGAAATATGTAATTAAAATTTTGAATTTTTATTTGGCAAAAAGGTATTTCATAGAGTATTGCTTAATTTCCTAACAATTGTTATTGTTTTAAAAATATTTGTCATTATTACTTTAGTTATACTTAATAAGTAAATACATTATGTGTGAAACATGTTTATAATTTTTTAAGTTTATTGAGTTTTTGTTAACTAATATAAGTTCCTATATGTGTGTTAGAAACAAAGATATATTCTGCGTAAGGTAAAAGTCATATTATTTAGGTTTTCTCATTTTTTTTCTAGCAGATCTGTCAAAGACAAATAAAAGCAAGTAAAAGGATGTCATTATAACTGTGTTTTCCCACTCCGCTTTGTATTTCTAAAGACATTGGTACTAGGGTCAATGCCTTTCATCGGCTGACATTAATGTCTGTTAGCCCCTTTTTGGGTGACGGTGCGACTTTCCTCTTCTCCCCATTTGTCTTCATTGGTACTTGGGCAGAATTGTGTGTTTATGTGTTTGTGTTTGTGTATGTGTGTGTGTGTAAGATGGAGGTGGAGGGTGGAGCTAAATCATGGTCTCCTAGCCAGATGTTGTTTTGAACAGCAAGCTGGCCAAGAGGCCTTCTGCAGGCCTGCTGACTCTCCACCCTTCATGCTCCAGGTGTCAACCTTGGCAGAGGTCTCAAGGAGAGGGAGTGAGGAAAAGGGAGGTAAAGCGCAAGTGCAAACACATGGTCCATTATATTATCTCAGCTTGTGAATGCTGGTGATGGCATCTGCAGTCCAAGCTTTATTTTCAGTTCCCTCTTAACTAGTTGGCCCATATTCTTCTGGCTCCAGGAAAGAAGTCTAAAAATAGATTGCAAAAGATGTGATGATCACTTTGCATTCAAAATGGCCTTACCTCCAGGAGTGACGTTTATATATTTAAAATGTCTTTTAAGAGCAGTTTCAGAAAATCACCCTAACAGGTGCTGCATCTCAGTGGTGGCAGCTGTGAGCTCTGCCATGTGGGAGAGAGGTCGGGAAATTCAGTGTTAGACTCAGAGAAAGCCAGCCTGGTGGCCAGGACACCCAGCGTGGCATCTTCTTTTCTAAAAATTCAGTAATGCTTTGCAGAGGAATTAAGGCAACTTTATGCTGTCTTTCCATTCGCTGAGGCAGTAAGATCAATAGATGAACAAAAAGAAAATCCAAAACCCAATCAAAACCTGAGAATCAGTACTAGTAGGATGGCACTCTTCCTAATAAAATGTCATTGCACACCACTTCCCATGGTTCTTTCCCACCCTCTGAAGCTTGACCCAGGATTTAACCTGGTATTTCATGATCAGAAGCTCTGAGGGTTGATATAGGCAGAAAAGAATCACTAGACTCTCTAGTCAGGTCCCCATCCGGCATTTGAATTCTCTTTGTCTTATGCCAACAAAGTGGTCTCCCTCTTTTCCTCCCACGTCTGCATGCATCTAGCATCTCCGTATTCACCTGTGTACTATTTCTCAAACTGTTCCCCCACTTTCAATCAGATAGCACATGTTCCTGCCCTCTGTCTACTTGAATCCACTCCACTCAAGTTGAACCTTCCCAACATATGCTTTCGTTTTGGACATTCCTACTTGCATTATGTGTAATAATATTCAATTACAGACTATATTTGAAAAATTATTTGCACTGGTCCTTAGATTGCCAAATAAACTATCAAACTCCTTAGAACATGTATCTTCCTCATATGTCTTCTTGACCTAACCTGGCACAAGTGGTTCAGTAAAACCTTGGGAGATTCTATTGCTTTTCTCTATCCTCCCCACAGAAAAGAATTAGCATGGCTCCAGTTTGGTTCTGAAAAGAGAATTGCAATGCCTTATATTCAAGTACAAGTTTGAACCAAAAGATGGTTCATACGATTGTAGTTTCTGATTCACGTCTACTCTCAACTGCCTCGGTGAGAACTTCCTCCCCCTCCTGCTCTCGGCAATGAGGTGTTTATTTGGACGTTTTGGTCCATGTGCCATTTTCAGAGGCTGGAACGCTCCTTCAGGCACATGCGACGCAGTGTGGGGTGATGTGTCCCTTCTCATCATCACGTAAGATATGGTCTGCTCTGCTTTCAAATCCAAATTCCATCTATTTTAATGTACAGTAATTACACCATATCAAATTTCTGCCTACAGCACTACACATCTTACTTTCCACCGTCTAGCACCTCCTGTCATCTGCAGAGGGGGCTAGGAACAGAGTGAGCTGTGTACTAAAGAACAAACTCATCAAGCCTACAAACTTCCCCATCCGCACTCACTGCCAGAGCCTCCCTGCACTAAGAAGGAGGACAACACCACCACCACTTTGCAATCCAGTCACATAGCCCAGAGTCTGGATCGCACAGAGGTTTTGTCTACCATCTTTCCGAAGGAGTGTTCCAGACACCACTCCAGCCCTGGCCAAATGGAATTATACTGAATCACCCTCTTTCCATATTTATGCTTGGAGTGGGTGAGGGAGGAGGGCAGAGAGGGGTAGAAAGGTCTAGCACTTTTGGTTATATAGATTCTGAAAAATCAGATACTTTTTTTTATTCTTAAAATGTATATGTTGCATATGTTGCATCTCTTAGGCTCCGGATGTTGGTGCAAATGTTCTCTTGCTCAGGAGGAGTAAGAGCGAGAAGACGGGAGAGGTGCTTTGGGAAAGCCTGTCAAACCAGTGTGCAGCCTATGAGCTCCCTGGGGCAGATACTAACTCACGCCACCTTGAAGAATCCAGTGATGTTCAGGGCCTTCAACTGGCACCAATGTGAGCTAATTAGATTGGGTTAAATTGGATCATTCAATGAAAAGTACATAGCTGGAGTTGTATTCTTCTGGCCTTCAGGTGGAATAACTTAGGGTCACCCTGAACCCATTAAACAATGTTGGTCACACAGTTGCCTTTGGTACAAAGACCAAGCCCAGAAATTCCTCAACAGTAGTCCACTTCAAGGCCATGGACTTATCAGCTTCCCCCCAAGTCCAATGTCCTTCCCCACTCATTCTCCTGTCCCCGAGCTCTACCCAGCTCATGCTATTTGGGGGGCATCAATAGCTGAGAAACCTCCCATTTACAAGTATGAACTTGTTATTTTGGAAAAGCTGAGTAGCTTCTGAAACTTCTGCAACATGAGCTACTGGACATCAGAGCTGAAAAGACTCTGTGAGGTCATGGACAAAACAGAAATCTGAGGCCTAAAAAAAATAGCCACAGGATTAATTGATGATAACCTACAGAAACCCACCAGCTGGATGAAGCACAAATGAGAAGGATATTGAGGAGCTTCCAGAGCCTATGGGAAAGAGAGTCTGGAGAAGGAGGTGGGGCCCAGCTGTAAGACCTGAGTCAGAACAGGTATGCCCCAACCCAGGCATCCACTCCTGCTAGAATGAACATCATCTGAAATTTATTTTATTCAAAGTCATTCCACCCAAGTCTCAAGTCCAGTAAGAAAGAATACGATTGTCTGAGCTGAAGTCACATACCTGACTACCAACATTAGAAATGTCAATCATCAATGACAAAAAAAGAAGACTCTGGAAGAAGCAGGCTCAAGGGTCTTCTGCTGCTTCCATAGAAGGAAGGCAGTGCAATGAAGTCCCTGTCTCTCCAAACTGCACATAATCAGGGAGGGGACATTCCTCCAAGGGGACTGTCACAGGCCCCATCTGAACACTTACAGAGCCCAGCATGACAGTATAAACATTTCTAAATGTTACAAATCATGTTACAAACTATTTTTTAAAATGCGATATACTCCCACCTTGACAAATAAAGCTTCATAACAACTGGAAGGTCAGGCTTGAATTTAGAATTTCTACCAACACCTTGGAATTTTAGCTATACATGGAGAATGCACCCAACCCTCTCACTCCAGCTTACTAACTACTCCCTCTCCCACTCTTCTCTCTCTTGCCTCATAAAGAGCCTCCAATTTTTTATGTATGGACACCAAGCTCACAAGTTCCAGCTCTGTCTACACTTGCAAACAGCAGACCCTTCACCACAACTCTAGCCCAGTGTGTGGTCTGCAGTTGGGAGGTAAGATCCAAAAAAGAGGTCAATGAAATTCTAGAAGTGGGCTTAGGACCATCTGGGCGGGGGCCCACCTAGCTGGTGTGGTCTAGAGCAGAAGGCATTGGCTTTATCCAGTCACATTCTCTTGTCCTGTCAGGAGGCGTACAGCTATAGGAGTACCAAAGCAAGGATGGGAGTCTTCTTTCTTGTCTAGAGGTGGAACTGCACTGTTAGAGGAAAAGGGTACTGAAGAGATGGGAAAAAAAAGGAAAAACACGCATACTTTTTAGGTCCAGACAAGGCAAGTAACTTGCTCAAGATCACAGAGCAAGATAGTGGCAGAACTAGGTATTGAATCAAACACATATCACACTGCTCTAATTCCAGTGTTGAGTAAATAGGTCATTAAAGCCTGAGATGCCTCAATGTTTTCTTTAGGAAGCTTTTCCCCAGGATCACTCAGGTCCTCAAACCTAGAATATTGCTAGGTTTATTCTAGTAATAGAGTAAACAAGCTAATAAATGGTCCAGCTGTCCCCCTCGCCCAACACCAAGGCTTGGCAAAGGACCAGTTTCTAGAGATCTTCGATTTTTTTTTTCCACATCCTGTGCTCACCACTCCATTTTTCCCTCAATCACTCCATCATCCCATCATTTCACAACCCTGACACAGCTCGTCAAGATCATTAAACACCACAGACACTTCACTCCAACTTACTGAACTTCTCGCTTGCATCCACTCAGTCCACACTCCTTCCTAATTGAGATACTTTCTTCTCTCATAGCCAGGTCTTTCCCTTGTGTAGAGTTTCCCTTACATCTCTCTCCACTCCATAGGGCCTACCCCACCAGATGTTTAAATGCTGAGGTGGAAACTTTCTTCAAACTCTTGGAGTGATTTTACCCAAATCCTTGGTTTAAACAAATACTGGTGACTCACCAACCCATAACTCTGCCGGAACCCCTCCTATCCACACAAAGTTCTTCTCTAAGTCTCCTCTTGAATTTCTTAAAAATGTTTTATTTTTAATTAATTACAGATTCACAGGAAGTTGAAGAAAAACTTATGAGAAAAGCTCCATATGCCCTTTGCCCAGTTTTCCCCAACAGTAACATCTTGCGTAAGTACAATACAGTAACAAATCAGTAAATTGATATTGATATAATCCACAGAGATTATTTGGGTTTTATGAGTTTTGCATGTGCTTATTTATTTACTTATGTGTGTGTGTGTGTGTGTGTCTGTGTGTGTAGTTCTGTGCAATTTTGTCAGATATGTGGATTCCTGTAACCACCACCATAATGTAGATAAAGAACTGTTTCATTACTACAGGTTTTCTTGTGCTAGAACTTTACAGCTATATCCACTCCTGTCCTATCACTAACTCTACTATTCTATCCTTGAGCTCTGTACTTTTGTTATTTCAAATATATATATTTGATATATAAATATGCAGACAATCCGGATCCCTCATCCACTGCTGATGGGAATATAAAATGGTATAATCACTCTGGAAAACAGTTGGGCGTGTCCTATAAAACTAAGCATGCACTTACTATACAGCCCAGCAATTATACTCTTGCACATTTATCCCAGAGAAATGAAAAATCTATGTTTACATAAAAACCTTTATGTGAATGTTTATAGCAGCTTTATTTGTTATAGGCAAAAACTGGAAACAACCTAAATGCCCTTCAGAGGCAAATGGTTAAACGAACTAGTTTAACCATACAAACCGGTTTACATCCATACCACAGAATAGTGCACAATAAAAGTGAATGAACTATTGATATAAATAACAAAATGGAGGGTGTATAAAAGAATTATATTGAGTAAAAAAAATTATCTCAAAAAGAAACCTTATATATACACGTTTATATATGCATATACATACACATACATATACATTTAGGTTGTTTCCAGTTTTTGCCTATAACAAATAAAGCTGCTATAAACATTCACATAAACGTGTTTATGTAAACATAGATTTTTCATTTCTCTGGGATAAATGTCCAAGAGTATAATTGCTGGGCTGTATAGTAAGTGTGTGCTTAGTTTTATAGGACACACCCCACTGTTTTTCAGAGTGATTGTAGCATTTTACATTCCCACCAACAGAGGATGAGCGGTCTGGGTTGTCTGGATCCTGAGCAGCATATGTTAAAATCAAGATTCTTTATTTACCCATTCTGATAGGTGAGTAGTGAGATATCATTGTGTTTTTGTAATTTTGTAACACAGCAGAAATTTATTGCCCACAGTAGCTCAGAAGACTAGAAGTCCCAAATTGATGTCAGCAGCGCCATGCTCTCTCTGAAGGCTCAGGGTGAAGGAATCCTCCATGCCTCTCGCCTGGCCTCTGGTGGTTGCCAGATGGCCGTCCTTGGCATTTCTTGTCTTCGAGATGGATCTTACTCCGGTCTCTGCCTCTGCCTTTACACAGCCTTCTCTTCTGCATGTTATGTGAGTTTTTCTCATTGTGGTTTTAACTTGAATTACTTCCATAGCTAATTATGTTGAATGTCTTTTCATGTTCTTTTCTTTTTGCCATCTGTATGTCCTCTTCAGTGAAATGTCTGTTCATGTTTTTTTGCCCATGTTCAAATTGGATTGTTCATTTTCTTAACTATTGACTTTTAAGACTTCCTTATACATTCTTGATACGAGGCCTTTGTTGGATATGTGACTTGCTAATGCTTTCCCTCAGTTTGTTCATCTTTACAATTTTTTAATAGCAAAAGTTATTTTAACTTAGATGAGGTCTAATGTATCAATTTTTCCTTTCATAAAATGTGCTTGTGTGTGTGTGTGTGTGTGTTTGTGTGTGTCAAGTCTAAAAACTTTTGCCTAGTCCTAGGTCCTAAAGATTTCCTCCTATTCTAAAATAGATAAAGCTTTGCACTTAAGTCTGTGATCCATTTTGGTCTGAATTTCTATAAGGTGTGAGATTTAGATGAAGGCTTACTTTCTTACCTATGGATGTCCAATTGCACCGTTACTATTTGTTGAAAATGCTATCCCTTTGTCCACTGAATTGTTTTTACACCTTGTTGAAATCATTTGGGCATATTTTAAACTATTTCAGGGTTCTATTTCTGTTTTATTGACCCATGTGTCTATCCCCATACCAAAACCAGACTATTTTGATTACTATAGCTACATAGTAACCCTTAACATTGGTTAGACTGGTTCTTTTTATTTTATACTTCTTTTCAAAGTTGTTTTAGATCATTTGTTCAGATCCCTTTTCTTTCCATATAAACTTTAGAATAAGATTGCCTTTGTCTGCAATAAACCTTGCTGAGATTTTGATCGAAATTGTATTAAATCTAAAGATCAGTTTAAAGAAAATTGCCATCTTTACTATGTTTAACCTTCCAACCCATAAACATGCTATATCCCTCCATTTAGTTAGGCCTTTTTTATTTAATCCACATTTTATAATTTTCAATAAAAGATTCTATACATAATTTGTTAGATTTAAACCTAGGTATGTTTTTAATAATTGTAAATGATTTTTAAAAATATTTTGGTTTCCAGTTGTTCATGGCTGGTATATAGAAATATATTTTATTTTTGCGTATTGATCTTGTAAACATGGCCGACATTTTAGCTCTAGGTGTATGATTTTTGTTTCTTTTTAGATGGAGGACTGTTTTGAGATTTTCTATATAGAAAATCATGTTATTTGTAAATAGAGACAATTTTATTTCTTCTTTTCCAGTCAGTAAGTTTTTTTCTTGTCTATTTCACTAGCTAGAACTTCCACTACAATGTTGAATAGGTGTCATGTGAGTGGATACTCTTGCCTCGATATTAACTGTAGGGTGTGTGTGTGTTCTTTATTATGTCAAGGAAGTTTTTCAGCCAGGTGCAGTGGCTCACTCCTGTAATCCCAGCACTTTGGAAAGCCTAGGTGGGAGGATTGCTTGAGGCAAGGAGTTGGAGACCAGCTTGGGGGACATACTGAGACCCGTCTCTACAAAAAATACAAAAAATTAGCCAGTTGCAGTGGTGTATGCCTTTAGTCTCAGCTATTCAAGTGGGAGGATCACTTGAATACAGGAAGTTGAGGCTGCAGTGAGCCATGATTACGCCACTCCACCTGCACTCCAGCCTGGGCGACAGTGAGACGCTGTCTTAAAAAAGAAAGTTTTTCTCTATTCCCAGTTTTTTGAAAGTTTTTTATCATTAATGGCTGTGCAAGCTTGTCAAATGCTTTTTGTGCAACAATTGATATTATCATATGCTTTTTCTTCTTTAGCCTGTTAGTATGGTAGATTATGTTAACTGATTTTTATGTAGCATGCCAAAGTTGCAAACCTGGAATAAATCCCACCTGGTCCTTGTTATGTGATGAATTGTGTACCCCCAAACTTCTATATTGAAGCCCTAATCCTTAGTACCTCAAAAATGTGATTGTATTTGGAGATAGGGATTTTAAAGGGGTAATTAAGTTAAAAATGAGGCCATTTGAGTGTACCTCAATCTAATAGCATCAGTGTCCTTATAAAAAAGAGGAGAACAGGACATAGATAACACAGATGGAAAGATGACCATGTGAGGACACAGTGAGAATGTAGCCATCTGAAAACCAAGGTGAGAGGCCTAAGAAGAAACCATCCCTGCAAATACTTTGATCTTGGACTTCCACCCTCTCAGAGCCTGAATGTGGAAAGGAATCCTGCACAGTGATTGTACTTTGCAGAAAGAACTCTGTTCTTTCATCTTTCTCAATTTGCTCCCAATCACTTTTCATGAGTGCCCTACAGTGCAGGTACATGTAAATTGAATGAAAAGCCATGGCTGGCTTTGACTCTATGCAGGAGTTCTCATTCTCTCTGTCTGAGTCTGTGAGGCCTCTGCCTTGATCAAGGTTTGACTAGACAGGTCTCCAGACCATAACCCGGAGCTTCCAGCCGGTCTCGTTTTTCTCTAGGAAGGTCTGTCTGCTGACACAGGCCTGGACCCACTTTGCTTCAACGTATTGATTTCCTTTGATCTTTCTCATTAACCCACAATCACCCTTAGTCTTCCTTCCTAAAACCCTGCCAGAGCCTTCCCATGGGTTTCAACACTGGCTGGGCTCCCATTCCCTAACCTGCATCCCCTTTATCTCAGGGTCCGATCCTGTGCCCCATCGACTTCCCACTACTCCTCACACCTCCCTCTGATCTTCTGCTCCAGCCTCAGTCCCCAGTCCTCACTCTCAGGTTGCACCCCATTATCCTCCAAGGCTGACTGCACATTCCCTGCTGCTTTCCAGTCCTGGCCACCTCTCTACTTCTCCCTCTACTATCTCAGTCTCTTCTCTGGGACCCATTCTGGCCATCCAGGTCCTGTAGGTTCCTGTCCTCTAACTTTGTAGCTGAGGTCATGTGTCTATTTTACCCTTTACCCTTGCCTTTATTTTATCTGATCCACAAGTTCCCTCTTACCATAAATTAAATATCAATTTAAATAACATTAAGTAATTCAAAGTACCAGTGCTACAGAGACATGACATAAGTTGTGCCAGTCAAGTTTGCCTAAAGTTTGCTTTAAACCAGTGATTCCGAGAAAAACAACACAACCACCCCAGGGTTGTACCCTCTGTTGGAACCAGGTCACGTGGAAAGTGGCAAATAATCTGTCGCTAAGGTCGCTGGACACCTCACACAAGGCAGACATGCGGGTTTCAGAGTCAGATGTCCACTGAGCTACTGTTTGAATCCCCTTCCCATAGGAATCAAGGAATTTGCTTCTTCTTGTCCACTCTACCATTTGGTACTGTAATGAGGACCACAAGCTTTCATTGTTGGATCTGGGATTCAAACCTGAGTCTGTTTGCCTCTGAGGACATTGATATCCCCCGGAGTGGGGTCTCCCTTTGCTGCGGTTGCTCAGAGCCTTCCGGAGAAGACAGGTGCTGGTGGTATACCAGTCTCAGCCTGGGCATGGCTGATAGGGTCACACAGTGGCCATGTTCCCTGGGCTCTTCACTGCCCAAAGTTCTTCTGAGTTCACCTACTCTGGTTTGTGCTTGGCACTGATGATCAAGCAGGGTTCCTTGGGTCCTGTGTGTCTCCAAGGCTGCAAAAGAGCCTTCCCTTAGGCTCTGCCAACAGCACCTCTCTCTACAGGGCTAAGCTATAAGTCCACAAGAAACAGTGGGTACAGCTCAGCCAGTATCTGGTAGTATATCCTGATTCCTTCCTGGCTCCCTTGTAAACAGCTCCACCCCCGACAAAACCCACATTGCAAATCAACGTCTAGCTGTTCACTCACCAGTTCATCAGGCATACCCAGACACATCCTCTGCTATAATCAGAACATCTGTGTCACCCCCAAATTAATAGCAGAAATCTAGTTGACAATGTAATGATATTTGGAGGTGGGGCCTTTGTGAAGTAATCAGACTATGAGGGCAGAGTTCTCATGAATAAGATTTGTGCCCAGAGATCTGCCTCGCCCCTTCCACCATATAGGATGCAGCAAGAAGGCACTATAGATGAACCAGAATGTGGGCCCTCACCGGACACCAGATCTGCCAGTATCTTAATCTTATATTTCCTGGTCAGACACGGTGGCTCATGCCTGTAATCCTAGCACTTTGGGAGGCTGAGGTGGGCTGATCACAAGGTCAGGAGATCGAGACCATCCTGGCTACCATAGTGAAACCCCATCTCTACTAAAAATACAAAAAAATTAGCTGGGCATGGTGATGGGCTCCTGTAGTCCCAGCTACTTGGGAAGCTGAGGCAGGAGAATGGCACGAACCTGGGAGGTGGAGCTTGCATTAAGCCAAGATCATGCCACTGCACTCCAGCCTGGGCAAAAGAGTGAGACTCCATCTCAAAAAAAATGAAATAAAAATAAAAATAAAAAAATAAAATCTTATATTTCCCAGACTCCAGAACTGTGAGAAATAAATTTCTGTGGTTTATAAGATACACATTAATGAGATGGTTTTATAACAGTGCAAACAGACTATGACATCCTCTCACACTTGTGACACCTGTAACTTGTTTGCACACATCTAATTCCCTGTGAACACCCTTAGGCCAGGGGTCTTGTCTTATTCATTTTGGTATATCCAGCATATAACATTGGACTTGGCTGTCAGTAAGCACTAAGTAAGCATTCAAATAAATGTCCTGACCTCACGGGCAGCTATCTGCATATACAGTAGCTTAAAGTACTGTATTTTGTAAGGCTGGGTAGCAGGGAGGTGTGAGGGATGGAGATGAAGCACTGGAGGAGGTAGTAGCTACAGGGGTGTGGTAGTTCAGTGGTTGGGGCCTGGCCATGAGGTGGGTGAATGTCAAGGGACCTGAGTTCTGGTCTTGGCTTTGTCATTTGTTTTGTAACTATAAATGGGCCATTAGATTTTTTTGGGTGCTTGCATTCTTTCCATTGCCCGGGAATAACAATAGTGGGAAATGAGACAGTATAGTTAGTAGGAAGGCAAAGATTTAGAAATACAGACATCTGAGGAAAGTGGTCCTGCCCAGGAAGACCCTGAGGAGGTGGGCCAAAAACTGGAGTAACAAAGACAGAAACTGTATTCATGAAAGGGAGGCTTCAGCATGGAAAATCTACCCCTTTTCCCAAAATAAATTCATGAATTCAACCT
This sequence comes from Homo sapiens, assembly GCF_000001405.40. NCBI lineage: Eukaryota > Metazoa > Chordata > Mammalia > Primates > Hominidae > Homo > Homo sapiens. The sequence goes on along the minus strand of NC_000019.10, from coordinate 30,963,144 downwards.
AGAATTTATCAAAAGACAAACAAAATTCTTCATGGAAATTGACAATCTGATTCTGATATTTAAATAGAAGACTTTCTGTGCAAGAAGAGCCAAGAAACTGTAAAAAATTTAAAGATAAAAGAGAAGGAGTGTTTGTCCAAAATATGTTTTAATCCCATTTTGATAAAAAGCAAGTTGTATCAGCACTAGAATAGACAGAGTAGTAGAACAGAAAAGTGAATTCAGAAATAGATCTGTGTCCATATGAGAACTTAGTAAAGACTAGAGACAGGAGGGCCTATGAAATATAGTATACATTTAAAAATATATATTGAAATTCCTATCTCATACCATTTGAAAAAAATAAATGTAGGCATTACAGAATCTAAACATAAAAAACTACTATAAAATCAGAGAAGAAGATAAGAAAGTTCTTTTCAAACAAGAAGTAAAAAGACAAAGAAAAGGCTGATAATTTGACATCATTAGACATTCAATAAATATGTGTTGAATAAATAAGTGAAACACAATTGTAAAACTCTGAACCACAAAAAATTATAGGCAAAATTAAAATAGTAGACTGTGTAGAAAATAGACATCAAACTGACAGAGGGTTATTAACTGGAATATATAAAGAACTCCTACAAATAAGACAGGATAAGAGAGGAGGAGGAAGAGGACAGTTCTGGAACACCTGTGGGGTGGGAGGATGGAGGTGAGAATGATCCCAGATGGGAAGTCAGCCACACAGACAAGGAAGGACCTCAGGACAGTGGTCTGGGGTCTGTGTGGCTCAAGATGGACCAGAGAAGGGACACATATAGCAGGGCCAGTGGTGGGCAGGACCCTTCTCCAAGAAAAAGGCTAAGGGTTCAACTTAATAATGAGTCCCACTCCACACATCAACTTCCCTGTGTGGAGGAGGGGTGGGCAATGATGGAAGGGGCAGTGAGCTGGGAGGACATCTCAGGAGGCATCAGTATTTGTGCAAGAAAGCCAGAGCTCCAGTAAGGATGCGCTGGTTGCAGGGCCCAGGAGAATGTCGCTGATGCACTAAAGTCAGGTTTGCTGTCCGGGCTGTCCCAAGGGTGATGTGAATATCCTGCATGGAGACTCTGCCTGGGCCACTGCTTACCCCACACTGGGCCCTTCTCTCAGCTTCTTCCATCCCTTGTGCAAAGTGAAGATAGAATCTCCTCCGTTTGGTTTGGGTGCGCTCCAGGGTTTTGGCAATCACCCCTTCTCTTCTCCTCCTCTTTCCTCCCCTCAGCACTGAAGATGAAGAAAGAGAGGGCTTGACCAGGAAGGATGCAGGGAGCCTGCCCATGGAGGAGAAGCCTCGTTGAGGAATGAGCTGAGTGTGAATTGAATGTTGAGTGTGCATTGACATGTAGAAATCCCTGCCACTGCTGACCCAAAGTGGCCCTGGCACTGACGAACCTGTCACATGCCTCTGTCTCCCCAGCTGAAAAGATGGAAGTCAACTTTGTGACTACCAGATTTCCTAGCTCTGATACTATAAGAACCCTCAGACTTTTAGAGTGGCTGGGCTGCCTAAATATGAACTCATAGGAAATCAAGACTCCCCTCACCTTTCCTCCTTTTCCTCCTCCAGGCCTGGCCCAGGGCTCTACCCACACTGGGACTCACCATACATCAGTAATGATGGTGTCATCCCTTCCTTAAAAAACACATCCCCAAGCGTATCCACTGCTGGTGGGGATGTAAATTAGTACAACCACTATGGAACACAGCATGGAGATTTCTCAAAGACTCTAAGTAGATCTGCCATTCCATCCAGCAATCCTACTACTGGATACCCAAAGGAAAATAATTCATTACATCAAAAAGACTTCTGCACATATGTTTATTGAAGTACAATTCACAATTCAAAGATACTGAATCAACCTAAATGTCCATCAACTGATGAGCAAACAAAGTAAATGTGACATATATACACCATGGAATACTACTCAGCCATAAAAAAGAACGACATAATGTCTTTTGCAGCAACTTCAAAGGAGCTGGGGGCCATTATCCTAAGTGAAGTAACTCAGGAAAAGAAAAGCAAAGATTGCATCTTCTCACTTATAAGTGGAAGCTAAGCTATAGGTGTGCAGGGGCATACAGAGTGGTATGATGGACATTGGATACTCAGAAGGGGGAACAGTGAATATAAGCCCAGAGGTATAAAGCTTGGGACTGCCAGAGCTGGGTGAAGGCTTAGTCTTCCTGCCTTTCACTGAGGGGAGCTTCCTGTATCCCACCCTACCACCCTCATCCCTGGAACCACCTTCCCAGCTCCAATAAAGACAAGCTCCAGAAAGGAAAAGACAGAGTCAAAATACTCTTGCTGAACACCTGGGGTCTCTCCGGAACATTACTGGTGTTTTTTTTGTTTGTGTGTTTTGTTTTGTTTTTTGATGGGGGCAGCTTTGGGGAGGAGAATTATTCAGAGGCAGCAAAGTTCAGACAGTGGAACCAGACAGACTGGGTTCAAATCCCAGCTCTGCCACTTACTCACGGGGTGACTTGGAACAATGCTTAACTTCCCCCCAGCCTCAGTTTTCTAATCTATAAAAAGGGGATAATTGTAGTACTGTAACTGCTTTAGACCAATCTGATTCAACTTTTTTATTTTTATTTTTTTGAGATAGGATCTCACTCCTGTTGCCTAGGCTGGAGTGCAGTGGCACAGTCACAGCTCACTGCAGCCTCAACCGTGGCTCAAGTGATCCTCTCACCTCGGCCTCTCAAAGTGCTGGGATTACAGGCTTGAGCCACCACACCCATCTGGTTCAACTTTTATGTAACAAAGTCGTGAGTTGTTGTTCAGCTGCCATGGACCCACATGTTGAAGGTCACATAACCTCTGCATGCCCACATGAGCTAAGTGTGCAAGCAGGAGGGAGTGTAAGCACTCCCAAGGAGTGGGGACTGAATTAAGATGTGGACATGCATGGCAGGATCAGGACTCAATCATACTGAGTCCTGGCATCACCCCATGGCAGGATCCAATCGGATCATGCCTCCTGGCATCACCCTATTGCAAGATCCAATCTATGTGCCTTAAGCAGGGAGCCCATTGATTTCTCAGTAACAGCACTTGCCACATACAGGGTTGTTATGAGGATTAAATGAGATGATATCCATAAGTTGTTTCTAACAACTCTTAGCAGGTAGTCAGTACTAGGCCAGTGTTGGCTCAAATTGAAAAAGGTGAAAGGAAGGAAGAGAGCGAGAAGGAAGGAAGAATGGAATGAAGGTAAGACTGGGAAAATAGGGAAGAGGTAAAGCGAGGCACAGAACTCTCAGCTCACTTCCCACTTTCTCCTAAGCTCGAGCTGGGCAGAGAAGACATTCACCTTCCTGAGCCTCCACAGGCCCATCCCTGCACCTTCCTCTCCTGAGTACTTCTGAATCTCCCCTCAGCCCCTGGGTCCCACTTTGAAGCTCTGCCCTCATGGGGAACCCAGACAGTGCAGAGGTGTATCAGGGCGCACATGGGAGAGGAGGGCATGCTGGTGGAGGCACTTTGATCTCTGGAGATCAAAGCCCTGGGGAGGAAGGGCACTCCGGCTCATCATGAGTTTCCCCGCTCTGTCACACTCCCACTCTCACTCTGCCTGGCTTGGACACCCTCTGTGGCTGCCCTCTATCTACCGGATCTCAAAGGAGTCCATTTGAATTTGATTTCAAGCCCTTCTTGCATGCCAAGATAGACGCTCCCAGCTAGCTCTTGCTGGTCTTATCTCTGTTACCCCTGCCCTCAAATGCACCCTTTCTCTGTTCCAACCAAATGGAGATGGACACCCTCTGCTTTGGACTCTCCTCTGACTGGAAGAACTCTCTACCCACTCAGGCTCAAAGCTCAGTCAAGTCCCATGTCCTCCAGGAATGGGCCTCCCACCTCCTCTGTCCTCTTTGTCCTCCTCTACCACACTCCCTGTCCCCGGGCTCCTCGGAGCTGACCCCAGTGGACTTGTTGACCTCCTCACTGCTCCATCGCCAGACAGGGGCCCACCTCCATCCCAGGGCCCAGCTTAGAGGTCACACAACCAGCCCCCTTAGCACCCTAACACCCCACTGGGAGCTCCTCACATTATTTTAGAATTCCCTTCCCACCTGGAACTTCCTTATTTATGGAGCCACTCCCCAAGTACTACTGTTGATCAGTAGTTCAACTTTCTTCTCTTAGTCTACCCAACTTTTGCCTCTGGACCATAGCAAGATCCATTCCAACTGCCTTTTCTGGTGGCCTGGGGATGGAACTACCGAGTGTTCATCAGCCATTCTCCATGACGTGGAATCTTCTGCACTGGATTTACCCCTCCCCATCTGAGCTCCCTTTGGGGAGGAAACTTTTCCCAAATAGAGGGATGCAGGAGCAGGCAAGGGCTACGCGATGCCAGAGTGAGGACAGTGCTTGGGGCCTTTTCTCTCAACACTTTGGAGCTCTTCTTTCCCTCGGTCTCTCTCCTTGTTCCCCACCCCCTTTGTCTTGTTTTCTTCTATCCATTGTCTCTCTCTTTTCCTTTTATCTTCCTCTTTGCTGGGAAGAACTTACTGTAAACCAACTTCGTTGGATAACTTTTGTAAAATAGTGCCCAACATTTATCACATTTGTGTTCAATATTTTTCTTACATATAAAGAGCTGACAGCCAGTTCTTCTATGATAGATGTACTTATTTCTTTTAAACTATCACTAACCAAGCATATCATTTTTATACAGTAAGTGTATATTCAATTTTCTACAGTTTTGACTACTAAACAGCCTTACTAGTGAGACAAATGACACATATATTGCTATATTAGTGAGGGCTCTCTTAAACCCATGTAATAAGATTGCAGAGTCAATGTCCGTTCCCATTTTGTGTAGCTGAGAAGATGAGGAGAACCAAGGTGGGTCTGGCTGGGAGGCTTCTCTCTGTGAGTCCAGCACAGGCACCTGGCTGGGCGGCCTCCTCTTCCTCAGGTGCTGGCTGGCTTCCAGGTCCTGGGGCTGAAGTCTGGGGCAGGGAGTTCTCTCCCACAGTAGGTTTTCATTTTACAAAAATGTCCTAAAGCCTTCTCTCTTTTCTGATTACATTCAGTCCCAGCAGAGCCAGCTGGTGCAATGAGAATAAGTTTTACTCCTCCAAGGACCCTGAGTTGTTATGGATGTTCTAGCTGAGTCCTAGTGCTGCAAGGAACACAGAGCCATGCAAAAGCACTCACGCTGTAACTGAGGTGTAGACCCACATTCCATTCTTTCCTCCTCCCCGCCATTCCCCCTCTCATTTATTCATAAATTGAGCTCCTACTATGTGACACATAGTACCAAATGCACAGACCTGTCCTGACCCTCGAAACTCGGTAAGTTCAGGGATGGAACAACTTAAGGGGGTGAGCCAAAGGGTGACTGAGTCCATGGTAAGATAGCTAAGGCAGTTACAAAACAGGAAGATTGGGAAGGAGGACTTGAAATGGACTTGGCGTCGGTTCCGGGACACTTCTGAGGTTGAAGCATTGGTAATGGATCTGTTGCAATTCAGCCACGGGGATGATGTACGAGGCTTTTCTACTGACATTGAATCAGGTCACTGGGCCCATTGGATGCGATACAATGTCAATGAAACTGTTATGTGTTATTGATGTCAGTCATGGAATAGATAAAAACATTATAAAAATAGCTTTTGTCACCATTTACATTTTTTTTTCATGAATGGCAAAAGGCATCACTCCCCACCTGTCAGGGAATAAGGCAGCCAAGGATGGGTTTTCATGCCAGCGACTGGAATCTCAGGAGGTCAGAAAGGGGGCACTCTCCCCATGAAAAGTGACTGCAGAATGAAGGCCCAGGAGTTGCCCCACTCTTTGCCCTCCAAGGGTGAATAGTTGACACAGTAGAATATAGGATGAGTGGGGTGGGGAAGTTCCTTCTTTCACTCAACAAACACGCATTGAGACCCTACAGGTGTGCTAGAAATGGGACTTGAAAATAATCCTTTCAGTTCTAATGGTGCCCATAACCTAATATGCTCTCGGAGTTCCCATGTGAAACCTGCCAGGTGTGGTCCCACCTGCCCCACACGGTGGCTGTGAAGCCTGAATGAGAGCTACAGCTGACACTTAATCCACATCCTTGCACCTTTGATGTGGTCATCATTCCCAGTAATGCATGGCAGTCCATGTCTGTGTCAAGATCTTGCTTGAAGCTTAGAGAAATGTTGTCTTAGGGCCTCCTGGTTGGGCACCTGAGGAGCATGTCAGGCATCACCAGTTCCATTTTATATATGAAGACACTGAAATGATTTGGCCGAAGCCATGAGTGAGTGACAGGCACAAATGGTCGCGGACCCTGGTCTGGTGGACTGTAATGTCTGTGGCTGTTTTCCTGCACCTTGCTGCTTTCTCATGTGGCCAGATCTGAGGACCTCCTTGGTTCCAGCAGTTCGGCACCTGAGAAGTTCGAGAGTTAATGCAGAGGCAAGCCGAGCTTGAACTTCCCGATTCCCAGCCCAGTGCTCCTCCCCCAAACCTCACTGCTTTTCTCCCCACTCACTACCCAGATCATCCACGCCCATGCCTCACCCACACAAGGGTGGGCTTTATGTGAAGCCTGGCAAGGGGCCTTGAACAAGCCTAGATGTCCCCACATGGCCTCATCTGACATCAGGAGTGTCTGGCAGAGTGAGAAGCCTGAGAGCTTAGGCTGGGACTGAATCTAGCTTTTATGTGAATTTCTGTATTCTAGAGCTAGCAGGGGCAGGGACTTTAGAGCCTGGGGAAGCTGGAATTTCCTAGGTGCCATCAAGAAAGGAGAGCCAGCCCCACACAGCCAAGGAGGCCAGGCGACCCCAAGTAGGGTGGCATTTCCTGAGAGATCTAGCCATCTGCTGGCTCTGAGCACAGGCACTGTGTTCAGGCTCCGTACCCACTAGACTGTTGGCCCTGGCTGGGCTCAGCCTGAATGCCTAGGTGGGGAAGCCCAGCTCAGGGCATGAACCTCCACAGTCTATTACCTAGGAACCCAGCTGGGCCCCTCAATTCCAGAGCCACCACTCAGTGTAAGTAAAAACTGATGGGCAATTATCAGCTGAAAGGAGCCCGTAGCAGTGGGTAGGCCCACCACCAACTAGACAAAGAAGGAAAGCAAGTGGGAAATCAGGAGAAAAGCCATAAATAAATAATAAAGTAGCATACTTCATAAAGGTGAAAATTGCCCAGCTTCTGAGATTCTTCACCAATAAAACGCTTGAGTCAGTTCTGACACATCTATGCATATATGGAAGAATTGTTGCATAAGAGATTCTGAGCGAAAGCCTTAATTTATTATTAAAAAAATCAGTGAAGAATCTGTTGTAAAAGGCAGCTTTCCAAAGACATACACATTTTTATTGGGAGTAGCTAAGTAGAAATTCAGACTCCAGCGGGGTGAGGTCCAGGCTGCAGTGAGCCTTGATCATACCACTGCACTTTAGCCTGGACATCAGAATGAAACTTCGTCATCAAAAAATAAAAAACAAAAAAGCAAAAAATAAGAGAAACTCTGGCTAGCCTCCAGGATGCAGCCGGATCCACAGCTTTTCAGGCACGACCATTGCTGGTAGTTATTTCCATGTCCTCTTCTTGCAATCTTCTATGGCAGTACACTCACCTCTATACCCCACCACCTAGGACTGTGTAGTTTTAACATTTTTTTTATTTTTTGAGACAAGTTCTTGCTCTGTCACCCAGGCTGGAGTGTGGTAATGCAATCACAGCTCACAGCAGCCTCGACCTCCCAGGCTCAAGCGACCCTGACAGGCTCACGTGATCCTCCCAGCTCAGTCTCTCGAGTAGCTAAGACTCCAGGTGCACGCCATCATGCCCAGCTAATTTCTAATATTTTGTAGAGACAGAGTCTTGCTGTGTTGCCCAAGCTGATCTCAAACCCCTGAGCTCAAAGGATCTTGTCACCTCAGCCTCCCAAGTAACTGGGGTCACAGGCACATGTTACTATGTGCAGCTAATTTTTAATTATTTTTGTGGAGAGGAGGGTCTCACTATGTTGCCTGGGCTAGTCTCAAAGTACTGGGATTACAGGCGTGAGCAAAGTACTGGGATTACAGGCGTGAGCCACTGCACCAAGTGTTGGGCAGTCTGGAGCTTTTCACTCACCACTGACTCTTTTCACTCACCACTGACCCCTCCTCAGCTCCTGGCTCTTGGCTCTCCATTGATCCAGGACTTGACTTCTTTCAGACTCCCATTCCCATCCTGCATTTTATTTCTAGGATAGTTACACAATTTCTCCCCCACCATAGGACCACCAACACAAAAGGGAATGAATTAACAATGTAATTAACTGGTAGTTAAGAGTGTGGACTCTGACGTGGGCCCTGAATGTGAGCTCTGTGTCTTACTCTAAATAGTTGTGCTATTTCAGATGACTTTGGGCAAGTTAAATAACCTCTCTATGCATTAGTTTCTTCATCTGCAAAATCCAAATATTAATACAATGTACTTCATAGCATTGTTACAGTGATGTTTATGCATCAATAAATACAAAGTTCTAGAACAATGACAAGCACACAGTGTATTCAATAAATGTTATCTCTTTTTTGCTACTGTTGCTGCTGTTGTTTTGACAATAGCCTATACAGAGAGGTTTGGAGTGTCTGGCAAGAAAGCAAACACTGGGGTCAGTTATGCTGGCTGTTACCGGCTGATTTTGGCCTTGGCAGAAAGTGATAGGTGCCTTACCACTGCCTAACCCCAAACCTCAGAGAAGCCTCTCTAAAATGAGCATAAAATTATTCATTTCCTTATTTCAACTTCATCACTCAAGGAGCCAGCTGTCCAGCCCCAGATCACGTATCAAAAGCAGCTCACAGTCAGTGCACTGCTGCAAAATCTGTCTGCATAGAGAACTTGAAAAAGAATGTAGAACTGTCATTGACCACCATATCCATCCATAACAATGGTTTGGTTTGATTTTGGCTCTGCCACTTGGGAAAAATGGGATCTCATCAGCCCAACTTTTTCCAGGTAGCCAAGGGTTAAAAGCTCAGCCTTTAGCTTTAAATGCAAATAGCTCCGGTTCTGAATTCCGGGGATCTCCTTATATCCATGTGGCTTTGAGAAGCTACTCAACATCTTTAAGCCTCAGGTTTCTCATTTTCAGAATGGGTATAATAATACAGTTGATGAGAGAATCACATAGGATCAAAAATATTGCTCCATAAGATGCCATACATAGAAAAGAGATAAGAGATTGTGTTTTGCTGCTTGGCCAAACAAAATGAAAGGAAACTAGCAGAAAAAAGACATTAGAAACAGACTCACAGGGGCTTACAAGGAAAACGTAAGACACAGCCTTTAAAATAATTATGCTAAATAATTATTCTTTCTATGTTCAAACCAAAAAAATAAAAGACAATATTGAATTTTTTTACAGAGAACAGAACTTTCCAGTAACGATATGGCAGATTTAAGAGGACATTCTGGAACAATAAATGTAGCTGAAATTAAGAAATCAGTAGATGAGTTTTATAGCAAATATCATGTAGCTAAAAAGCAAATTAGCAAAAAGAGAACATATCAAAAGAAATATACAGGATGGAGAAAAAATAATAGGAAGTGATAGAAAAATAATAAGAAAGAAAGGAATGAATGGCGGTAAGAAATATAGATAATACAGTCAGAAGTCTAATATACATTTAATTACAGTTACAAAAGGAGAGGAGAGAATGTGGCAGAGGTATTTCAGTAGATAAGACTGAGAATTCTCTAGAATTTACAAAAGCCATCAAGTACAGATCCAAAAAGCCTAAGAAATGCCAAAGAAGATAAATTAAAAAATAGACTCATATTTATGCATATAAAAATAAAACCAAACAATAAACCAAAACACAAAATCCTTCAAGAGCCAAGTAAAACAAAGTTACCTTCAAAGGAGCAGCAACAAAATTGAGAAATACTTTCTGAATTAAAAAAAAAGTAAGCCAGAAAACAAATTTTTGTTTTGTGTGTATGTGTGCTATGAGAAAATAACTGCCAAACAAGATGTCTATACCCATTAAAATATCCTTAGGGAATGAAAGTGAAAATTAAAAGTAATGCATTAGTATCATTTTTTTTTCAGGCGAGTTCTGCTTTCAGTAATGGTAAAGTAGCTCCTTTGCACTAATTTTCTCATAAATAGACCCATAGTCTGGATAAAATTTTTAAAAAATTACAGGCTTTGATTAGCAATAGGTTAGTGATGACATATAAATCAGTCCCTGAACTTGAAGACAGAACAATAGTAATTGTTTAAAGGACAAGGACAGTGAGACAATACCAACATTTCTACCATAAATGTCATTGGAATCCCAGAATGAAAAGACAGGGAAAGTGGAACAGAAAATATACTTGAAGAAATGAATGATGCCTCAAATTTATCCAAATTTGGTGAAAGACACAGATTTATAGATTCTAGAAGTTCAACAAATGCCAAGAAAAGCAATGCAAAGGAAATTTCATCTGGGCATGGGGCCTCACTCCTGTAATCGCAGCATTTTGGAAGGTTAAGTGGGGGCAGATTGATTGAGCTCAGGAGTTCCAGACCAGTCTGGGTAACATGGTGAAACCCTATCTCTATGAGAAATACAAAAATTAGGCTGATATGGTGGTGTGCATGCCTGTGGCATCAGCTACTCAAGAGGCTGAGGTAGGGGATCACTTGAGACCAGGAGGTTGAGGCTGCAGTGAGCTGTGATCACACCACTGCACTCCAGCCTGGGCAAAAGAGGGAGGGAAAGAAGGAAGAAAGGAAGGAGGGAGGGAGGGAGGGAGGGAGGAAGGAAGGAAGGAGCAAAAGAGGGAAAGAGGGAGGAAAGAAAGAAGGAAGGAAGGAGCAAAAGAGGGAAAGAGGGAGGAAAGAAAGAAGGAAGGAAGGAGCAAAAGAGGGAGGGAGGGAGGAAAGAAGGAAGGAAGAAGCAAAAGAGGGAGGGAGGGAGGAAAGAAGAAAGGAAGGAAGGAAGGAAGGAAAGGAGGGAGGGAGGGAGAGAGGGAGGGATAGACAGACGGAAGGAGAAAGAGAGAGAGAGAGAGAGAGAGAAAAATTATTCCATCTAGGCATATCTTGTTCAAACTAATAAAGATCTAATATAAAGGAAAAATCAGTTGTTTCAATGGTGGTAGGGAGTAGAATGATCAGAGGCTGGAAAGGTTGTGTGTGTGTTTGAGGGGAGTGATGAAGAGAGAGAGGTTAATGAGCACAACCATACAGTTACATAGAACGAATGAGTTCTAACGTTTGATAGCACAGTAGGGTAACTACAGTTATATAATGTGTACTTCAAAATATCTAAAACAGAAGATTTGAAATGTTCCCAATGGAAAGAATAAATGTTTGCGGTGTTGGATATCCTAAATACTCTGACTTGATCATTACACATCCTACATGTATCAAAAAACCACATGTACCTTACAAATACATACAAATGTTATGTATCATTTTTAAAAAGCTTTAAAAGGAGAAAATATTGAAATCAGAGAAAAACAGCCATTATATTAAAGGAAACAATAATGTAAAGAACTGTTGACTTCTGGTCAGAAGTGCTGGAAGTCAGAAGTCAGTAGAATGCCATCTTTAAAATACAGTCATGCAATGCATAATGATGTCTTGGTCAATGAAAGATGATTGCTTTTATTACTCAACAAAGTAGCATGCTGTACAGGTTTATAGCCTAGGAGCAATAGGCTATATCATACAGCCTAGGTGTGTAGTAGGCTATACCATCTAGATTTGTGTAAATACACACTATGATGTTCACACAGTGATACATTTAACCTAACAACACATTTCTCAGAAATAGCCCTGTTATTAAGCAACACATGACTATGTTGAAAGAAAAACTTTCAATACAGAATTCTTTATACAGTGAAAATATTCTTCAGGCATGAAGCTGAAATAAAGACATTTCCAGATATATTAAAACTAAGAGAATTTTTGCTAATAGACAATAGTATAAAAATGCTTAAGGAAATTCTCCAGGTCAAAAGTAAATAATACTAGATGGAAACCTAGATACCTAGGAATAAATAGAATCCTATAACTGGTAAAAATATAGAAAATATTAAAGACTTTTTACTTTTTATTTTTTTAAAAACACAACCTTTAAGGCTATTTGAAGCAAAACATATGGCATTATATCTGGAGATTTTTAAATTATGTAACTGTAATGTATGTATATGTATATAAAACAACTAGAGCACAACAAACAGAGCAGGGACAGAGGGGGATAAATGGGCCTAACTTTAAGTAGACTGAAAAATTAAGGCTGTATATATTAAAGCCTTTAACACCTAGTAAAAATAAATCAATAAAGTATAGCTAAAAACTAACCAATAAATTGGAATAAAACCATAAAATATATTCAACTAAGCCAAAAGATGGCAGGAAAAGAAGATAAAAACCAAAGGTAGAAAAGACCGAAATAAAAAAAATCCAAAAGAGAAGACCAAAAGAACAAAAACCAACAACAAATAGTAAAATGGAACATCTAAATTAGCTTAAATAATTACATTAAGTATGAAGAACTAAACAACTCAATTAAAAGGCAGAGAAAGGACTAATAAAAGCAAGATCAAATGATATAACAGATTCACTTTAAATATAAAAAGTCATAGATAAATTGAAAGTAAAAGAATGGAAAAATTACATAGCATGAAAATAACTAAAAGGGTGAAAGTACTCAAAGAAGGATGAGGATTTGTCAAAACTACAACAAGAAAAAGCAGCATGCAGGGACTCCCATTGTCCAGATATAGGAAAAAAATAGCATAAATAATAGTTAAGGAGATGGATTATAATTCAATACATTAAAAATAAAATTAAAATGCAGAGTAACATTCTTCTATAGTGAAGAATGCCAGCTATTAAACACTGAACAAAGATCGAATTAGAAAAGCACAATTTAAAAAATGCACAGTTTATTAGATAAGGATAATTGATGAAATCAATGGATATTGGAAACCATGGGTGAAAGATTTTATGGGAATAAGATATTTACATAGTCCAAAATAATTCAGCCAAAATTCATCCCAGAAAGTGTTTAGTAATTACAAAAGGAAAAATAGTAATTTTACAGTGGAGAAGGCTGGTGAACAAAGTTAGCCAATAATGCAGCGAACTGACACCAAATGCTTCCTTAAGCAATGCACTGCAAAGAAGCTCAAGTAACTTCTGTAGTTTTTCAGTCCAAAAAGTCACCTAGATCCAATCACTGGGAAGCATTCACCAAAGAGAGGGATATTTCACAAAATAATTGTCCTTTTACTCTTCAAAAGTGTCAATGTCATGAAAGACAATTAAGTAATAAGTTAATGTCCAAAATTAAAGAAAATGAAAGAGATAACACAACTAAATTTTAGGTAATTGTCCAGAGTTAAATACTGAACTGAGTAAAAACTCCTACAGAGGACATTATGGAAACATTTGGTAAAATTGGAATTTAGACTATAAATTAAACAATGTATTATATCAATATTAAATTTTCTGACTTTTTAGTTGTGCTGTGGTTATGTCACAAAATGTTCTTTTCTTTAGAAAATACACACTAGCAAATGTAGCAAACTGTTAACAACAATTGGTGAGTCTGGGTAAAGAAACACCATTGTATTAAAAATATTCTGAAAGTTTGAAATTTTTATAAATGCTTTATTGAAATATTTAAATGAATACTTTAATGTTTCCTGTTTTCATCAGGAAATACTCAATAGAATCAGAATTTATAAATACTTTCCTAATGATAAAGTATTTATGCTTTAGTTTTTAAAGTAGTATTTTATTTAATGGATAAGCACTAGAAGTATTTCTATCAAGCTCCAGAAAAAGACGGTGATTCCAAACATCTCTGCTATAGCTAATGTACATTTTTCTCTTGTCTGCTTTGATTGGCTAATACTTTAAGAACAAGAAGAGGCATAAAGCTTGGAAAAGAAGTAAAACTTTTTCTCTGTATATGATATGCCAGTGTACCTGGAAACTCTAATAAATAGAAGTTAAACCAATACACAAACAAAGATACACACAAATATACAAAATTCAATAAGGTAGAATGATGTAAAATTATCATAAAAGACAATAGCCTTTAAATATCCAAATAATAATTATTTAGAAGATGTAATGAAAGAGAAAAATCCACTTAAAATAACAAAAAAAGATAAATTTATATGAATAAATGTAATAGGAAATGTGCAAAACCTAGATGAAGAAAACCAAAAACACATTGAGAAACCTGAAATTACACCCAAAGAAGTGGAAATAAATTCCTTGTTCTTGGGGAAAAAATAACATCATAAAGATATCATCTGGCTAAGTTACATACACTTGTAGTAATCACAGTGAATATACCAACAAATTTTTTTCCTACATCTGGACAAGGATTTTAATATTCAGATGAAAATAGGAAAACAAAATAAACCCACAAAACCTTAAAGAAAAAAAAAAGGCAATGCAAGTCCACTAAGGAATTTACCCTGAAGTAATACAAAGCAGTAACAACCCAAGTGTTTATTCATAGAAAAGGTGTTCGAATGAACTTTGTTGTATCCACATAATAAAACAATATTCAACTCAAACAAAGTATGAGGAATACCTGTATAAAGCATAATGGAATAATGGAGTAATTTCCTGAATATTTTATCAATGGCAAAAAGGAAGCTATATAAATTACATCATACTTTTATTAAAAACCACTGGGAAATAACATATATGTATACATACTCGTGCATATGTATACATATATATTCTGTATACTTACATATATACATCCTTACTTATTTGGCACAAAGGAACACAGAAAAAATATACCGGAAAATAATAAAAAGATTTTCCTCTGGTGATGGGTAGGAGTAAGATTGGGTGAAATTTATGTGTGAGACTCCTCTGAGTTTATCTTTTTATATAGCTTTGAATTTTGAAACTGTAAATGTTTTATGTATGCAAAAGTAAAATTATATCAAAGGGATAAAAAGGAAATGTGAAGATGCGAATTAATAAAATTGTACTTCAAACTGATAACCATAGAAATAAAAAATTAATTCAAGTAACTTTTGAACATATTACTCTAATCACACATTCCTACAGGAAGGCTATATTCTAAAGTTAAAAATACATATACTTTTAATTCTGCAAAGGAATCTTGACCTTTGTTTGGGAGGTTTGTTAATGGCAGTTGTCTTCGTGTGCAATTCTGAAACTATTGTGTGCATTCTAGAATAGGGAAAATGTATAAGCATGTTGCTGCAAAGTGGTTGGGAAAATGCAAATATGAATCACTTTCCTACTGAACTGGAGATTTTCAGTATAAATTCAGGATTTTACAGAAAAAGTGTAAACATGTTGCTGCAAAGTAGGGTTCTCAGTGTGGTAAAAGGAAAGTGCAAATATGAATCAATTTCCTATTGAATTGGAGGTTATCAATATGAATTCAGAATTTTAAGGGGAAAATGTATTTCCTAATTCCTGCCATTAAAGTGGGCTAAAGACAATAACAGCTGGTGGATGAGGAGCACACCTGCAGCCCAGATCTTGGCTCCTAAATACCATTTCCCATTAAAGAACCCCAAGGCTCCTTTGAAAAGTGACTGCACACCTGGGACAGGGGAAATACAAAATAAGCTTGAGATACATTGTTTTTCCAAAAAGCAAGACAGTGCTCAAAACTCTTCTTTTCCAAAAAACATTAACCACTACTCAATATAGAAGGGAGTATAAAATGAGAAAATCACCACTTTGTAATCCCCAGTGCAATAATTGATTCAGGCAAGAATCATGAATAGGTGCTAAAAACCCTGGGTGAAATGTTGGAGATGGTGACATGTCACAGTCTCACAGTGTAAGGCATTTTACTGATCACAAAATATACTTGCTTATTAGCATGCTAGCCACCAAAGAAATATATTTGCATGGAAGAGACCTGGCAGTAACCACCTTAACCAAGTGACCCTCACTAGTAGAACAACCTGACATTATGTGCCTCCTGACATGTGACAACAAGAAGTATGCACATTCCCTATGTAGTATTCCTGCCAGAAGTACTAAATCTAAATCAAATCTGGAGAAATAAT
This sequence comes from Homo sapiens, assembly GCF_000001405.40. Lineage (NCBI taxonomy): Eukaryota > Metazoa > Chordata > Mammalia > Primates > Hominidae > Homo > Homo sapiens. The sequence continues at coordinate 30,947,081 of NC_000019.10, read as the reverse complement.
CAGAAAAATACAGCATGTGAGATGTTTTACTGAACAACTAGCTTCGTTCTTCCAAAAACTGCAAACGGAATAACAATAATTTAAAAAATAAGTAAAGTGTATTCTAGACTTTCGAAAAAGACAAAAGACCTGACAATCAGGTGAATCCTTATAAGAGGATCCAGCTATCATAATGTATCAGGGACAAGTGTGGAAATTTGAATATTCACTCTATTTTAGATATTATTTAATCAATTTTAATTTTCTTAAGTGTGATAATAGTATTGTGGTTGTGCAGAACAATTTCATTGTGAAGGCCGTGGTGTTTTCTACATGTAGCCATCAATAAACATACTAGTAATCATAAAGACAACAAAAAAGTTCAATGAAGACATTTTCAGACAAACGAAAACTGAAAGAACTTCTTACCAGCAGATAGATCAACACTCCAGGAGATAAAGGGAGTTCTTTAGGCAGAAGGAAAAGGATTCCATATGGAAGGTCAGAGATCCAGGAAGAAATGCAGAGCTCTGGGAAAGTCTAAATGAAGAACTGACTATATCAAAAATAACAATAATATCTTGTGGGGTTTAAAATATATGGAGAATGCCCAACACTGATAGCACATGAGTTGAAATTGGGCAAAGGAGTTGCAGTATTCTATTACACTTTCTGGGAAACTTGTAAAGTTACCAAATTGACATTAAATTTTCATGAGTCAAAGATAAAAGTTGTCATCTCTAGGGCAGAGTTTCTCAGCCTCAGTGCTGTTGAGATTTGGGGCCATACACTCCTTATTGGAAGGGACTTTCCTGTGTACTATAGGAAGTCTAGCAGCATTTCTGGCCTCCAGTTACTAGTCACCACTAGCAACACCCTCCCCTCCACCCACTGCCATGGTGACATCCAAAACTGTCTGTAGACATTGTCAAACATCTGCTGAAATTGCCCCAGTGGACAACCATGGCACTAAGGTAAGCAGAAAAGAGTAACTGAGTGTATATCTTCTGAAGGACAGAAGAAACACTGGAATAACTAAAGAAATAACCAACCCCCCAAAACTAAAAGGGGCACTGAGTGGGTAAGAAGACGAATCAAATGCACCTGGGAGGATGGTAGATTAAAGCCCCAACATAACATAATTACATTAAAATGTAAATGGATGAAATGCTCCAATTAAAAGAGAAAGGTTTCTAAACTGAGAGATGTCAGAGGGTCACTGAATTCTCTAATGTCCTCGAGTTGGCAGCAGCCCCTGGTCATGGAAAGAGCACTGAACCTGGTGTTCTCTGCATCTGGCCAGCTGTGTGACCTTGGGCAGGACACTTACATCCTCTAAGTCTTCATTATGTTATCTGGAAATATTGGCTTTAAATTAGGCCATTGGCCCTTCCCAGGCACCTGAATCTCATGTGCATCAGAATTCTTAGGTGAGCTTATTTTATAAAAATCATACATCCATGTGCCTTCCCAGAACCAGTGAATGGAGTTTTGGTGTGGCAATGGTTGGGAGATCCAGGCATTCATGTTCTGAAAATGAAAGAGTAAAAATGAAGAGAGCAAAAAAGAAGAGGGAAGAGGGAAGAGGAAGAGAGAGAGGAAGGAGAGAGGGAAGGGGAGACCAAGAGGTCTTTCCCACATCAACGTGTCCGTGGATGTTTTGGGGTGTGGTTTGGCACTGGAAACATGGGAAGACAGAATAGGCAGCACCTTTCATTTCCAGCTCTGTTTCATTGCCAGGCCAGCCAGCCTACCCTGAGCTGTGAATTATACCTATGGCCCATCCAAATTTACTTGAGGTAACAGAAGGCAAAGTTGCTTTCTCCAGTTCTGATAGGTAGAGCTGGTTACAAGCAGCAGACACACAATCTGGCTAAGTCTGAGGGCAGAGCCTCAACAGTGTGAACGTTCTCTTGCTGCTGTAACAAATTCCTCAAAGTGAATGGCTCAAACAATAGAAATCTATCATCTTACAGTTTCATAGATCAGAAGTCTGGCACAGGTGTCGTTGGGCTACCATCGCAGTGTCAGCAGCGCTGCTCTCCTCCCTGTGGGTTCCAGTGGATAATGCATCTCATTGCCTTTTTCAGCTCCTAGTGGCTGCTCGCATCCTGTGGTTGGTGGTCATCTTCCTCCATCTTCAAAAATGGTCAGTCATGGTGGTCAAGTCCTTCTCATATCCCGACTCTGACTCTTCTCCTATTGTCATCTTTTTCTCTGACTCAGCTGAAAAAGGATTCCTTCCTTCTTTCCTTCCTTCCTTCCTCCCTTTCTCCCTCCCTCCCTCCCTTCCCTCCCTCCCCCTTTCCTTCCTTTCCTTTCCTTTCCTTTCCTTTCCTTTCCTTTCCTTTCCTTTCCTTTCCTTTCCTTTCTCCTTTCCTGTCCTTTCTTTTCCTTTCCTTTCTCTTTCTCTTTCTCTCTTTCCTTCTTTCCTTCTCCTTCCTTCCTTCTTTTCTTTTCTTTGCCTTTTATCTTTTCTTTCTTTTTTATTTCTTAGGGTCTCACTCTGTTGCCCAGGCTGGAGCGCAGTGGTGCAATCATGGCTCACTACAGCCTTGACCTCCTGGGCCCAAGCTATTCTCCCACCTCAGCCTACCAAGTAGCTGGGACTACAGGCATGTGCTACCACACCCAACTAATTATTTATTTATCTATCTATTTATTTATTTATTTATTTATTTATTTATTTATTTATTTATTTTTGTAGAGACGGTGTCTCACTAGGTTGCCCAGGCTGGTCTTGATCTCCTGGCCTCAAGCGATCCTCTCACCTCAGCCTCCCAAAGTGCTGGGATTGCAGGCGTAAGCCACCACGTCTGGCCAAGGTTCCCCATTTTTAAGGACTCGTGATTACATGAGTTCCTCCTGGAAAACCCAGTATTATCTACCCATCTCAAAGTCAGCACATTTAATCACAACTGTGAAGTTGCTTTTTCCATGTCGGGTACCATTTTCACAGGTTCTGGGGATTAGGAAGTGGGTGTCTTCCTAATCCCCAGGGCATTCTTCTGCCTACCCTGAAGAGTGACTGTTGGGAATCTTAGAGATCTCCTAGGCAGAACCTAGTTGATCATCCTGTCAACTGGGTTGATCAGCTCTATCCTAAATAGAGCTCCCAGGACCTTGTTTTCCTCTGCCCTTACATTACTCTGCTTGCGTCTGAGTCCTGGGACACAGAGCTTGACTGGCTGAGCTCTGATTACATCCTGCCTTGGGCACCTTGATTGACAGCCCTTCAAGACTGCAAAACTTGGGGGAAATCCCCCCCAAAAATATAAGGGTACAGTTTTGTGAAGAAAGGAGATGGGTGATAGCTGCTAAAAAATAAAACCCAAATGGCACATTAGCAGACACAGTGGGACGGAGGGTCACTCCCCTCTCACTGCAAGCCACCAGAGAAAGAACATGCCTAATAATTAGTCTGAGTCACTGGACAAAGGCAGATCAGGTGAGCCTGAATATGGGATTGTGCTAATGCATGAACCTTTAGCTGCTTCTGAGAACAGAGGAAGAGCTGTGTGCATCCATTACTTGTAAGGTATACTGAATTTTTAATCTTCAACGTATATTATTACGGCAAAGTACAACAAATTACCTGTGGTACACAAAAAGCTTATAGGATACCATTATCCTTAATTAATGGGTAAATGCATGGCTTTTATTCAATGAAACTGATTTATTGTCTTAATTTTCAGACGTTCTGCCTCGTGTTTCCACCGAAACCATCGTGTGCCCATAGTAACCAGCAGACACCATGCATGTGTGATCTCCTTTATGACCTGCGCCTAATTAGCTTTTTATTGTCATCTTCCAACTCCCGCTTAAACTGTACAAACGGGCAGCATGACTCCCGATACCGATTAATAAGCTTCTAGCCCTGGTCCTGCAATAAAGAGGATGTATTTACAGCATGAGAGCAGAGCTGGTGCCTGTTTCTTTTCGCAGGTTCTCTTGAGCAGGGGTGGAGTGCAGGACTCAGAGGGGCATAGGATGAGGCCCTGCCAGCCTCCACCTTCCTTGTCCTGTCTGCCCCTCACCTGCCTGTCCTTCACTGCCTCTATTAGGCTGGGCTAGTTAAGTGAAAGGGAGAGAAAGGAAGGGAAAGCTGGTGGGTGTTGGAGCTTCGAAGTCCAGAGATCCCCAGCTAATTGCTGGTCCTAACAGGCACAATTAGCTGCTACAAGCCCTTTGAGATGGCCCAGGGCCCTTCTCAGGTAGCAGACATCACCAGATAAAGCTGAAATGCGTTCCACTTAGAGAGACACTTGCAGACAGCAGTGTCACAGCCTGCCAATTACACTTTCCCTGTGCACAGTCACTTCCCAGAGAGAGGAAGAGCCCAGAGGAGGACCCCACATTAAAGGGACAGGGTTCAGGCTGCTCTCAGCCCCAGGAAGCCTTGCTGTAGCTGACTGGAAAGTAGTGGGGGTCGGGGGGCACTTTGCAAATTAAACCCTTATTGTTGAGATGGTGAGAAACTCCATTTCATGGACATTTGCTACTTGCATTTTCCCTCATCGCTAACTTCCTGGCAAAACCACCATCCTGCACTCCCCTTTTTTGTCTTGGGGAGGGGGAACCTCCGACAAAAATTGGACATTTCACTGGAAGATCAAGGCAGCTTGGTGCTGGGGAAAGAGTGCTTAACTAGGAGTCAGGATCCCCTCTTCCCCGCCCAATTAAATAGCTCCACATTAAAGCCACATCTTTCAGAGGGAACGAGGTTCTAAGACACTGGGTAAGATGAAAATCACATTTCAAGGGTTATTTTGGCTGCATGTACTATAAAACATTCATAAAGCACAGTATACATGGATTTATGTAGATAACACCATCCAGTAATTTGGATGCATAAATGCCAATGCAATTGTGAAGTATATAATAAGGAGTGCAAATACAAAATATAATTTTCATTTTAAGTCTCATCAAACAGAAGCAAAGAATCAATGGTGTACAGAGTTGAATTTCTCTCTGTCAAAGTGCTTGCTATGCAACTCTGCTGTATGACATTGGGAACATAGCCTATCTTCTCTAGGACTCAGTTTTCCCATCTGCAAAGAAGGGAATTGAACACAAGGATCTGTGATGTCACTGTCAGGGCTGATGTTTCCCGTGCTGAGATCTCAGCCAATGCACCACCTCAGCGGGTGGCTGCCATCCTGGGTGGCTCCTCCAGCCTGGCCTTGCACTTGCTCTGCAGACTCTGAAGAAACATGACAGGGACAGAACACATACCCACCACTGCTGTGATGCATGCATGCCTGCTATGCATTCTGTCTGCAACAGATTGTGGCCATGGAGCAGCCACATGAATGAGCAAGGGTCCTGGGCTGGGGAAACCTGGATGATGTGAAACACCCAAAGCCTGGCATGTGCAACAGTTTGGGAGCAATTAGAAGGCAACTGAGCCATTTCAGATGACCACTATGGCGAGGAGTTGGTGCTGCTAACTAACTAAAGCCTCCTGCCTCCTTGCTTTCCACAGCCAGGGCTACGTCAAGCTCCACTTGAGGCCACGCCTCCTGCAGATGATTTTGTGAAGTTCCAATACATGGTGAACCACTCATCTTCAGAGAAATCACTAGGAGGGAGGCTATTGTGGGGAAGATGAGTGTCAGACAGCAGGGAGCAGTTGGGAGACCTGGAATCTGCTCCTATCTCTGCCATTTCATTGCTGTGTGATGCTGGAAAAGTCACTTAACCTTTCTGGGCCTCTTTCCTGCTTTTTTTGCAAATGAAGAGTGTGTGCTTTATTAGGTTATTGGTTCCTTCTAGCTTTGATATCTAAAGATTCTAAATTCTCCTACCTGGTTTCCTGAGAGTTACTTCAACTTCTAACTATGGCATCGAGGGCTCCCCAGAAGGAGGGGGAAAGGCAAAAACATTTGTGCTATATTAAAGGATGATATCAAGCTATGGAAAGCTGCATTGTTAGCAAAATCATTCCTGACAGTTTGTGAACGGAGGCCCGAGTCTTAGACACTGTCTCCACTTCAGAAGGGAAGTCCCGTTTCTCCTCTTCAGCTGTCCTTCTACCTTGAGTAAAGCGGTCTTTTGTGATTGCTTCAACCAACTTTCAAGTAAAGGTTAGATACCAGGGCAAAGGTGCCAGGGTAATTCAATGGGGGAAATAAGAGTCTTTTCAATTAATAATGCTGGAATAACTAGATAACTATTGGGAAAAAAATCACCTTCACCTTTTCCTGATACCATACACAAAAGCAATTCAAAATGAATCATAAACCTAAATATAAGAGCTAAAACCATAAAGCTTCTAGAAAAAAAAAGGAGAAAATTTGTGTGACCTCGAGCTAGATTTCTCAGACAGCACACAAAAGGCATAAGCCATAAAAGAAAGAAAATATAATAAAACAGGCTTCATCAAAATTTAAAGCTTTTTCTAATTAAAAGATCATTGAGAAAATCAAAAGGCAAGAATAAAGAACTTGCACAACCTATTAATAAAAAAAAAACCTTCTAAAAGATAGACAAGATTTCAACATATACTTCAACCAAAATAATTTAAGTAAGGCAAATAAGCATATCGAAAGAGATTCAATATTGTTAACCCTTCAGGAAGTGCAAGCTAAAATCACAATGCAGAGACTGTTCTTTCCCTCATGGAGTGTTTTTGGCACCTTTGTGGAAAATCAATTGACTATAACTATGTGGATTTTGTCCTTAGCTCTTTATTCTGTTTCCCTGATCTATATGTCTGTTGTTATGCCAGTGTCTTGCTGTTTTGGTTACTATAGCTTTGCAATATATTTTGAAGTCAGATAGTGTGATGCCCTCAGCTTTGTTTATTTTTACTCAAGATTGCTTTGGCTATTCAGCGTCTTTGTGGTTCCATACAAATTTTAAGATGACTTTTCTATTTCTGTGAAGAATAGTGTTAATATTTCGATAGAGATTGCACTGAATCTGTAGATCACTTTTTGATAGTATGGACATTTTAACAATATTAAGTCTTCCAATCTATAAATATATGATATCTTTCCATTTTTTTGTCTCTTCTTCAATTTTTTAAATAAATGTTAATTTTTTGTAATAAATGTTTTGTAGCTTTCAGTGTAGAGATCTTTCACTTTCTTGGTTACATTTATTCCTACATATCTTACTTTTTTAGTAGCTATTGTAAAAAATATTGTTTTCTTGATTTTTTTTCAAATAGTTCACTATTAGCATTTAAAAATGTTACTGATTTTTGTATGTTGATTTTGTATCCTGAAACTGAGATGAAAGACCTGTACACTGAAATCCATAAAATGTTGATGAGAAAAAATTGAAAGAGATACAAATAAATGGAAAGATATCTCATATTTATGAGTTGGATAAATCAGTGTTGTTAAAATGTCCATACTTCCCAAAGTGATCTATAAATTCAATGCAATTCCTATCAAAATTCCAATGACATTTTTCACAGAAACAGAAAAAATAATCCTAAAATTTATATAGAATCACAAAAGATAAAAATAAATATAAAATAACAAATAAAAATTTAATAAAATAATAATTTAAATATAAAATTTAAAAATAAGTAAATAAAAAATTTGAAAGAGACAAAATAAAATAAAAATAAAAGATGAAAGATTAAAAATACCCAAAGCAATGTGAGCAAAAAGAACAAATCTGGAGGCATTATAGTATCTGACTTTAAAATGTACTACAAACCCATAGTAATCAAAACAGTACAGTACCAGCACAAAAACAGACACAGACCAATAGAACAAAATAAAGACCCCAGGAACAAAACCTATACATTTATGGTCAACTGATTTTCCACAAAGATGTCTAGAACATACAGTGGATAAAGGACAATTTCTTAAATAAGAGGTACTGGGAAAATTGGATATTCACATACAGAAGAGGGAAATTGGACCCTTATCTTTCAGCAAATAGAAAATCAACTCAAAATGGGTTAATGTAAGCCCCCAAACTATGAAGCTACTAGAAGAAAACATACGGGAAAAACTTCATGACATTGGACTGGGTAAGAATATTTTGAATATGACTCCAAAAGCACAGACAACAAAAGGAAAAATAAACAAATAGGATTAGATCAAACCAAAATTTTTCTACACAAAAGAAACAATCAACAGAATAACGAGACAGCCTATAGAATGAGAAAAAAATATTTTCAAACAGTTCATCTGACAAGAGGTTAATATTCAGAATATGTAAGGAACTCAAACAACTCAATAGAAAAACAAACAAAAAAAATCTGATTTAAAATGGGCAAAGACCTTAATACACATTTCTCAAAAGAAGACATACAGATAGCCAACAGGTATATGAAAAAATGCTCAACGTAACTAACATTTAGGGAAACGCAAATCAAAACCACAATGGGTGGTTCCTTAAAAAATTAAAAATACAACTACCATATGATCTAGAAATCCCACTACTGGGTATACATCCAAAGGAAATAAAATAAGTATGTTGAGGAGATATTCGTACTCCCATGTTTATTGCAGCACTATTCACAGTAGCCAAAATATGCGATCAAACTAAGAGCCCATCAATCAATTCACAATTGCAATAATATGGAACCAGCCCAAATGCTCATCAATCAACTAACGGATAAAGAAAATGTAGTATATATATACACCATGGAATACTACTCAGTCATAGAAAGGAACAAAATAATGGCATTTCTAGCAATCTGGATGGAATTGAAGACCATTATTCTAAGTGAAGTAACTCAGAAATGGAAAACCAAACATTGTACATTCTCACTCATAAGTGGGAGCACTTATGAGGATGCAAAGGCATAAGGGTGATATAATGAAAGGGTGGAAAGGAGATGAGGAATAAAAGAATACACATCGGATATGGTGCACAATGCTTATGTGATCGGTGCGCCAAAATCTCAGAAATCACCACTGAATAACTTATTCACGTAACCAAACACCACATGCTCCCCAAAAACCTATTGAAATAAAAAATAATTAATTAATTTAGAAAAAAACTAAATATCAGTGGAAAAATGATTAAAGAAAATGTGGTGTATACACACAATGAAATACCATTCAGCCATTAAAAAAAAATGAAATCCTGTCATTTAGGACAACATGGATGAACCTGGAAGACATCATGTTAAGTGAAGTAAACCAGGCACCAAAAGACAAATAGTACATGATCTCATCCCTATGTGGAACTTAAAAAGACGTCCTCATACTTCTTAATGACTAGGACAGTGGTTACCAGGGTCTAAGGAGAGTCGGGGAAGGAGAATGGTGGGAGATTAGTCAATAGGTAAAAGTCACAATTAGATATAAAAAATAGGTTCTGGTGTCTTACTGCACAGCACTGTGACTATACCTAAAGCTAAATGACGAGTTAATAGGTGCAGCACACCAACATGGCACGTGTATACATATGTAACAAACCTGCACGTTGTGCACATGTACCCTAAAACTTAAATTATAATAGTAAAAAAATTAAAAAAATAAATAAATAGAATATTTCAAAATAGAAGAGAGGATTTTGAGTGTTCTGACTACAAATGATGAATGTTTGAAGTGCTAGATATGCTAATTTCCATGATTTGATCATTGCACAAGGTATACATGAATTGAAACATCATGTTGTATCCCATAAATATGTACAACTATTTTGTGTCAAAATAAAAAAACATAAAAATTATTAGTTTTTGTAAGAAAAAACTTAGACAATCGTCAAAACCTTTTATATGTTATATATCTTTGTGGTATATTATAAACCACCAAGTGCAATAAACTATATGTAGTTCTCACTAAATAAAACATAAGGAGATACCACTATACACTCACTAAAACAGCTAACATTACAAAGACTGACAATCTTAAGTGTTGATGAAGATGTGGGAAAACTGTCACTCTCACATGTTGAGGATAAGAATGCAAAATGGCACAGCCACTCGGAAGACAATTTGGCAATTTCTTATAAGATTGAAAATGCATGTACCTTGTGATCAGCAATCCTACTCCTAGATATTTATTTACCTGAGAGAAATGATAACATATGCTTGTGCAAAGACCTGTACACAAAAGTCTTTTCTAGCTTTCTTTATAATAGCCAGACCCTGGAAACAACCTGGCTGTCCATTAGCGTGTGAGTGAATAAATAAATTGTGGTATAACTATCTTATGGAATAATATATAGCAATAAATAAAAAAGGAAAAAGCACCGATACATGTTACAACATGAATGAACCTGCAAAAGCATTATGCTAAGTGAAAGAAATCCAACAGAAAATATTACATGCTGTCAGATTTCATTTATGTACAATTCTATAGCAACAGAAAATAGATCAGTGGTTCTCCAGGGCTAGGGGTGAGGGTTGTATTGACTGCAGAACTACCCAAGGGAATTTTTGGAATGATGGAAGTTTTAAATGTCTTCATTGTTGTGGCAATTGCATGACTGTATACACATATAAAAAATCACAAAACTGTACATTTAAATGGGTAAAATACCAACCTACTTGATATTGCCAGGTATCGAGTCTGCTATGGCAGGATGCCTGAGCTTTGGTTCAGAACAGCTTCAGCAACCCCTGCCTAATAAATCCCCCTCCAAAGACCACTGCCATTGGATCAAAGTTCTTCCATAAAACTCAGCGTGTAGGGTAAGATTGAGGAGCAGAGGAGTTGAGAGAGAGGACAGCCATGGAAGGTACCTCAACTGCCACCCTCTCCATCATCAGACCCTCGGAAGTGGCAGGAGAGCCACAGCTGGGCAAGGAGATGGTGGGGGTGGTGTACTTATGGAAGTGGCCACATCTCTTTTAGGGACGAGGGTATTAAAAGTGAATGCTTTGTCCATATTCGCTTTGTCCATTGTGTTGACATGAGGACATTCATATTAACTCTCCAAAGACACTTTAGGGAAGTCAGTGCACAGAATGTTCTAAGTGACTAGTTGTGGAAACTGAAGAAAGGATGTACATTCTGCATCTGTGTCAGGGCAATACAAAACAGAATTGGAGGGGCTGCCAGCTGAGGCTGCCAGAACCCAAAGGATCCCCAGATTGTGCCGTGCAACCTGTGCCCACAGCAGCCTGAGGATGACCCACAAGTGAAATCATTAGGTGGAATGAGGTCCTTAGAAGCAGAAGGAACCAAGAGGACTCTCGCTCACTGCCTTTCTGCAACTGACTGGGTTGTTTTCCTTTTGGCTTCCATCCATTCCCTTCATTAGTGGGTTTTACCTCCTGTAACATCCATGGGATGGAAGAAGGTTGGACCACACTCTATATGATCTCAAAGCTCCAGGGCCTCCACCAGTCAATCAGAGTTGAGTCCAGATTTTACAGTGTGAGGAGAAAGACTGTGGTAGTCCCACTGAGGTAAGTGCATGCCCCTAGTTCAAACCACAAGGCACTTGGTTGGAAACCAGGCTTCAATCCGCCACGGCCATCAGAGCATGAACAATCTGGGAGTAACGGAGTTTTGAAGAGGTCGATGGGAGTAAGAGCCCCTTCCTTCTCTCTAGGCTGCAGCCTGCCTATCTATACAATGAGGGAGTTATCCTGGGCTGTCATTTCCAGAATCCCTGTAAAGCTCTATGACAATGGAATATTCTTTATCCACCTTCTACAGTCCCCAGTGGTGGCTGGTTTTCTCTGTTAATGATCTAAGAACCACAGAGAGCATGCTAGTCAAGAAGGAGCTGCCACATGGAGGGAAGGATTGGCGAGCCCAGCCATCCAGACCTGAAGATATTTTAAGAACCAGTTTGTCTTTCCAGAGTCTGCACGAGGCATGTTCCAATGGAAATTCCTGGCAAGAAGCTAAGCCTTTCCAGTCTTTCCCAGCACTGCTCCCCTCTGCCAGCCCCTGCAATGTGCAGGCTTCTCCTTAAACTCAGGGGGCGATTTCTTCCAAAGGTGGATGTGCTAGCTCAGTTCTCTACCTGAGAATGGCATTGAAATGACAACCCTGACAGTCTGTGGGTGGGATTTCCCGTTCTTTATCTCAAACTTCAGCCAAGCAAAGCACCAGGAAGTGCAAACAAGTACTTGTTTTCAGAGCCTCAGCGTCCTCCTCCATAAAATGTGCATGATTGCTTTGTCTACTGCCTACGAGCAAAGAGAAGTCTGGTTGTGGACATTTGTGATGAGCAGTGATCAAAATCATAAACGGGCTCCTCAATGCTGCACCTCAGCAGCCAGCCTGAGCCAGACTTTGGGGAGCTGTGGCCCGGGGCAGGCAGCTCACTCATCCTGATTTTTTTCTCCAAAATAATAGAGCAAAGCTTCTTAAGCCTCTCAGGGTAGCCAAGGACACAAAACGCTGACTCTTCTAGCCAAGGTATGAACTGCAGCAAGGGACACCTCATCTTTGAGGGGTGTGTGCACACATTGGGACATGGGGCTTTTCCTGTGCAACTTTAGGGCAAGTACAGAAAAATGACATAGCTTTTGACAACCAGGGTCTGGGAGCAGAGATTGTGGGTTAGTCTGGTGTCCTTAACTCAGAGACAATCCAATGTTTTGGGCAGTTGGGAGGAGGAAGAAGAGGTACAGTACACAGTGGGTGTCAGCAGGCCATGGACATTTACAATTAAATCCAGAACAGCTACAAATTTGCAGGGCCCACTACAAAATGAAACTGCAGAAACCTTTGTTCAAAGATGATTAAGAATTTCAGACAGGTGCAGTGACTCAAGCCTGTAATCCCAGCACTCTGGGAGGCCGAGGCAGGCGGATCACCTGAGGTTGGGAGTTCGAGACCAGCCTGGGCAACATGGTGAAACCTGGTTTCTACTAAAAATACAAAAATTAGGCAGGTGTGGTGGTGGGCACCTATAGTTCCAGGCTACTTGGGAGGCTGAGGCAGGAGAATCTCTTGAACATCGGGAGGCAGAGGTTGCAATGAATCAAGATCGTGCCACTGCACTCCAGCCTGGGTGACAGAGCAAGACTCCGTCTCAAAAAAAAAAAAGAATTTCAAAATGGCAACAATAGGACAATAAGCCAGGTCGGGGGGTCCTAGTGACAGACCTGCGGGACTACACAGGTGACATATCCATGAGGCTGGCCTCGAATGTGCCTCACCAATGTATGCCTGACCCATGCAGAAACTTCACCTTCCACTGTTTCCGTGGCACCACCACTACAGGGCTTCTGATTTTCTGTTCTGTTGGCCATATCACCACCTTCTTCCTGCTTGGTGCCTGGCTCTGTGTCTTGGATTCAGGAAGTATGCTATAACTGTCAGTTAAATTGGCCTGATAAGCTTAATATTTGGTCAAACACTGGAAAGGTTCATGTAATGAAATCATATTTGTTTTCATGTCCTGTGATTCTCCAGAAAATGTGTACACTGTGGGACAAAAATCACACAGCCTGATAGGCATTTCCTAACATCCCACAGCAGAGGTTTGATATAGTTTGGCTCTCTCCCCACCCAAATCTCATCTTGAATTGTAGCTCCCACAGTTCCCATGTGTTGTGGGAGGGACCCAGTGGGAGATAATTATATCACGGGGGCGGTTTCCCCCATACTGTTCTCATGGTAGTGAATAAGTCTCACGAGATCTGATGGTTCTATAAGGGGTTTGCCCTTTCACTTGGTTCTCATTCTCTCTTTGCCTGCTGCCATATAAGATGTGCCTTTCCTCTTCTGCCATGATTGTGAGGCCTCCCCAGCCATGTGGAACTGTGAGTCCCTTAAAGCTCTTTTTCTTTATCAATTACCCAGTCTCGGGTATGCCTTTATCAGCAGTGTGAAAATGGACTAATACAGGGTTCATTCTCATTAGCTCATGGGACATGCTGAGTTGAGGGCTCTGGAGGTGGTGAGGAAATCTGACCTAAGACACCAGGATAGGGAGGAATCCCTGCATGTTAACAGCAGAGGACCCTGCAAATGTTCTGCTCTGAGGTTTTACCCGTAAGAACCTGCCCTCCATGGGGACTTACTGTCTGAGCTCCTGCTCTTAGGGAAATAGTGAGCCTGCAAGATCCTGAGTCAAACCCAGCATAGCCCAGGCCTTCTGCAACAGCTTTCAGGACAGCAAGGACCCAGGCTTGCTGGCAACCGTCTCCAGAGGCAGAGCTATAGATAGGATCAGATCAGGATACACTCTAACAGCCAGGCTGTCCACAGCAGGAATGCAGAGCATGACACCTTCAGGACACCAAAACACCACTTCTGGGCTGTGTCAGCAGCTAGGTTGAATCAGTGGTTTGCCAACTTAGCCCTTCTTCCTCGTCTTGATCTTCATCATGATTGACATATTATGCTAAATCCTGTTCTAAAAACCCTACAGGGGTGATCATGTGTACTATTTACAAGAACCCTATGAGATAGATACTACGTTCCCTCCTTTTGTAAGAAAAGCAAACGGAAGCACAGAACAGTGGTAGAAACACATAGTTTTGAACCCAGTGTCGTAACGCCAAGGCTGTTTTGTTATACAGCCACCTACCCAAAGCCAACCCAGGGAGCTCTTTGAAAAAAGCACACACCCAGGCTGGAGGGTTAGCGTTGGGAGTCATAGGGCTTGCGGAACCCGAAGGTCCTTCGCAGCCCCAAGATTCTTTGATGCTCTGATTCCACCTTTCTTACAAAGGATGCTTTACTCAGGCTTTTCAGGACGACTCAAATTCCACTTCTCTTCCCCAGTCTCTGAGCTAGATCTAATCACAGGGCCATTTTCCCCGTCTTCTGTGGCTTACAAAGAATAAAATTAGCCAAATGGATAAAAGCTTGTGGTAGGCATATGTAGAGCATTTCAAAGTCTATTTATCAAAAGGCTGACCATTGCATTTATACTGTGGAAACTCCAAGTGCAAAATGACTCTGTCATTTAATTTTGAGAAGGCAAAAAAAAAAAACGCCACGGGGAGATGCAAAGTCACAGCCAGCTACTGGAGAGATTTTGTGCTGCACATGGGTTCATTTGCAGACGCAGCCACATTCAATGCCATCTACCCTCGGGGTGCTCTTCTCCCACCCCCGAGTACTTGGTCACTAAAGTGCAGAATAGTTTGGCTATGTTAAGTGTTGCCTTGACTCCCAACACCCCAGCTCCCGAGTATCTCACTTGGCTGGGCCATTGGAGTGACCAGATGCCATTCCTCACTGGTCACCACTGTGCTGTCACCAGCCCCCACATCCACAATGTGGCCAAAATGCAAAATGGCATCATCAGTGCTGGGAGGCAGTGATCTGGTGCTCACTGATAAGAATTTTTGTTCATCAATAAATGTTTCTTGAGCATCTATTTTCCCAAAAGGTTTTTTATTCTCTGTGGGTTCTACCCCCTGACTTCTGTTTCACATTAGTGTTTCCAATGGAGTGATAGCACATTGGGCTCTATGACGCCATTGTGAAATTTCCATTTTCATCCGCATAGGCAGCGCTGCAGCAATATTCCCTTCCTATGCATTGTTCCTGGTTATTCCAAACTTTCAGGTGACTCCTACCTCTCCCAGGGCATCCCAGTCCTGATAGATACTCACTGGCTCATTTAGAAACTCAGCTAGTGCAGCTCAGTTTCTTCTCATGGGATGGGGCTTGCAGCATGGTCCTCTGTAGACATCATCAGCCTGATTGTAGCTTTCCCAGTCACCTCAAAACCAGCCAGACACTGGGCACATATAGTCATGACTTCCTCTTTTTACTCTGTAATATTGTCAAACCCTCCTCCACAGAAGTGATGGCTGATGAGTTCATGTTTATGAATTAGACTATGAGTTTTGACTCAGATATGATGGATTTATTTGATGGAGATGCTGAGAGCAGTATGTAAAGTACATATCAATTCATGTCCCTTTCCTATATCAATTATTCATTTTCTAGTGGAGTATACACACACGCACACACAGTGGGTGTGCATGTATCTGTACAGTTACCTTTCCTTCTCCAAAGCCGATTCAACAAGTCCTCATGTTAAATCTGGAAATAGGACTGAACGTTGGCTGTACGCCAAGACGGGAAGCACATACAAGCAACGTGTGAGACGTGATTTCTCCCTCATGGCAGCCCATGAGCTACAGTATCAGACTTGAGAGACTGCTGGCCGCGGCGGCGAGTACCCCACCCACCAGTTCCAGGAAATGACCAGCCACAGGAAACCCCCACCCCAATGTTGAACAACCCTTCTTTTCTTGAAATCTCCCCAAATTACCGCCAACCAAGGATGGCCAAATGTACCTGAAGACCAATTAGAAAGTCTCTCCAGCTTCCAAAATTCCACCTAAGCATAATATTTGCGAATCAGAGACTGTCTCTGTATTTCCTCTTTTTACGCTGTGTAAGAACTCTCCTTTAACACCCCTGAACACTTGTCCACAAAAGTGACAGCTGATGGGTTTCCTTACTATGTATTTATGAATAAACAGGCTGTGAGTTTTGTCTCAGACTTAATTTTATCTCTGACAGATTTAACTCATAAATGACACAACTACAGAGCAGAAGTAGTCAATATAGAACCAGGTCCTGTAAGTGTTCAGAAAAGGGCAGGAGATGAGGACCGAGTTGATGAAGAGAGGCTTCTCAGAGCAGGTCAGACTTGAATGAGGCCTTCTAGTAGGAGTGGGGTGGAGCAGCTGGGAAGGCAATGTATAAAGAATGGGCTGGAAGGAATATCAGACACTGTTATGTGGAGAGGGGCCAGGGATGAAGGTGGAGGAGGACAGGATTGTATGCTTCCCCAGGGGGACACGCTTCTGAAACAGAAACTCCAAATTGGGAAACTGCAAGGGCAATGAATTAAGATAGTGTGAGGAAAGGAGAGTTAGAAGACCATGTGTTTAAATGACACTGTGAAAGTGTTCATACTAAGTATTTCTGGTGTTATCTAAATAAAGGCATGACCATTACACTTTGTCCATCTTCAATCAGTGATAATGAGCAGAGCTGTATGCATGTTTTGCTCTATGGAATGTTTCCTGAATCCCTCATGCTGGAAATATCAAGATATTTGCATGTGTATTTTATGTTGCTTCACTGTAGGTAATATGCATTCAATCAGTTAATCAATCAATCAATCAACAAATACATATTGAGTACCTGCCATGCACTAAGCTCTGCTCTAGACTTGGGGATACAGCAATGATAAAAAGGGACTCAGTTCACATGGAACTGGCATTCTAGTGGGGGAGACTGACACCTTCTCATCCTTGTTCTTTTTCTGTTTTTTCACTCCTACCATCCCTACACAGCACTTCTCCTTCCAAAGCCTCTGGCAGGATGTTTCCCTCTAGCTTGTTTCTCGGTCAAGTGCCTCTGTAGCATCTCATGCATAACTACCACAAAATGGCACATCACAGATCTGCTTCTCCAAGGACAGAATCCAGGTCTGTGAGTGTGGCCATGGCAGTGGACTTCTAAGAGAGTGGGTAAAGAGAGCTAGGAGGTGGGGCTTGGAGATGAATTGGAAAGTAATTCACAGTAGGATGTTGGGAGCTGAAGATCTCTAAAGATATTTGAATTTAAAGGAGGGTCCAGTCACAACTTTGGGCACTGGGATGAGGCTGCAATGCATTCAGTCATTTAGCAAATATTTAGTGAGAGCTACTATGTGACAGATGCTATGCTGGGTTCTGGGAATATAAGAATAGGCAAAACAAGTGGGGTCCTTGAGCACCTTGCTTCTAGTAGTGGAGACAACTTAATAAGCAATTACATTTTAGGATGATGAGTGCTATGACAGAGAGAAACCCAGTGCTACAGAAAGCATTCACAAGGACACCAAATCTGGTCTAAATGAGGCAGGGATGGGTGAGGTTTCAGATGAAGAAGAAATCTTAAATCCAGGTCTGAAGAATTGGTAGGAATAAACTAAGTGAAGTGTGTACAGATAGCATCACACATGCCTTGTACGTTAGAGGGCTTGCAAAAAAATTTATGTCAGTGTCAGAGTTCTTGAATACAAGTACTAGACCCTGACTCTGGTTAACTTCAGAGGAAAAGGAATTTGTTGGAAGAATATTAAGTAGCTTATAAAAGGACAGGACGACTGAGGAATCAAGCAGTAGCCAAAGGAAGTTGGGCTGCCAAGAACCCAGTCAAGGTTCATTATGATACTGGCGGGGCACTGCCATCATTGTCCACCTAACTGGCCATGTCTGAGTCACATGATCACATGCTAGTTGCCAGTGAGGGGGAGAGGGTGTATCTAAAGCCCTTTTGGTGTAAATTCACACAGGAGAATTTCCCCAAATCAAAATAAAGTATTCAGATGCTAGGCAACCAATACATGACAAAAGTCCACTAAAACCCATGTGGCTGAAACACAGACTATAAAAGATGAAATGGAGAACTTCCATTGGCAATGAGACCAGATGCCAGTAAGTCAAGACTGTAATTGCCCGATAAGTTTCTTCTTGCCCACTGCACAAATAAAACCAATTCACCGAGGCCGTGGTGTTACAGTAGAGAAATAGCTTATTAATGCCAGGGCCAGCTGAACAGAAGGACAGGAGGCATTTCTCAAAACTGTCACCTTGAGAGCTTGGAGGCTAGAGTTTTTAAGGATAATTATGTTGGCCAGGGGGCTAGGGAACGGGTGCTGCTGATTGGTTGGGGATGAAATCACAGGGGTGTTCAAACAGACTTCAATGCACTGTGTTACTTTCTAGGTGGGAGTTTCTGGGTAGGAATAAGCTCTTTGCTGTGAGTCATGGGTCCAGGTGGAGTCAGTCAGTCACCAGAACACAAAAGTCTGAAAAATATCTCAGAGACCAATCTTATGTTTTGACAATAGTGATATTATCCACAGGAGTGACTGGGGAAGTTCCAAATCTTGCGACTTCTGGAACAATGGCTGGTTATTCTTTCACTGGACCTATAGTTTAGCAGAATTCAGGCACCCACACCCATAATCCTAAACTTGTGGCCTTTCATTAGTCTTACAAAGGCAGTTTCAGTCCCCGGAGGGGGTCAATTTAGGGAGGGACTATGATCATCCTTGTTTCAAAGAGAAATTATAAGCTAATTCCTCCCACAGTTTGCTTGGCCTGTGTCCAGGAATGAGCAAAGACAGTTAACTTGGGAGGTCAGAAGCAAGATGGAGTCAGTTAGGTTAAACTTTTCTCCCTGTCATAATTCTTGCAAAAGTGGTTTCGAGATCTTTGAAAAGCAAGTTAAGGAATTTGGTGCTTATCATCAGGGCAATGGGAAACCTTTAGTGAACTTTCGATGGAGATCTCCCTGGGGCAGTGCAGGGCATGCATCAGAGGGGAGACTGGTGCGAGGCCAGAGAACACGTGAAGGGTGATCCTAGTGACCTAGGGAGGGAGAGTAGTAGTCCAGGTTGGTGTAATGGCTGTGGAGCTGGAGAGATGCTGAGGGGCCTGATAGGTATTTAGGAAATAGAATCAACGTAGAGTAAAGGAAAAGTTGAAGAATGACCCCTACACCATTGGTTTGGACTATGGGATGCGAGTTGATACTCTCCACTGACATAGAAACTCCCAGAGGAACAGCTTGGGGATAAAGGGGAGGGCTTCATATGGGAGCCTATGAGACATCTGAGGGTCCACTTCCAACGGGGCTCAGGAGAGAAGGCTGGCTGGAAAGAGTTACCACAGGCCAACAACCAGGGAATAGGTGAGGTCAGACTCTTAAAAACATCTGCATTTACATTATCAATCTGCACAGCAAAAGAAGCCAAGGAGGAACTGCCCAGGGTAGGGTGTGAGAGCCCACAGAGTAGTATTGGAAGAGAGCAAAAAGGTCACCAGAGCCAAGGGTGCATAGAGGTGAAGAGACAGGAGTGAAACGTGTTCCTTGGATTTAGTGGCAGGAAGTTCATCGTGCAAGCAGTTTCAAGAATGGACGGACTGGAGCTGGACCACCCTAGACTAAGGAGGGAGAAATTAGGAGGGAAAAGCAACAGGCGCACACAGTTGTCTCACCCAAGAAAATCAATAGCAAGGGTGAATTTTTAGAGAGGACAGCAGTTGGCTGTAGATGTGAGTTGAGAAAGAATTCCTTCTTAAATATGAGAGATGATCACATTTAAATGTTGGCATGAAGGAAGCAGGGATAATAAGATAACCTATACTTATTTCATGCTTATGATGTGCTAGCCACTTGTATAAGTGTTTTATATGTATTAACCTTTTCATATTCAAAACAAGCCCATTAGATGGGAATTATTATTATCTCCATTTCCCAGATGGGGACACCAGGCGCAGGGAAGCTGGGTTTTCCCCCAAGCCTTCCATACAATGACAGACAGTCTGGCTTCCAGAGCGTGCGTTTAAGCACCATGCTGAAAATGCCTTACATGGAAATGAGCAGTCTATGAGCAAATGATGAAAGTTATCAGGGTCCCAGAGGAGGAAACAAGAGTGGAACCCAGTGCAAAGCTGGAGGGATTCGCTTTGCACAGGGGGAGGCGCATGGCAGGAGAGACAAAACGATGGATTTAGATATGGGAAGCGTGGTGGGTATGGTGACAATGGGTTCAACGGATGGCTTTTGTTTAGTCCTTAAAGTAAAAACCAAGATCATCTCCTGAGAAGGAAGGGCAAGGTGAGAAGGTGGCTCAGGGCTTCCAGGAGGATGGACTCCAAGAGTCATCAACCAGGAAAATCTAGAAAGAGCTGGAGCCATTTAGAGGCTCCAGTCTGGCTGGCTGGATACCCATGGAGGGTGACATTTCTGATTTTCCCTCCCATCACCTGTCACTTCTGCCAACAAACTCCTTCATCCTAGAGGCTCTGGCAGGACATGCTGGGGCACCAGGGAACAGCTTTGGTTCAGAGGAGCCATCCCAGGGGGCAGCTCAAAGCAACTGGGATGTTGAGAATCCATGGCTGGAGGGCTGTGGGAAAGAGAGAAGAGAATTTTATCAAAGGGAGGACAGGCTGGGAATGATGCCTGAAGAATAAACTGTCCTTCCCCTAGGGTAAGGTCACATCTAATGGTTGACAGAAGATGAACCTCGCTTGGGTTTGGTTTACCTTTTCCATCTTGTGAGCTTGTTGGTCAGTAGGTGAATCTAGCTTACCTGTCACACACACATCTGTGACTTCTTCACTCTGGCACTGTGTGGATATCTCTTCTATCCTGGGGACTTGCCCTGATTGTCTGCTCCACCAGGTCTAGAGATACAGCATCAACCACCAGCAATGCCTTGTAAGGCCCCTGCACTGGGTGGTCCATCCTGCTGGAAGCCCACACCTCACTTATGCTGTCCTAATTGGTTCCACACAACCTTCAGCACAATTTGCTATTTTTGAAAACCAAGGAAGGAGACCATGGGTGTTAAGAATCTGTGTGGAGTGGGCAAACCCAGCTGTATTTTGGATTTTTTGCCTCCTTAAAAAATATTTTTCATTGTTTTGAGTTTGATGAGAATGTGTTTTCCTATTAATTTTTAAACCAAAATTGGGTCCATATGTTTTCTGATTCATGTCTGCTTAACTCATCATGCTGCTTTAACAGAGCAAGTGATGCCCAAGAAACCCCTTTATGCACTTACTTTTCCCCAAGTTAGAGGGAAAAGGTGAAGAGTCGAGAAAATACATGTGATCATTACATCCTGGGGTCCATTTGGAAATATAACCATGAGTTTAAACAGATATCTTTGATTTTTCCCAGAAAGCATCTCTCTTTCCAGGGCAAAAGATGAGATCGTGGGGCACCTTTTTTTTTTTTTTTTTTTTTTGAGGCAAGCTGTCACTTCCATGCTCAAGCTGGAGTGCAGTGGCATGACCACTGCAGCCTCAACCTCCTGTGCTCAAGCTATACTCCCACCTCAGCCTCTGAAGTAGCTGGGACTACAGGTGCATGCCATAATGCCTGATTACTTTTTTTTGTATTTTTAGTAGAAATGAAGTCTCACCATGTTGCCCAGGTTGGTCTCAAACTTCTAGGTTCAAGCAGTCCTCCTGCCTCTGCCTCCCAAAGTGCTGGGATCACAGGTGTCAGCCATGGTACCCAGCTAGGGCATCTTTTGGATTTGGGGAGGCTGTCATATGTCCTCCCACCCTGAGCATCCCTAAAGTCAGAGGTCAAACCTGGAGGGCTTGCAGGTAGACTCTGTTTTCTGGGTGAGCCGGAGTAAAGGAAATGAGAATTCTGCTTTCTTGCAAAGCTTGGTTCTGCGCGAAGACCATGGCCTCGTAGAGCCTTTCGGTATCTGAGACAGCAGTTGCTGGAGAGGTCCTGTCTGTCTTTCCCCCAGGCCTCTGTAATATCTGGGTGAGTCTTGCATTCTGCATCCTGAAAGGCAGTCTAGCAGTAAACAGATGAGGGGTGGAGCCTTTGCTCCTGACTGAATGCCTCCAGCCCCAGGGACATCTTGGGCTGGCAATTCATGGAAACACGGTGCCACCTCCACGTTCAGGCCAGCCAGAAGCCTGCTTGATGACGTCACAGGCTGCAGCGCCTCAGCGACTTTCTTCCTTAATTATGGTCTCATTTCAGCTTTGTTACAGGTAAGGAAACGCACTGCGTAAAAATTTACAAACTCCAGAGTGAACTTCAGAAGCGGTTCCAAGTATCCTTGAATAGCCTTCTTTGTTTCTTTTTGTTTTTAGTTTTAATCTTCTGAGAACCTCAACTTCCTTATCGGTAGAGATTGTATAATAATATTTAGCTCAGTATTGTTGGGAGGAACTGATTTTGTTAAACACTCGCCTTAAGCTGTAAAATGCTGTGGGCAGTTTTAGAATAATTATCTCAGGCCTCCTAACTCTCTCTGGAGGACTTACGCCTGGAAAAATGAACTAGCGCACCCTCCATCCTACCCTCCTCCCCACCCCAAACACACACAGTAAGGAGAAGCCAGGAGGAGAATATGAGCTTTTCCAGGATCCCGAAGTGACAGCAAGGTTTCCAAGCGGGATGAGTTAGTTCCAGGATTTCCCTCGGCACCCCTCCCTTCCCCCTCCATGGGCGTCAGTCTCTCCATTTGGTTCTTTGAATTTGGTAATTGTCCAAGCAGAGACGTTTAATTCTCAAGACTGTCTGCAACCCTCCCATTGGTGTGATATGCAAGTGCCTTGTTGATACTCGCCGTGCAGCCTCTAAGACAGAAGAATTTGGTTCAAAAGGGCAAAGGACCTTATGGTTTTGGCATAACCTGTGCAGGTTTCCAACTGTCAGCAGCCACAAAGCCAGATCAAGAATTCAAGGTGTGGAAAGTCCCCGAGAAGAAGCAAACCAACTTCACATATGGTTGGTCTCTCTTTCCCTCTCTCTCTGTCTTTGCCAGGAAGAAGTGTAGGACCAATTTATGCACAAATTGGTCACATTTTCACACATAGCTCCAATTATCTAAAAGGGGTTTAACATTATATTTATATTGATAAGCTTAACAATGTTGAACTGCGACTCTCAGCTGATCTGTTACAATTCACATCCAAAGAGACCAGAAGGAATAATTGGAAACTCTCCAGCTTCTCGAGAAAGAGAGGCAGCCTTGAAAAAGATGAAAACTGCTGCACAAGGTCTCGGTTTCACTGAAATTACCACATAAATTCCAAATGAAGGATGGCCAAGAATATTCCAGCAATTCCAAATTCTCTCCTAAAGACACGGAGAAGGTACCAGGTGAGAGAGAGTGAAGACGTACCCCATCATCAATGTCACCAAAGGAAAAAAAATTAATATATTATAACAGTGATAGACTTAGCACCCAGGGAAACACTTGATAGAAAAAAATTGAGTTTGCTGCAATTTCTTAGCAAAATGATAGAGTTCTAGGTTGGGAATTTAGCAACAAACAGCGCTAATACCTTGCACTTCAAAGACACCTGTCATTCCAAGTACCTTAGCCACTGACAATAGGCTTAATTGCATTCAGCTATTTTGTCCTCTCTCAAAGGATCCTTGGCAGATCTATGGTAATTCTTGTTCTCCCACTGTTAGCCACGTGCCTCAGCTGGGTGCTGACTCGAAGAACAGGATGGAGACAGAATTGAAGGCAGTCATTTGTTCCTGGATATACATCTCTAACAGCTGAAAAGAGTTGGCAATTTTGGGGTCATATGAATCGGCAATGCAGAATAATATGATTAATGGTAGGGCAAATTTGGTTAATTGCTTATAATTTGCTGAGGTCAATCCCCAACACACAAGTTGCATTGTTTGCTCTACAGTAGTGACTTGGGGACAGTACATGAGTGGGCCTAGCAGGTGCATGCACAACTAACAGCAGCATCTCAGCATCCGGCAAAGGTTGGCTGAGGGTTTATTATGGGTATCACACTCCAGCCACCACCTTCATCAGCACACGGACCTGGCCCAGGTGGCTGAGCTGCTGCTCTTCAGGGCATTGGTGGCTTTGAAGGAATAAAGGTGGTGAAACTCTGCAAGAGGGTTCCCAAGGAACTCAGGTGCACAGACTTATAAAACAGAAGACAGCCAGAACAGCTCATTCAGTGCTTTGGAAAAAAACAAATGCAAATTGGTTATCTACATGTATCATACAGAAATCTAATAAAAAGGGAAGGTTTAGATGAACCCGTGGCCCAGGATGGTTTTGAATGCCACCCAACACAAATTCGTAAACTTTCCTAAAATATTATGAGATTTTTTTTTTGCAAATTTGTTTAAAGCTCATCAGCAGCCGTTAGCATTAGTGTATTTTATGTGTGGACCAACACAATTCTTCTTCTTCCAATGTGGCTGAGGGAAGCCAAAAGATTGGACAACCCTGGTTTAGATGTTGCCTATGTTTAAGTTTTCAACTTGAATTTCCCAAATGCTTAGAATGCGAAGACCCTATCCAAGTTGGTTTCTATCAAGTAAGTTTACTCCACATCGGCCACACCCTCTGCTGTTCACTCCTACTCTTCTTAATCACCAGAAGCAGTCACTCAGCTGGCAAGTGAGAGAAGAAGTGCCTCATTTGGTAACATGGCTGTCAGGATTTGGGGGCTCCAGGGACCCTTAGACTTAGAGATATGTATGTTGGGGAGTGGTAAAGGGGTGGCAGAAAATCCCTTCCTCCCCATGCCAGCTTTCAGGGAAGAGAGAGGCTGAAAGCCTCAGGAACACCAAAGGACATGGTGCTTCTAGACACCATGGCACAACCCAGCCTCTCATTGGTGGTTGATGAGCAGCACCAGAAATGCATGCTAGATGTGGACAGAGCTTTGGAAGCATTTGCTTGTGTCTCAGCAGACAGAGAGATGCTGCTGCTCTCTCACATAAGCCTTCCAATGATCCCATCTCAACTTTCACTGAATGATTGTGTGATTTTCTGTTCAATGTCTGTCTTTCACAAACTGCACTATCCATTAAGACAGAGGCTACATCTGTCTTGTTCTTTGCTAGACCCCTGGACCCAGCCCAGTTTGTGAGGCATAGAAGACATGGGTTGAGCAACTTAATACATCTAGGGTAGCCGTTCGTATTTCATGAGAAAGCTTGCAGTTCCAGAGAAGTAGATGATGTATCCAGAGGATGGGCAAGCCATGGGTAGACTTGGCAGCCATTCGCTCATGCAATCACCATTCACTCCACACCTACCCTGAGCTGTTCTAGATGCAGAGATATGCAGGTGAGTGAACAGAGCAGGTGCCTGTGGTCATGGAGAGTCTAGATGTAGAACAGATGAAGAACAAAAACTCAAATGAGTGCATGGATGAATGAATGAACTAACAAAATTTTGAGAAGAGTTAATTTCTACAAGCCAGGGTAAAGGGTGGAGTGATACAGAGATGGGAGCGATATTGCAAAAGGCCCATAGGAGAAGGTAATATTTGTGTGAAATTAACAGAAAGAAGCTTGTGGAAGACAGATCAATGATTTGTGGGTCCTGAGGCTTTTACGATTTGTGGAATCCTTTTGAGAAAGATATTTATAGGCCAGTCATGGTGGCTTATATCTGTAATTTCAGCACTTTGAGAGGCTGGGGTGGGAGGATCGTTTGAGGCCAGGAGTTCAAGACCGGCCTGGGAAACATAGTGAAACTCTGACTCTACAAAAAATAAAATACAAAAATTCACCAGTCGTGGTAGCATGCCTGTAGTCCCAGCTACTCGGGAGGCTGAGGCAGGAGGATTGCTTGAGCCTGGGTCTTCAAGAATGCAGTGAGCTGTGATCACACCACTGCACTCCAGCCTGGGCGACAGCATGAGATCTTGTCTATAAAAAAAAAATTAACAAAATAAAAAGAAAAATATTCATATGAAAGTAAATATTTACTGAGAATAAGAGGAGAGCACAAGAAATTCCTGGGTCTTGGAGATTCAGGAGCTCCTGAGAGTTCTGTATGTCTTCATCTGAAATGTCAGCATAGAAATGCTTCCTGACTGCCAGCCAGTCTCCACTCCCCACCTGAACCCTCTACCTGCCCTGGCACTAACAGGACCCAGCAAGTGCGTTTCCTCGTAGCTTAACTGGCATGAGCTTCTCTGGGCCCCCACAGGACAGTCTGCAGAAAGAGCTTTTGGGGCAGTGGAATCTGCATGTCCAGAGGCCCTGCCCACGTGGCCAGAGCACCGGAGCAAAGTTACAGGTGAGGGAGGTGAGATAGTGAGGTGGTCAGGGGCCAGACCTCAGCTGCCACAGGGAAGAGGCTCACTGTGTACCTCGGTGATGAGGTCATGCAGTATTAAGGCTGCGGGGCCCAGCAGCATCCGCCCCCCACCCCCCACCTTCCCGGGGAGCTCAGGTAGTTGGAGGAGCACCTGTCGCCACCTGACTCACGCAGAGCCGGGAAGTGAATCAAACAATCCAATCTGTGCTGCCTCACTCAAAACACGATGCCACTCTCACACCGGCCTTTAATTCTATTCCTCCTCCTATTTTCCTTTCAAATGTATGTTTTGTGTGGAGTTATCTGTCACCCGGGCGCTGTCAGTGAGATGTGTCATTCCTCTGTGTGTGCATTCTGATAAAATGGCCTTAATGCATATGCAAATCTGTCTTCTCAAGAAGGAAGTGTGTGGAAACACTCACATTTGGCTGGGAGTCTTATACTGTGAAAATACTGGAGAAGCATATGCGTTAATTTTACCTTAAATTGCAGACAGAAGCCACCCACCCTGTCCCTGACACACAGAACAAATAATTCAGATTTGAGGCATCGTATTTTCCATGAGATTAGCTTCAAGTTAGAAGGAGGACAGTGAGCTGGCAGTTCTTCCTTGTCCACACAGGGGTCCCAGAGAGCCAGGCAGGAGACCTCAACTTAACTTAACTTTCCTTTCTTTCCCTTTCCTTTCCTTTCCTTTCCTTTCCCTTCCTTTCCTCCTTCCTTCCCTCCCTCCCTCCTTCCTTCCTTCCTTCTTTTCTTTCCTTCCTTTTCTTTAATCTCTTCCTCCTCCTCCTCCTCCTTCTCCTTGTCCTCCTGCTCCTTCTTTCTTCTCCTTTCTCCTCCTTCTCTCCTCCTTTTCTTCTTCTTGTAACTTTTCTTAACTAAGAGTCATATTATAGAGAACCATACTTCCCTCCACCTTTTTTTCTATTAGAAAAAGGAACATGACCAGAACAGCATCCAAAACAACTCTACAATCACGTACCAGGTTATCTGACACATTAGTGATTTAAAAGGTCAATTATGGACATTTCAAGTACCAGTTTGGCTTCACGCTTCTCTGCCTCCTTAAAGTGCTAATAGGATGACATCCTATGAGACATGATCATCTGGGGATGTCAAGGTGGACTCCTGGAATGGGAGGATTTGGCAGCAGGGCTGGGGTTTAGCCCTTCCCCTGGCTGTCTTGTGTCTCCATCTCCCTCCAGCCCCATTATGTAATTATTTGGCCAGGCACCTGGCTGGCTTGGGCACAGGGAACAGAGATGATGTGAACTAGGCTAGGAAGTGTGAGGAGGATCCTTGGAGGAGTTGGCCATTGTGTGTGCCATCCCATGGGACAAAGGGCTGGCTTGGCGGGACTTTGGTGTGTCAATCAGTCCACGGCCAAGTTCATTGTGTGCTCAGCCCTGGTCATGGGGCAGAGCTGGGACGAGACTCCCTTCTTCCAGCATCTGACTGGCTGGCAGAGATAAGACTGAAATAATTCTAGGTCATGACCAAATACTGACCCATGCAAAGCTAAAGCATGGCACAGTGGGAGAGAGGATTTGGGGAAAGCATAAATTGATGTGGGATGGAGAACTAAAGAGTCTTCTTGGGAAAGAGGGGGCTTGAACCTAAACCTCTTAGAATCCACATGTAGAAAAAAAAAAAAAGAGGCCTCTCCCCCATCTCAGGAGACAGATCTTTGAAACTTGCCTATGACTTACCCTTTCTTAATAACAAAGTCACCCAATGCCCCTAGCATTTTTTATATTTTAACCAATTAATCTTCATTACAACTGTATGAGATAAATATCCCATATTATCGATGGGAAAGCCAAGGCTCAGAGAGGTAATCAACTTATTCAAGTTCACACAGCTTCTCCAAGCTTAGAGCTCCAAGTGGAAATCGATTGGCTCTGGGGCTCCCATGGTGCTCACTGGAAGACCTCGGCAAGGGTTTGAACCCGGGGAGTCTACTTCTTGAGTCCTTGCCTGTAACTATTCAATGCTCTGCGAAAAGTGGAGTGGAAGAATGGAGGGAGACCACGGCATATTCAAAGAACTACAAAAGGTTCCATCTGGCTGGAGTATGTGGAGAAAGAGGAGTTTTTTGTAGAGATGAGGCTGGAGAGACAGTCAGGGGTGGAAGAATGAAGACTAGGAGCTTGAACTTGAGCCTGTGGCAATGGAGAACCAAGGGAGGGTTTCAGTTAAGCTGCCAATAGTCAGTTATGTTAGGAGGGTTTTTCCATGTGTGAGATGAGAGGCAAGGAAAGCGTCAAATAAAAGCCTTTAGATGAGTCCCAAGGTCTCATCTTAGACAAAGGCTGGAGATGAGGGAACAGCGGGCATGAAATAATAAATAAATTAGGGCTGTGCTTTCAATGATATGGTGTTATTGTTATCAGTATCTTTTTTTGCATGCCATTCACTCTTCAATGCTCCTTTTTATGTGATTTGTTTCATTTAGGTCTCTTGGTAAGACCAGGAGAACAACATTCTAATTTCAGCTTCACGGATCACAGGTGTGAAGCTCTTTAGGAAAACTTTCCAGGACTAAGTTTTGGAACCTTGAAATCATACACAGGAAGGACAATTTAAATGCTTTCAATGTATTGATGCATTTCATCCTCCTAACAACCCTACAAAGCGAGCCTTATTCTCATCCGCATTTTATGTTGAAGGAAACAGCAGAGAGGTTAGGAAACTCACCTGAGATCACACAGGTAGTGAGTGTTGAGTGTCCGAGGCAGAACTCTGCGGTCTCTGCCCCAGAATAAAGGAGTCCAGGCTGAGTCGTGCCCCTCAGACCCCAGCCCGTGAAACAGCTGCTGAAGAGAAGCCCAGCAGGCCAAGCTTTTAAGGTACTCTTTTCAGAGCAATTATTTCTTCCAAATATTAGAAGATAAAAGTATCAGTGCAGGCTAGGGCATCACACTGATATGCTCACAATAGATATCATAGGTATTAAGTGCCGTTTATCCTGAGTGTAATTAGTGGATGCTTTTCAAACGTGATGATAATTGCAGCCTATTGTTTCTACAGTAATTTACAGAAATAAGGAACACTACCACTGCTCATCTTCTGGAAGAAACGGAAAGAGTTCTTATTCAGGATTTAGCTGATGTCTGTGGCCAAACGATACAACAGTCACCAGTCACTGTTAGCCGCGGTCCCTCACACCTGCAAAAGCAACCACTTACGATAACATTCCCAGGATAATATAAAACATATTTTCATCTACTGCATCCGGACGTATGCCCAACAGAAAGAAGACCTGCAAATCAGCTATTTCTTTGGCTACAAGGTGTTTATTAATTTAAAAATCTCTGTGGAGAGACGCCTCTGCTCTCTGTTAAAATTTGACAGTACTTTTCTCTGTGGCATGGAATGGGCGATGTTCACAGGACACCTCTGGCCAAGCTTCAGTTGGTCTGAGGAGGGGACAGGCATGCCCACCCACCCCTTCTCTGATGGTGACCAAGTTTCACAAAGAGCAAAGGTCTCTTCCAGTGGAACACTGTTTTGGGGTACCCGGCATTGCCCTGAGAAATGAAAGTGTCTCTAGATGTTAGAACCATTTAGTTTGTCTTGCTCTACACGTATCACACAATCTAAATATTTTATCTGCTCAGGAGTCAGCTGGCGCAGACTTGGGCTGCACCTTCCACTTCTCAACCCCAAACCTAAGTGGGGGTGCATAGGGGATTTGTGCCCAAGGTGATATTTGTTTATTTTAAAACATCATGCAACTTACCTCTCATATAGTTTTTTACCTCCTATCATCCTCTTGAGTAATTACATTTTTCAAGGCAGAACTGTCTTTTGACATCTATCAAAACAAAGAGGTAAGAGAAGGAGGCTGCTAACAGAAATCCTGTTGTCAAGGCCGATCTCCAGGGGTCAGGGGAGAATCCCACTCCCAGAGACCAAAATGGTCTTGAGGGCTCAGGAACATCCCATCCATGGCCAAAGCCCAGTTCCCGCAACATCCGAGGCAAAGGAGGTTTCAAATAGGCAGCTTTTGACATCAGGTTTTAATGAAAAGACTGGGGCTTATGCAGTCCAGGTCCAATTAGGTGAGGCCCTTTGAAAATGTTTTACCCTTTGGGAACGTCATATACGTTTCAGCTGTTCTCACCTCTTAACTATCCCCAGGCCAAGAGACACTGGGACCACACCCAAGGCTGGCCCTCGCAGGCCTCCGTCAGGACCTGCGTGCTGTGGCTGGAGGCAGCTGATGTCGTGGAAAGTCTAGCTGCCTGCTAGAATCCTTTTCCTTTCCCACAGGGCTCTGGAAGTGGAGCTTCCATAAATTTACACAAGTGCATCGACTGCTTCCCCACCCCCACCCTGGCAACACGGGCAAATTTCAAAAGACACTAAATTTGATAACTAACACTTATTACTCATTGCCTCGCCACAATATTCTTGGCAGGGGTTAGAAACTGACATTTGCAGCTGAAAATAATGCATTGTCAAATAGGAAAACTGCAGGCTATAATTTTTAACACTTGTATCTGTTATTTTAAACATGAAACATTGCATCAGTTTGACATTAATTTATATAATGGGGACCAAAAGGGATAATGCAATCTTAGTGACCACCTCCATTTAATTAATTGCCAGGGAGAACCACTAACCAAAAATATGGAATTACCATACACAAAAACAAAGCGCTGTTTGTACACCTTCCATCATGCATTATTGAAATGCACCGTATCATTAGGGAGAATGATCAGGATGCTAGTGTGAAACCAGCCACTGATAAATGCAGACACAAAACTTTTATGAAAGTTTGTAAATACAGTATTGTATGGAAATTCTGATGCATATTGGCTTTCTTGAGCACTGTAAAATGTTTTATTATGAAAAAAGTGGATAAGATACTTATCTTTTAAATTGGAGTTTAATATTTTATTAGTGCCAGGCACATAATTCTCATCAAATGGCAGGAAACTCTTTTTTGTATGGATATAAATGTCTAGAGTTTAATATTTCAAAGATAAGTACCTACCACTGCATCTATCACACAGTGGCTTAATAGAATTTACTTTTTCTTAAATATTTATACTGTATATGTGTTTGCTAGTCAAGTGATTATAGTGCTCTAAGGTGGAGAGCGAGGCTGGTGATGTGGTTAAGAAGACAAGCCACCCATGCAGTTTGCTTTTTCAGTGCATATATCATTCACCTGGACGAGGAGGAAAAGGAGAGAATAATTAAGTAATTCAGACCCAGAGGCTTAGGAAGGAGAACGTTCTGCTTTTCAAAAACAAACAGCCAGAAAGTTTCTCTGATTTGACCTGAGCTTCCAGACAACTCCTCAGAAGAAATTAAGTTTAACAAATTAGAACAAAATGAGAATGGGGGGAGTAGAGAGGCGTTTGGCTTTAAAAGGGAAATTGCATTGTGCTGAAAATCTCCCTTCGAACTGCTGGTGCGGGCTGTTGACTAAGCGTGGGGGGGATTGGGCAGCAGCTTTGGAGTCCTTCAGCCCTGCAAACTCTTTCATCGGGCCTGAGAAATGCTTTCTGATCCATGCTGATACAATTACCTAGCCTTTATTGGCAATTTAGACCTGCTTTTAGGGACATTTTAGAGCAAATGATGTTTTCTTGATATTTTAAAAAAAGCAGTGCTATTTCCTATACCTTTGGGATAAGGTAGAAACCGAGTTAGAGGCTTATTAGAGGGCTGATTGCTACAATGTGGTTTTTGTTGTTGTTGTTGTTGTTTTTGATGTTGAACTGAGCTACTGAAACTGAAGGTATGGGCCCCAGTGGGCGACTCGCCTCTCTCAATCAAAGGTATTTTTATTTTGGATATTTGGGTGAAATACGCAGCAGGATTTACTACTACTATACTTAGAAAGGTCTTAAAACTCTCCCATTAGTCGAAGGATATTAAAATAGGTTCAATAAATTTTTTAATATGCACATATGCCAAGGAGAGGAGGAAGCCTCCTTTGTTCCTTCGGCAGGATGGAGGTCCAGTTGATGAGCCCGGGCTTTCTTTCCTGGAGGTGTTTAGGCCAGTATCAACCAAAGGAGTGGTTACATTGACAGTAAATAAAACTGGCTGTCCTTAAGGGCTTTCTGACAGGGATTTAAATAGAGTGGCATTGAAAGCTGCGCAATGGAATTAGCCAGGGTGCAAAAGCCACAATGTTTCCTGCCCAGCCCCAGTGAGCTCTCTGGACCAGCAGCACCCTGGCAGGCTTCAACTGGCGAGATTTAATTCAGACACTGCTTGGGCAAACCACATCAGAAAAGGTGACTGTCACCTGCCCCGGTGTCAGCGGCCAGGAAAGAGGAGAGGAGAAGGCCATGTGTGTCCAACTGCAAGGCTGGGGCCAGGCCTGCAGAGGACAGGGTTGAACTCCTGGTCTCCCCATCTCCCTGCTCGCTCAGGCCAGCATGGGGAACAACAGGAAAGTGCCCGTACTGGGGAGACTTTCTTGTGATAAATAAAAGCTGATAATTTAAAATGCTCTTTAACAGGGCCATGTGAGCAAGAGAGAACGCACGGTGGTAAATAAAACCTGTTAATTAAAAACGTATTCTTCTAAGACAACAATGTTCTCCTAATCCCTGCTGGCACAGGCTTGTGTCAAGTGTGTGTTTTCCAGGCTGTGACGGGTTCACGTCAGCCAGGAGCAGGGCAGGACGATGGAGCCCAGCCTCGACTTCTCCTCACCTTGATGGCTGTGCCCTGTGATCTGGCCCCTGCCTCCCTCTCAGACTCGGAGGCCTCAGTGGGCAGACTCTTCCCCTCGTACCCTAAAGCCCCGGCCACCCTAGGCAAGCTCTGTCCCACTTCCCAGCCTTTGCTGTTGCGGTTTCCTCTGCCCAAAATTCCCTCCCACCAATCCTTGCATGCTGGCTGCCCCGCTCACTGAGTCACCACTTTTTAAATTTTTATTTTATTTATTCTTTTAGAGATAGGATTTCGCTATGTCGTCCAGGCTGGAGTGCAGTGGCACCATCACGGTTCACTGCAGCCTCGACCTCCTGGTCTCAAGTGAGCCTCCTGCCTCAGCCTGCTGAGTAGCTGGCACTACAGGTGTGTGCCACCACGCCTGGCTAATTTTTTAAATTTTTTGTAGATATGAGGTCTTGCTGTGCTGCCCAGCCTGGTCTCGAACTCCTGGGCTCAAGTGATCCTCCTACCTCGGCCTCCCAAAGCACTGGAATTACAGGCAGGAGCACTGGCCTTAGTTGACACTTTGTAAGGGTCACCTCCTCAAGTGTCAGAGAGACTCACCGTGACTATGATGTCTAATGTGGGCACCTGCACCCCCAGATCCCATCCTGATCACCCTGTTTTATTTCATTTCTGGCCCTTCTCACTGTGGAAAATGATCTTCATTTGCCTTTTTCTGGGTGATCTGTCACCGCTACTGAGCTCTACTCTCTAGGAGAGCACGGACTTTGTCTAGTCTCTGCTGTATCCCCAGCTCTTAGCCTTGTGAAGGGAGACAGTAGGTGCTCAACCCATGCTTGTGGGGAGACTGGAAAGACTTCACAGGAAGGCAGGAGCAGCACCACCTGAGGCTTTTTCCCTCCAGAGGGGCAGCCCTGTGCTTTGGTGAGGACCCTGCAAGCCTGTTAAGGGAGGTGGGTGCAGCTCAAGGCCGTGGAGAGTTCAACGGGTCGGCAGGGGGCACCGAGGAGGCGACTTGAGGGAGAAACAGCCATGCTGAGGCCCCGGCTGGAGCCCCACACCCACGTGGAGCAAACAGCTGCCCTGCCTCATATTTCACCACTATCTGACTGTCTTGATACCGTCAAGGTTCTAGGTTCTAGGCTAGAACTGCAGTAAAGGCTATCAGGTAGCAAGTAGGTTCCAACAGTGAGCTGGGCCTCCTGGGGAAGTCGCAGCCTACAGGGCCAGGCAGGACCAGAGCACAGGTGCCGCAGAGGCTCTGGAAAGCCAAGCACATTCAGAGCCATCTGTGTCACAACCAGGGCAGCCCAGGGAGCCTCTACCCCAGACCTCAGGGCTGGGACCTGGCACCAGCTAGGAAAGAATAGATGTGGAAGCCTGCCACAACTATGGGCCACACAGGACCATGGCCAAGGTCTGAAGGGCCGCATCCTGGCTCCAGGAGCATCCGGTGTGAATAGCTAAGATCTGCATGGACCCTCGGTGAGGCCCTGGCTGGTGGAGACGGCTGGGAGTCCCAGGCAGCAGAGGGAACAGTAGGGCGTGTGTGTAGGGTACAAGACTCCAGGGAATGAGGTGAACAGGGCCATAGAGGCCTGCACTGCCCAGGAAATGCCTTACCCAGGGCTGGACCATGTGGGAAATGTGGCAACTTTGTTCCCTGGCACACTCTGTCTTGCATATTCAGGAGGCCAGGTTGGACAGTGGCATCAATCCTAAGGAGTGTCCTTACCTAGAGAGAGCAAATCAATCCATGCAGGTCTTGGGACACCTGTGACGCATGCCCCAGGTGCAAATGGCGGGGCAGTAGTGTCTTATCGAGTTGTCTCACCTGGAGGGTTCAGCACTGGGCCTGGCAGCAGATACACCGAGCACTGTTTGCTGAGTACGTTGGTTCCTTTCTTTCTGCCCATGCTCCGCACAGAGGCCCACGCAGAAGGGCCACTGGCTGCAAGCTCCTTCCACAGCGTCGCAGTCATCCTGGTTGTAACTGCCTGGGGCTGCCCAAAGGGAATGAGCCCCAGCAGTGAGTTTCTGTTGTCCTGTCCGTGGTCTCGGACTCCCATGGTGGCTCCCCACTCTCCAGGCAGACTAAGAAGGCACCTTAGAGTCATAATACCCTTTGGGTAAATGGAATCTCAGGGCCCTTCCCCAAACCCCTCCGTACACCCACACCTGCCCTGGGCCAGGGCACTCAGTCAGCTCGTGCCCAGCAGGGAGCCTCCCCTGTCTGGGTGCAAATTCCCTTTCTTTCACCAAAAGGGAATTGAGAGGAGAGATTCCTTCAGAGGCCTAGCAGCTGCTGGCAGATACAAAGGGGTTGATTTAAATGTGGTTTATTTCCCAAGCAGCTGTGATGGTGAAGGGAGAGCACGAACTTCCTGTGTTCAGCACCAGGTAGGAGCAAAGGGAAGATGAGGTCCCCCAAGGAGGAAATGTCATTGCTTTTCAAAGAGGTTTTCACACATCCAGCTCCATGACAGGCATCCTTCTTCCTTCCTTTTTCCAGACCACATTTTTGGAAAAAAAAAAATCTACTTTGTGTATGTGTGGGGTGTGGGGTGTGAGAGATACATTCCTTTTTTGTGTCTAAATCTCACAGTCCACATATGACTTTCCCCACTTGAGAATTCTCTCTCATCTGTGTGGCTCCCTGCATTCTATAAAAATATAAATAAATAAAATTTTAAAAAGTATAAAGCCGGTGCCATGAGACCCTTGGGTTGGGCAAAGCCTGTGAAGTTTGAACCGGTTAACGCACGAATACAAGGGAGTGATTATTACAAGGCCATCCCGCTTAGCATCGGGGAATCATTTGGGGAGAGAGATTCAATTTCATAAAGATGATTTTCAAGAGCTGTTTTGTGAGTAGCAGAATGTTGGGTATTTTTTTTCCCTTTCACCAAAATGAATAAAAACTTTATGTTCACTGCGGTACTTAGGTATCGGTTTTGTTAATTTCTTAAAACAAATTGGCTCCCCAGTAAATCCCAAACTTGGACAGCCACATTAAGCTAGCAGTAGGGAGGCAATCTGAACATGATTATCCTGCAAGAGAATTCCCAGAATTTCATCCAAACTGTGATTTGTTCTGTTATAAAAGGCCTATAAAACCCAGTCTCGAAATTCCTGCAGGAAACTCAAGTGTTTAAATATCTACAATTACTCTCTCATGATTAAAGAAAGATATGAAGGACGGGGCATTAGCACACAACAGAAAGTGTGAGGTGTGGAGCAGGCGATAAATCACACGGGACTGTGACACTGGCGGACCTTGAGGCACATCCACAAATCAGTTCCTGGCTGGAGACTCTCTTAACTGGCTGGGAGGGGTGAGGGCTGGGGAGGGACGCAGCAGGCCCTGCTCCAGGCTGCTGGGGACGAAGGGAGGCCCTGGTGGCGCAGGTCCCTACCACGACAGAACTCAGTATCTGCTATGGTCACTGTGCTTTCTGCAGAAGCAGGGTTTGAAGACTGTCATGCATAAACACGCACCTACCGTGCCAATGCGTTGTTCACTCACACTCACACCACGTCTCTCAGGCTCAGCCCTCAGTTCCAGAGTCTCTGGACCCCAGCTGCTGTGGTGCCATATCAGGCCCCATGCACGATGCTCCTGAGAGTCCTTGGGTACTGTCTTTTCTCTAAAGCTCCATCTTCTAAGTGGTGAGCTTTAAAACTGTTCTCTTTGATAACATGGATGGGTAACACCTTTGAGCCAACCCAGTCATCCCATGCTACAGGTCGGGGAGCTGAGGCCCCGCCTGGCAAGGAGACCAATTCATATTCACCAAGTGAGCTCCCAGCAGCCTTGGGAGGAAAGCCCATCCTTCTTATTCCTTGCCTTCATTGCATTTAGGAAAGCGCTCATCTTCTTGAGAGTCCCAGCTGAACTAATGGGGATTGTCTTTTTAGCTGGAACTTTCTTCCTGCCTCACAGGCTCCCAGCCCCGCTGTCTTGAGACTCTCTCGTTAAAAGGGGCCTTAGGGAATGAGCCCAGATAACTGTCTGCAGTACCCCTGAGAGTCTGGGCTTGTGGAGGGGTGGCATATCTGCCTGTAGCGGCATCACCTCTGTGGTTTCACAACCCTCATGGGCAGCCGCTTCCTCCATGGCCCTAGTTTATGGGAACAGCTCCAGACCCTACTCCTAAAACACCACCTCTTTCTTCCCTCTGCCATCACTTCCTGCAATTACCATCTCCAATTTACTCTTCTCATACCTTTAGAACAAGTTCCGTCTATTAAGCCAGCACTTCGGCTGATGACATGGGTGACACAAAGCTCCTAGGGGTAGGAGCTGTCCGTTCCCCTCCCCTCTCCTCCCCAGCACACCATGGGCACCTATAGAATTTATCTTGGAGTGAATGAGTGAGTGGCCTTAAAGGTCATGCTGTTGATTTTCTACTTCACCCTGGAGACGATATGTTGGATATCTTGGTTAATTCAATCCCCTTTCTCCTCCCTAGCCTTCTGAGAAGCCGAGCAGGGCTGCATTTGAGGGCTGTTTTCCCTTGGAGTAGCAGCCTGTTTGCCTGGAAGGCAAGGAAGGGCTCCAGCTACCTGGCTGACCTCAGAGGGACCAGGGTGGTATTGGCAGCTGGCATCTGATACAGTTGGCTGGAGCCGGCATTTTTGGACATGCTCCCTCTCTCATTCTGCCAACTCCCTTGCTCCCTCCCTCTCTCTTTGCCTCTCTCTCCCCATCATCCAGCCTCCTGGAAGTTGAAACAATATTTTGAGGGGTCAAAGTGGAGCATAATGGGAGACCATGGAAACACACGCAGCTCAGGATAGCGTAAGCCCCAGAATGGCTGCGTAGCTCACAGATGACAAATGGCAGAGCCCTGCAGGTGTGCAATCCATTTATTGATTTCAAGCCCTCCCTCCTCTTGTTCTCTAGGCCTCCAGGGAGGGAGAGTCACAGATTCTTAGGGCTGAAATTGTGCAGGAAGGACATAGCTTTCCTATTGGCCAGACATCTAAGGCTGCTGGGCCTAAATATGGAGCCCATTACAAGGAAATCTGGTTCATGTTTCCGATGGAGGCACAGAGCCCCGCTTGGGCTGAAGGCCTGGGTCTCTGTGTTGCTGGCACAGGCTTACAGCAGCAGGCATCCCTTCTTCCTGGTTGCCTGGTATACCAGGGTGAGGGCCCTGGAACAATGAAAATAAAGGGAATAATCATATTTAGCAAGGATTGCAAATTTGCTCTATGCTGGGAACATTTTTTCAACCCATTTACATTTACTGATGTATTTAATCCCCACAGTTCCCATGAAGAATGGAGTTTGTCTTTTTATTCCCAGCTATGTGGCCTGTAACAGGTCACTGAACCCTGCTGTACCTCAGTCTTCTTATCTGTAAAACAGAATGATTTCACATCCCCCTCATCCAGCCTAAGTGAAGAAAAAAAAAAAACCTCTTCAAAAGTACAAAACTTCTCAAGCCATTCACTCTTTCTAGAAATGTGCCCTCTAAAGATATGGAAAAATTAGGCCTGGAATCACAAAAGGAAGAAAATGAGCATTTGAAGCTTGAAATTACAGGGAGACAACTTTTTCTGTAAAGGGCCGATAAGAACGCTTTATGAGTCATACTGTGTCTGTTGGGACAACTCAACTCTGCAGATTGAAAACAGCCACAGATAAACCGATAAATAAGTGTGTGTGGTTCTGTCCGAATAATACTTTATTTACAGAAACAGGCCAGAGAAGAGGCAGGCTGAATTTGGCCAACAGGCCATAGCTTGTTGACCCTTTCTTAAACAAACAAGGCACGTTTCCCATCCTGTTCACAACACATCCACCATAAAAATGAGTTATGACAAAGTGGTTCTGAGACATAGAAATCAAATACTGTCATCTTCCCTCTGCCGGCTTTTCATTTTCGGGATGTATAAACAAAATGAGGTGACACTAATCAACCTGTTTGAACTACGAACAACTGGAGATGTCTAATTCACATAAGTGGATGAGCCTGGGGTTTTAATCTTAAACATAGAGAGTTCATGAATGTAAGTCCTTGGCATGGTTTACTGAATTATAATTGACAAAAGAAACAGTAAAAATAGATTAATGCTAACCTGAGTGATCAATTTCCCCCTGAAGTACCATGCGGGATTACTCTGCACATTTACTTCATTTCTAAGGCTTTCTTCTGACACTCTCAAATCCTCTACTGTAGGCACTGGAATTCCTTGTACTACACTGGGGTGATGGCACCATGTTTCAAAGTTATTCAGAACCTGATTGGCCGTGTTCCTGCAATACATTTTCCTAACCTCAAGATAAAGATCCATGCATCTCTTTACCCTTTAAACAAAAAAGCTATTGTAATAGCATGTAGTCTCAGGCATGGTCTGAATACAAAAACCTGCACATGCACTGCTAAACTGTTTAAGTATGGAAGAAGTAGTGTCTAATAGCATCAGGAAATTGAAATTTAAAAATTTTTCTCACTCACTTATTTGATGAGAACTGGGTATGCTGACAGGTGAAGCAGAAAGCCATTTTTCAAGTTAAATGCCAAGTGGTTATATAGCATAATATTCAGTCAAAATTAACCACCTAACTGCTGCACTGACACCCAGCATATTTAATGCCAACTGTTCTTGCAAAGAAAACGGCAGACCTCTGGGAGTGCCTGCAGAAGGGGAAAGAAACTGATACTAATACTTCAATTATTTAGGGGGTGCCCCAACTCTCTGAGTGGGAAAAATGGACTCACCAGCAGTGACACTGACTCTCACGGACGCCACAGAGGGAAATCACTCAGTGTCTTCCGGGGCCCTCTGGGCCTGCTAAGCCAAACCCCAGAAATTTCTGAATTTACGTGGGCCTCAGGCAGTCTCCCTACAGGCAAACACTTTTGGAAAAAGCAGGTGGATTCCTGCCTGCTGGCACAGGTGCCGGGGAGGCTGTTTTTCTAAGCTAGTTTCCTAGTGACTGCCAAGCAAGGTTCCCCAGCTTCCAGGGAGCAAATGATGCCTGTGCCAGAGGACAGCAGATCCAGGGGCCCAGGGTAGCAGGCAGAAGGCAGGCATCACTTGGTAGGATTCAGATTCCGAGGAGTGGCTTAAGAACCCCCATCTAGGAAGTACGCGGAAGGGCAAAGACAGCCTTTGTTGGAAATTCTAGCAACGCTTTTCCTGGAGTGATTTTATTTGTGAGGATGCACTAATATTTCAGCTAACAGCCCAGGGAGTGTATAACTCAAAAATTCCAACCACAAACAAAAACGCACTGTGGAGTCCACTCCCAGCTTTAAATCCTAGGCAACCAAGTAACCAGAGGGCCACTGCTTTTCCTCCTGCAAAGGTAGGGAAATTCATCTGTAAAGTGCAATGCCCCATGGTGGCTCCTGGGTGCCCCAAGACCTGCCAAGAGCAAAGGGAAAACCAGGCTAGATCCAGATCCCTCCCCTCCCCTCCCCTCCCGTCCCCTGCCCTGCCCTCCCCTCCCCTTCCTTACCCTCCCCTCCCCATAGGAAGAATTTATCAACTTCTTCCTACCAGAAGTACGATCTTCAACCATTTCATTTATTCAGCTTTGCATTTTCCCATGTGGTGTTTCCTGGGCTTCTCAGAGCCACTCTGAAAGACAGGAAGGTGGAGGTTATTGGCATCCCCTGGTACCAAGTGCAAAAGCAGATCTACTGAGGAAGGTGAGGAAGGGCTATGGGTCGCTGACATCATGGCATCTACTGGGGGATGAGCCAAGCCCAGTATCCTGGTCTCTTGGCTTCTAAACTGATGTGCCATCTTTCGAAAATAACCAACATTTTATCTTTTTATTTTATTTATTTATTTATTTATTTTTGAGACCCACAGTTTCACTCTGTCACCTAGGCTAGAGTGCAGTGGCACTATCTTGGCTCACTGCAACCTCTGCCTCCTGGGTTCAAGTGGTTCTCCTGCCTCAGCCTCCCGAGTAGTTGGGATTACAGGTGCCTGCCACCATGCCCAGCTAATTTTTATATTTTTAGTAGACACGCGGTTTTGCCATGATGGCCAGGCTAGTCTCAAACTCCTGACCTCAAGTGATCTAACCACCTCGGCCTCCCAAAGTGCTGGGATTACAGGCGTGAGCCACCGTGCCCAGTCTAAAATAATCTTTAAAAAATGAAAACAACTAAGAAAATTGTTTCTGTTGATTTTTGAGAATCTAGAGAATACCGAAAAATTAAAGTAAAATTAAAAACAAATAGTATCTCTAATCCCAACATCTACTAACAGGTATTAACTCATAGGTTTATTTCTCTCCATCCTTTTTTCTGTGTGTGTGAGACAAAAAGAGAGATTGGGGAAGGGACATTCCTTTTCACTGAATTTAAAATTACATGCATTGTATATGTCATTAAAGTTACTTGCAGACATCTTTAAAATCTTAAAAATATATCCTAATTTATTGAGCCAACCTATAGTGTTGGCCATTTAGGTTGTTTTTAACTTTATTATTTTTGTTCCTGTTTCTCTTGTAGCTTGGAGCATCTCTGTGCATAATTCGGTATCAGCCATTCTGACCAATTTTTCGTAGGCAGATTTCTGGATGGTAAATCACCAAGTCAAGAGGAAGGGGCAGTGGTCATTTTAAGACCCTTAACTGTCTCTCCAGGTCAAATCTCAGCTCTCCTCCAAGAAACTCAGGCCAATTTCACTGGCCTTGTTCAGAATGACTCCCACCCCCACAGGACCCTTTTGAGCAAGACAGTGGTTCTCAACCTCAACTTGGACACTCCTGATATTTGGGGCCAGAGAACTCTTTGGTGTGTGGGTTGTCCTGGCCATTGCTGGGTGCTTAGCTGTATTTCTAGCCTCTACCCACTAAATGCCGGTAGCACCCTCTCATCACCTAAAATGGTTCCAGAGATTGCCAGATGTCTCTAGAAGGAAAACCTCCCCTGGGTGAGAACCACCAGGCTAGACCATGGTCTGGGTAACACTGGCAGATGGATGGGTTAGCAACCTAGTGATGGAAGGCAAGTCCCATTCCAAGAAAAAAGCCAGATAATTCTTCTCAAATTAAGCCTTGCTATTACACATAGAGCTACATGTACATCAAAAAAAAATCCCTCTACAAAATTAGTGCTTCTTTGTTTCCATGGCATTGCACATGTACATCTACACTGCTTAATAATTCTTTATGTACCATTGATATTTTATTACTTATTTTTTGCTCTTCTGTTAGTCCTGTGAATCTCTCAGGGCAGTGTTTCTTATCCATTTCCTTAAGTTTGACACCTAACACAGAGTGGATTAAACTGAATGAATGAACAAATAAATCTGAGCTGAGACAAGGGCTTCTCTTACACATACGTGTGTGCACACATATGCACACAAAGACATACACATGCACACATGTGTGTGCACATTTATGCACCAACAGAAGCCTTGGAGGAAAGGAAGGGCTACCAACTACGAAGGCATCTGTTGCTTTTGACTAGATGGTGATAGCTGAGGGTAAAATTTCTCTGTGTAAGCACTACAAATTTCCTAAATCTGCATAGAGTAACATTTGGGGAGTCAGAAGTAATGTATTTTCCAGTGAGGTAGGGCCTCTACTTTTAAATAAGGGTACTTAGGGTTGTCAAAGGAGAAGAGAACTTTCTCTATTGCTTTAAGAGTCAATTTACTGCATCATTAACAGATGTCGTTTAATGGAAAGTCCTGTTATTTTTGGAGGACGAAATGCATATTCCACACTAAATATAATAACAACATAAACCTTTAATAAATAATTGTAACAGTTTATAAATATTTAAGTAGTAAATCTGAAAGTCCTGAGGGACAGGAGGAGGCCGGGAGGGAAGATCTGATTTGTAAAGCACTAAAAATAGGTCCCGACACATATATTGTTAGCCTGTCTTTTTTTTTTTTTTCTTTCTTTCTTTCTTTCTTTCTTTCTTTCTTTCTTTCTTTCTTTCTTTCTTTCTTTCTCTCTCTCTTTCTTTCCTTCCTTCCTTCCTTCCTTCCTTCTTTCTTCTTTCTTTCTTTCTTTCTTTCTTTCTTTCTTCCTTCCTTCCTTTTTCTTTTCTTTTTTTTTTTTCAGACAGGGAACTGCAGATTGGGGCCTTTCAGCAAACATGATGATTAGAGCAAAGTGGCCACCCTAGGGTTAATAAGTAGAGGAACTGTGGAGGGTGAGATTGATCAAAGGGCTCAACAAAAGGGAGAGAAGCCCCCAAAGCTTTCATTTTCTGACCTTGACTTTGGCTGTAGACACCTGAAAGAGGCGTACTGAACACTGGGATACTCGGAGACAATCCATGCCAGAGCATGGAAACACCTTCAACTAGCAGGACACACCAGGCAAGTCAAGCTCCTCGTTTCTGAGAACAACAGTGTACCAGGGCTGGTGTTGAGCACTTCAGCGGGATCACTCCACTGATATTCATAAGGATTCAAGGACTATTATTATCCCTTTGATGCTGCTTGAGGCCACCTGCCACTGAGTGGTGGAGATAGGATTTCAGCCCAGGTGCTTTGGGGAAAATGTCCTCTCTCCAAGGGAAAAATCACAAGAGATGGTTTCTCCTTGTTATTCTGGATTGTCATGTCTAGAGATGCAACAGTCACCTCGAAAATACAAAAGAAAGAAGACTTAGGATGAAACAGATGGTGAGGACAAGAGAGAAGAGAGACGGGAACAACCTGGGCCATTGTTGACTACTGAGCAGCTCATTGGGCTGTCTCCGGTAGACGTCCTTACTCCGAATGTGAGATTCCACGTTCTCTGGTTATTTAAGACAGATGGAGTCAGGATTTTGTGTTACTTGCAGCCAGAAGCATCGTAACTGATCTAGGCACATACACAAGGGCCCAGTTAAGGGCTTGTATGTATAAGAAGAGTTTCAGAAATGATGAATGATTGGGCAGTAGTCTTCATAGGGTCAAACTCCTGTCCTGGGACAGCTCCTGATTGACTTTCCAGCACCCATTTTAAACTTTTACTGAAAATCCTTTCTTTTCCCCTGCAGAGTTTCCTCTCCTTCTTTTGTACTAAATGTGTACTGGGAATTGACCAATTCCCCAGCACCTGGTGGTAGGTGCTGATTGGCAAGACAAGAAAAGAAGCCCAGCCCCCTAGTCTTAGCCACAGTGATTGGTTCAGGAATGACTTTGGGTTCCATTTCAGGCCAATGAGATATGAAAAGAGGTTTTTCCTGGAGCTTCTGTAAAAGGATCTTTCTCACTCTTCTAAAACAGAAGCACACTCTCTCTCTCTCTCTCTCACAATCTCAACCTTCCTGGGGAAGAAAACATACTCCAGCTGATTTGCTGGCTTCCATCTTTCTCTCAAAGAGAGGAAGCGGCCATTGAATGAAGCTGACGTCCTAGCAGCCAGAATAGAGAGGCAGAAAGAAAAGCATTGCAGTGACCCTAAAGTCCTCTCTACAAGTGGGTTTCCCACTACATGAGCCAATACATCCCCTTTGTTGTTCTTACCAGTTAGAGCTCCTGTCACTTGGAAGCAAAGGCATTGTTGCAGATACACACACACACACACACTCTATCCACCTGGCATTCTAACAGAAAGCCCAGGATGGTATTTGGGGTTTGTGCCCAGAGACTTTGGCCGGAGGTTTCTACTTATCACCAGGTGAGTGGAACAGTGACCATGACCACTATGAGACACTCCTGAAGGCCTTTAGCAGACAGTGCATAGCGGGGAAGGAGGACACTGGGAATGAACACTGGAGATTTGAGCACAAAACCTGGAACACAGGGAAGAAGGAGAAAGAACCCAAGAGAGGGTGTCTAAGGAAGTCT
Source organism: Homo sapiens (assembly GCF_000001405.40). NCBI lineage: Eukaryota > Metazoa > Chordata > Mammalia > Primates > Hominidae > Homo > Homo sapiens. The sequence goes on along the minus strand of NC_000019.10, from coordinate 30,902,237 downwards.
TTCCTGATTTTGAGAGTCCTTGCTCAATCCAGTGACCTGCAGACAGACCCTGTGAGCATGGTTGTCTAGACTCCTAAGTGGAAGCACACAGGCAGGAGAAATAAGCAGGTGCCTCCAAAGAGTGGCTCTAGGCCCTCTGACGGTAGAACTCATATGTAGTAGCATCTCTACTAAGACTGATGTCAGCAGCCTTTGTCTTTTAATCATTGTTTAAGTATTTACCGTAACAGTTGTTTACTCTCACTGTTTCTCATTTTATGAGAATGAAAGGAAAGCTCCCGCAGGAGTGCCCAGCTACCCCTTGCGGTCTTTCACAGGGCAGAGGTTCCATCTCCCTTCCTCATCTAAGCCTCTCACTCCTCTTTCTATGCTCCACCATGTAAAGCATTAGCCCCCTTTACGATTTATTATTACTGATGTTAAACATTGCACATGACAGTGTATTAAATCACCTCTATGGGAACTTGTCTTATTGGTTGATCTTCTGGAAGAGGCAGAAAGAGCTTACTTTTACTTTATTATCATATTTGTTTGAATTATTCTATTTCTAGTATTATGTTTAGTATTTTGTAGTTTTCTTTTTTCCTGAAGAATGGATACCCACTGCCTGTGTGACCCTAGAGCCTGATTGCATTGGCATTCACAGGCTGCTGTCTTCTGTCTAAAGCCCCCGGCCCCACCTGATTTCCCACTCCTTCTGCCTACTTATGCTCATGCAGAGAGACTCACCAGCCGCTAACCATACTTGGTATTGTTTTGTCCTAGCATTACTGAGACCATCCTCATTTCTATCCAGGCCCCTGAACCCCTGAATTCAACAAATCTTTCTGGCTTTGTGAAGTCCTCCATGCCCCATGAGGTCTCTACAATGACCCAGACCTTGAGGAGGAAGCTTCCTCTAAGATCTCGCTAAGCACCTGGCCTGTCGACACCCACTGCTGCGTGTGATCACTTGCATCTGTGTGTGGACCTGGCTTATTTCCCCTTCGACACTCACAATCCTAGGGGCAGAGGGTAGAGGGTCCAGGTCTCCTGCGTCATCCCATAATACTTACCATGAAATTCTGCACAGAGGGAAGAGTTCTGAGAGAGAGAGAGAGACTGACTGGCACAGCCACCAGCCTATGGTGGGCCAGGAACACACAACAATCCTATCCGAATGTCCTCAAGGATTATAATGCACTTCCCCCGGCCTGGAGCAGATTCCAGGCCACCCTGCAGGCCCTGCAGGTGCCAACAGGAGCTGTGATAGGTAAGGAGAGAGTAGACAGCCTACCAGCAGATGAGTCTTCACAAATCAGAAAAATCATTGTATATCGCCCCTGTAAGGGGCCTTTGGAATGATCTAATTTCAGTCTCTTGTTTTATAGGCAAGGAAACCAAGGCCCAGAAGAACGTGATTTCCCCAAAGTCACACAGCTAATTAAAGAAAGAGTCTAGACCAGAATCCGGGTCTTTTGACCCCTGGCAGATTGTTCATTCTATTGCCTAAGCCTCCTTTGATTAATAATCAGTTTCAGTCTAGTTCTGCCCAATTAGGAGTTTTTGAAAATGGGTTCTTCACGTTTTTCATAGGTATGCATGAAGACAGCGTTCTGCGGTCAGATAAATTGGAAAATGATGAACCAAAAATTAAATTGATTCATTGACTCAGAACATCCCAGAGCTTTTAGTATGTGAGTCCAAGAAGGCAATATTGTATGTAGCATTTTCCAAATTTAATTGATCATGGAATTCTTTCTCATCCACCCCCCAACAAACTGTGTTGAGGCATTAGTGTACCAGGACACCTAACTAGAGAAATGGGAATCAATTATGTTTTTCAGTGATTAAGGGCTCATGATTTCACTTTCAAAGTGCAAGATCCACATGGCTTTAGGCCTTTGCTCATCAGAATAGAAGCAGCCACCACCAGTAGTTCTGTGAGCTTGTCTGCCTGGAGAGCTGTAGGCTGTCCATCCTTGGAAGATTCTCAGAGTGGGATGAGGAAGTTGGCGGAGTGGGGGTGTTGTCATCTTAGTCCTTTTAGGCTGCTATTACAAAACACCGTAAGTCAGGTGCCTTATAAACAACAGAAATTTATTGTTCACAGTCCTGGAGGCTGGGAAGTCCAACATAAACGCACAGGCAGATTTGGTGTCTGCAGGGGCCTGCTTTCTGATTCAAAGATGGCACCTCCTGGCTGTGTCCTCATATGGGGAAAGGGGCAAGGCAGCTCTCTGGGGCCTCTTGTGAGGGCACTCATCCCATTCATTGGGGCTGTACCTTCATGACCTAATCACCCCCCTCAAAAGCGTCACCTCCTACAACTACCACACTGGGGATTAGAATTTTAACATATGAATTTAGAGGAGATGCAAGCATTTATATCATAGTAGCTGTCCTTCTGTCTCATGAAATTTTAAGTGAAAATTTAATTTTTAAAAGTTATCGTTTAAATCTTAAAAAGCGCCTATTCCTAATTACCTCTAACGTGCAGCAGCCTCAGTGCTGTTGAACACATGGGGATGCGTTTCACCAGTTCAAATATGGGCCCTGTCTAAGGTCCCTGATGTGTCCCTCTAGAGCCATTGGAGATAGGATGGCACCAAGGAGACCTCAGTTCTGCAATGGACCCATCAGATCAACTCCCTGGTTGGCTGTGGCATGAGTTATCCTAAGAAAAGGCATTATATTTCTGCATCTTACCACATATTTCCAATTGAATTATCACAAGGGTATTACAAAAAAAAAATCATAGGAGTTGGCAGTAACTCAGTGAATAAAATCACCACTTTAATTGTGCCAGTGTAACAGGTCGATCATTATCAAGAAAGGTTTTGATATATTTTTTAATTAAATGTTGACTCTGTTGATCAATTTCACTGATAGCCAAGTAATCTCCTCCTCTTTCCCCATCCTCCAAAACAGTTTGCTTCCCGAATAGGACTGTGACTAAGAGGCAGAAATCCAGAAACCTAATCTTGGCTCTGTAATTAGCTGCCGTGTGGCTTTAGGCAAGTGACTTCTCCTCTCTGTGCCTCAGTTTCTCACTCTGCAAGGATAGAGAAGAAACCAATATTTTCTAAGGCCCTCTCCCACTTTGGAATTCTATGATATGAATACATAATATACTATTACTGAACAATATTTTACAGCAACAGAAACTTGCATTTTTATCATTCATTCAAAGATGTCCAAGGGACCTATGAATGTTAGTGCCCAGCATGGGGCAGCATGATTTTCTGTAAAAAGCCCCTGGCATCTGGCCTCTGTACCAGTAGTAATTGTGAGACACTCCCTAAGCTTGTTTCCTGGTTTACAAAACAGGACATTGGTTCCTGTCCCTACTCTTGGATGTTGAAAATTTGAATCCCAGGGTCATAGTCAAAAGACCTCCTTCAGCCTGTTCTCAGCATGGGAGGGAGGGCCGCCCAGTGGCCCAATCTGCAGGAGCCAACAACAGGCAGCCTCTGCCAAAGCCCAGCTCCACTGCTTACTTGGTTAAGTCGCTCCAACAAGTTGCTTGGGCCAATTTTATAGGTGGGAAGTTAAGGTACCAAGACATTAACAGTCATATCTACCTTATAGGATACAGAGAGAATAAATGAGTGTCACACACAGAAACTGCTCACAGCAGGGCCCGGCATTTGATAAGCACACATTGCCTCTTAACCATAGTTGTTAACTATCTTTATTCCACTTCACGATGACTTGCATTAAAATGTCTATTTGGGCCAGGTGCAGTGGCTCACACCTGTCATCCCAGCGCTTCAGGAGGCCAAGGCAGGAGGAGCACTTGAACCCAAAAGTTTGAGACCAGGCTGGGAAACAGAGTGAGACCCCCATCCCTACAAAAAATAGAAATTAAAAATTAGCTGAGTGTGGTGTTGTAGTCCCACCTATGCCTGTAGTCCCAGCTACTGGAGAGTCTGAGAAGGGGGGATTGCTTGAGCCTGGGAGGTCACCGCTGTAGTGAGCCGTGATCGCACTGCACTCCAGCCTGGGTGACAGAGCAAGACCTTGTCTCAAAATACAAAAAGGAAAACAGAGCTGGGTGCTGTGGCTCATGCCTGTAATCCCAGCACTTCGGGAGCCCGAGGTGGGCAGATCATGAGGTCAGGAGATCCAGACCGTTCTGGCTAACATGGTGAAACCCCGTCTCTACTAAAAATACAGAAAATTAGCTGGGCGTGGTGGCGGGCACCTGTAGTCCCAGCTATTCAGGAGGCTGAGGCAGGAGAATGGCGTGAACCGGGAGGTGGAGCTTGTAGTGAGCTGAGATCGCACCGCTGCACTCCAGCCTGGGCAACAGTGAGAGACTCCGTCTCAAAAAAAAAACAACGAAAACAGAAAACACTTATTTGAACCACAAAATTCACAAAAGAGCGATTTGACTCAAGTCTGGGGAGGTTTGTGGCCATTCCATTCCTGCCCAACTTGCCCCACAGTGGTCTCCCACCCTCCAAGCCTGCACTCCAGGCCTGCAGTCTCCCATCCGTGTGAGGCCCGGGGAAGGCCTGCCCCAACTCAGCCCTCCCTGGCCCCTTCCCAGTGCAACCTTTGCTTCTCAAAGATATGATTATAAAGTGAATTTCTCAGTGAAAGTCAAACCATAAACGGGCATTTTCCCTCTGATGCTTACTTGTTATCTGGGGAGATGGCCAGAGGAGGGCCAACGGATAGCACCTGTCTGAGTTTAAAACTCTCCATTGCATTGGTCAAAGAGGCTAGTATCAATAGTGAGGTGCTCTGCCCAGATGACCCCCTGTGGATGCCCCAGCTTGCAACAGGGCACATGGCTCACCTCTCTCTGGGATGAACTCATAGGGTACAAAGGCCCAGCCCCCTTGCCTCCATTTGGAACAGCTCTGAAGGCCCCACCCAACCCCAGAGTGCCCCAGGGACCAACCGAGGCCTCACTCAAGAGGCGCTGCTGTCAGCTTTTCCCTCTGCCCCTGTTGCCTTCCTCCATTCCTCACAGGGGGTTCTCCCCAAAAACCTGCCTGCTACTCAACACCTGAGCCCGTCCCAGGGAACCCAGCCTGAGACAGAGGCTCTGTTTCTGCTAGTCAGAAGACAAATGGTTTCTCCTCCCTCATCAGGACTGGAAGGGAGGCCCCAGGGAATCTGCTGAGTGGGGAAGTGGGGTGAAGGGACCCTGAGGTGGGAGGCTTGAGCCAAGGGGCCCAGCCAGTGATCTCACCATGTGGGCTGAGTAGAGCCCTGTCTGCTGGAAGGAGGTATTCACCCCCCTGACACTTCCAGAGACCTAGAACATGGAGGAGCAAGACCTCCCCTTCAATTCCCTGGGCCTTCTGGTCTCCAGGGATATCCCTGGGGTCGGCCAGCCCCTGGAGATCCCTGTGTGCCTCCCCCCTCTCTGCTTCTACCATTTCCTGCCCCATTTACTCTCAGGACTTGTTCTGCTCCCTCCTCTCCAGATTGCAGGAATGCAAAGAGAGCTTTGATCTTTCCCTGGGTCACTGGGGAGAGGGCTAAATTTAGATGTAACAGAGGATGAAATGGAAGGGGGGAGGGGAAATGAGGCAGGCCTAATGCTTGTGTGGTTGGATGCAGGGAGCAGAATTATTTCCCCAGCTGTCCAAGGCCTTCATGGAGGTAACCCCTGGTCACAGGCATCCATTTCATTATTAGCTTTTTGGACACTGAGAGGAGCTTTCCAGAAAACTGAAGAGTAAAGCAATCATAACTCTGGTGGAGGGAAAAGTGGAGCATTCGCTAACTTCAGAGAAATGATCTTGGAGAAGCACTAAGGCAGCCTGGGCATGGTGGTGGCTTGCAGGTCACACAGGAGCTCCGCTAGCAGGCTCTGCGGCTCCTGGGAGCAGCCTCCTGGAAGAGGCTTTGCTCCCTTTTCCTTTTCAGACGCCATTCTCTTCTGCCTTCAAGAAGCAGGTTATTCCATGAAAGTGAGAGCACTGATTTAAAAAGAAGAAGAAGAAGGTTAAAAGGAAAGGAAAGGGGGCAGATCCTTCTAGATTGGGGTTTTTCAGCATTGGCACTATTGACATCTGCGATGGGGTAATTTTTGTTGCAGAGAGCAGTCCTGTGCATGGTGGCTTGTTTAGCACCAGCATTTCTGGCCTCAACCCACTAGGTGCCAGTAGCAACCCCCTCCACCTGTGACAACCAGAAATGCCAAAAATGTCCCCAAATGTTGCCAAGTGTCCCCTAAAAAACTTCCCCCCCCACCACCACAACAACTCACACGATTGAGAACCATTGCTCAAAATGCACCCTTTAGTGTGGGCACTGGGAGGGAATGTGGGGACGTTCTTTTGTATTTATCTAATAGTTTATAATTGACAGAGCAGTTTTCCATACCTCTGCTTACGTTTTTCATGTTACTATTTGTGATGGGCTGATGTGTGCCCTCCCCCCAAAATTCATATGTTGATGTCTTAACCCCCAGTATCTCAGAATGTCACTGTATTTGCATCTTTAAAGAGGTAATTCAGTTAAGATGAGGTCGTTAGGGTGGGTCCTATTCTGATTTGTCAATGTCCTTATAAGAAGAGAAGATTAGGACACCAACAGGTACAGAGGGTGAAGGCAGGGCAAGAAGGTGGCCGTCTGCAAGCCCAGCTGAGAGGCCTCAGAATAAACCAACTCTGCCCACATCTGACACTTGGATCTTGGACTTCAGGCCTCCAGAACTGTGAGAAAATAAATGTTGGTTGTTTAAACCAGCCCGTCCATAGTGCACTATCATGGTAGCTCAGCAGAGTAATTCACAATGTTAGGGGTCTGGCCAGACTGAGTTCCCATTTCGGAGGGAACAGCCCTATTTCCAGAGGCATGGAGCTCCTCGCTCACTGGGGACCCAGACAGAAAACGTGCACCTTCTGGGCACCTTTCAGACAGCATGTGAATATTTGTCAGCATGTATTTACTGGGGGCTAGACAAAGAGAGATTTTCTATTCAGAGAAATTACAGGCTTCTTCCTTGATGATCAGTATGAGGGAAGTAGCACCTGCTTTGAACATAGTGTTTTCCTTTATCCAGAATTAGCTCCTATTTTGTTGCTTTTTTTGTCAGAAACCTAGATACTATTAACCGGTCGCTCACACTTAACTGAAGACAGAGGAAATGTACATGGATGAAATTTAAGCATTTTGCTAAAAATATGCAATGGCTTCTTTTTCTGGCTTTTAGTGCAGCAAAACATGTTTCTCCCTTTTCCCGACTGTCCATTTTTTCTTCAGTTTTTGTTTCAATTTTCAGAGCTTCTTGGGACCTAATACAGATTTGTACATTTAGATAAAACCAATCCACTTACTGTCCTCAGTAAATAGCTCACTGTCATGCATTATTTGGTGGATTATTACAGTGACTACATCATCAAGTTCAGGTGACTGGCAGCCAACTGGTTTTAGGATTAAGGACATGTAGTAGTATTCTGTGACATGTATGCAGGCATTAAAAAATATGAACAAAAATGCATTGTCAATGATGAGGGCTTGTGAGAAATTCTGTTGTAAAGAGTTCCCTACTTTGAGAAGATGATCTAAAATTACTGGTTACCTTCCCCAGCTTCCCCTACAGGGCTAAGCAGCATTAGGAAAAGGTGGCCCAAAAGTACCGTGTCTTCTTCTCGCTAATCTTGCTTTGTTTCTATAACCAAATGAAGTCAGTTACCATAGATGACATTTGCAAGCTCCTATAAACAGGTACACAACTCTTTCCCACTGGAAAAGTGCTGAGCTCACAAAGAGGCACAGATGGATGTCCACAGACCACAGTCTTTGTAAAAGAAATTCCCCCCCAAAAAAACCTGACAGAATCAAAAACCACTAAAATCTCACCTAACTCAGATTTCCTGGCAACCTGATTTTTTTTGTATATGTGGCATATTTCAGGTTTTGTTGCTCGGACTTAAAAAAAAATGCTAACGGTAATAGGCACATGAACTATCTTTAGGATTTATGGTATATGGGAAAAAACAGAAAGTGCCATAGATTTGTATAATTTTTTTTTCTAGAAAAGATGTATTGTGCTGGTACTAGCAGTAAGATGAAGAAAAACCATGAAATTCTTCATGGTATTATATGAAAATTGTCAAGCTGCTAGGATATCCTCATTGCCCATGAGCCAGCCTTAAACACACTAGTATATTTATACTCAAATTTTTCAGTTTTCTTGGACAGTAGCTTTAGCCTTGTGCAGTTGTAAAGTCCCACAAAAGAGTATTTACTTTATCTTGTCAGAAAATGTAGTCATAAAAGAATCATAAATGCCCTGTGTTTATCAGGTTGTCTGTGCATACTGGTTGTCATTGGAGACACAGCTTTCTATTTTTTTTCTCTCTCCCTCTAAAGAAAATGAAATGTCTCATTGCTCTCTTCAACAAAAATACCAAGAATCCTAAGTTATCAGAGTGAGCTCCTCTCCCCATTAGGACTATGTTAGTGATAAACAATGTTTTATGCCCCATAATTAAGATACAGGTAATGAGCAATTATGCAGATCGTGAATTAATTATATTTAAAACAGAGGCCATTACAATCAATATTCACCACATTTCAACTACATTCTGGAATTAATAAATCTAATTAAAAGTTTCTATTGGCAGAGATCTGTTTATACCACCTTGGTGAAGAATCGTAATTAACAGCCATCTATGAAAAAGTACATTCTGTATATCTACACACATACACACACACACACACACACACACACACACAATGGATGTGGGGACTTGGTGCTGTCACCTTTGCTTGGGTAGATTGGTTAAGATAAACCTTTGTTGAAGTGATTCCTTTCTCTTGCCAGTTGACCACCATAGGGGATGATTCAGAGACCTTTTTTTTTTTTTAGTGAGTGTGCTAGAACCGAGTCCTGGTTCTAAGTCATAGAACAATTGTTTCAAAGCTGGCTTGGAGTGGGGTCAGCCCTGGGTTGGTGGTTGGCTGGTGGACATCCTGCCCAGCATCTGTGTTTTGGAGGACCGCCTTTCTCCCATTCTCCATCTGTGTTTTCAGATTGGGACTGGCAATCCTTTTCCCACCATGGCAGACTCATGTCTCAGTCCTGACCAATGGGACATCATCACACTTTGAAGTCCCCAGCGATAGGTTCAGGGATGGGTCCACGACCTTATCAGAGCTCAGAGTCACAATGATAACTTTGCTGTGGCTTTTGAGGACGAAGTTCTCTTGTTTTCCCATGTACTCAAAACCAAGAAGATGGAGATCTGGAGCTCTTGGCAACCACCTTGGCACCAGACGGAGCAGAGCTGAGTGGGAGAGAGACCAGGTCCCAGCGATATCACATGTGTCTCTGAACCCAGCTGTGCCTGAGCCTCTAACTCTGGAGTTTCCATTTATATAACTTATATAATCCAATAAGAATATTCTCTTTTTTATTTAAGCTTCTCTGTGAAGAGTCTTTGGTCACTTGCACAGTATCTGATAAAGCAGTTCTCCCATTTGGCTGATGCATTACTTCAATATAGATACCTTGCTAAGTCACCTTAAACAAATAAAAATCCTGGCTAGAATAAGAGACTTAGAATAGCAGAGGGTTGGTGATGGGGCAGGGAAGAAGATTCATCTCACTTTAAAATGAAACATTTGTGGGTTAATATCTGCTTTTTATTAAGTTTTCAAAATACACTTCAGTTCATAGCAGGCACATGTCTAAAAATACTGGTGTTATATAAAACCTGGACTATGGTTTAAGAATTTTTCCCACCCATTCTTCACAATCTCCTGATGACAGAAGACAACAGAAGATGGCAAGAGACTTTAGTCTTTCTTAAAAGTGGTGTGCCTCTTTCAAATTGATTTGTTGGGTGGGGAAGATGTCTTCCAAAAATACTAACGATTATCCTCAATCAATGGTATAGGGAGCATCTCAACCAAACTGAACTCTTTTGTTAGACATATTTTGCTACAGAAATTTTCTATTTGTAAAACACTTCCATATCCATTACCTTGTTTGATCCTCACAGCAAGAGCTGCAGCCCTCATCCATTTCCCATCTATCAGATCTCTGTGCAGAGATCTATCTGCTAGGTCCTACTAGGTGGTAGACATGGAGTTATGGGGAGACCCAAGAGACATGGATCCCCTCTTCCATTATTTGGAACACTGTGCTTCAAGAGATTGGGCTAAGACTATTAGATTTTGAACCCCAGCTCTTAATATCATTTAAGAAGAAAATGAAAAGATGTACCCCATTGTAATCCATCCAGCAAATGCACCCATCTCTCCCTTCTCTAATATCCCATAACATTTACACTGATAAAAAGAAGTCATTTTACCTTGACACTGATACAGCTTGATCTTCATGGCCTTTTGCCTGCATGGGTGCCTTCCTAAGCCCTAAACCTTAGGAATGTGGTCCTGTACTTTGGAAGATCCCAAAGGTTTTAGCTACAATTTGTTGAGAACACTGTCTCTTCCCACTCAAACTTCCTCTCCACCATAAGTCTTCTAGTGTCAGTTGGAGTTAGAGAGGCTATGGACACTTTTGGGATCTGGGTAAAGACAGGTTGAATGTGGATATGTTCATTTTGAGTTTGGAGGGATGCATTAATGTATTTGTAGTCAATTCTGTGTGTAGTTGTATGCTTGCCATATTGATGGCTTGCAGAAATGATTTGCCTTCTATATCAATCTACCCCCATGCAAGCCATGAAACCGCAAGGCCAGAGTCTCTATAGACATATGCATGTATCCAGTGGCACCTCGAAAGGGTTGTAGAGAATTAAAATGGTTTGCAGTGTATGAAACCAGAAGCTAGTCTATGGAAATTCTTCCAGTCATTAGACATGTAAAATTATTAATGTAGAATAGGTTATTATTGATGCATAGTCAAAATGGAAATCATCTCCCATAAGGAATATATTTAACATAAAACATACAATTATAAACATACCATACTTCCTTTTCCTTTTTGATGAGGAATAAGAGAAACAGAATGTATGAGAATTCATATGTTTGTAAGGCACAAATCTGTAGCAGTACGTCACTCAGCAAATTCATCTGAGTGTGAATTTGCATGTTTTATGCATGCTAGAGGAAGGATCTTTTCAGTCCCACTATAGAAAATGACATTATAAAATTGTTGATCAAAGAGAATGCAGGCCGAAAAAACGGTAGGAAAAAAATATACCATCGAGATGTGTCAGAATGTTAATTAATTTTAAAAATTGATTAATAAAATATGTTTTTTTTTCCTGAGATATTTGTGATACTTGTTAGCTGTTTCAAATGTATATTTTTGGCGATTTCTTTTCTCATCCTAAGTAAATATTTACTTCCAATTCTAATTTTGTATATGTAATGTATTCTTAAAGACATCCTCCAAAGTTGTATAAGCTTGTATACAATCTGGAACCATCTCCGACCGGAACCTCACTCCCCATGCTGAACTCTAGTGTAAGTCTCCAGGGATGCATCTAATGCTGCAGAGATAGAGACAAAAGAAAGACAGTGGCCCTTGCGTAGGGTAAAATTTAATATATTTGAAACTATCTATAGCAAAAAAAAAAGTCACAGAAAGATAGGGTCAAGAAGTAGCATGTAGGAAAGTGTGCTAAAGGGTAGCAGAAGAGTTAAGAGAATTATCCATGTGTTCATGTCTATCTATGTCTATATAACAGGTTTTAACACCTTAATTGTAATTGGAAGATCAATATCAGCGGTGGATAGTCTAAATATAGTGGATAGCCTATCCTTCCTCTACCCCTTTTCTGGATGCACCTCTTCCCCTTACTTCCTATAATTATATTAAGAAGCCAGATTGCCTAACTGCAGTAGAATGGTCCAGGAGTAGAAACTTGACCCAATTTGGACCAATTAGCTTTTCTCCTGGAAACCTGGAATCAGGACTAAGAGATTCCTGACTCATTCTGATTAGTCTCTTGTGCAAAGGAATGGAAGTTTGGGAGTTATGGGAGGCCATTTTCTTTACTTTGGATTGGGGAGCAAAGCAAGCCAACAAGCTGCTCAGAAGAGAGAAGGAAACAGATGAGAAAAAAAGAGGAAATGCTCTTGGGAACATCTTGTCCCTGGTTCCCGTTCCCATCATTTTTTAGCTATAATTCACATGCCATAAAATGTGCCTTTTAAAACTCTACAATGCGGTGATTTTTAGTATATTCACAGAGTTTTGCAACAATCACAACTAATTTCAGAATATTTCCATCACCTCAAAAAGAAAATTCAGACTCATTAGCAGTCAATCCCCATTCTCCTCTCCCCTCAACCCCTGGCAACTACTAATCTACTTTTTGTCTGTATGAATTTGCCTGGACATTTTGTGTAAATAGGGTAATACAATATATGGACCTAGCTTGTTCTTTTGCAACTTGCTTTTTTTTTTCACTTAACATGCTTGTTTTCAAGATCCATCCATTTTATAACGTGTATCAGTCCTTCATTTCTTGTGTGGATATAACATACCTTCTTATCTATTCACTTCATCCAGCTTTGAAGCCCAGGAATATCTTTTTTTCTTTGTTTCCTAGAGAAACCTGTGCATCCTTCACATCCTGATATAAGTGCTCTCTTCTGCTGAGGTCCACGGCAATTCACTTTGATTTCTGTATTCATCCTAAGTAATTCAGGAGGAATTGCCTGATAAGATTCCTGAAGGAGGTGAGGTCTTGAGCAGAGCCAGGAAAAAGAGAGCAAGGATTTGATAGTTGGAAAGGAAAAAGTAGAGGCGGGGAGGAAAGCCATTTAAGACTGTTGAGACAGAACTAGCAAAGATGTGAGCGGTGTTCTCAAGCACTGGAGGAGAGTGGCTCACCCAACACATGGGAAGTTGAGAACAGGGGTGCCATGCATGGAGAGATAGGATGGCATCGGGATAAAGAGCTACTAGGCAGGCTGAGGTCCAAAAGTCAACTTCTCTCTATCTCTGTTGGTCTAGAGGGGGCATTTTTGTGGCACTACAAAATATGTTAGAATTGGAAATCACTGCCTTTTGAGTTATCCTCCCTACTGGTAAGCTAAACCGTAAAATCTTGACCTAAAACAAGCTAGTTGCTTCCCAAAGCCCCAGTGGTAGGAAAGCCAGGAACAAGAGTCTGTGCCATTCCTAGGACCAGTTAGCCTATGCAGACCCACTGCCCTTTGAAGCAGGGACAGAAGGGGTGCTCTCACAAGTTATCCACAGCACCTGGGGCACTGAAATCTGCATGTGGGGTGGAGCCCTCTCTGCTAATTGATAGCTGAGTGGCATTTAACATTTGATTCTTTTCTCAACCATGTCCTATCTATATCTGTGTTTATCCTATTTTTGTTTTGTTTGTCTTGTCTAAAACATATCTCACTGGGTGGCGGTGGTGATCAAATGAGATATTGAGCTGTCTGCGAAAGGATATTGTAGTACCTTCTAGGGCTTTATTCCCATGTATGATACCATAAGTCTATTGACCACAGATACTCACAGAATCCTTGTGAGGAAGACATAGGGTTGGAATTCACTGACAGAAAAAAAAATGGCCAGGCACAATGGCTCATGCCTGCAATCTCAGCAGTTTGGGAGGCCAAGGCGGGAAGACTGCTTGAGGCCAGGAGTTCGAGACCAAGCTGGGCATCATAGTGAGATTCCATCTTTAAAAAAAATTTATTATGATTTTGAGACAGTCTCTCTCTCTCTGTTGCCAAGGCTGGAGAGCACTGGTGTGATTTCAGCTCACTGCAACCTCCACCTCCTGGGTTCAAGTGATTCTCCTGCCTCAGCCTCCTGAGTAGCTGGGATTAAAGGTGCGTGCCACCATGCCAAACTAATTTTTGTATTTTTAGTAGAGACAAAGTTTCACCATGTTAACCAGGCTAGTCTCGAACTCCTGACCTCAGGAGATCCACCTACCTCAGCCTCCCAAATTGTTGGGATTACAGGCGTGAGCCACCACACCGGGCCTTTTTTTTTTTAATAAAATTAATTTTTTAAAAAATCAACGTTTCATTTATTGACCAAATGGCAAATCGTTCCTGCAGGTCTTTCCATATAATGGCTACATTCTAAAAGAAAACAAAAAATTACAGAATATGCATAATAGGCCTTTATTGTCCCATCATCTATCCAACTTCACCAGCCGAGGGGTGCCCCAGGTCACCCTTGTAGATTCACATGCATATTGTTCTCTCTGTCCAGGCTGGTTGGTGTGTGCACTCTTGGTCTCTAGAAGGCATCTTGCAAAGTAGACAGACCTGACATTTTACCCTCAGCCCAGTCCTGTGATTTCACTCTTGCCTTATGTTTAAATGAAAAAGTGCAGGCCAAGAATAACCCAAAGTAATTGAGCGGATTTGCACCACGACATGCGGCACTGCCCACAGCTATACCTTACAATCACCCAATTCATATTTTAGGTTCTGACACCAGAGTTTGCAGTATTTTACAATTTTCTGTTCCATGTCAGCAGCTCACTGTACAGCTGAATATCAGTCCTATTTAAATCTGCAGGAAAATAGCTGCAGGTGACATAACCTTTCGTGTCATACCACTGTGTACATACACAAATAATTGGGGCTCTTGACCCTGTCTGGGCCCATACAACTGTAAGTACAAACTTGACATTTTGATACTGCTGCTAGCCTTTCTCGTTGTTATTTTCTGTTTCAATAATCCATTGCAGGTAGAAAAATGAAAGAAGGAAGCATGAATGATTAATGCTGTCAAGCTAAAATAATGTATTTAGAAAAATCTATAAATCTGTTATTTGTGGCATTTTAAAACTGAACACGACACTCCTCGGTGCCATGCTGCCCGTTTCCCAGTAGATGAATGTGAGTGTTTTGCAGCATAGGGTGGCCAGGAGGCCTTTGGCTTCTGGCCTGAGCCAGACCATGGACTTCTTGGGATAGGTGCAGTGGGAACCTTGGGTTCTTCCTGTTCTCAAGGTCAGGAGCAGAAACCCACAGGAGTCTTCCACAATGCGCAGTGGGTCTGCTTTGTGTTCCACACCAGGGTGAGGCTGGGCTTGGCCTGTCGCCTGTTTCTGATTTGCCGCTCTCAGGGGGCCGCTGTCCAGAGGGCCCAGGCAGCCAGCTGTCTCTTGCTCCAAGCCAATCTCTATTGGATTTAGTTCCAGCTCAGGCTGAAAGTTGATCAAGTTAAGCTCCTAGGAGGCTCCGCGCTGCTCCAGGCAGTCTGCAGAATGCTGATCCTAGAGCATGGCTCTGCTGTCCACACTGTCCCCACTTTGGACTCTCCCAGCCTCCAGGACAGACAACAATTCCAGTCCTCTCACCTGGAAGTCCCCGGTTGTCTGAGGCTAACAACTGCCTCTATGGGCAGAACAAGCTTCTAAGCTCTGACCATTCCACTCTAGCCAGAGGACCTCTGGTTGAGAGAGTATAGGGCCTACAGAAGACATTAAAATGACATGAAATCAACTTGACAGTGTCACCTTGGCAGCCCCAACTGATATAATCCACATATCTGTTAGGTTTACTTGGACAATGGGTCAAATTTTTGCAGATAGTAAAAATAGCAATTAATGTCAACAGTGTGATTATTTGCAAATTTCAAACTGTTTAGCATCTGATTAGAATGGTCCCACATCCCACCTTCTATGACCCTGGAGACAACACAGGCAGACAATTGGGAGTGCTGCTGTTTTGGCAGTGTGGTGTGAGGAAGTGGGAGGGGCCAACGAGAGTAGGAATTCTCTGGAAAAAACTTGGGCTACTGGGAGAGGAGAGGGGTTCTCCTGGAATACAGATGCCCCAGTGGAGTTAGGGTCCTCCAGGAATGAGGACTGCACTGAAGACAGGCATCTCTGGGATCTGCTGGCTGGAGGCTCAAGCTCCTCATATCCTGGCGGCAGCCTTGGCAGCTGGGGAGGCAGCTGCCCGTGTTCCAGCTGGCCAATTCTGTTGCCGATTTCTGTCCAATAGATGCAAGGCTCATCTTAACTCAATCTAACGAGGGGGACTGGGGGCACCCTGGGTGGTGGGGAAGGTCACAGACATTTTACAGAACAGCAGGTATCCTGCAGTGACCACCCTATAAAGGATGCTGGCCGCATACAATGAGGAGGAGGCCTCGGGAGATTCCAGAAGCAACTTTCTGAAGTCCATGGACAGCTCTCTGCTGCCCTGCTGGGAGGCAGGTGCCAGGGAGGAGGCTATGCACTGAGAATAGGATCAACAGGCTCTGGTTCCTTTCTCCTGTCCAACTATAATGTGACTCTCATTCACCCCAAGTGTCTCTGCCACTAAGGACTCCTTGGAAACACAGTCTCAGCGCCTAGCACTGTGGCTGTTAGAGACTGGTGCTGGGGAAGGCAAGGCCCTTCCACTCCATAACTGGGTCGGGCAAGCAGATTGCACCTGTAAGTCGGCCTTCTGCTTCCTGAGAGGCAGACCCAAGCCTGGTTCTGCCCAAAATCCATTCTGGCAAAATTAATGGCAATGCCAGACCTCTCTCTGGGTCCATTGTGTATATGCATCTGGTCAGCAGAGGAGAAATGGGTTTCATTCCAGTTGTGTCTCTGTGTTAGCAGGGCCTACAGATGCCCAATCTCTGTGAAGACGCTCACTTCACTCAGGTGCTGGGCCTCAATAATTTAAAATTAACTCAACTCTCTCAGCATAAAAAGTAATGGCTCTGTCAGAACCTGAGTGCGGAATGCCTAATTTAGGACTTTACATGCTAATTCTGAATAAATGGAGGTGTCATAAGAAGGAAGAGTTCTCTTCTTAAGTGCATAAAGGCAGACCATGAATTAGTGGAGACCATTAAAGTTACATCTTCAGTGTCTCAGGTTTCATGAATGCCAGACCCACAGGGGTTCTGAAAGACTGTCACCTGGGGTCTCCCAGGGCAGAGACTTCTGGGTCTCTATTGAAAAGACAGACAATGTTTTCTTCCCGGAAACCTCTGACTTTGGGACTCAGAGTCCCCTCTCTGATATGGGCTAGAAGCCCCAGGTAGCGTATGTTCTTATGGCCCAGAGACCTAAGGCTGTGGGCACTCATGACAGTGGAAGAACCTGGGTCTTCCTACCCTGTTGGGCTTTCCCTCTGAGGGTCTACTTCTCAAAGAAGAATGCAGGGGGAGACTTGGGGTCCCAGTACAGTTATGGAGCCTGGTGTGGGACTTCTGTGAATATCCCAGGTGACCCAAGGTGACTTGATGGAGATCTCTTTGTGTGTCCACAACTCATAAAATGATCACACCATGAGCCCCATTCCAGGTCTGTCCCTGGCCCAGCAAGTACCTGAAGAAACTCAGGGCAGAGCAGTGACTTCCCGGCTCCTCAACTCACCCGTGACATTTTGCCTGGGCTGTTTGGGACAGAGAGACTTGTAAATAAAGTCTCGTCTCTTGGCTGTTTGGCTCCTCTGTGGGAATCCAGGGGCCCACAGCCTTGCCCTGTAGCTTGGCTTATCTGGGGCCCACAGCCTTACCCTATAGCTTGGCTTGTCTCGGCTCTGACAGCCCAGGTTCTTTCTCCTTCCAAATGAAGCCCCAGGGCACCAGGCAGAGATTGGGTGGTGATAGTGGCTAGCATGGGCCTGACACCATGTGGTTCCCAGAAACACATGCCCACATGTGTGGGGCCTGTGTTCCAACACAGCGTGGACTGGCCCCCCTTTCTTTTCACTGACATGGACAGCATGGTGTCCTGCCGCAGGGCTGAGGGCCGCACATGCAGAGGGGTGCCTGTGAAGAGACCTTTCCATACCACCTGCCCCTCTTGCAAGTGGTGGGGCATCATTCGGAAGCTTCTGAGACCCTGTGAGGCAGAAAGAACAGAGTGTGGAGTGTCCCCAGAGGCGGCCTCTTTCCCCTCCCCCAAAACACGGAACCCTGAGCAGATCACACGGCTAGGTGGAGGTTCAGGGGGCTCCTCTCCATTCTGCCGTGGTTGGCAGGGTCTGTGTGGGATGAAGTGGTGGAGCTGCTCTGTAACCCTCCACAGCTGACCTCTAGTGGTACCTGCAGAGAATAAAGGAAGTTCTGGTCATTTCCACATGCTCGTTTAAAAAGAAGTGGGGGCCAGGTGTGGTGGCTCATGCCTGTAATCCCAGCACTTTGGGAGCCCAAGGCACGTGGATCACCTGAGGTCAGGAATTCGAGACCAGCCTGCCCAACATGGTGAAACCCTGTCTTTTCTAAAAATACAAAAAAATTAACTGGGCATGGTGGCGGGCACCTGTAATCCCAGCTACTCAGGAGGCTGAGGCAGGAGAATCGCTTGAACTTGGGAGGCGGATGTTGCAGTGAGCCGAGATCACACCACTGCACTCCAGCCTGGGCGACAAGAGCAAAACTCTGTCTCAAAAAAAAAAAAAAAAAAAAGAAGTGGGATCAGTGTTTGGGTTCTTTTCACTCCCAACTGGACTCAGAGGTACTTGTTGGCCCTTTAAGTTCTTTGACGTACACAGACAGCTTGTTCTGTACCTCTTTTTCCTAAAGTAGAGAGCAATAAATAAGATTCATGACAAACAGCTACCTCCCCAGCCAGGGTCTATCTCTGCCTCCCCCTTTCCTTGTCACTCTCTGGGATCCTGGTTCTGGCATTTGTCAGGGGCCACTCACTGTGGGGTCTCTGAGGATAAGCTTGTAATGAAGGCAGGCAAGCCTCCACACTGGAGCTTAGCCCAGGAGGGTTCTTGGCTTCACCTAGAAAAGAATTCAAGGGCTAGCAGGTGGTCTTAGCAACTTTTATTGAAGCTGCAGTATACAGCAGCAGCAGAGGTACTTCTCCATGTGAAGCAGGGCTACCCCACAGGCAGTGTGCCCAGAGCAGCAGCTCAGAGGCAGTTCTGCACTCATATTTATACCTACTTTTAATTACGTGCAAATTAAGGGGTGACCTATGCAGAAATTTCTAGGAAAATGGAGGTAACTTCTAGGTCATTGGGTCATTGCTGTGGAAAAGGGTGGAAACTTCCAGGTGTTGCCATGGCAATGGTAAACTGACATGGCACATTAGTGGGTGTGTCTTATGGAAAGCTGCTTCTGCCCCAGCCCTTAGTCATCAATTTGGTCCAGTGCCTGAGCCCTGCCTCCAAAGTCAAATCCCACCTCCTACCTCACCCGTGCTCTCCTTGGCACTCGTACCCTGTGGGCTGGGACCCTTCCCGGTTATCTCTGTAGCCTCAAAGGCCAGGCACAGTACCAGCCAAACTGTGGCTGCTCTATACCATCTGAAAGTTAAATTCCTGCCTAAGCCAATTGACACATCACATGGTTCCCAGGATAAGACTTACAAGGTTTGTTTCAGTTTTCCCTGGGAACAAAAAAAGCATTGGAATAACTGTTCCCTCAATAGTTCCATAAGTTTTCTCTCTCAGAATAGGAAGACATTTGAAAATGCCTATGAAGAAGACTCCATCTGCTTTCCTTTGGGGTAAATCCACCTGAATGGCCCTGCAGGGTGTGAATGGAAAGCACATCCTCTCCCAGTGTTTTGGAGAAAGCAGAACTCACCATTGTTGGGCAAGCAGAGCTCGAGGTTCGTTCAGGGGAAGTAAATTGGTATTTGGGATCAATCCAGCACCGAATCTCAGAAGGTTTTGTTCCTCTAGGGGGAGTACAGCTTTTGTATTTTGGGATTTAGACAGGACAGTACTGATAAATGGCTGAGTGGCAGGGATAAGCGATTGCTGGTGGATCATAGCTGGGGGCACTCCAATTGCAGGGAGCAGATGGTCAAAGCTTTCCTCCCTGACCAGGCAGGACGAAGACTAGCGTGTTATGTGTTATTATTGTCGGGGGGACAGATCAAACAATGCAGTCTCCCAAGTAGTCTCTGTCACTCTCATGCCATTGATCCTCTGTGGCCATAATTCAAGGAAGCTGGAGGTGGGAGGAGGAAGACTTTCCTTTGAAGGAACTGGACTCACCCACTGTCAACCGTCATAAGAGAGGGCGTCAAGAAGCAGCAACTGGCCTTAGCCCAAGAACAGTTTTCTTCTCTGGCCTCTTTGCAAACTGAACCTGGACTCCAAAAAAATGGAGTCATGCATGTGGATTTGCCACTGTCAGGACAAAAGAAGCCAGTTCCTGGCACAGGGAGACACACTGGCAGGAAGTTGGCAGGCTGCACCAACCAGCCTCTTAGGGCAGAATGGGCCTGAGCCTGTGGGCTATGGAGACAGCCGCATCTACTTGCCATGCTGTGACTTCATTTCCTGATGCTGTCATCCCCTCAGTCAAGTCTTGCCAGAAGTTGCAGCCTGGTTTCAGCTGCATTGGAGGTCATTAGTGAAAGGACCCATTCCCTTCCTGGTGGCCAGCCCAGCATTAGCTGTGGAAGGTGAGTAGTCTCTGAGATGCCAGAGGAGTCAATGTGCAGAGAAGACATCATCCACATGGATCCAAGCAACGACAGCAGTAAGGACTTGTGGGTGCAGAAACCCATGAGAAATACTAGCACCCTAGGAACTTGCTGAGATAACCAAAGGAGTTCTAAGGTAGGGACTGGAATCCCAGAGCATGGAACAGGAGGAATTAAAATATGAATGGAGATGTGGCCCCCATGTGACTTCCAGGCTGACAATCTTGGGGCATAAGGGTTGCCCAAATTATGACCACTCCCTTAAAGCCAGAACACTTGTTCGACATTGATGTAAGCTTTAACAGATTCAGGGTGCTTGGATGCACCCGAACACAAAGACTTCCCAGGCTGCATATTCTCATATCTACTAGAAAAGTTAACATCACTTTGCTTCCCACTAGACCCACAGACAAGCAATCCTGAACCCCATCACACTGCACAGTTGAACACTCACACAACGCCCTCACCTAATCACATGCTTGCGCCTCACCAGCCCTGACATTCTCGGGTAGTCCCCACACACGTGCTAAACTCACAGCAATCCCCTCCCAAAGGGAGTCACACCCTTATGTCTGGCCCCACCCCACTCCGTCCACTGGATTTGTTTTGCTGGTTTATGTCAGGAGAACAAAAGTAATGTATATTACTTTTTGGGATCAATGTATCAAGTTCCAAATGATGTATGCGGTAAAAAAAAAAAAAAAACTCTGCCTTGTGCAGAGAATACAAACCATTACGGCTAAGAGAACTGCACTTGGCTGCCTATTTGCTGTTTGTTGACTGCTGTCAAATATAATACAATGAAATAAATCTCTAGGAACAGAAAAATTAAGGCACCTAAATGTGCTATTGTTTTTTATTTTGTCCTGCGCTCATAAAATGGTACTTTTCTTCCCTTCCCGAGTGGTCAGATAAATAAATTAACCATAAAGTCTGAAAGAAAAACACATCCGTGGAAAAGTGCTCTGCAGGGGCACAGCCTCTATTCTCACTCTGCTGTCCGCCCTTCCTCTCGGCTGCCCCCTCCATTGCTCTGCAGATCCTTGGGATTAGGTGCTTGGCAAAGGAGACAAGTGGACGTCCAGGGAGAGGCAGCCCACCTCTCCCTGTGCCCCCTGCCCCAGGGCCCTCATCTGCTCGGTTTCAGGCACCTTCCCCACAGAGACATGATGTCATTGCTCTGCCCGGATTTCCTTGGGGACTCAATTTCATCATTTCCTGTGTGACCCATGACTTGAGTGGGTCTTCTCTTCCAGGAGCCAGCACCAGCAGCTCATCTTGGGCAGACCACCCTCAGAAGGCTGCAAGCCTTGCTCTGTCCTCTTTGAGTATAAAATGCTGAGGAATATTCTCACCTCCCCCATGGGGTTTGGATGTCATTCCTAATCTAGGCTTGAAAGCTGCGGTCCCTTACCTAGAAGTGTATGACACTGAGTTGTAACTAACACTGCAAAGTCCCCCAGCAGGATCAGGCTGTGGCTACCCTTTGAGGGACTTCAGAAACTCTCGCCCTTGAGTGGTTTCCTTCTCTTCCATGTTTTTCCCCCTCCCTTACCAGTTCCCTGGATGCCCTTCCTCAGGATGTCCCTGCACACACATCCTGGTGCAGAACCTGCTTCCGAGAACCTTCTTCCCAAGCAAATCTCCAGTGGGCGGTTGGCAGAGAGGCTGGGGAGGGAAACGTCTCCTCCCCTGCCCATGCCTGCCCTACTTGACCCAGAGAATCCAGCTTCCATCATGGAATTGCCTGGAAATGCTTTGTAAAGGTTTGCAGTGATTAACATAATTTTTCAAAACCACTGACTACATGCCATTTACTCATTTTATAGCGGGAGAAACAGATCCCACTATCTTTGGAACCACACGAGGCCAATCTGGCTCAACTTTCTTGTAACAAAGTTATGAGCTGTTGTTCAGTGGCCATGGACCCCAAGTGGAAGGTCACATAACTTGAGCATGCCCAGATGAGCCAACTGTGCAACCACCATGGGTAACCTAAGCACTGGGACTGAGGAGTGCGAACTGAATTGAGAAGCAGACATGAATAGTAGGATCCAGTATCCAATCAGATCAAACACTGGCATCACCGCATTGTAGGATCCAATCAGATCATGCTGCCTGTCATCACCTCATTGCAAGATCTAATCAGATCACACCTCATTATTCTATGTTTATAAAATCCAACCCAGCCCTCAGCTCCAGAGACATAGTGAGTGTTTCCTCCTGTCTCCTTGCCAGTAGACTCACAATAAAACTTTTCCTTTCTCAAAAGCCTCTCTGTGCATTGGGCAGAGAGCCCATTGATTGCCCCTGTAACATCTTCATCCTAAGAACTGATGTCGAGGCAGCCTGTCGGGGTGGACCAAGTTAGCCTACAGGACAGAAAGGACACAGAAGTCTCCAAAGAGGAATGCCCTTTGGGCATTCAACCCATTGGGCAATTAGAAGAATCAAATTAAAAGACAATAAACCAACCAACAGCCTCATTTCCTAGTGCTGGAGAGATCTTTGCGCGGATAGGTTTATCTCATCCCACGGTTCCTTTCCATCTCCATCCCTCTACTTATCACAAATGTAGGGAAGAGCCTGGGACACTGAGAAACAGGCAGGGCAAGGGTGATTAGGGCCTGGGGGTCTGACACTGGCTCAGAAGAAAGACCTGGCTCTGGGCCAGTGGGAGTCTAAGGCAGGAGGCCTTTCCAGACCAGCCCTTCTGTTGTGTTGAGCAGAACCAGGCAGCTCTCAGAACAAGGGGAGCAGTAAAGTGGATACCTAGCATGGAGCATCAGCAAGGCTCTGCCCAGAGAGCTGGGCAAAGAAGGCCTCCTTGCCTTCTGTCTTCCCTGCCTGCAGTGGAAGCAAGCCTAGGCCAGCTGTGAAGTGCCCTCATCAGAAGCAGAAAGGAGAGACAGGTGGAAGTGACGCTGGGACTTTCTAAGCCATCCCTGTCCTGTGGAAGCAACCCTTGAGTAATTTACAGAATGGGAGAGCCTGAAGAGGGCCATATTGGGCTTCCTACACGTGTAAAATGCTATTGTTATGCCCATTTTATAGATGACAAAATATAGGCACAGAGAGGTTCAATAATTCACCCAAGCTCACACAGCTAAGAAGTGGCAAGGCTAGGAATCACTCCTCTCATCACAACAAAAGGATGTCTGTCTCTTGCACCTGGGCCACAGTCAAGACTCTTACAGACATGGCATGCAGGAAACAGACCTTTCTGTGCAGCCAAACTGTGGCAAAGTCATTGGAAGGGAAGTCCTGGCCCCAGGCTGCTGTGACTCTGCTGAGTGGGTGGCTCCAGGAGGCCCAGGCCCTGAGGTCTGTGCTTAGGGATAGGAAAGGTCCAGCAGGGTGTGGAGAGATGAACTGTCTTAGCATAGGGACGGGGAGCAGAAGGGAGCTCTGGACACGGGAAGGGGCATGAATAAAAACAGGGAGATGTGAAGACACACAGGAACCCAGGGTGAGGGCGATGTGGAGATGAAGACTGTCTCTGTTGGCAGACTGGTGAGGCTGGAAGCTGCAGGGTCCAAATCTTGGAGGGTTTTTAGTGCTAGGTTAAGGTGTTTAGACTTTATCCTGGTAGGGAAGGTTGCATCAGACTTTCTAATGCTGAGTCTTTGCATTTTATGTGATCAGAAAATCAGTCTTACTCTTGCACAAGGCTCAGCTATCTCTACCACATCTTGTGAAAGAATGCCCCTCTCCCCGCAAATCACCCATGCCCCACCTGTTTCTCAGTGTCCCAGGGTTTTCCCTACGTTTGCAACAAGTAGAGGGATGGAGATGGAAAGGGAACCACAGGGTTAGATACACCAAGGCCATCCATGCACAGATGTCTCTAGTACCAGGGGTTGAGGCTGTTTGTCGGTTTGTTTTGTTTTGATTCTTCAAATTGCCCAATGGGTTGACTCATACACACACACACACACACACTCCTAACCAAAGCCAACAACTATCCTAGACAGTGCCATCTAAAATATAATAGGGGAAAGAAATATTTGCCCAACTGCTCCACAATTTGAAAAGAAACTCTTACGATGAAACTAATGACTCACAAGAGCTTGAATGGCACAGTGGGTCCCCTCCTCCAACTTTCTGTTCTCATTTTGTGCCCCTTTGGTCCTCCTGCCTGTTATGAAAGAAAGACATATGACTGAGCCACGCCTCCTGTGATAGGCATGATGGATTGGCAAATCCACTGCCTTCCTCACACCCCACTCCTTTTCCACGTCTCATTGTAGTCTTCCAGTCTCCCTTGCACACAGCAATGCCCAGGAGGCCAAGTTCTGACCAGCAAGATATAAGGGAGGTTTATTGGTGGACTTTTAAGGAAGTTATATTGCTTCCTGATAAAAAGAACAGGAACAAAGAGAAAGTGTGCCCGCAGAGCACTGGCTGCTTTGAATACAGATTTGATGCTTGGGGCTGCAATGGTCATTTTGCCACCATGAGGGAAAAAACAAAACAAAAAAATAAAAAAGACAGATGAAAGTCTAGCAATCCAAAGGTGAGAGAAGGGAAAGAGAAAAATTCTGAAACCTTGATTGCACTGATGAGCTGAGTAACAACCTGGAGACTTTGTGACAATAAATGTCTTCGGTGTTTTAGACACAGTTAATCTGGTTCTCTATTACTTAGAGTGAAAAGCTTTCTCAACTGACAGACACATCTTAATGGCCACTCTCTTACCTATGCAAAGGCCCAGCAGAAGCTCTGAAATTACTCCCCATAAATACTCCTTTAAGCTCGCCAAGAGCCATCTGTACTTCTGTCTGGAGTAAGGGAAAGACAGAGAAAGTCCCTGGTATGCATATCTGGACACCTTAACTAAGCTCTTTAACAGGAAGAATGCATTTTTATGTTCTTTTGTCTCCTCAATAACACCTAAGCTATATCTATGCACATAGAAGATGTTTAGAAAATCCCTGATGAATTGTACTGAGCCCAGCGTTTGTTAGCTGTTCTTCTAAACAATTGCAGTAGGTTTCCATTTAGTGGTTTGTTTCTATGTCTCATTTCCCTATTATCAAAAACTTTCTTAGGGCAGAGCCTGTGTCTATTTATTTTATCTACTTTGGAGTGCCTTACACTGTACCCAGCATGAAGAACATACCCAGCTGAGAATGACTGCTGAGTAAGGGGTGATTGATTGACATAAGGGAGCATATTGGATACAGTGGTTGACTCCACTATGCCAAGGCTATCTGGGGATGACAAATTTAAGCCAATCCTGGTCATTTCATTCCACTTGCTAATGACTGGTTCAGGAGGAAGTGTCCAACCCAGAACTAGCCAAAAAGACATAGGTGAAAATCTGCTGTGGCCTCTGGGAAAGATTTTCTCATTCCTACATGGAAAGCACAGAGACAGACAGTGCCACCTTTTTCCTCTGGATATTGTGTCTGAACATGGTAGCTGAACAGCTGCAGCCATTGTGTGACCCAAGGGGGCCAAGGCTTGTGATGAAGCAGATCTTGAGGGTGGTAGACTGGGGAGATGGAAAGAACCCGTGTCCTTGATGAGATTACTGTGCTGTGAATGGAGGCGTTCTACCTCACTCCTCCCCACTGCTCTGGATACCTAGTTTTGTGGAATAGTAAATTTCCACATTTTTCAAGACAATATAAGTTGAGATTTTGTGCTCATTGCTATGACTAAAGGCATCTTAATTGATCTGGGTGCTTTTGAAATTGATGGTGAAGAACTGAGACACCTCCCCATGCTACAGATCCAGTGGCCCTGCCCCTCTCTTAGGTCCCCAAGAAGTCAGGCAGTTTTGATGACGAAGAAAAGAGTTTTGTGTGTTCAGGATGCAGACTGGAGTGGGTTGAGTTCCGGGTCCTTAGTAAGCCGGGCCTCATTCTGCTGGGGCTGAGATTTACTCTTGGTCTGCTTGTCATTTCCAAATAGCCCCATAATTGCTTGATTTGCATCTTGAAAACCTCTGATGACTTACAGCAGTAACTAATTAACCAGCAAAACACATTGGGGCATCACCCAGATCTCAACCACGTGTACTTCTTGATGCTTCCAGCCTAGGTGAGCCCCAGAACAGTGAAAATAGAGCCCAGATGAATGGAATCCCAGTAAGGGGCCTAGAAAGTTAAGAAATGGCAAGGTCTTGGCCCATAACCCTGCCTTCTGTGGAACTGACCAGTTGTGCTGATAGATTTTGCCTAGTGCAGGAACCCTGATGAATCCTCAAAGATAGCCCAACGGGCTAAAGGAAAGGCCTGTAGGTGTATAAGACAGAGATCTGGACATGTCATCTGAGTATCTAAGTTCTTATCTACCTGGGTCACTCTGTGTGAGCTTGGGCCAAAGGCCTGCAAGCCTCAGTTTCCCTGTCAGTAAATGAAGTGGTTGCTTCTCATAATCTCCCAGGCTTTTACAGCGCTAATGTTCTCAAAAGCAGTAGGTCTTTCTCAATCAATAGTAAGCTTCCAGTCATGCATGAGCACCTGGACAAAGCTTAAACAATGGGACATATGTCTGCGTCCTTATTAAGGTGCATTTTAATCAAACAGTCACCCCAATGCTGGTCTTCTGGACTAGCTTACATAAACAGGGCTGGAGAAAGGAAATGGAGGGAAAGTGTGGACATCGCTTTTCTATTGGTTTCCAATCAACACCACCTCCTGAAACAGAGGTTCAAGTTCCTACTTGCCTGGCTGGTTAAAGAAACCTTTCTCTTCCACACAAAGAGTGGTACCAGATTTCTATAGTGGTGGTGGATTGGCGGGGGAATGACATTTTGAGTAGAAATGGTAGAAAAATCTTAAGCTACAGAAGACTTTTAAATTGACTCATATCTTGAAAGTAATGCTATTTTATATCCACTCTGAAAGGGTAATATCAAACTTATGAAATATTTACTAACTTGGCTACATAAACAACAAATCACCTCTTTTCCATTAAATATTTTTGTGAAAGATATTTTAGTAAAATACTGCAGCTTGCAATTTAATTACAATGAGTAATTAAAACTTAGAGCATAATCATTTTTGGCAAAAAGTCAGTTTTTGTTAAAATTCTAAGATAGAAAAAAGATGCATATTACGACCATAATACTGTTAGTAATTAAGATAAATGCATCAATTATTAAAGATGCAAACATGTCAAGCAAGCATAACTAATTATTTGAGCATGTTAACAGTTGTTTAATGTTAACAAGCAGTGAATTATTAAAGACCCCATGTGTCACATTCTGGACTGCATAAAATATAATGTTCTGGAACATTTTATGATTTTCAGGTCTTTCTTAGATCTTCTCCATTGGATTAGCCATAAAGTTAAGATCACTTGCCTTTAAAATATATTTCTAAAATAATTAGCTGTAATCAGACTAGGAGAGACCACATCACTAAGTTTGTGTAACAGAGAAAAATGCAGCAGATCCAGAGAAAAACTGCAAACCAAGCTCCATGTCTGCAGGAAAAATTTATGCAATTTGGGGAAATGTTTCCCACTAAAGGTCCAGTCTAGGGGCAGAAACTGGAAAATGTGGTGTCAGTGCATAAAAGCAAAGGGAAGGCATAGATCCTGGGGGGCTTCACGCACACTTCACAGCTGTATATTTCTTCTTTTTTCTATTTAGAGATACACCTTCTTGAAAACAGCCCTTCACGCAATCATATAATCAAGATGCCAATTAAGACACTTGTATAAATCACATGCAAAGCAATGCTTGGATTATTTTTGACTGTCAAACCACAAATCAACGGCAGCATCGTTCTCACTGGAATTCAACCAGTCCTGGGTGTTTCCTTCCCCCAGACACAGAGCAGGGCCCTCAGGGAACCCATCTGTTTATGGGCCTAGAGAATCAGTTGGGAAACATCCCTTTGGGGTCCTGGAGCCCCAATATTCTGAGGCTACTTGGCCTCTTGTCCTCCACTGCTGACCCTTCTGCAATGGGAAAAAAGAAGCTTCCCTAGAATCTAACTGAGCCTCATGGAGCCTGAATAAGGCTCTCAAGGGAGCTGGCTATGAACAGGAGGATAAGAAGAGCAGAAACAGATGGGAGGCTGACCCCTAGCTACCCCTGCCTGGTGCCTGCAGAGATGGCTGCCACACCCCCACAGTCTTCTAGGAGTATACCTGCAACCAGAGCAGCTTCCTGTATGCCTGAGGCAGCCCATCTTTCCCTTGCACACCGAGGGTCCACTGTCTTCCCATGCTAGAGAAATGTCAACAGCAGCCACTGATGGAGTCAGCTGCACCACCAGCCCTGCTCAGATCCTTCTGAGCACTCAGCCCTCTACCAGGCTGTGAGAGATTAACAATAATGCAATGGACACACAGCCAGCTTACAGGGGGCTTGCAGTCTATTCAAAGCAAGACTTGCCAAGAAGAAAGATAAATACAGAAGCAGCTGTGAGGCAGTGTCTGATCCTTCCATTCAATAGGAACCTGCTAAAGATTTCCATCTTTTCATCCTTCCATGCATCTAATCAGGCTTCTTCCATACACCATTCCAGGTACTGTTCCCCACACCATTCCAGGTACAGGAAGTGGGGTGGGGAGTGAGGGTGAGGAGAGCCTCCTGGAAAGACAGTGTTGGGCTTACTCTTGAGAATGCATGCTCTCATGGAAGCCACATGGCCAATGGGAAACCAGCTATAAGTCCTACTGGAGAGAGGTCTGTGGCCACAGGTGAAGGGGTGACCAGGGTAGGGAATGGTCAGTCAGAAAAAGCAGGCTGGAGAAGCAGAAGGGGCACCAGCGCTCTTTCTCTTTCTTCAGGTGATGCAGAAGTGCTGAATCAGCTCTGAAGGGGTCAGGAATCTGTACAATCAGCCTTTCAGTCCCATCCCTGAGCAGCAAAGACTTTTCTTCTGCAAGGGCCTCCCTTTCCTCCATCAGCTGCTCTCAGAAAGACCCTCAGCCCCAGATGTCCTCAACTGCCTCATGCTACCAGCACTAACTGGCTGGTGCACACAACCTAGACACGATGCCTGTTCTCCCCCTACCCCCTACTTCCATACACAGCAGAGTCCTTATGAAGCTCAAGTCTCTGGGGAACCCCTTGCCCCACCCACCAGGCACAGGCCCTGGAGGAACTCTAGCAGTTTTGCACTCATAATTGTATACTCTTATTCTTAGAGGGCCTCTCAAACTGTTTAAGCTTTAGCACCCCTCAAAACCTAGTCCTGCTCCCAAACCAGCCTCTGGCCAGCCTAAGGTAGGAAATTGGCTCATGTGTCCCTACAGCCCCACTCCAGGTAAGCTGAGTCTCCTGGTCACAGCACAGTCAGTCACGGCACAGGAGCCATCTCAGGGTAACATCAGAGTGGTCAGCTCTCCCCTTCCTCTCCCAAATCCTACACAATCACCTTAGGACTAGGCCCTGCAGAGACTAAAGTTGCCTGGCTGTCTCCTCTCTGGATCAAGGAGGGCTAATGGCATGAGGGAAGTTGTACCTATTGGAAGGTTTGGTCCTAAGTGGAAATATCACTCTGCTCCTCACATGTTCCTTGCTTTTGGGAAACAAACATCATTTGCCAGTGCTGAGAAGGAGAATTGTTGCAGGGACACAAGGAATAGTTCAGGCTCAGCCTCAGCTGAGATTGGCTTGTGCTTGTAGAGCTTGAGTCTCCCAACCTCTCACAACAGGGGTCTCTCAATGTCTGAGTGATTTCCATAGAAGTAAAGAGGCTAGGAAGAGAACGGTTGGGACCTGAGTGCCTGAGATCAGAGATGAGAGAGGATAAACAATGAGGGTTCCACTGGGTCTGGTCCCCAGCTCCACCCCAGCCTCAGGGCTGAGTCCCGTGGAGGGAGGAACGTTCTTCTAAGTTTTGATCTGAATTCAGCTGACTCTGGTGGAAGGAAATGCAGGGCCACTGGGCACCTCTGGACTTGGCGGATCTGCAAGGACCCCAGTTCTCAGGAAGGAAGGAGGATCAGAGGACACCACATTTCCTGGAAGGGAAAAGAGAGCATCAATTTCAGACAGGCTTGAATAGGTGGGGAGAACATGCAAGACCCTCCTGGGACGACAGAACATCTAGTTAATACATCCACGTGCCACAATGCAGCTGTCCATCAAAACTTCTCTGTCTACGTGCAAGGCTGTGGCACTCAAGTCCTTGTGACCAGTGGATTATGAGTCGAAGGGGAATGTAGAACTCTGGGAATCAGCTCTGAAGGCAGCAGTGGGCCTCCACTGTGCTCTCTCCCTCCCACCTGCTGGGTGCTGGAGGTGAAAAGACCCCGCTGGATGGGGAGCCTCAAGGTGGACAGAGACCTCCCCACCACTTTGCACACCCTAGACTGCTGTATACAGGACACGTAAACTTCCATTGTGTTTGCATCGCTACGTTTTGGGGTCTGTGTAACAGAATTTAACCCACCCTAACTAATACAGCACATAGAAAAAAAAATGCATGTATTAATGCCATTGGGATACAACATGGAAATGTGTTCAATTTTCTTGGGAAAACACGATATCCAAGAGAGGCTCCTTTGCCTGCACGTGCCATCCAATCAACTAGGGTCACAGGTGGGGCTGGCACCAGGGTCCTTCCCTTTCCGTCTAATATCATTTTCACTGATGTCTCTTTGTCCTGCACATTTTCTCTTCTTTCAGCATCCACTGGCGGCAGCTCTAGGTAAAAAGCAAATCCTAACTTAGTTAAAGGAAGCTCCAGCAAACCTGGCATTTCTCCACTATTGTTTTTATGAACCATTTATAAAAGCCAGGAAGAGCTCTCTGTTGGAACTCACGGTCACCTGAAACACTGAGAACACCGTCCTCCATGGCAGGATGGAAAGAGCCCAAGAACCTTCCACGGCATTCTAAATCCTGGAGCTGCCGGCATTCCAGATCCTGAAATTGTGGGTCTCCCATCTCAAGCTTGAACACTCACGGCTGAATTAGAGTGTACTGCTGGCACCACGCCAAATGCATTCCTTCATGTGTCAGCCCTGAATCTCTTCATATGTTAGGGTGAGCTGCGTGTACACTAGTTTCTTCACTTCCAAGGCAGTTTCACCATCTGTTTCTATTATGGGAGTTTATGGCACAGAATACCTCAGACACCAGAGCCTCCATTTTTTTCCTGGCGTGCAGTTAAAGCACTTTATGAACAGAATGATTAAAAGGTAGGGGCCTCCTTAATTTTTCCCCATTTTTCTTGGCACATTATGGAATTCAGAAGGATTTTTACAGTTCATTTTATGAAGATGAAAGGTGATTTGAAAGAAAATTAAGAAATTATCGGGGAATGTAAATGTGTCTGCAACTCAGCTTTTAAAAATCCTTTAATCTCATCATGATTAAGTGGATTTTTCATATTGTTTCCTAACTACATATACTTAAGAAGGCAAAATTCAAGCATATTCTGAAATTTGCAAATAATTCTGGAATTTGATATCGCAGAGGCTCCCATATCTCTGTATTTTAAAAACCAAATTAAGACAGCTACACTCTGAAGCTTTTAGTCAAAGGGTTTTGGGTGCATTCTGTATCACATCCACACAGATGATCAAACCATATAGCTTTTAAGGCAGGAGATGAAAGTGTTGAAATCCCACATAAAAACCTTACTTCTCAGACTCTTCTATGAACATGAAATAGGTCTACTTTGCACATACTCATTTACACACACATTTTTCTGTATAGCCAATATACAGAATAACCAATGTGGTCTACACAATACTTAGAGAGACTGTTCACTGCAGCGCTTTTTTTGGCCTATTAATGCCAGTAGTTGTGTGTCCATAGAAGACATTAAAACGGTTAGTGATGACCTGTGACACCTTGACAATGAACATGGTGGTAAAAAGTAAGAAGAAGCCAGAAGACTTACTACAACTTGCATGGAGAAGGAACAACTGTATCATATGAAATCCCCAAGAAATCTCGTTTGTCTGTGGAAAGACCTGTGTATGGGGACCAAATGGAACTTGAATCATCAAGGACTCTTCATGTGTGTTCAAGAAATTGCCCAAACTTTCATGCTATCTCACAGTCAAGGGTAGCTTTCATGTTAAAGAGGGGAAGATGGGAAGGGGAATTTGGAAGAGGATGTGCAGAAGGGAGGAGTAACTTCAGGCTCAGAAGTGTGTGTCAAAGTCTCTGTGCTGTCATGGCTGTGGCACAGTGAGAGATCAGGCACTTGTCTGTGCTCTTGGAGGACTCATACATGCACATGAATACCTTGGATGAGCCCATTCTCCCCTCAACAGTTCTGGCTGGTTCCTGGAAAACAGCCCACCTCTACCTTCTGTCCTCTGTTCTTTTTCTTCAAATGTGTGCATTTTCTTGACCTGCTCCATGATTCCAAGCTGTACTTTATGGAGAACAGCTCAGTGTTCTGCATCCCCAAGGGCAGGACTTTGCCCAGAGGCAGAGCTGGGTCTCCCACTATTGTAATCGCCACTTGCTTGATTTATGCCCCCAAGCCCTTAGAGAGCGTGGGGTAAGCCCCACAGATGGAGAGCTCACCTGAGGCCCTTTTGTTGCAGGAGTGCAGGCTCCATCAAAGAAAACTATGTAGAGATGCCAGAGCTGTGGCTGTCCTCAGGGAGCAAGGAGACACCAGGGACCTCTACAGAAGCTCTTCTACTTTAAGAGTATTTTGTTCTTTCCCTCCCAGCAGGGACTCCTCTAAAAGCAGGTGAGGTTTAAAGAAAAAAAAAAGTGTCCTTGAGATCCAAGGAGCAAACATAAGCATGTGGCTCTTTATTGATCACTGATGAACTCTTTAGCTGCATCTCATAGCAAGCAGAAATGGAGAAAATGGCCACCTTAGACTCCCTGTGCCACAAAGAGACATCTTTGGCAAAGCTGATGGGTTGGCACACAACAGATACTGCACAGGGTAGTGCTAGACAGGCTGTGTTGTCACTTGCTTCTTTGAGCTGCTGCCACTGTATATGGATTTGTCTTCGTGGTTGAGGTGAGTTGTGGGTTTCTCCTGGGTGTGGAGACTTAGGCAGGAGCAGAGCAACCTCTAAGAGCAGCCATTCAGCTCATCCTAAACCACAGAGCATGAGGCTATAGGCACACACTAGGGCTAAGAACTAAAAATGCCTTAAATGGATTACAGCATCCCCTGGGATACACAATAGCCCTCCTAGTTACCCGATGCAGTGATTTTTCCCCCTTCCATTTCAAGGCACACTTCCCCAAACTAGAATTATCATGAGCGCCCATGAAGGGATTGCATTACATCAGCAGGTGTTGGTCGACCCACCTGACTCCCTGTAGTATCAGGGAGCAGCAATGCTCAGTTAGTTGTGAGATAATTGAAGGACTTTATTAAAGTTGTCATGTGTGCCAGTGAGCACATGGTCTCTACACCAATGCATTATATCTGATTCTACAAGGTGTATTTTTACCTGGCCAGGAGTACCCTCGGTGAGGTGGCCAGTAATACTAGTGCGTGTTCCCATCTCAATAGAGATAATTCCACCTCCTTCATTCTGTGGCTCTGCTGAGTCCTCAGGAGGCAGTGGGCTCTAGAGAATTGGCTGCTGCTGGTGTCAGATCACACCAGAAAGCAGGTTTCCAGCACAGCAGCAGTGCCCTCCTGCAGGGTTCCAGCAAACCCTGTGCTCTCTGGACCACAGCCTTGTCTCTCCAACTTCCACGAGTCCCTAGAGGACAAGACTGCATCATAGCAAACTTTCTATCTGCTATCTTAGCACGGTGCCAGACAAAATATGTGTATGCAATAGATGTGTGAGGAAAAAAAGGCTTATATCACATATCACACTCTTTCGTTTATTTAACGTTTATTATGGAAAATTCCAACACACACCCAATAAAGAGAATAACATAATGAACTCTCATTTACATACTGCCCAGCTCTAACAATTATCTATCATCATGGCCTGTCTTGTTTCATCAATTGCACCAACTCTCCACCACCAAAGCAAAGTATTGTGACAAACAAACCCCAACTATTACACTCTTTCATCAATAAATATGTCAGTTTGTACTTCTAAAAAAACAACATTACATCCTATCTAATGAGAGCAGAGTATCATCAAATATACAGTCAAATTTAAAACAACTTAATAGACAACAGGAAAAATTTTATTACTTGTTGGCTTACAGTTGGTTTATTCAATTTTTAATCTTAGATTTTTTCTCCCTGTCTTTCCTCTATATTTTTATTTTTTGAAAAAAACATGTCATTTGTCCTACAGAAATTTCTTCATTCTGGATTTTGCTGATTTCATCTCTATTGTGTCCTTTAACATGTTTCTCTGTCCCCTGTATTTATTTCCTGTAAACTGATACTTAGATCTAGAAGCTGGGTATGATTCAGGCTTGGAAGTACATGATGCCCAACTAACTCTTTTCTTGTCGTGTCAATAGCCATTAATAACTATAACCTAAATCCATTATTTTTGGGAATTAAACAATCTATCATCATTTCTTCCTTTTTGAGCTGCCATACTTCTATAAAGAGTAATTTCTGTTCTCAACTATTTGGCTAGCCTGAGGTATAGTTCTCACAGCAAACACAAGTTAAATGCTGGATTCTTTTTTATTTGCCTTTGCCAGTTTTCACAATAATGAATGG
Organism: Homo sapiens; assembly: GCF_000001405.40. NCBI lineage: Eukaryota > Metazoa > Chordata > Mammalia > Primates > Hominidae > Homo > Homo sapiens. Next base: position 30,867,430 of record NC_000019.10, on the reverse strand, counting down.
ATGATGTGGCCTCCAAAGGTGACTAATAAGGTGTTTGTTTGATTTTTTAAGTATTACTGCGAGCAAGTGGATTTTAACACGTTTAATGTGATTTCAGCCATTGTGGTTAATATTCACAGTGAAACTCTCTGACCATGTAAATTTCCATGTCTCTGGCCAACAGAAGCCTCATGTTGGCTCTTACTTTTTTTTGACACCATGTCAGGCATCCTGGAGAGCCTTCTTGCTTTCTTATCTGACAACGTGTTCTGCAGGATTTGCCCTGAATCTGGGATCAGACATTTCTCTAAGGAGCCCCAATTCGTTTTGGTGAAAGTGGTATTTAGAGACCACAATCTGGCTGTAGAGATTCCCAGCACTCCTGGGTTGGTCATCATTTTCAGGTCTTTTCAGTGAACAGACAGGAAATAACTCTCCTTTCCCAAAAGAAAATACATCACAAATTCAAACTGACATTTTTCATTCAAACTTAGGTTTTAATTTTGATTTTCCATTTGTATTTCTTTTCTTATGCAAATACTTTTCTAGCGGCATTAGCATAATTACTTCATTGCTTCTTCCTACTACATACATGTGTGAAAGAAAGAGAATTTCAGAATGACAATACCAATATGATTACTAATAATATGATACTGAAAACCATGTTGGCAGCTCCTTTTTGCCCTTAGGATATAACCCATTAGGGAAGCTATTTTGAATTCACCTAAAGCAAATTATCTCTGTAGGTTACATAATCAAATCAACATGTAGTTAGTTTCCTTTGGTTTCTTTCTTTCTTTTTTTTTTTTTTTTTTTTTTTTTGCCCTTGGTTTGTAGGAATAGATTTTTTAAAATTTTGAATTAATTGTGTTTGATCATTATATAAAATATCTATTGGGTTCCTAAATTAATTACTCAAACCAGGTCTATTCAGACAAGTCTAGCTTCTCTCTCTGTCCCTTGTACTCTTTCCCTTTCTTCCCCTTATAACCACACCTATGACTTTTAACTTTATTTATTTAATATACAATGTATATTGGCATCCCCCTTGTCTTAAATAAATAAGAGCATACAGCACCTCCTGTTCTCTATCTTGCTTTGTTTCACAGAAGTATATTTCTTGGAGATAGACACCACTCTTTTTTACAGCTGCAGAGTCCTCCCTCTTGGAATGCCCCTCATTCTTAAAACCAAGAGAGCCATCTAGAGTGAAATGCTACAAATCATGAAGTGTAGCATTTAAGCGCAGCCTTTTTGGTTGTGGAAGGCCACAGTGAATTTAGATAAGGATCCCTGAAGCAAACCTGGACTTAACTTGAAGTAGTAATTACAGGAGAAGTACTAGTAGGAATAGAGGCAGTAGTTAGAGAATAATGAAGCAATTATTATTGCTGTTGCATATCAATCACTTATTTTGTGCCAGGACCTGGGGTAAGCATTTTGCATCTATTACTTATTTTTGTTTGCTATCTGCAGCATTTCACAATGCATACATGAGACATGAGAAACATACTTTCTTCCGTGTGGATATAGCAGCCTATGGACACTGATCTGGGAGACCTGGGTTCAAATATTCTTTTCTTCAGTGATACCCAACACATCCAAACTTTCCCAAACATTTCTGTGTATTGCAACCGAAGGCACTTAGCTCAAAATGGCCCTTGGTGAGTGATGAGTGCAAGAGAGTATCATTGACAGACAGGTGTTGATAAGCTTGGACAAGGTCAAGTTTCCCAAAAACCCTTCCCGCAGCATGCTCAGCCACGAGTTGATGGGTTGCAGCTGCTGATTCTGAGCTGTGCTAGTGTGTGGTGTTGCCCTCCCATGCCGGTTAAAAGTTTCTGCCTGTTAGTGTTGGCCTCCTGTGCACGTCAGGACATTTGAGCTGAAATTATTTCATTCGATGCTTACTGTGTTGTCTGCTTTTTTCTACTTTGAAATAGTTATCTGTCCAGCTAGCAAGTCAAGATATCAATGTAAATGGGAATTCTACAGCCAATTCTCAGCAATGGTCACCACCCTTGGTGCCAGTCATTGGATGCCATACCTTAGCAATAGGGGATCCCTATTGCTTTCCCTAAAGGCTCCCCACAGCCAGGTCCCTGAGGATGAATGGAAGTCATTTCTACAGGGACTCTATTGCATATTCCTAGCCAGGCAATTGATGCCATCTTGAAAAAAAATGCACCAAGACTCTAAAGTTTGGAAAAAGGCTTTTATAAATAATATTCTCAGAGGTACACTTGTCTTGATTTCCAGAGTCCGCTCCAGCTCATATTTTCAAACACTGATGGGCCAACCCCTGAGATACTGGCCCTTAAACCCCACAGGGGAAATCCTCCCAGCATGTAAATCCTGGGAAGCACGTCACGGACATTGATTTCTGCAGAACGCGCTTGGGCAAATGCCATAAACTGAGGGATTGCTCGTGCCACAGAGGTGGGCAGCCGTTCAGTTGTTGAGATGTACTCAGAAGTGGCTTGGCAGAGCCTATGGCAACTCGACTCTCTTTTTTGGACTCCTCTCCTTGTCATTCAAGTGTGTATTTGGGGCCAGTGTACAAGCAGTGGCCTGAAGGCTCTCAGCAACAATCGTTGTGCTGGCTCCATGGCAGATAGTGAACTAGATGAGCAGGGACACTCAACAGCAGTTCAGTTGTGTGGCACCACATGGGCTGCTGGCTCACACAACAATGGGACACTGACTCAGGACAACAGTGCATCCCATTAAAGAGGTTCAAGACAACCAGGACATTGTCACAGCCAAAACCACCTGGCCTGGACCTCATGGCAGTTTCACAAGTGGGGGCGGGAGGGCAATGGGCCAAGAGGGTGAACTGGGCCTCAAATCCTGCTCTGCCACTTCCTGTCTGTGCTGGGTCAGGTCACCTGATTTCCTTAACTCCTAGTTCCTTTCTGTACAGTGGAGATAACAGTAATAGAACCTATCTCACAGAGTTGTAAATGAGGAAGTTCATGGAAGAGTTCAGTAGGGTTCCTAGCATTGAAACAGTGTTTGCCGAATGTTTTACGACCACTGCGTGTGGGATGTAAGAGCTTTGCTCCTGTGAGGCATAAGGCCATATGTGTCCCAGTGGTAGGGTAAGATGGGTCACAAGGAACTCCACACTCACAAGATTAAACAGGTTCCCGATCTTGGGGACCGCTCTCAAGGGGGAAATGTAGCCTAGCATGGGTCACTCCTAGCAGTGAGTAGAGGAAACCTGAGCTGCTGAGAAATTCAATTCTGGGAGCTCCACACACCCCACCACCCTTTCTCACAGTGTGACCCAGAGCATGTTTTATTCCCATAAAGAGCGGATGTGGAAGACTTTTCTTGCCTTTCCTATCATATTTCCAGGGCAATGCCAGCTTACTTAATGCCCCCCACACATCTTTAAATCCTTGGATCCCATGCAGACCAGTTTTGATTTAAAAAAAAAAAAGTTTGAGTAAAACAGTGCATTACCATCTTCTGTCAAAATACACCCCATTTTCTTTTGGGACTGAGAGGCTAACCCTCACTTTTTAAAAGGAATTCTACTGAAATTAGTGCCTGAGATTTAGGCCAATAGGGCCAACTACACCTCCTTTCCCATGATTTCTCAAACGCAGATAGGCACTGAGGTGTTCATCTGACATGCTGCTGGGTCCCTATGCATAACTCTTCAATGAATAAAGTGAGCAGAGGCCCGAATTTAATTTATGGAGCATTACATATAAGAGTCAAATCTTATGTGATTCTCCTCCATTCCTTGCTAAAGGACAAATGCATATTCTTTGAATGTCTTGCCAGCAAAACATGGCCAGAGCAGTGAAACCAAACACAGGATGGAACGAGATCAATAATCAAAGCAACAGCAAGCCCTGAGGTTTAATCCGCATCTCGGATTTGGGAAGGAATGCAAGGACTTCATTCGTATGGGGAATGAATGCCACTAGTCATGGCACTACACAGCATTTTCGGATCAATATATTCAGGGTGAAAATCTTCACCAAACCCTCACCTAGAACAGACCTTCCAAATCGCTGATTTATGTTCATGTCAGACAAGACATAGGCTGTCATTTCCACTTTTCTGATGGGAACGGAAGGTGAGCTGGTCTTGAGTGTAGCTGAATCTAGTGGATGACAACTTTTCACAGGCTAGCTCTTTCTTCTCTTCTCTGTTTTGCAGAAACTCACCACGAGGCACCACTTCCCCCAACCCTTGGATTTTACCCATTCGGTTCGTTCTTCCCATCGTGGGAAGCGCCACTTAGATGTCAGGGTCCAAAGAGTTAAATTGCCACCCCCATTCGTGTACCTCCACCCCAGCCTGCTCTTCTCCTCTCCCTGTGATTTATGGAGGGCTCCATCCCTGAAGGGAACTGACAGTCACTCTCATTTTCTCGTGCTCCCCCCGTCACGGCCAAGGTCATGAGCGAGGGGGCCCCTCCAAGTTTTCCGCACTCGTCCTCGTTCACCCTTACTCCGGTGCGGCCTCATGAATCATTCCGTCTTCACATTGAACTCCTGACGCTTCCCTAGCACCAAACTGCCCGACTTCCGCAATTTTTCTTCATTCTCACTAACAATTTGGTAATGAAATATTGATTTTTAGTTAGATTCAAATAGATGTTATTAAGTTTGCATTGATAAATCGTTCCCTTTCTCAGGCTGGAAGTGCCTCAGTCAAATTCTAACTGCGCTTTCATACCTGGTGATGTATTAATCTGATGTGTCTCTCAGCCAGGTTTCGGGGCCTGGCTGGGGGTGCTGTCCTAATTGCTGGTACCTCAGACGGAGGGGATAATTCCGGCTGGTGTGCTGTAAGAATGTTAGCCCTAGGACCCAAATGGGTGAGCTTTTCCTCCAGGGCTCCTACTGTTTAAAACAGCACCATTTCTCCACGGAGAATGGCCTCATATGAGATAAGGAGGTAGCCCGTTAAATGTGATTTTTCCTTTATGACCTTTGTTAATAGAATACGTAACATCCAAGTCATATTACAAAATATTGAACAGACTAACAAGAGTATTCCATTCCCCTCCTAAAATTGTAGGTTCCGGGCTAGGTGCCCAAAGGCAAATAGCAGAAGCTGTAGCCCCCTCCGGTGTGAACAAGGTACCTGGAGACTCTGCAGCAGACATAGATGCCCAGCTTCATCGCGGGCTTTGAATGGCTCATGTGGAAGGTGCGAGAGACACCAGGTTCCAAGGGCTCATCACTCACCCACACTGCCACCTTCCCTGCCCCTCCCTAACCCTCTACTTCTCTCCTCCCATAAATCTCATTCAGGACCCGCTTAGTCCCTCCTAGAATAAGCCCAGCTCTAGGAAACAGACACAAATAACCAGGGATTCATGACTCACACGAACCTCCCCAGCAGCCAGGCCTGGGAGATTTGTCACTTTAGGGAGAGAGGAGTCTTTGCTCCAGTAAGGACTACCCCCTCATCCCTGGTTGCTGTGTCCTGGCTAAAGGTGGTCACTTGACCCAAGCTGGGCTAATCACTAATGCTCCATCCTAGCCTCTCCTTGCTCAGCAAGTAGACACAAGACCTAAGAAAAACCTGTCAGTGCTCTTCTCCGGAATGATAGAAAACTGGGACAGCAGGGAGAATCCCTTTCTCTCTTGAGCTGAAACAAGGATATGTGAGCAGAAGCACCGAGAGGTGCATTTCCCACCCACTGTGCAGAGAAATCTGGGCTGCCATTGGTGAAGGAAAGGCTGCAGTGTTGAGCCAGGCCCCAGGCAAGGAATATCTAGCAATGTCACTTCTTTCCCTGATACTGAATGTCCAGTCCGGCTTGGGTTTCTCCTACTTGCATTCAAGAGTTCAGCCTTCCTTCACTCGATTTCTCCTTCTCCCCTGCACAGACAAATCTTCCCAGATAAGACTCTGGCATCATGCTCAGGGTCACTGTCTCCAGTGGCTTCCCTTCACCCATCACACAACATCACAATCCTTAGCCCAACATTCAAGCCTCTCTGAGACCCTTTACACACTACTTCCCTTCTCACAGTCAGGTCCCAGCTCAAGGTAGCCATCCATTTCCCATTTCTCTCATTTATCCAATTCTGAATATTTTCCAGGACTGGTCTCTAGTCTTAGGATGACCCACTTCATCGCTGAATGAGTGGCGCCTCTTCATTCCCTTCCCCGGATGCCTTTCCTAGGCTGCTAGCTGGAAGCCGTTCTTCCACACGATCCACTTTCCATTATAAATTATCAGCAGGGGCCAGGTGTGATGGCTTATGCCTCTAATCCCAGCACTTTGGGAAGCCGAGGTGGATGGATCACCTGAGGTCAGGAGTTCAAAACCAGCTTAGCTAACATAGTGAAACCCCATCTCTACTAATAACACAAAAATTAGCCAGGTGTGGTGGCAGGCCCCTGTAATCCCAGCTACTCTGGAGGCTGAGGCAGGAGAATTGCTTGAAACTGGGAAGCAGAGTTGGCAGTGAGCTGAGATAGCGCCATTGCACTCCAGTCTGGGCGACAAGAGCAGAACTTCATATCAAAAAAAAAAAAAAAAAAGTAAATAAATACATAAATAAATAATCAGCAGGAATTACCTTCTTCGCTAGATTGGAAGCCCGGAGCAGGCATAACCTATACGCAAAGCCTCTTCATTACTAATGCTTCACAAGGCACCCATGCACGTGACAGATAATTTAAACCTAGGTTGCATTCAGTTATTAATTCACTTACTCATGCATTCTTCTCTTCTCAAAGTCCTACTCATTCTTCAAAGCCAAGATTAAAGCCTGCCTCCTCCTTTGAGCCTTCTTAGGTTTCTTTAGTCAGAATTAATCTCCTACCCCTCTCTGTTCCTGCACTATACTGTGTTCAGCTTCTAATTAGCATGTATTAATTAATATGTACATTTGTATGCACTCTTTTAAGAGCACATTTGGAGTATCTGCTTCCTTAGATTGGAGGCAATTTCTAATGTCTCTGCTTCCTGCTCTTGACTATAAGCTCCTTAAGGATAAAAATCTGATTTGTTTTCTCAGCATCTAGAACAGGGCTTAAAAGGAGCTGAATAAATGTTAGTTGAATTGAATTGAATGGAATAAATTTCATTGAAACGGATGGATGGGGATATGATGGGCTACCTTTGAGCCTTGGGTATTTGCCCGTAGACCAGTTACAAATGACAAGAATACTTAACATCAAACTAGTGTAAGCAAAAAAGAATTTGTAAGCTCACATTATATGAGTCCAAGACTAGATCTGGAGCCCTGATCTCAAACAATGTTATTCAAGTCCGTCTCTCTCCATTGTTCGCTCTGTTTCCCTCTGCCTCAGCTCCATTCTCAGGCAGACCTTTGCCTCATGGTGCCAAGATGGCTGCCAGAGCACTGGGCTTGCATTTTAATCTTTGTAGCAACTGGAAAAGAGATGACTTCTCCCTTTCAATTGTTGCCTTTAAAGACCCATATGTTCTGATTGGTGTAGCTTAAGTCATCTGACCATGATTGGGGTGGTCCAGATGAAATACATGAAGTGGAAGGGGAAGCGATGGTTCTGTAGAATAAACCAGGGTACTGGTACTAGAAGAAAGGTCATGGACGCTGGACAGGCAGCTGGAGCTCACTCCCTGCATACTCACTGGCCTGTTGCCTTCAAGGTCACTAATCCTGGCCCCTCACGTGCAAGTTACAAAGCACAGTTGTTTCCCTAGATGAGAACAGGAGACACTTGCAGGAGATACTGGCCTTTCCAACCTAGCCCATCTGGGTCTATAAAGAAACTATAGAGAAAACCGTTCATACAGAAGCAGTGGTCTCCCTCCCACATGCAAGCAGCTTGGAAAATGGAATGAGACCAAGGCTGTCATCCTCCAACTGGAGGAGGAAATGGGGTGCCTGCTCTCTCAGCCTCCTGAGTTGCTTGGTTGGAGTTGCTGCACTGTTTGGGGACACTGAACTACAGGAGAGAAAAGACATGTTCCAGATGTTTAAGTTCCATGGGTGGACAATGCTGAGAGATCAGGCAGGGAGATGCAAGTCTTAACAGGGGTCCAAGTTCATGCCATTCCTGAGCTGCAGGACTGACCTCAAGCCATCTAGAAAGGAGCTGGATGGCCCAACATTTTTCCTCAATGAGGACAATTGGAAAACACAGAGAAATCCCCACCACTCAACAGCCGAAGGCCTCAGACAGCCCAGCAGGGCAGCTTCTAGGCACTGCCATGCAGCCATCCAACTTCTGCTACTCCTTTCTTCCATTCAGTATCATGGAGGAAAGCAAAAGGAATTAGTACATTTATGCTCGTGTGGTTATACCCTCACTTTCTTCTTGTTCCCGGCTAACTTACCATCCAGAAAATGAAAAAAATCCATGTTGGAGGGACTGATGGAAGGTTTCCACCTGCCTGGCTTCTTCCCCATGCCCTAGCTGCAGCCCTGTCTTTTGTCCATGTTTCCCAAGTCAGGGCCATGCCAATTACTCTGGAGCAGAGACCAGTGTCTCTGCAGCAGCACTGCTGGAAGGTAACAGTGCCTCCCACAGCCTGGAGGCCTGGGGCTCCTGCTGCCCCCAGGCTAAGGCAGAGCCAGATGGGAAGGGAGGAAAGGATCTCCCATTTGGCCCCTGCTGTGTAGACTCCCTTCTCATGGCCACAATGAATGTGGTTTAGATCTGATTGATTTTATCTGTGAAATGAGCTGAAAATCCCTCCCAGCGAGAAGTGCTCACCTCCCTTCCTTAGCCCAGACACTCCAGATAAATCAGGCTGCCCACCACCCAGAGCACGTGTGGGCTGCGTGGGGGCTTGGGGAGAGCAGATAGGCGGAGTCTGTGGGATCAGGGGAAGGTGGGCTTGCAGGGCCTCTGCCCCATCCAAGGGAAGGCCGTTCCCAAGGCTGAAAAATTCCCAGCAATCCAGTCAATCAATACCACCCCAACCCGGAACACCTTGCACTTGACATGCAAAGCAGCCTTCTTTCAAGTTTCTCCAGAAACAAATCCTAAGAGAAGGATATGGGGGCAATGCGTTGATTTGGGAGAGGATCCCAGGAAGCACTGTTGAAAAAGTAGGGAGACAAGTTAGGGAAGAGAAGAAATCCAACAAAGGGTGAGTTTAGGAGCAGGTGGCCAGGATGGGCCACTGGGGCCCGATCCTGCTGGGCAACCTCTGAGTGGCTGGGAGGAGCAGCCCCTGGAGCTGCCTCACGGAGAGGGAAGAAGCCAGGGTATTTATTCACTAACTGTCATCCTTGCTCGTGGCTGTTTAACCCCCATGCTATTTCTGGTCTGCCCTGGGCATGGGTCACCCATACTTCCTCGGCCAGAGAACCCTCCAACACAGACACAGGAAGCCATGAGCTTGCAGGACTGTCTGCTAGTGCCCTCCAAGGTGGGCCCGGGGATAATATGCCCAGGTCTGCGAGGTCAACTCCCTCTACATCCTCAGCTTTCCCACTCTTTCCTTCCATTGCCTTTTTTTTTTTTTTGGTCAGGGTCTCACACTGTCACCCAGGCTGGAGTATAGTGGCGTGATCTTGGCTCACTGCAACCTCTACCTCCTAAGTGCAAGCAATTCTCCTGCCTCAGCTTCCTGAGTAGCTGGAATTACAGGCACCTGCCACCATGCCCAGCTAATTTTTATATTTTAAGTAGAGACAAATTTTTGTTTTTTTAGTAGAGACAGGGTTTCACCATGTTACCCAAGCTGGCCTCAAACTCCTGAGCTCAAAAACTCCGCCCACCTCGGCCTCCCAAAGTGCTGGGATTCCAGGCATGAGCCACCACGCCCCGCCTTCCATTGCATCCTCTTCTACAACAGATGAGAATATCTTCCCCCAGAGCTGCAGTTCCACATTCTTTGTCTCCAAGGCCCAGTTTTACATAGTGACTTCAGGAAGCCTTCCCCAAGTTCTCCACCCAGAGGCAGCAGCACCCTCTCTCATCAGGAAGGAGGGAAGGACAAATAAGTGAGTGCTCTGGTAGGGGCAGAGAGGGCCACAGCTTTGGGGTTAGGGTGTAGTCAGGGAGGCTGGGGGGTGACACCCCTGCGTCAAGGGCCAGGCCTCCAGCCTCCAGCTTCCACCCTCCCCTACTCGGCAGGCCAAGCACCTTGGCTTTCCACGTCTCATAGAACATTAATGCAAATTATTATAATTCTTCTCTTCATTGAAAGAAACTGTGGTGCAGTTGTCTGAGTCACTGATGAAGCTGATGTGAAAAATTCAGTAATTGGTTACCAATATCCAATTACTCCAGGGTAATCTGAAAGTGATGAGAAGGCAAGCCAAGAGGACACAGCCCAGGGACGGTCAGGCACAAAGAGGAAGCAGGAGGCTTGGCTCCGGCCCTGAAGCATGGCTAAGCACACAGGAGGAGTGTGTGATGGTGGGGGCATGAGGAGTCCACAGCCTCAAACTCTGTCTCCAACCAATGCTCCCATTAAGCTATTCCTTCACCATGAGAGCTTTTCCTTGGAGTCAGAAGCCTGCAAACTGTCTGCTAGAGGGCCCCTGGGGGATGGCCCTGCTGAGGGTTGGGGAGAAAGCACAGTGTGCCCTGCCAGGGCCTGGGAGACCTGTATTCCTGCCCATCAATCGTGGCCCAAGACCTCACCCCCCAACAAGGTGGGACATTTTACTGTGCCCCTGTTCCCTTGTGCAGTGAGGGCTAAATCCTGCATGCATTTTTCGAAGGCTCTTATGTGGGTGCAAAGAAATAATCCAGGGGAAGATAAGTTTGCAAACTGAAATGCAGTGAAGAAATGAGCCATTATGGGTGCCACTCATTGGCCAACCCTTCAAGGGGAATTCACAGGGGTATAGGCCTGGAGAATGGTCCCTGGGATAGGAAGAAGAGGGTGCACAGAAGCTACTCAATAAAAGCTTATTCAGGTCAGTCATGACAGATGGACACTGCTGCCTGCCCTGGGGGACTTGCCTGGCTCCTGAGCCAGCCCCTGAAGGTGATGACTCTCCGTGCAGAGCCGCGATGCCCATCTCCAGGTCAGGGGTGAGGTCAGGGGCAGGGCAAGATGAGGATGAGCCCTTCTGCTGCCCTGCACTGTATCATGTCTGCAAATAAATGGAATAATTCAGTTTCCAGGACTCTTAACCTTTTCACTTGGCATAAATTGTGATCACCCAAATAAATACAGGCAAATCACATTAAAAGCATATATATACGAAGCTCATTTATTCGAGACGTCTTCCAACTCTGAAAAATACCTGTATCTTACCAAGAGGAAGAAAAGAAAAAAAAAATAAGCTCAGCTGATTGCTGCACACATCCATTTCTGTCTCTGTTGGCTATGGACTGGGGTGTTTTGATTCCTAATGGCCCTAATGACCTAACAGTCCCACCTCAGACAGGTCAAAGGTCAGAGAAACCATTTTTCCTTCATTCTAAATTGGCAGAGAGAGGGTGAGATGTATGAGCAGATCGTAATGTGGTACCAGGAATGTTTGAGCAATAATCAATTGCAAATTATGTCTTATCAAGTTAAGAGTCAAATGGAGGGGGTTGTGGCTGAATATTTTATCCAAGCAATTTAATAAGAATGCAAATGACCATGAACCTTTAAAGAGAGGTTTTCCAGTATCCTAAAGAGCTGCACCACCCAGGCAGCCATTGAAAGCTCTTCCTCCATTTAGAAGGAGCCAGGATCTGGGGGAGGTAGAGGTCTGGGGCTGCAGCCTCTAGAAGAGTCCACACCCCTGGCCGCGGGCCCAGCCAGGACTCCATCTCTCCTAGAATTCAACTTATGGGGATATGTGATCCTTGTGTTCCCAGGGAATGAGGGCCACTGCTGTCCTTTGTGTCCAGCGCCTCTGCTGAGACCATGACCTCCCATTCATCACAGCTTGCCGGCCAGGGTTATGAGGAGGTCAGGCCTTACAAGAGTGCCACATGGGAAGGCAGGCCAGGGCCCAGCTTAGGGAAGGGGACTGCTTGGCTCTCAGCCCTTCGGAGCCAATGCTTCCTCCCTAGTGTGTCTCTACAGATGCTGTAATAGGCAGGACTCGCATATTTCTGAGAGCAGAGCAGAAATATTGCTGCAAAATACCATTCGCCAATGCACAGCAGTATTCGGTGGGCAGAGGAGTTGCATCCGAAATGGTATGGAGAGGCTGAAACACCAGGCGAAGGCTTCCAAATGCATACTCCGGCTTTGCACCCCCTGCCTGGCTTATGCTCGCCTGGGTTTATATTTGTAAAAAGAAATAAAAAGAACACTTAATTCAAGTCATTATGTGTGGACGCTTCATGCCTGAAGCACATTGCAATTTACAGAGAGCTTTCACTTTGGCTAACCCTTGAAGTCCACAACAATGTCCCAAAGACAAAGAGCCTGAAGGTCATCCCCTTCTCACAGGGGAGGTGACTGGGACCGGGAAGCATGAGGGGACCTGCCCAAGGTCACAGAGCCATTGAGTTGGGTCTAGAACCCACTTGGGACAAGCTCAGCACATCATGAGCTTAAAAGAGAAATGTGCATCTAAAGGATATGGAAAGGAAGGTTTCCAGGAATCATGGAAAGGTGGCATCCTTTGTAGACAGATGCGGGGTGGCCATGGCACAGGTCTCTGGTGTCACTTTGGACCACTGCTGTACTTGCCTCAGGACTGCACTGGGGGGTCTGCCTGGGCCGAGTGGTGAGACGGGACAGGAGTCAGAGTCTACCTGCAGCTGGAATAAGGGGTCAGCCTACCCCAGGACTAGAAGTTATTTTGCAATCTGTGCCTCAGAGGGGAAAGGAGTTCTAGAATCATGTGTCAAAGCTTAGCTCATCGAGGACATAGGTCCTCCACTGTGCTTACCAATCAGCACAGCATTCAGGGAGCTAGTGCCCAGGTGGGGAAGACAGAGCGGTACGTCCAGTTCTCCACCTCATGGAATGGCTATGAGACTTCATCTAGACCATCCCTGCAAAGCTCAGCAAAGCACCTGACAACTGGTGGTTGCTGTTAGATTATTTTTGGCTACCTTAATTTCTCAGACAGTCCTGCTGCAAGGAAACAGAAGCCTGCTGGGATGATGGGTGAGTGAGGTAGGGGGTCCTAGGGTCCCCCTCCACAATTGCATCTGCCCCCTGCAAAAAATGGAGCCTATTCCCCTGCTGAGGATGGTTAGATATCCAGGAAATCAAATGTGAGAGTATCCTTCCTAATGTATTCATGTCTTGAGTAAGTTATTCTGCCTGCCCTCCTACCTCCGTAGTGGACATTTGCAGGATCAAGTAAGTCAGCACCAGGGGAGTCCTATTTTGCCAAGATCACTCTCCATGGAGCCACTATCTTCCCACACCCCACTCTTCCTGCCTGGGCCCTGCCTCGAACCCATGGAGTGGAGACGCATCCTTACTTTTGGGCTTTAATTACGCTTGATTCCAGCTTCTGTTGAGTGATCACTCGTCTTTCTCTAAGCCCCCATTTCTCCCAGAGCATTTTCTTGATGTTATTAGAGCTGTCTATAAAATATGAATCCCAATTCCATGATAGTCATAAAAGCCATAAAATTCTATGCCTGCCATGAAAATATTACATGATTTATTTTTGTATGAAGTACATATTAAATCTCAATACTGGAATAGGAGTTTGGCTCTTCAACATCACAAACTTTTAATAACACACACTTTGCCTTAAATTGCTATTATTTTAAGTTTCTTTCTGCATTTTGCAATAGCTCTCATTGCAAAAGAGGATCAGAAAATAGCCCTGGTCTTATTTATAGGTTAAAGTTAGTATGCATTGTAGCTTACATTTTTTTCTCCATTTTTATGGTGCTCATTTTTGTTTTATATATGACATGATTTGTGCATTTGATTTGTTTTGTTTTATGTCAAGTGCCTTTGGAGAAATATCAGGTGATTAACCAAACCTTCCGATGGTGAGTCTGATACTGCCATCCCCTGGGTCAGGGGTGAGTCTGCATAAATCTCCACAAGTAAACACGTGGCAGGAATAAAGAGGGAGGCAAGGGACTCTGTATAAGATGGAGGAGGGAGAACAAATATTGGGAACATCTCTTTCCTTTTCCCAATGTCTATAAATCAGTCCATAAAGATTTACCAAGTTTCCAGGGCCTAGCAATAAAAGGGACACTCATGTGGGCACACAGAAGAATGATGCATGCTAGAGAGATGGATTCACACACATGAACCAGTTGAAGAATATGGCAAGGCAGGGCTAGGTTGTGCCGCTCACATCATATGTGTTGGGGGGTAACTGGGATGGAATGCAAGGATCAGATTTAGTGTGATGCAGAAGACAGGGCTTGAGCTGACCCTTGAAAGACAAAGGGAATTTAGAGAGGCGGTTGAGAGACGGGGACAATGCCTGGCAGAGGAGCCCAGGCTTTATAGGGGGGAAGTTAGGGACACCCCAAATGGGATGGAGAAAGACCAGTGCCCTGGTAGGCATGGCACTGGCAGAATCAAGCCCTGACTCAAATCCCCAACTCAACATTTGCCAGCTTTTCACCCAAAATCCACATTGCATTTCAAACATTTGAGGGTGGAGGGAAGATTGATTTCCACCCTGGAGGATACATATGACATTTGGAATGAGTTGAAACTGATCTAGGAGATTTTTATTTCAAAAGATATCTGATATGATGTGTCGATGGGGTGTTTCGCACACCTCATCAGAGTTCAAAGACTGCAGCCATGAGAATGGGGCTTCCAAGGTGGAGAGCAGATGTGTTCAGCTGGAGCAGGAGGAGGTCTTGGCCTCTTCAGGCTTGGCCCACCTGCCATCTGACATACCATGGAGACAAAGTCACGTGTTTGATCCAGGCAGGCTTTGGGTTTGAAATATCTTGGCATAGCTACAAACAAACAAGTATTTTTTTTTTTTTGTACCACACTTCCCTGACCCATTCCCTTATATCCTCAAGTCCTTCTGAAAGTACCTGCTGGGCATGGAGTCATTCAGCCTCTAATAGTCCCTGAAAGCTCCAGCAGAATAACTGATGAGGAACTGCCAAGCCCAGTCATTCTGATACCATTTGGCATCCAGTCTTTGGTCATCCCCAGAGCACCCACATAGCTCACGTGCTGCCAAAGTGCCAGAGGGTACGAACCTAGGAAGCAGAAGCGAGAGCAAAGGGAATTGAGGTGAGGAAGGAGGTGAAGTCCACATGAGAGGGCATTTTCCAGCTGGTCAACTTGGAGCACAACCGATCGCTTAATCTCGCAAGACTGTCATCTGAGAAACCACTTAACGGCGTTTCTCAAGATCATCCATCAGCAGGGAGCGGGGAGGACCACAGACGTGGAAGAAATAACTTGAAATAAGTGTTCAAAGTCTTGCCCCATAGGACATTAAGGCTCCCACTCTTCTGGGATGTGCAAATGTGGGTGCCGATTAAGTTCTAAGGCTTTCCACAATTTGGGATAAACAGGGAATCGTTGGGGCGGAGGTTAGAGATAATGTCAGTTGCGCCTGTGTGAAGAAGGGGGACCCCATTAGGAGCCAGCAACTGAAGTAGCAGCCAGGCTAAGAGAATCATATTAAGCCATCTGAAGTCATTCCCTAGGAAGGCCTTCCCTGCATCCACACATCACTCAACCTGTGTTTTAATGTGTATGCATTAAAAAGGTGCATGTCAACCTCTCCCTGAAGAAGCCTCCAACCTGTGGGTTCAGGTGGGGACCGCTCCTCCCCCAGGGTCATCTTGCCTTGCAGAGTGTTTCAAAGGCACTGTGGGGGCAAGTATCTGGTAGCAGCTCCCAGAGTCCCCCGGACTCTGCACTTCAGACAACAGGCAGCCAACACAGCACTTTCTTTTGCTTGGGGCAGACAGTTTCCAGGAAGCTGCCCAGCTCTGGATGGCAGACTCTCTGGGAACGCAATAGAATTCCATTTCCCAACCAAAACCAATCAGCCTTCTTTCAACACGAAAACATCTACCAAATCAATCCCACAAATTAAACAAACAATCTTAACGTTAATCTTAAAAGTCACACACCCATCAAATAACTTGTTTTGAATTATGGAGACCAGAACCAAGTGGATTTGGAGAGTTCTTCACCAAATTGCATAATGCCACCACTTCAATTAAAATAATAAAAATAATGAGACAATCATACAAGTAAAAATTGTTGACAGGATCCAGAAACTAGAATAGGAATAGACATGCTTCCAGGCCAACATTTTCCAAAGAGTCTTTCTTTAGTGAATGGCAGTTGGGAAGGACAAAAGGTAGGAGAGGAGGCATCTGGAAAAATATTAAGAGTTTTGTGAAAGAAAATCAATCCAGGAAGATACACAAACCTGATTAGGAACAGAAAAAATGTATGCTGTAATATATAGAGCAGCCTGTGTACGGGTGGCTGGCTCCTATAAGATTAAAGAAAATAACCCCAGGTTAGGGCTTCCTTCCCCTTCCACTCTTGCGCTTAGCATCACCAACCTGGAAGCTTCTTCCCCTTGGCTTCAAGCAATTTGCTGAGAAAGAATATCTTTGCTGCTAAATGATGTTGCTCCCCAATAGTTCCTGCAGCTACTAGCTCCGAAACAAACAACCTCGCTGGAGAATGGATAGATTGCAGCCTTGGCATGCGAGAGACCCTCACATAGAGTCCATGCCACACCCCCTCTGTCTGCTCCTGGGGTTTTGAAAAGGTCCTGATTCTAAAACAGAAAGTCAGGACAAGAATAAAGGTTCCAGGTCTCCTTTGAGGCCCTCACTTGCAGAGGAAGCCTTTGGGTCCAAGCAGTGGGAGGGGATGTGTAGGTTAAAGCATCTCACTGCTTAGCTTTGAAGTTGTCACTCAAGAAAGTGGCAGCAAAACATTCTGCCAGGCCACAAAGGCAGCAAAAGGTGGGAGTTTGGAGAAAAAACAGGACTTGCTAATGGTTCTCAGACCTGAAGTGCAGGAAGTGGGGGTACACAGCACCCCCCACCCGACACCAGGCCTCCGCTCCAAGGTTAGCCTAGAAAAGTGTACCTAATTAAATGGTCGCTGCCATGGCACCACCCACCTGCCTCCCAATTCTAAATGGCTAAGTTCCTGGCATTGGCTGGCCTGTGCTCATTCTGGCTAAACCTGCTCTCTTACTGCATTGATGGGCACTTCCCTCTGCTTTAACTTTTAAGTCAACAGAATGCCATGAGCCTTTTGCTCTACAGTTTGTTATTTTGATATGGAAATGTAATGAACAATATGGATGGATCTTGGAAATTAACAAAAGCTGTTGGACAACTACTTCTGCCTTGGTTCAATGAAAAAAACACAAAATACACCTCCCTCCTTCTTTTCCTTTTTATACTCATTATTGTATATATAGGAAGTCATCTGACTGTTTGGATTTGATCACATGTTCATTTCTAAATTTGTATGCCTCTGCCCTACATGAAAATCCCTGCCCCCTGAAGGCCTGGCGACTAATGGCCCTGGTGGAAAGGTGGCTGTCATCCCAGTGCCAGTTTGCATTGGTTGGAGCTGTGCAATGTTAACATCAGCACAGAAGTCAAACCACCGCCTCTTAGAAGCACAGTCAATTAAATGCACGTTAAAAGATTATCTTTTATATTTATCATAACAAGCTTTTGCATTTATGTCTTTCACCCTTTTAAAATAGGAATAAAGATCTCATATATATTTTCTAATTTATTATCTAGTATTTATTATAGGAAGAGAGTTTTGTCTAATCACAACTCATTAAAATCACATATTATTCACAATAACCCACCACTAAAGACTCATCAGGCTAGCAAGAAAGAATAAAAAGTGTTTGTAAAATGAAACTTCATTTTAAGCATTTCTCTTTGGAGACAGTCCAGCAAGTTAAAGAAAAGAGAGGAGTATGTGTAATAAAATACCTTGGCAAAGAAAATTTGCCACAAAAAAAAAGAAAGAAGAAATAATATCGAGGACAGCTAAAATACTTTGCAAAAATGAAGTAGGAACTCTGGGACCAAACCGAACGTTCCTGCTCTCAACTGTACCCTAATAAAGAAAGAGGAGAAAAAAAATCAGGCCAAGAATTTACCTACTCTATTTCTTGTTTTTAATCGTGATTCCTTTTCATCCTCCAGCACTGGGTTATAACCCACAGGTATCTTGTTAGCTGAATGAAGCAGTTCTTTGCTTCTCTCCTGTTCCAGCCAGAACTGATGTTCAGATCATTATTATATGCACAAAGAGGCAACAGAGTAGCATTTGTAATTCTTACGAATGTCACCCCCATCCGCAGCAGGCCATTGGAATGGGGGTTATGAATACTCAGTTTGCTGAGTGAGATGATTCTGGCATCAGCTATGTGGCATTTCCCACATGTTTAGCCTGAAAGAAGACATTTGTTTGGACTATATGCTTCTGTGTACTTTTTTAATGCAATAAAATTGACAGATGACTCCTTTTTGCAACAGGTTTGGAGAAAGAAAATGTTGTGGTTTCACCCTCCCCTTTCTTCCTTGATGGCTGTTTAGACAGCAGTCTTAAAAAATCACTAGTCACTAAGATCCCTCATGCCCATTTCATATTGTGTTGATTCATATTAAATTCATGACAACAAAAAAGCAACTTGAGGCACTTTTGGAAATGACCGCTCTTTAGTGCGCCTCTCCTTCCTCCGGGCTCGGTGGGCCCAACGCCCATAAAGCTGCCTGCTGTCTTGTGTCATGAAAAGAAACAGCTTTGCCTGGGAATGCCATTACTGTGTAATGAGCCATGCAGCAAAATATACCTTCAGCAGCCACTTGATGAAGGCTTGCTGACACACCAGACCAGACAGAAATGTTTTTTTGTATGTTCTTCCTTATTTTGTCCATCAATCACATCATTAGTCAAAGCAGACAAGCCTGTCAGCCAGGCCCAGATGCGGAGTGGCAGGCGATCAGTGGACAGGTGTTCCAGCTCCCCCAAAACGAAATCCTGCAATAAGAAAGGAGCCAAGACCTTGTTTCAAGGGCTGGAATGTCAATGAGAAAGGAAAACATGCGCACACACACACACAGAGGGGAGTTAGAAGCAGACTTCTAAGGAGGTGACCACCAGGCACCTCAGTCCTGCCCGATTGGGCCAGGACAGGCGCTCAATTTGGGAGAGGTTGAAGGAATCCAGAGAGAAAAAGCTGTAGATTTCTTGTGGTCAGTGAGGTATTGAAATGCAACATTCAAAAACAATAAATAGGCCCGGCGAGGTGGCTCACGCCTGTAATCCCAGCACTCTGGGAGGTCGAGGCAGGCAGGTCACCTGAGGTCAGAAGTTCAAGACCAGCATGGCCAACACGGTGAAACCCCCGTCTCTACTAGAAATACAAAAATTAGCCGGGCGTGGCGGCGGGCACCTGTAATCCCAGCTACTCGAGAGGCTGAGGCATGAGAAACGTTTGAACCTGGGAGGCGGAGGTTGCAGTGAGCCAAGATCATGCCATGGCACTCCAGCTTGGGTGACAGAGTGAGACTCCATCTAAATAAATAAATAAATAAATAAATAAATAAATAAATGGAACTTCTTTTGTGACCCACTTCAATATCCTTAATGCATAAAATTAGACTGGATAGGTCAGATGCCTCGGGCCACCTGAACTCATCCGAGCTACCTACCTGACACTGGCTGGAAAATCTCTAGCATCTACTGCAGCATCTCTCATGTCTCAGAAAAGAAAGTAGCCCTCTGGTGGAAACTGCCCCCTCTTTTCCAGCTCATCCTAGACTTCCTTGCTTTCAGGAATCATTTTTGCCATGTTTTCACTCTGGAAGTTAACAGGTTAAGGAAACCGACCATATGGAGTCATCTTCAATGGTTAATTTCTGGCTTTTAAAGCAAGCCCTGAAATGCTTGTGCGTAATGAGCTCATTGCTTGGTTACCTCCTTGTTACCGAGGACTAGCTCACTGGGTCCCCACCTCCACCCTGGCCGTTTCAGCTGCATGTCCAAGGTGATACTTTGTGATTGTCCAGCTGAAATGAGGTTGTAGCATGTACCACTTTGTTTTGTTTTGTTTTCCATTTTTAAAATAGACTTTATTTTCAGGACAGTTTTAGATTTATAGAAAAATCGAGAAGACAGTATAGAGTCCCATGCCCCATTTCCCCTATCATTAACATCTTACATTAGTAGAGTACATTTGTTACAAGGAATGAACAAATATTAACACATTGTCATTAACTAAAGTCCATCTTTTATCCAGATTTTCTTCATTTTTATCTCATGTCCTTTTTCTAGTCCAGGATCCCATCGAGGATAGCACTTACATTTAGTTGTCATGTCTTCTTAGACTCTCAGCTGCAACCATTTCTCAGACTTTCTTTGTTTATGATAACCTTGACAATTTTGAGGAGTACTCATATGTGCCATTTACGGTAACTCATTATTTGAAAATGTGGCATATATATATATTTGTGTGTGTGTGTGTGTGTATATGTGTGTGTGTGTGGGAATGCAAGACCTTTGCAACTTTAATAAATAATCGTGCTAAAAAAGGTGGAGGAGGGGAATATTCAGAGAGAAGGAAGAGGGGGAATTAGGACCATTGAAAGGTCAGAAGTCTTTATACAGCACCAGGTAGAAGATGCCGACACTCCAATCTTTCCCAGAGTTGACCTTTCCAAAGATATGCTGAGTAGGAAGGGGCAATGCCTGATAGAAGATTCAAACCCACACTTCCACCTTTAACTGAGAATTAAATCTGCAGATATTTCCTCTGGGGTTTCCAAAAAGCAAGCAAGCATATGATTAATCTGCCTAGCCATTAGATGCCTCCATGCCCGATTCCATTTATCTAGGGGTGATGGAGACATCAGGGTTGGCTAACATGAAGGTGTGGACCCAAGAGGCCAAGGGCTGTGGCTCATCTGGGAGCCTGAATGCACCCAGCCCCCGGGCACCAAGACAGGCGGTGGGGTGTAAATCCAGCCCTTTGAAGATGCTTCTGAGGCCCCCTCTTCCTCCCCTGCCTTTCCTTATTTCTCTTCTCGTACCTTTTCCTTCCTTCTCTACAAAGCTCAGAGAGACCATGAAGAGAACAGAATCAGGTTGGGAATGTGTGGTCCCTTTTGATGATTAAGAAAGACCATTCAATTCTTCCCCTTCTCTCAATATCTTGTCTGGGAGAGAAAATAGTGCGTTGAAGCAGGGGTCCACAACCCCCTGGGTACAGACGAGTGCCGCACACAGGAGATGAGCGGCAGGCAAGCAAGCGAGTGAAGTTTCTGTATTTACAGGCTTTCCCCATCGCCCGCATCACCGCCTGAGCCCTGCCTCCTGTCAGATCAGCCGCTGCATTGGATTCTCATAGGAGCACGAAGCCTATTGTGAACTGCGCATGTGAGGGATCTAGGTTGTGCGCTCCTTATGAGAATCTAATGCCTGATGATCTGTCACTGTCTCCCATCACCCCGAGATGGGACCATCTAGTTGCAGGCAGAGAAGCTCAGGGATCCCACTGATTCTACATAATGGTGAGTTATATAATTATTTCATTATATATTATAATGTAATAATAATAGAAATAAAGTGCACAATAAATGTAATGCACTTGAATCATCCTGAAGCCATCCACCCCCTACCCAGTCAGTGGAGAAATTATCTTCCACCAAACCGGTACCTGGTGCCAAAAATGCTGGGGACTGCTGCCTTACAGGACCCGCAATTCCAACGACATCAAAACATACAGCAGCTGGGCACCCATCACATCCTACCAAGAGCCTCAATGCTATATGTAATGTTAAATTATGCTTTACATTTCATCGCTGCAAGTACCCCAAGTTTTCCATCTTATACACATGTTTTATGAGCCTGCCCTTCACCCAGAAGGTCTACAGAAAGTAAAATAAACGAATCCAACACTCTGTTCAGCTTGGATCATCTGACATTCATTATTAGAAGGGACAAGTGACAATTTGAAAGCTATGCTCACACTGTAGGAGTTTTCAAGCCTGTTGTATGGTATATAATCAATCAACCAATCAATCAATTTTACAGAGTACCTACTGGGTGTTAGGCCACGTGGGAATACTGGTTCCGGCCCTCAAGGAACTTTTATTAGTCAGAGAAAAAGAACTGCACCTTCCCTCCTTGTGGCTGTTGATTAGACAGATAGATTAGGCAGCTTCCCTGGCTCAGTAAGGATCAACCCAAAGGACAGGTTAGATGATTTAGATTCCTTTTCTTGGGGATTTGGAAGTAAAGCACAGAATGGCCCAGTCAAGTCTCTGTGCCTATTAGTTGTAAAGGTAAGTAGGGTCTAGGCTGGACTGGGTCTTGGGAAGGCAGAAGAGGGTAAGATAAGAGGGATGGCCAGGCATGGTGGCTTATGCCTGTAATCCCAGCACTTTGGGAGGCCGAAGCAGCCAGATCACCCGAGGTCAGGAGTTTGAGAGGAGCCTGGCCAACATGGTGAAACTTGTCTCTATTAAAAATATAAAAAGTAGCTGGGTGTGGTGGCAGATGCCCGTAATCCCAGCTACTCCGGAGGCTGAGGCAGGAGAATCACTTGAACCAGGGAGATAGAGGTTGCAGCGAGCTGAGATTGCACCATTGCATTCCAGCCTGGAAGACAGCAAAATTCCATCCCCCCATCCCCCCACCCAAAAAAGAGAGAGAGAGAGAGAAGGAGGAAGAGACAGAGACAGAAACAGACGGAGACAAGGAATACAGATGTGTAGCGAGAGGTCAGAAAACAAGACCAGCTGGCCTCAGCACAGGTGGCTGTATTTCCTGACTGGAACATCTCAATTCCTGTTTCCAGGCCCCCTGCTTCCCGGGGGCATTTCCTACCCATGTCCCCTGGAAAATAACTCTATAGACCCCCAGGTAACCCCTGTCTTGCTTAAGCAAGCTTGGGGAGTGTTGCATTTTCTGTACTCAAAACGCTCCTTACTAGGACCACACCTACCAAATGGACCTTAAATACAGGAAATCTTCTCTAAGTCAGAGGAAGGAGGAATATTTAATAGTTGTGGGAGGAGACATCAGAGAGGGGCCATAGAATTGTTAAGGGTTGGAAAGACTCAGATAATCAGAGAAGAATGATTGCTTCATATTCGGATCACTAAACAGAAACGTGATGTAAGTCGAGTTCATTGAATCTGCTCCCACCCTCAAAAGATACCGTAGGGGAAAAAATGGTAACAATTCTGTAAAATCAAAGAAATGAAACAACGATCACAATTTCTTCCATAAGACTTAGGAAAGCCTCATAACTTCCCAACCCCCCACACAAGAGGCTTGCCCTGAGATACACTCCTCACCACTGAACTGCATGTCCTCATTGCCTCTCCGTATAGGGTCAGAGAAACGCAATAGTGAGAGAATTGCCTTATCCTCAAGGCAACATTATACTCTCTCCTCCTCTCCCAAAAGAAAACACATTTTAGGAGTGCAATGGGGCATGATCTTGCCTCACTGCAACCTCTGCCTCCCAGGTTCAAGTGATTCTCCTACCTTAGCCTCCCGAGAAGCTGGGATTACAGGCACCCACCACCACACCCAGCCAATTTTTTGGATTTTTAGTAGAGACAGAGTTTCACCATGTTGGCCAGACTGGTCTCCAACACCTGACCTCAGGTAATCCCCCTGCCTCAGCCTCCCAAAGTGTTGGGATTACAGGCATGAGCCACCTTGCCCGGCCTAAAAAAATGTTTATTTTCAAAAGAACATTACATGAATAATACTAATATGAGAAAACAGTTCTAATGAATGAGGGTTTTGCTGTTGTTGCTGTTGTTTTGAAACAGAGTCTCACTCTGTCACCCAGGCTGGAGTACAGTGGCACAATCACGACTCACTGCAACCTCTGTCTCCCAGGCCCAAGCGATCCTCCCACCTCAGCCTCCGGAGTAGCTGGGACCACAGACATGCACCGCCACGCTTGGCTAATTTTTGCAATTTTTGTAGAGATAGGGTCTCACTGTGTTGCCCAGGCTGGTCTCAAACTCCTGAGCTCCAGCAATCCTCCCGCCTTGGCCTCTCAAAGTGCTGGGATTGTAGGTACGAGCTACAGTACCTGGTTCATATTAGGGTTTTTTTTTGTTTGTGAGCTGGTCTGTTGGAGTTCCAAAGAGCCTGGGATAGTGCCGTGGACCGAAACATTTTTTCCACTTTTAGAAGTTCATTTCTATGTCTCTCAGAGGAAAAATTCATGCTTTCTTAGATTGCTCTGGTCTTCCTCACCAGGGCCTTGACCTGCCCTATGGAAAGAGGCCCAGTGGTGCAAGTGGCAGTCCTGGGGATAATAGTATAATAGACGTAATCTATAGCGTCTTAAAGGGCCAGGTAATGCTGGCACCTCCTGCACATTGTCTGTCATCTGAACACCAACCACGCAGAGTCGAAATTAGTATCCCCATTTTCAGAAACGCTAAGTAATTTGCATAAGCTACAGAGTCTGCAAGTGGCAGGGTGGAATGCAGCTCTGGTCTCAAGAACTCCTCGGCCTGTGACTCAGCTGTGACATCATGCCGTACCCTTGAATGTTCACGGCCAGCAATGGGCAGAATTCACACATCCAGGACCATCTGGAGACTCTAGAGATGCATACATGCCTTACTAGTGAGCTTTTGCAGGAAGCTTCTTTGTAGCAAGTTATATCTCTTTTCACACTGAGAAAACAAATAGAAAGGCCCATTATGGGGAGGGTAAAATTGGAGGACGATTCAGATATGTGCTAAGGTCAGAAATAAGGGTTTATTCATTCTATTGGATGAGCTCATCAGTAGATGTGACTGTTTGGGTTGCCAAGTTGCCAAAGAAAATGAGAGGGCAAGACATCCGAGGTCCCTGACACTATCCAGCACTCAAGGACCCACACAGGGACACGGTGGTTCGGCGTGCCTGCAAAACGGAGGGGTGATGTTTAAAGCATTTGGAAAATGAAATATGCTTCTCAATGCTCTGTAGAGCAGTTGTCTCCCAGCTCCTTTAATGACACAGGGATTCCCAAAATGCCCACAGGCACCCAGCCATTGTCAGCCTGCATGCTGGAGGCCCTGTGGATGGTACAGGGTTCAAGGCTCTGGATCCACATGAAGCAGGAGGTTCGTCCAGGATGCTGGTCCGAGTGCTGTCTTTGGTCCCTCTACTCCTGCCATGCAGCTCCCAGCTAGCCCCTGGGGTCATGCTGTCAGGAGCACTGAAGGTCTCACCCATACTGTGTTTACAGGGAGGTCGGGCACAGCCACCCCAAGGGGCTTGGTGGTGAGCCGGGGCACTTCCTTCACATGAGACCCCTGGAAGCTTCGCTTGTCCTGAGCCAGCAAAAAGCTGTTTTTCACTATGGTGCTTGCCTGTATTCCCCTACATGGGGTGCTATGTATGTCCTGCGAGCTTGTGTTACTACGTGCCTATCAGGGTCTTATATGTCTCCACAGGGCTCCGGCCCATTGGCCTGGCCACATACCTTTAGCCTATCCCACCTGGAGGCACCCCAGTGTGAGCAGATGGAGACCTGCAGGTGCCCTCCACAAGTCACTGATCATGGGCCGCTTCAAACTGATGTGTTGAAATATTTGTTCAGCATTGATTTAATAAAGATAGGAATAACTAATATTTAGTAATAACATTGCATATCTTTTTTAAAAAATTTAACCTCAGTAATACATCATCATAAAATGGTAAAAAATTTAAACATCACTGAAATACACAGAATAAATGTGAAAACCCCCAAATATATTTTTAACCCTACCTCCATGCCCCTCTTTCAGATGTAAGCACTGTAAAACAATCAGATGCGCACCTTTGCAGTCATTTTTTCTACTCATTTCTATAAATATGTGTATATAACTATATAATTGGATTTCCACATAAATGAGAATACATTATTATACATATTATCATATACCCTGAATTTTTTTTACTTAATGTATTTCAAAGATCTTTCAAAACAATACCCGTTATTCTCTTTAACAGCTGCTTAGTATTCCATAGCATGGACATACCATAACTTATGAAATATTTAAGGTGCTCGTAATATTTTTCATTATTACAAATAAGGCTTTGGTGTGCAGTCTTGTGTATAAATCTTTGAACAATCCTGAAAGTGTTTCTGTAGATTAGACTTCTAAAATTAAAACTGCTTTCTTGAAAGCTGTGTACATTTTAAATGCAGGCTCTTTCTGCTAAAAGGGCTAATTGACATTTCCTGAGTGGTAGATAACATGGTATATTCTCTTGTATTCCAGCCTGCTCAGGACTTACCAGACTTTTAAAATTTTACTGTTCTAATGTATACAAAGGGGCAATCTTGTTTAAATTTGGATTTCTCTGATATTCTGAAAGATTCAATGTTTAAAATGTAGGTGTTGGCTATTTGTATTTTCTGTTCCCTGAATGGCCTAATCATTTTCGTTGTCTATCTTTCCATGGAATTATTTAATTTTCTTACTGAGTTTTAGGAGTGTTTTAGAAATTATGAATAGTAATTAATGTTTTATTATTTATGTTATACATATTTCTCCCAATCCATCATTTGGTTTTCGTTCAGATTTTTGTTTGTTTTAATGTAGTCAAATATGTCAGTTTATTCCTTCAGATACTCTGGGATTCATATCTTATTGCAGAATATGTTTTACATCAAAAGATTGTTTTGATAACTTTTATGAACTTTTTAATGCAAGGTGAAACTTTGCATATTATGAAATGGAGGTCTAATTTTCCAAATGAACAATGAGTCGTCCTCATCATTAGTTAACTGGCTCATTCTTTGCCACCTTTGTTATAAACTAAACTTTCAATTACATAATTCTATTTCTTCCCTCTTTAGTCTGTTCCATTGATTTTTTTTTCTTCCTTAATACTCATGGTTTTAATGTTTATACCCTTAGATTAAGTGTGGAATTTTGATGGGGAAATTAGTCCTCCTAACTTACTTGTCTCCTTTTTTTTTTTTTTTTTTGAGATGGAGTCTCGCTCTGTCACCCAGGCTGGAGTGCAGTGGTGCGATCTCGGCTCACTGCAAGCTCCGCCTCCTGGGTTCACCCACCATTCTCCTGCCTCAGCCTCCCGAGTAGCTGGGACTACAGGCACCCGCCACCACGCCCGGCTAATTTTTTTTTATTTTTTTGTATTTTTGGTAGAGACAGGGTTTCACCGTGTTAGCCAGGATGGTCTTAATCTCCTGACCTCGTGATCCGCCCGCCTCAGCCTTCCAAAGTGCTGGGATTACAGGAGTGAGCCACTGCGCCTGGACACTTGTCTCCTTTTTGAAAAATCTTCATGATTCTTCTCCAATCTTTCTTTGAAATGATTCTAGAATCAGCTTCTTGTGTTTCTTTTAAAAACCTCTTACTGAGATGCGGTTGGCAATTATACCAGACACTCTTATTCCTTAGCCTTCCATCCCTTTTACTCCAGGCACTGTTGGAACATTTCCTAAAAATAACCTACCTGCAGGCAAGTCTTGGTTGCAGATTTTGCTTCCTGGGAAAGCAGTCTCCAGCCCAAGAGAGAAGAGCATCAGCTAACTGAATGAAAAATTAATTTTGAAAGGTCTGACATCTTTGCTTATTGAGCCTTCTCATCTCTAACTACTATTCAGTTAACTAGTCTCCTTTAAGTCCTTTATAAACTTTTATAGTTTTATTGTTACAAGTCTTGCATGTTTTCTGTTAGCTATATTTCTAGATGCTGTATGTTTTTTGTTGCTATTAAATGGGATATGTTCATAATGTATTTTCTAATTGTTGTTTTTGTTGTTGTTTAGAAAAACTATTTTTGTATGTTTATCTTGTATCCAATTGCCTTCAAATATATTTCCAAGGAATTTACTTAGATTTGATAGTTATGAAAACATATCAGCTAAAAATGGTGGTAGTTTTATTTATCCACTTATATAATTCTATTTCCATATTCAGTGGCTGGGATTTCAATAAGCATCTTGTTTAGTTTCTAGACTTCAAATAAAACATTTTTTTTTTAAATTTTGCAGCATGAATTTGGATTTCTCAAACTTTTTATTGGGTTAAGTTTTCTTCTTTTCTTAGCTTACTGTGACTTTCACAAATGAGAGATTAATTTTATTTAGTGCATCTTTACATAGGATTTCTTTTCTTTTCTTTTTTATTTGAAACAAAGCCTTGCTCTCTTCCCAGGATGGAGTGTGGTGGTGCGATCTTGGCTTGCTGAAACCTCTGCCTCCTGGATTCAAGAGATTCTCCTGCTCAGCCTCCCGAGTAGCTGGGATTACAGGCATGCACCACTTCACCTGGCAAATTTTTGTATTTTTAGTAGAGACGGGGTTTCACCATGTTGGCCAGTCTTGTCGTGAACTCCTGACCTCAGGTGATCCACCCACCTTGGTCTCCCAAAATGCTGGGATTAGAGGTGTGAGCCACCTCTCCTGACCAGGATTTCTATTTTAAATTGTGAATTTTGTTACTGATACTAGTATATTTCATCAGGTTAACTATCCTTTTATTCTTAAAATAAACTCAACTAAGTAAAAAGCAAAATGAATATGTTTTATTTTGAGTTTCTGTATCTATGCTCATACATATAATTTAAAAATTTATTCTACTCTTGTAGAAGAGAAATAGGGAAGGGAAATATCACCATTGTAAAATAAGTTGGGAAGGTTTCCATGGTTTTCCAGGCCCTGGAATATAGGATTTTCTGTTTGTTTGTTTGTTTGTTTGTTTGTTTGTTTGTTTTTAAGGTTTGGTACAGTTTATCTGCAAATACTCTAGGTCTGATGCAATTTTTAAGAAATTATTTTCACTATTTTTACAAATTTCTTTCAGAAATTTTGGGCTTTTCTGGTCATCCATTTGATTCAATCTTGGTAATTTGTATTTATTAGAAATACTTTGATTGTGACTATATTTTAGAATGTAATAATGCCCACTTAATTTTATAATCTCCTCATTATCTGAAGTTATATTATCCTCCTCATTTTGAATATCATTTATCTTATGTATATACTATTTCTTCTTGACCATATAGATCTGATATTTTTGTCTTTTCAAAGAATCAGGTATTAAAGCTATTGTTTTACTGCATTAATTTCAGATTTGTTATTATCATTAACCATGTCCTACTTTCTTTGGGTTTATAATATTGTTCCTTTTCTGTCTTCTTGAGTTGCATGTTAATTTAATTGCACCCATTTCTCTTTTCCAGTATATTTACTTAAGTTTTTTATTGTTACCATTAGCTTTATTTTTTAAAATATTTGGGTGACTCTCATTTTTGTTGTGAATTTATTTTATTTTGATCTCTTTTAACTCAAGGATTGTTTTAGAAGTCTGGATTTTTAACATGATCTGTCTTCATGATTTCTGATTTGAAGAATTTATAAACATTTCCTTTGGGGCTAAATGCATGATCATTTCTGTATGTATTTCACATGTTTGAAAATAACAGATGATGGCCAGTTTGTGAAGAAAAAGGAATGCTTATACACTGCTGCTGGGAGTGTAAATTAGTGTAACCATTGTGGAAGAGAGTGTGGCAATTCCTCAAAGTCCTAAAGACAGAAATATCATTTGACCCAGCAATCCCATTACTAGGTATATATCCAAAAGAATAAAAATCATTCTATTATAAAGACACATGCACACATATGTTCACTGCAGCACTGTTCAAAATAGCAGAGACTTCGGATCAACCTTAATGTCCATCAATGGTAGACTGGATAAAGAAAATGTGGTCCTTATACAGCATGGAATACTATGTAGCCATAAAAAAGAATGAGATCATGTCCTCTGCAGAAACATGATGGAGCTAGAGGCCATTATCCTTGGCAAACTAATGCAGGAACAGAAAATCAAATACTGCATGTTCTCACTTACAAGTGGGAGCTAAATGATAAGAACATATGGACCCACAGAGAGGAACAGCACACACTTAGCCCTATTGGAGGGTGGAGGGTGGGAGGAGGGAGAGGATCAGGAAGAATAACCAATGGGTACGAGGCTTAACACTTGGGTGATTAAATAATCTGTACAACAAACTCCCATGACACAAGTTTACCTATGTAACAAATCTGCACATGTGCCCCCGAGCTTAAAATAAAAGCTTAAAAAAAAAGAAAATAGTGTTTTCTATTGTTCAGTAAGTGTGTGCATATACACTCAACATATAGTCAAGTTTATTTTGTATTATTTATTTTTTAAATAACACTACTCATTTTTCTTTTAATCTGTGTATTTTTAGTTTATGGAGTTCCGAGAAAGTTCAGGGAAATATCTCCAAATATAATTGAGGATTTATTACTTTCACCCTCTATTTCTATTACTTTTTGCTTTGTATGTGTGGAGCTATGCTGTTGGGTGCATAAAGGTACTTCTTCAAAACTCAGGCATGCAGTTCAACACGCCACTTTGACAGGGGAGACAGAAAAGAGCTCAATGCAGTACGAATGGAGGCATCATGCCAGGAGGAAAGCTTGGTGAATTAGGTAAGGGACATATTATAAAGGCCTTTCAGTGCTCTGCTGTGGGTTTTGGTCTTTGTTATTTATGTAATGGAGTCATCAAAGGTTGTTTATTTGTTTGTTTTTGAGACGGAGTTTCGCTCTTGTTCCCCAGGCTGGAGTGCAATGGCACAATCTCAGCTCACCGCAACCTCAGCCTCCCGGGTTCAAGAGATCCTCCTGCCTCAACCTCCCGAGTAGCTGGGGTTACAGGCATGTGCCACCACACCCGGCTAATTTTGTATTTTTAGTAGAGATGGGGTTTCTCCATGTTGGTCAGGCTGGTCTCTAACTCTCAACCTCGGCCTCCCAAAGTGCTGGGATTACAGGAGTGAGCCACCACACCCAGCCCATCAAAGGTTTTAATCAAGGTTGTGATTGACTTGATTGATTGACAAGGTCATGATCAATGACTCCAGCTGCATCATGAGAATGATGGTGTGAGACAGTAGACAGATTGACAGTCAGAGAGGGGCCCACAGGTCCTGAGGATATCTACATAGAAGGTCAGTGGGCATAGAAAAGAAGGCATGTATTTAAAGACATACCTGTAACCAACACTGAGCATCCACACAGGTGTTTCACAAAGTAGCAGATTTTACATATCATCCATGGAGGCTGTGGGCAACCTCAGTTGGGTTCTGAGAGACCCAACTGCTCAATACTGAAGGAAAAAGACTTTCACTGCAAAGGAGGGTATTATGAAGGCACCACCTTCACTGTGCCAACGGCAGGGACTTGGCAATCACACCTCTCTTCAGCATCACAATTGGCTAATACCTGTGCCCAAAGAGGTGGATAAAAATGAAGCTATATTTCTCTGACAGAAGCTAACAAAATATGGAATGTTCTGGGGAAGGAGAAGGAAGAAAAACAACAGAATAAATTAAACTCAGAGTTTCAATGTTGACCTTGAGTGTTCCGTCTGTTTTCAGAACTTGAGGGTCAAGCAACGGCTGTTTCCAATTAATTTTATTCTTTATCATTTTCCTTAAAGAAACACATGCCTTTAGAATCAAAGACTTCTCTGTATTATAAGAAATAAATAACCAAGAAAAGTGCAACCATTGAAAATTTGTTTTGTTTTTTTTTTGCCACAGAAAAATGTGTAAATTGTTTCAAAGGGGTTTAGAGAGAACTGCAAAATTCTACCATGGCTTCATAGAATAGTTTTCTTTTCAGTAAAATTATAAAGCTAGTAATTTTGGAGAGTCAATCATCAAATTGTGTTTAGCAAACTGGTGAAGTCAGTAGTAGGTGAATATATGTTGTTGGGCCTGAAAGCATTTTTTAAAACTTTTGAATCCTTTCTTAGTGCCAACATTTTCAAATCAGGAGATTTCACATAAAGATCTGAATTCCTGTTTTATTTTGAAAGATATAGAGATCTGACAATATTTCACAAAATGGCTGCAGGTACTGAGTGGCAGCTGCCCTTTAGGTAGACACAATGAGTTCACCAGTATCTCTAGATCTTGGAGGCAGTTGCCATTTAGCATTAAGTTTGCATGATGGTTCTCCTTAGATGAGAATTTTAAACAAAGTGATATTCAGTAGAATATCAAAGTAGAAAAACAGGCTGAGTGTGGTGGTTCATGCCTGTCATCCCAGCACATAAGGAGGTGAAGGCAGATAGATCAGTCTTGGAGTTCCAGACAAGCCTGGGCAACAGAACAAGACCCTATCTCTCTAATAAAATAATAATAATGTGAAAAATTAACCAGGCATGGTAGTGCATGCCTTTAGTCCCAGCTGCTCGGGAGGCTGAGATGGGAGGATCCCTTGAACCCAAGAGTTCGAGGCTGCAGTGAGGCATGGTCATGCCACTGCACTCCAGCCTGTATGACAGAGTAAGGCTGCCTCTTAACAATAAATAAAATAAATTTATTTAAAAATAGAAAGGTAAAGTAGAAAAATAAAAGCTATGTCATGAAGCCTGAGGGGTTCAAAAGAGTTGGCCTGTTATATACCTGGCCAGCTTTGCATATTTCTGTCACTTGCCTGGCCTCTGTCAGCCTCGTGTTCATGGCACTTCCAACACAACACAACATGCCCCAGGCCCTGCCCTTGGCGAGGCTCAGCATGGCCCTAGAGGGCGGCGTGCTTGAAGAAATTGCCTTTTTATTCTAGAAATGCCTGGCTCATTTTTTCTTGGGTTCTTAATGCCCAAAAGGTCATAATGTGAGCTGAGGGGGGGCTAAGATAACATGAAACCTCTCCCACTACAAGTGCAGAGAAACACTGCATAGCATGCAACTATCCAAAAATATTGACAATGCAAAGCTGTGGTTGGAAAAAAGGAATCTTCGTGGGTTGGAAGTGAAGAGGAAACTAAACGTAAGAGTTGTGAGGTGCTGATGTCAGGGCTGCCTTCAGAGTGAGGGGCAGGAACTGGGGAGGGTGTTTTCTGTATTCATCTCTTAGGGCTGCAGTAGCAAAGTACTACATGCCAGGGGGCTTAAAACAACAAAAATGTATCACCTCACAGGTCCAGAGGACAGGAGGTGGGAAACAAGGAGTCCGCAGGGCCAGGCTCCCTCTGAAGGTGCAAGGAAAGAACCGTGCCTCAACTGTCTCCTAGCTTCTCCTAGCCTCGGCATTCTTCGGCTTGTAAACACATCACTCCATCCTCTGTCTTCATATGACACTCTCCCTGTGTGTTTTCAAGTTCTCCTCCCTCTGTGCATGTCTATCTCTGTGCCCAAATTTTTTCTTTCTATAAGGACATCAGTCATATTGGATTAAGGCCCACCCTAATGATCTTATTTCAACTTGATTTCCTTTGGCAAGACCCTGTTTCCATATAAGGTCACATTTTGATCTTATGTTGTTGAGGTACTGGGGTTAGGACTGAAACATATTTAATTTTAAGGGGACATAATTCAACCCATAATAGTATTCCTTGGGGCAATCCCCAGGGCTGGAGTTTTAAAGGCTATGTAGAGACTAAAGATGAGGCCTTAGGCTGGTATGGAGAGGAGATGGACCATAATCCCTACTTGAAGACGGGATCCTTAAAAAGCTACACTCTCAGTTAAAAGGAAGGCTCTGTGAAAAAAAAAAAACAAAAACTATGGACCATCATGGGGAAAGGAGACAGGAGCTTACTCATTGGTTTGGGTCTAAATGCTTGCTTGAGAATTCAAAACCCTAGCCTAAGACTGTTTGGAGTTTAAATTTTCAATCTCTGGAGGATCCAGAAAACTCTAAGCCCTCCAAAATTAATATAAGATTTGCCTTGAGCTAGTGATGGCCCTAGACAATGGAAGAAGCCAAGGACATAAAACCTCTGTGAGAATAACTTCATAACACTGTCCACCTGGGCTTCTCATGAGAAAAAAAGAAAAACACACTGACAATGGCAATGAACTCTCAATCAAAAATTACCAAGCAGACCAGAAAGCACAGATTAGAAAGGAGTATCCTTGGAAACAATGAATAGGTGGACTAGAGCCTCAAAGTTGAGATAATGGAATGTCAATTTAAAGAGTAATAGATAAAGTAGATTTGTTTAAGTGATCTTCAACACTTAAGACATTCTTTAAAAAGAATTAAACTCCTGGGGTGGAGGCAAGGCAAGATACTTTGAAAATAGAACATAAAGATGTTTTAAAAAGAATCAAATTGATAAAGCTCTAGAAATAAAATGTAGTCAATAAAATTAGTGAATGGGTTAAGAAGTAGATTAAACGTAGTTTAAGATAAAACATCAAAAGTATGTACCTATCAGCTATCAATAAACTTGAAGTTATGTATTTGTTTTAATTTCTCATGAGTTGTGTCTTTAAAAGGAAGATAAGGAAAACAATAAGCATTATTGTTGACTCAGAATTGTCACCAAATGCAGCCCTCATCCATAAATGCAACTTATAGCACAGTCCCATTACCACACCCAACACATTTAGTATCAAAACATTAATATTATGTAATATACAATCCATGATTATATTGAGCTGTTTGTCCTTTGGGGAATTTTTTTCCCCATGATCCAACCAAGGATTTGACATTGCAATTGGTCACCATGTCTCTTTTGTCTTCTGTTACTTATACCATTTCCCTTACCTTTTTTCTTCTTCTTACATCCATAATATTGATTCTGTTGAAGAATCCAAGCCAGTTGTCCCCTGCAACGTTATCAAATCTAGACTTTTTTGATATTTACTCATGGATGGAGTTACGTTCAACATATTGGTAAGACAACTACTGACCACAAGGCAAAGCTGTCTTAAACTTTAGTTTGCAAGATTGTGTTGATTGTGGCATCAACGATTAGTAAATCTGAAATTATTGTATATGTACTGTAGCACAGAGCAAATAAGTAAATATATTAGTGTTATTGGAAACTAGAACTTTCCTTAAGAGAGAAAGGAGATACAAATATAGACTAGAGGAAGTGTGGAAAACGCCTATGTTATTAGAAGTAATCTGGAGGGCTTATTATGAATTCCCGATTTTGCTAAAGAAAGAAATAAAATGGGGCCAGGCACAGTGGCTGGCACCTGTAATCCTAGCACTTTGGGAGGCTGAGGCAGGCTGATCACTTGAGGTCAGGAGTTTGACACCAGCCTGGCCAACATGGTGAAACCCCATCTCTACTAAAAATACAAAAATTAGCCAGGTGTGGTGGCATGCACCTGTAATGCTGGCTACTCAGGAGGCTGAGGCAGGAGAATCACTTGAACCCGGGAGGTAGAGGTTGCAGTGAGCCAAGATAGCACCACTGCACTCCAGCCTGGGTGACAGAGCAAGATTTCATCTCAAAAAAAAATAAATTAATTAATTAATTTAAAAAAGAAACATTACATTTTCTAGTTCTTTTGACCGAAATGTCCTAGGAACAATGACCCTCCAGTACCAATGAGCCCTTCCAGTACCCAGATTGTGGTTTCTAAATGCCACTCCCCACTGGAAGGAAACAAGGATCCTTGGAGCAATGACTCATTTCCAGTCCGAGGCAGGAATAGACAAGCTGATCTTGGAACAGAAAATAAGGAGGTGCTCAAAGCTGAAGGAGATCTCCCTGGTCAAACTGAAGGCAATCTTAATGTCAGAAAGAATAGTGATGCTAATGGATTATAGCATACTGACAGAAAAATAATCCACAAATTTATGGAGATAGATTCTTAGTTCCTTATCAACATAAGCTAATAACTGTAGAAGTAATGACTGAATTAGAAAAATCACCATATTGCAACCAAAAATGTAATAATTGACTCAGTTACGGAAGGTCCAAAAACCATTAGTCAAAAGATCGTTGGGGAACAGGATATTTACATGGTGTCCAAGTATCAACCCACAGACTATTCACTGATCACAAAAAGCAGAAGGAACCTCCTCAAGGGAGAGACTTGGCAGTCACCACTTTCACCAGGTGAACAACCTTAGCATCATCACTTAATGGGACCAACTGCAGTCACATTCCTCCTGACTCCATAGGAAATGTACATCTTTAACTAAGTTATTACTCTTAGGGAGATTCCAATTATACCCCAAAGCTCATGAATCCTGGCAAAATGCAGAAGGGAAGGGGCATAGTATATCCACAAAGTAAAGATAGGAGAAGGTCCCCCCACTTCGAGGGGCTCACATTCAGCACTAGACACTGCTTCTGCCACAAGGTTCTCTCCTGAATGGGACTAATTATTGAGCTAATGCCACTTCCTAGGCATGTTCCAGTGTAAGGCGCTAGGGGTCCTGGCTATAGCTATTATTTAAAGCAGTGGTAATAGACAGTAGTCTGGCATAAGGACACCTCACTCACACACAAAAAGTAGGTCCTGAGCTACTTTAAGTTTGATGGAGGCAACTGGAACCAACCCCAGATGAGTTGAGGTTCTTCACGTCTGTTCATGCCCCCACAGCCAAAAAAAGCCCATTCCAGCTTCACCAGAGGAATTAGCCCCCTCCTGGGGCTCAAGAACATTGCCTGGAGCTGCTTTCACTTGAATACTCACTCCATCATCCTTCCTGGAATCCCACATTTGGGCTGAATGGTTCTCAGGCATCAAGGAGACAAGTGGCTCTTAGATCTGCCTCTGAGATCCGGGCATCAGAATGTCAGGCCAACCATAACAACACTGCGGAGGGACTGTGCTTCCATCAGCCTTCTGGGGGCAGAGGGGTTCTCCACCTTTCCGTTTGTCCTTATTTTACTTTTCGCAGGATCTTTTTTGGCAGGTTGTAAAATACATCCTCTCTCCCCGGGAGACTCTCTGTTGTGCTGCAGTCCATCTGAACAAATATGTATTTACAACTGGTTCTTTTTTAAAACATGCGTTATGTGCCTAATAGACTGAAATGACTCTTTGGGGGAAGTGCAGCATAGATCCCGGCAGTTTTTTGTTGTCTATAACATTCACCTCTTTTATATGGCTATTTATTTTTCTGCTGGTTTGGATGGTGGGAAGGGCTAGGAGGAGGAAAACCCATATACCCACATATGAACTGCAATATATAAAACCAAGAGATTGGGCATAGAGCACTAATGATCTTGGAGGCTGATATGAATGTGAGCTCCATACTGAAAAAAGTCAAAGGAAAAAAAAAGACTCTTTATTCTAGTTGTGAGTTACTTTATAAGTTTAAAGTTTAGGAA
This sequence comes from Homo sapiens, assembly GCF_000001405.40. Lineage (NCBI taxonomy): Eukaryota > Metazoa > Chordata > Mammalia > Primates > Hominidae > Homo > Homo sapiens. The sequence continues at coordinate 30,830,539 of NC_000019.10, read as the reverse complement.
CAAATTCCTATATCAGAATGCTCTTGGCTATTAAGGGAAACTGTACGCGAACAGCTTAAGCAATAGGGGAACCCTGTTATCACAAGTAACAAAACTTCTAGGGACAAGATGGCTCCAGGGCTGGTTAATCCTGCAGTGCAGCAATGTTGACCAAGTCCCACGTTACTTTCATTCTTTCACTTCACTACCTTCTTTGTGTCAGCTTGTGGTCATATAAGAAGACTGCCACAATTCTAGCTGTCACATGCCAACCCAGTGATGGCTAGTGGACGAAAAGAGACCATCTCTTTCTCGTGTGTCACTATAAAAGTAAACTTTCCGCCTAGCAGAACTCCTTACTACGTCTCATTTCAGGCCTATGCCCAAAGCAATCACCGTTAATAAATAGAACCACAATGATTGGCCCTGACCAGATATTATCAAGCTTTTGTTTATGTAAATTATGTCTATCAGTATTTACTCCATTAAATGGTAGACATTGGATACTCAGAAGGTAGGAGGGTGGAAGAGGGGTGAGGAATGAGAAATTACTTAATGGGTACCATGTATACTATTTGGGTGATGGCTACACTAGTGATGGCTGCACTAAAAGCCCAGACTTCGCCACTACGCAATATTCACATGTAACGAAACTGCACTTGTACTCCCTAAATCTATAATAAACCTATAATAAAAGTACATATATTTGTTATATATTTATATATATTATATAATAAATATTTGTATTATATATTATTTATACATATGTTTACCCCATTAGAATTTTTTTTTTTTGAGGTGGAGTCTCTTTCTGTCACCCAGGCTGGAGTGCAGTGGCATGATCTCGGCTCACTGCAACCTCCACCTCCCAGGGTTAAAGTGATTCTCCTGCTTCAGCCTCCCTAGTAGCTGGGATTACAGGCACACGCCACCTTGCCCAGCTAATTTTTGTATTTTTAGTACAGATGGGGTTTCACCATGTTGGCCAGACTGGTCACAAACTCCTGACCTCAGGTGATCTGCCTGCCTTGGCCTCCCAAATTGCTAGGATTACAGGTATGAACAACCACACCCAGCCAATTTACCCCATTAGAAATTAAAACCAAAAAAATTAAAAAAAAATTATTTGTAAAAAATAAACTTATCATATATTAATACAAAGAGCATGCAGTTATTAAAAATAACTATGTGTTCCAACATGAAAAAAATGATGAGATGACTAGTATTCTTTTTTACTTGTGTAACTCTCTTTAATGTCTGGTTGAATAGAGACAGCTGATTTCTCATAACTTCTTTTGCATCCAATATGCTATAATATGTTGCATGGTTAAAGTACATGAAAAAATATGGCCTCACACAGCTATGTAGTTGCAAAAAGGAGGAATATTTTAATAATACTTTTGGACAATTGTGAACATTCTTCTTTGATACTACACTAAAACTTTACAAGGGGTAGCTTTTCAAAGATTAGATACAGTGTAGAATCTGAGGCCATATCAAAGAACTTTTATATTCTGTTACATTGATATCTATTGATCGACCTTGCTCTTTAAAATAATTTTTACCCAGGTATGTTTTTGTAACACCGTGCATTGATTGTTTGGCAATACGGTGGTTCAATGAATTATGCAGATATTTCATTATTGACATTTCTTGTTACACAATATTGAAAAATCATATTTGTTAATATATTCACCCATCTCATCAGAAGTTCTTAAGATGTTGCAGAGCTATTGAGCTCAGAGTGGCAAATACAATTTTTTCTAAAAATTATAATTTTGCTTTAAAACTTAAATTCTATCACTGGCAAGAAATACTACTAACCATTTTCCTTTCTTCATTTTTGAAAAAAAAAATGCCAAATACCATAATCTGAATAGCCATAATTGGTCAGACATTCTATAAAGTAAAATAGTGTTCCGTGATAAAAGCCAGCTAGTTCAGTTTACAACATAAACCATTGCCCAAGGGCTTTTCCTTGAGATGTCAATATGCATTGTACTTTGGTATGCAGCAGAAATGATTTTTTTTGTACTTCTCATTCTTCACTTAGAATAATTAAATGACGTGTACTCAAGAGGCAAGATTTAATAATAATTATAGTTTTTGCTATTTCATCAAAGATATTCTCAAATAAAACTGAAACTTTTTAACTGTGAGTATGGCAGTTAAGAATGAAATGTCTGTTAGTATAGTTTGGTGCCCCTGCCTTGATCGGTGCCAAGGCACCAGAAATTTTACTCGCCATTGCTTTTTTACCTTCAGAGCAAATGTCAACATGAAAAAAAGCAAATGATTTCTTAGTATTATCATGAAAATAGTTTTGACATCAAGGGCTCCCCGAAAGGGCCCTGAGATCCCTGGTATTCTACAGATTACATTTTGAGAACTATTTATTCATATCACCTGGGGTTTTCCTCTGCAGCTGGGATAATTTCACCCAATTAAAAATCATGCTGGAGACCTGGGTACCCAAATAAACATAGTCCCTGCCAACAGGAAAGAAGTGGGGAAGAGCTGTTGGTTAGGCAACCAAAAGGGTTTGCCACTGTCCCACTGGGTAGCGCTAGCTCTATATAGCAAATATACAGTGAGGAAAGTATTACCCTCCTAAGACTTCTTTGAGAAATCTTGGAATTGGCACTGGCTGTGCCTCCACCTCTAAGCACTTCTAGGACGACTGGGAGCTGGTGGGAGGATAGTGCTAATGAGATCAAGGTCTTGGATTTGACCAGTCGTCAGCCAACAGCTCTGGGAAAAATGCCATGCATAGAGATGAGAATATTAAGACACAATCCCAGCACAAATGATTCTTAGAGCTTATGGAGAAGGACAAAGAAAAAAACATTTATTCAGTCATTCACTCAAAAAATGCTTGTTGAACACCACTGTACCCAGCGCTAGAGATGCTGTTAGGAATGAGACATAGTCTGGCATCATGGAATTCACATTTATGTTAAGAAAACATATTTTTATTAGTATTTATTTAATATTTAACTAGACCTTTGACAAGGACTTTGAAGAAAAAGCAGAGGTTTATGATCAATGTGTTACTGTGGCACCCAGTGTGGGAGGCCACAGAAAATTTTCCTGAGGCAGTGGCAGTTAACTGAGACCTGGACAGTGAGCCAAGCGAGGAGTTGGAGGACAGAGTGCTAGCGGAAGAGGCAATGGCGACTGCCAAGGCTCAGACACTCAGAGATGGAAGGGAGCTCCCTCCCTTTGGAGAAGAAGGAAGCCAGCATTCCTAGACAATGGAGAGTGATGACTTGAGATGGAGCTGGAGAGCTAGCCTAGGCCAGGATCATGAAGAACCTAATTGTCCAGGCTAAGGATTTTTAGTTTTGTCCTAAAGGAAATGAAAAGCCATTAATGAATTAAATCAGGAGAATGACATGATAAGATTTTCATGTTTAAAAGATTTGCTGGCCTTAGGGTAGCAAATGGCCAGGAAAGAGGAATAGTAACTATGGGGACTGAGCTACCTCATGAGAAAACAGATGCAAATAGCTTCTTGTTCTGCTTGCCTTACTACCCTGGTGCACTCATAGGTAGAGCCAGCCATACCCTTCTCTGCAAAGTGCAAAAGACAAAGGGACATTACAGAGCCATGAGCACAAACCAATGATGGACAGAGCTGGGAAAGCAACACCACTGTGAGATGCTCAGGAGGAAAATAACCCCATCAAGTGCTCTTCTTACAAAAACTAAATGCAAATCAAACAAAGAAATGAAGTAATCAGAGGATATTCCAAAAGGTGGAGATGGTCCTGGAGTCAGTTATATAGATAGCATGAGAGATAAGCCTTTAAAATGGACCAGTGGAATGATGAATCTTGACCAGTCATTGGACACAAGTCTTTTTTTGTCCTCAAGGAATAGGTGATTCAATGGCAAACCAAGATCAGAAAACCAACTGCCAACTTTGCCTCCCAAAAGCAGTGTCTCTTCCTGCAGAGTTGACTTCCGCTAGGAATGAGAAGAATACAGTTATCTCATTTTTGGATCACCACATAAAGTCACTTCTACTGCAATTTTGTCCCGTGGCCAGCAAATTTTCTTCAATGATTGAAACAGTCATAGCTATGCTGGGATTTTGGTCACTTGTCTACTCAACGGAGATGAAAAGGAGGTGAATCTTCTAATGATGTAGTACTGAAGGTAGGCAAAACTTTAGTGACACTAAAGAACATTTAGTGTCATTGCAATCATTTCTATACCTGAAAAATATCAGGAATTTCCTACAGACATAGCACAGAATCCTATTAAATTACTGCCACTGACAATGTTAATAGGGACAAAGATTATCTTCTCCCTAATGTAGACCCCTCTTTCTCAGCCACCCATCCTGATGCTGGCTTTTATTTAAAAAATATTCTCTATGTGTGTTGGTAAGCCTTGTTTTCTGAGTTTGAAAAGGGGGCTGGCTCCGTGTCCCCTCTACCCTTCTCACTTACAGAAAAAGACAATGGGGGAAGAGAAAGCAGGTGGAGAGAGAAAATGAGGAGAAGATTTGAGGTGAGACATTTGGGAACAAGCAGACTCAGTGACTTTCCCTTCACTTGACCCAAAATACTAGAGGACAGGACAAAAGAGTATGGTACATCAGAAATCTAACCAATAGCAGGAGGCCTTGCTGGTAGTCAAGGACAGACATAACCCAGTGACACAGGAGGACCAGCTATGGTCTTCACCTGAGTTCTTTCCTCTAAAATATAAAAACTAATGTTAAGGGAAGGAAAGGACACAAATAAATATCAAAGAGTAGTAAAATTTGAAAAATGGTTTTAAAATCGCTTTTTTGTGTTCACCTTATTTGCTAACTCTTTTTTAAATTTTATTTATTTATTTATTTATTTATTTATTTATTTATTTATTTATTTTGAGACGAAGTTTTGTTCTTGTTACCCAGGCTGGAGTGCAGTGGCATGATCTCGGCTCACTGCAACCTCTGCCTCCCGAGTTTAAGCAATTCTCCTGCTTCAGCCTCCCGAGGAGCCAGGATTATAGGCACCCACCACCATGCCTGGCTAATTTTTGTATATTTAGTAGACACAGGTTTCACCACGTTGACCAGGCTGGTCTCGAACTTCTGACCTCAAGAGATCCACTGTCTTCGGCCTCCCAAAGTGCTGGGATTACAGGTGTGAGCCACCGTGCCCAGCCTCTTTGCTAAGCCTTACATATCAGCTGGAAAAGTATTAATAAATATTTTTAAAAGCCATAGACTTTTGTACGAGAGCTGAGCTTTACAGTAGAACCCTTTGGAAGGTTAACACTGATTTTGGCAATTTATCCATTGCATAAATGGCTTTTAGAATTTATCTCTGAAGAGTTCTTTCAAAGCTAATCTTGATAGCCTCTACAGAAATACTACTACTACTTATCACTGTCATCATCATCAGTATTGTCATCCTCATCACCACTATCATCATCATCACCATCACCACCATCATTACCATCATCACCATCACCATCATCACCACCATCATCATCACCATCATTATTATCATCACCACCATTTGTTAATAGGGACAAAGATGGTAATTATCACTATCACCATCACCATCATCATAACCATCATCATCATCATCTTACCATCACCTTGATCAGCAACATCATCACCATCATCATTATTATCATCATCGCCATTATCATCATCATCATCATCATCAACACCACTACTTCACATTCCTCTTTAATGATTTGCATTCATTCACCGGTTAGCCAATTTACTCACCTATTACTTATTAAGGTCCTTATATTTTCAAGGCTTTATGGCAGGTGCCTGGAGTAGGGTGTCATGGGAGGAGACAAAGAAGAGCAAGGGAGCCCCGGCTTTAGTGAGCTGCCCCACTCACTGTGAAAGTGAACTATGCCCCACACCATAACAAGAACAGTGATAACAGCATCAAATGTTGGGTTTCTTGACCCTCATGGATACACTAAACATATCCTTTCTAGGTGTTTTACTCTGTCCAAAGTTGATAATTATATTAAAAAAATTGGGAAATGGTCTTTTCTCTTTTATCATCATAGGTATTTAATAACAGCTTTATTGTACAGATATAGTTCACATATCATAAAATTCACCTTTTTAAAGTGTACAATTAAGTGGATTTTAGTATACTCACAGTCATGTAACCACCACCACTATCTCATTTTAGAACCTTTTCATCATCCCTAAAAGAAATTCTATAGCCATTAGTAGTCCCTACACCCCTACCTCAACCTCTGGCAAATGCTAATCTTTCTCTATGGATTTTCCTATTCTGGACATTGTATATAAATAAAATTATACTATAACTGATCTTTTGTTACTGGCTGCTTTGATTTAGCAAAATATTTTCACCCAATCATAGTATATATCAGTATTTCATTCCTTTTTCTTGTCATTCTATTATGTAGATATATTTTATTTATCCATTAATTAATTAATGAATATTTTGGTTGTTTTCACATTTTGGCTACCACTATGAGTATTAGCATATAAGTTTTTCTGTGGAAATCTGTTTTCATTTCTCTTTGATAAATACCAAGGAGTAGAAATGTTGAGTCATATGGTAACTTCCATTTACAATTTTGAAGAACTGTTAAACGATTTATAATACCATCAGCAATGTATAATGATTTTAATTTCTCTGCAGCTTTGCAAGTACTTGTTATTTTCTGTCTCTAAATTTAGCCATCCTAGTGAGCATGAAGTGGTACCTTGCTGTGGTTTTGACTTACATTTTCCTAATGACTGATGATATTGAGCAGCTTCTCATATGCTTATTAGTCATTTGTATATCTTTTTTGGAGGAATGTCTATTTAAATACTTTGGTCATTTTTAATTGAGTTATTTATCTTTTTTTATTATACTTAAGTTCTGGGTATATACCCAAAGGATTATAAATCAATAATAGACTGGATATCTTTTTATCATTAAGTTTAAGGCTACTTACCTAGTCTGGATACAAGACCCTTACAAGGTACATGATTTGCAAATGCTTTGTTTTCCCATTCTGTGGGCTGTATTTTCAGTTTCTTGATAGTGTTGTTTAAAATTTTTAAGTAAGATGAAGTTCAATTTATCTATTTTTTTCCTCTGCTGCTTGTGCTTTTGGTTTCATAATCAAGAAATCATTGCCTAATCTAGAGTCATGATGATTTACTGTTATATTTTCTTCTAACAGTTTTATAATTTTAACTCTTACATTTCTGAATACTTCTGACTATGTGTTGTATATGGTTTGAGGTAGGAGTCCAACTTCGTTTTTCTGCATGTGGTTCCTCATTGCTCCTTGAGTGGCTGTGACACTGTTGGTTTTCACACCTATTATGGTTAGGAGGTTGATGTTTTCCTAGACTACTACAGAACTGGGGCAGGGGGACAGAAATGGGACAAGTTCAAATGCCTCAAATGGTAGTTACCCCAGTGCCATTTCTTGAAAAGACTACTCTTTCCTCATTGAATGTTTTGGGACCATTGCCAAAAATGTATTGACCAAGAATAGTAAATATAAAGATTTATATCTTGACATTCAATTCTATTACACTTACCTATGTGTCTGTCCTTATGTCACCACCACACTGCATTGATTAATGTAGCTCTGTATTATGTTGTGAAACTGGGAAATATGAAGCCTTCAACTTGGTTCTTCTTTTTCAAGAATGTTTTGGCTATTCTAGGTCTCCAGCATTTTCATGTAAGTCTCAAGATCAGCTTGTCAGTTTCTGCAAAAAGGCAGCTGGGATTTTGGTAGATGTGGCATTAAATCTGTAGATCAATTTTAAAACCATTGCCTAATTCAATGCATTCCTATCCACTACCATGGGATGTCTTTCCATTTATTAACTCGTCTTTAATTTCTTTCAGCAAGGTTTTATAGTTTGCAGTATACAAGTGTCTCAATTATTTGTTACATTTTATTCCTAAGTATGTTTTAATTCTTTTTGTTTCTACTGTAAATACAATTTATTTTTTATTTTATTTTTTGATTGTTCAATAATGGTGCATAAAAATACAATAGATTTTGTATATTGACCTTGAATTCTACAGCCTCACTGAACTTATTCATTAGTTCTAACAATTTTTTAGTAGAATAAAAATTTAAGGATTTTTCTATATACAAGATCTTGTCATCTGTAAATAGAAACAGCTTTACTTCTTTCCAATCTGGATGTCTTTTCTGTATTGTTTCTTACCTAATTTCCCTGGTAAGAACCCACAGTACTATGCTAAATACAAGAGGCATTCAAAAGCTCTGACAGGTCTTCTAGATCCCCAGGAAGGTGCTGGATCTTTTCAAAGCCTTTTCTAGTCATCTCATTTCTAGATTTTTCTTTGAAGTTTTTGGAACAGCTTCTTGTTTGCTCCAACTGGTCTTACTGTGTCAGACCACTAATTGTCTTCAACAAATGCCCTGGAGATAGAGCTTTTCCCACTGGGGGATCTTTGAGCCAAAGACCATCCCAGTGAATGGGACTTTTCTATGGATTTGCCCAATGGGTAACATACTAAGAACTCTTGGGAATGGGACCTTTTAGGGGAGCTACAAATACTCCCTGCCCCTTGAGTGGCCATGACATTGCTGGTTTTCATGCCTACTATTGTTGTGAGGCTGATGTTTCCCTAGACCACCACAGAACGGGGAAGAGGGCAAAGGAAACGGCAAATTCAAATGTCTTCATGCTCATTATTCCTCACCAAGACTCAGCTATTTATCTTGAATAAATGCTCCTCAGATGGTTGGAGGCCACTGATTAATTTCCAGAGTTCTGAAAATGTTGATTTTGACAGTTTCTTTCTGCCATTTTTCTCACTGCTTTTATGAAGGGACAGCTTTGCAGTTATCCGGACTTCACCATTCTAGAAGCACTTTTCATAACAATATTCTCCTTTTTTCTCTTCTTCCTTGTGCCTGCCCCAAACCAGTTGCCAAATGGAGCCACATGCATTTTAATCCTATTTCCTTTGAGAACCAGATGATCTACTGAATGCAAGTAAGCAGATCTCTTAACAACCTCTAAGCTAAGGGTCACTTGAAATCTGTCTGGAGCAGCTTAAAGTGAGATCAAGTCACAATCTTTGACTTAAAAATAAAATGATAGCAATCAAATCAGGCTAATTGACATTCGACTAAAAATATGGCTTGGATGAAATTACGTGGATAAAGAAAACGTTTTTCTTAAAGACATGGCACAATGCTATCAATGATGTGATATCTAATAGGCATGTTGATCTCTGACACTGAGAAGGTTGTTAATAAAAAATAAATATTAAAATGTAATGTTAAAATTATCAAGATCAATCAACCATAATTGTATCTGTAACTCTCCAACACAATTATGAAATGGTCAGACCCAAAGACCAGGAGACAGGCCTGCTCCCCGCACCCTTTTCTTTTCTGCTCTCACTCTCAGCCCCTCCGAGGCCTGGCTCTGCCACTCCTCTTACATTTGTTTTTCTTTTCTTCCCAAACAGTAACTGGCCTCAGCTTAGATGCCGTGATCTGGCATCTCACAGCCATTTTTCTGAACATAAGCAGCCTGCATTTAAAACTCTCCAGCTCATCTGTCTTCATTTGAAGACTGGGTTAAAAAATAAAATTAATGATTGCTATCAGGGGGAAGACGAGCAGCATCTTTGGTGAAAAGTAGATCTGCCACGTTCGGCCAAGGCTGACATCTTTCACTGGCTGGAAATGGCTGGATAGACTTGTAAGCATTATTAAAAATAATAACTTAATGTTTCCTTCCTGTGACTCGCTAGCATTAGCAAGGTAGCTCCAATTAGTATTTCCTCTGAGTGAGGGAGGCCTTTTACTTCGTTTCATTTAAAAGGGGATTTGTTTTCTAATTTCTACGTCTGCTGTTGTCAATAATAGAACAGAGCTGAATGACTACTGCCTTCCTCCATCACTTACATTTTGCAAAGCCACGGCAAAGGAATATGCATCTTTGATTTCATTTGTTTTAGCTGTGCTTGTTCAGTGAGAGAGAAGACACATTTACATCCCTCTGATCTTGATGGTGTTGCATGGAGTTTTAAAACACAAGTAAATCACATCAAGAGACTAAATCATTTTGCAGGATTTTGAGAGTGAAGGCAAATAATGCAATGATAAATTAACAAGAATGGCTTGGAATAGGATGCTTCCCCTTGGAAAACTCAGCCTCAAGTCCCTGAAGAAGGAAAGAAGAGAGAGAGGGACAGAGAAAGGGAGGGAGGAAGGGAGGAGACAAGCAGTCCCCACCACTGCCCAGGTGTCTTTCTCTGCGTTGTCGCCTCTGCTGGTTGAATCTTCCTTCCATTCTGGTGAATATCTCTTTAATAGACTCATCTTACTTTATTAAAGTCAAAAATATGTTTTTAAATGTTAAGTGAGACACGCATTATTGCAAATTCAAAGCTGCAAAATGTGTTTGGCAGCCTCAAGGTAATAATTTCTTCCAATTTCAACACAAAGTTGGTGAATATTTCAATTGATTATGTTGGGCGATCCAGTAGTCATTTAATCATATTAACATATCTTGCATATTCAACATAATCTCACTTGCTTGCTTATCTTAGACCCCAGAACGCCTCCCAAGTCCAAGGGCACACATACACGTGCACCCTCTGCACACACTTGCAGGCGTTTCCTGTGGTAGGTGTCCCACCAAAGTTCTATTTCATGTCTGAGCTGTGCAAATGACTGTGAGAATTGACAGAATGAAATTTTGTAATAGTATAACAGAGCAAATCATTATGAAGAAGATAAGAGGTATTATTTACAACATTAATTAAGTCTAGGGGGTAAAAAAGACCATGTAAATCCACTTCACTATATTTTAAGTGCCTTCGCTTGGAAACCCACATGTTGTTCTTCTATTGACTTTGAAGTTCAGGTAGAGTGTAAAAGACTGAACCCATAAACGTAGGGTGCTTTAGGTCTGTTTGGTTTTTGTAACATGGTAACATGCCAAAGGTGCCAGGAATTGACAAGGATCATAGAAAACAGAGGGCTTAGAGCTGCAACTCCACCTGGTAAGAAAGGAGCTTCCCTCATGTGAATTGAGAAGGAGGTGAGACCATCTCCCTGGGACCTGAGAAGAGACAGAGGTCACCCCTGAGGATTGTGTGTGGGAAAAAATGTGCTGTCCACTCTGTAGGGTCTCCGGCACACCACCTCACTGGTCACCAGCAACCCATCCGACCTTCTACCCAAGAAGTTGAACTTTCTGTTGAAGTTCAACAGCAGCCTGGCCAGGGCCCACCGTGTCCACCGGGAAATGCTAGAGTCTCTAACAACATCATGCTAACAGGATGGCAAAGGATTCTCCGAGATCAACGGAAAGGTTCTATGTTCCTGGGCTCTGATACCGTTCATACATCTCGTTCAGTGTTAGATACTGAATTAGGAGCCATTTGTTGACATGAAATTGCAGTGCCCAGGGTCCCTGGTACCTGCAGTCAGACCAATGCTGGGGGGCGGGGTGGGTCTTAGGGGCAGAATGGAGCTTGAGAAACATGGCAAGGACTCTTCTAGAAGAAATGGAGGCAACTGCAGGTGAGAGCAGGTGTGGGGAGATAGGAAGAGCAAGACAAGGATAGGGAGGCAACCAAATTTTGTTTGAAATAATAATACATCTAGCATGACCCTAGGCTTGTCTGATTTTACTCAAGTAATAATTTTTAATGGAGAAGCGGCTAGAAGCTTTGCCAAATTGCCTCAGAGAGGTGGGGCCTTTTAGGAAAAGCACAGCTGGCTCTTGGAAGCCCAGTGTTGGCTCCCTAAAAAGCCTATTACCCTGGACTCTAGAAATTCACAAAATGATAGAACTCAAAAAGGAGCAGGGCTGAAGCTTTTCTTCCTTGATCTTCCTTCGAAGTTGAGCAGGGCATGGGTGAGAGAAAAATTTTGAACACAGCCATCTTCTTGAGAAGCCTCAAAGATTCCAGACCTACTCACAACTTACATTTTATTACCCAGCCAAGTTTGTATTAAGCCAAACCATAATTACATTAAAGCAGATCCTCTGAGGAGTGGTGTTATCCAATCATTGGATAGACTAAATTCAGATCTTTTCATTTCTCCAGAACTAATATCATGTCATTGCTTAAAATACACACACAATTTTCTCATTCAGATGTGGTCCACATTCTGATTTTGAATATTCTGGATCCCTGATAGGGCCTCTTGCCAAATTATCATATGCACAAGAAGCCCGCTTGGTGAACACAGGCTGCAGCCAGGGCCAGGAAGAATTTGCACTGTCTTATTTTACACTCAGAAGGAAGGAAGTTGAGAGGTCCAAGGGCTAGAAGTTCCAGGCAGAAAGAAGGTGATGGAGAGAAGGGATTGCAGGAGAACATGTCCTGCCATGCCTGGTGATTTGTTGGGTATCTCAGTGTTTGTTCTGTGACAGGTTGGACTTTGGTACAAGGTCAGCTCCTGAATCTTGATTATGTTTTTTTCCCCTTGAGCCAAGAGACATTGATCTGCACATCTAGTTTACCTTGTTTTCTTAGCCATTTGTGACACAGTACAACAGTTCCCATCGAAAAAAGTGTCATGTAAATAAATTACAACTTAGGACGTATACATTAAATAATTTTATAAATGAACTTTAAAAATGAAGGAATAAAAAATGCCAGGCCTGGCTTGGATAGCGATAGTGATTATTCTGATCATGTTGTCATGTGTAATGGAGCACAGGCCCGTCATTAATCAAAAGAACCAATCAGATAACTAATTTAGGCAATATTCCTTACCACAGGACATGTCGGTCAGTAAAAATGCATTAAAATAGCAAAAGATCAATAGCAGCCAGCAGGGACCATGTTTACAAACCCGTCTTAAACTTTAGGGTATTAAATTCTCAGTCATATTCGGTATCTGTTTGGTAAAGATAAAGGAAAACTTCAGAGAAATGAAAGGTTTGGGTTTGCTTTTTTTTTTAGTTAATAGTGTGCTCATAATGTATACTGTAATAAATGTACAGAATGTTGCGTTCTTTGGTGATGAATGGCAAAAGTGTCCCCAGCTTCTTTCAGAAGCATTATCAAGGCTCAAAAAAAGGACCATGGAACGAGCGAGGATTGACAAATTGGCCCGAAGATGGCTGCGGGAGGCAGGCAGGCCCCAGGTGTTTAAAGACGATTTATGTTTTGAGCAGCTGGAGCCCAGCACAGTGGTCAGATCTAGCAAGTGGCACGGAGCACTATTTCCACGGCACCTCTGCTGCCCTGGATGTGGAGAGACCGTTACCTCCCTGGAAGGTGGGCTCAGACTTCCTGCAGCGTATCCCCTGGCCAGGAGCCTCTGCTTGGTCGCTTTTGATTACGAAAACTTCTACTCATATTTCCAGCTATACAAAGTGCATCTCATCAAAGTCCAAAATAGCCACATTCTTTTTCTTTTCTACAGAAGTAAATTTACTTTAAAAAAAAATTCGTGTTGCTGACTCTACGGAGCTAATGCAGCTGCTGAAGAAACACTTGTATGAGGTGGAGGGAGAGGCGGTGACCACACAACGGGACAGGAGCTGGAGGAGCCACCACTCCTCGACCGGTTGACCAGAGGCACCTCCAAGTGCATTTCACTACATCCAGCCCAAAGCCTCGGTCACTTTGGTTTATGAGCCAAAAGGAGGCAAGCCTGGGAACGGGGAGCATTGCTGAAGGCTTTGTTCTTCTGTGACAGTCACTGGCCACAAGTGACAAGGACTGAGTGGGCCTGGGTGCCCATGGTCTTCTAAGGGCTCTTCACACATTTTCCTCCTAGGAAACAACTCTGCAAAAAAGGTGCACTTTGCTCCTGATTTTACTCAAGCGTTATTTATACCATGCCTACTATGTGCTCACAGACATCATTACTGTCATTCCAATGTGAAACCCAGAAATAGAGTCTGAGAATGTGTGACTTCAGCAGTGCCACACATGTGCCAACTGGAGGAAAGAAGAAATGGAGGGAGGTAGGAAGAAAAGGAAGGGAGGGAGGAAAGGAAGGGAGAAAGGAATAAAAAGGAGGGATGGAGGGAGGGAAGGAAGGAAAGAGGGAAGAAAGGGAGAGAGGAAGGGAAAGAAGGAAGGAAGGAGAGAGGGAATGAACAAAAGAGGGAGAGAAAGAAGGAGGGAGAGAGGAAAGCAAGGGACTAGGGAGGGAGGGAAGAAAGGAGTGAGGGAGGGAAGGAAGGAGGGAGGAAAAGGAAGAGAAAGAGAGGGAAGGAAGGAATAAGGGAGGGAGGAAGGAGAGAGAGAAGAGGGAAGAGAGGGAGGGGGAAGGAAAGAGGGAGGGAAGGAGGGAAGGAAGGAGGGAGGAAGGGAAGAAAGAAGGAAGGAGGGAGGGAGGAAAAGAAGGAGGAAGGGCAGAAGGGAGGGAAGAAAAAGAGAAAGGGAAGAAAGGAGAGAGGGAGGGAAGGAAGGAGAGAGGAAGAGAGGGAAGGAAGGAGGGAGGGAAGAAAGGAAGGAGGGAAGAAAGGAAGGAAGGAGAGAGGGAAGGAAGAAGAGAGGGAGGGAGAGAAGGAAAGAGGGAAGGAAAAGAGAGAGGGAAGGAAAGAGGGAGGAAAGGGAGGGGAAAGTGAGAGAGGGAAGGAAGAAAGGAGGGAAAGAAGGAAGGAGAGAAAGAGGGAAGGAAGTAGAGAGGAAAGAGGAGAAAAGGAGGGAGGAAAGGAAGGAGGCAGGGAGTGGGAGGGAAAGAAGGAGGGAGGGAAGGAAGAGAGGGAGGGAGAGAAGGAAGGAGGGAGGAAGGGAAAGAAGGAAGGAAAAAAAGGGGGAATCTCCCTAAGCCCATTTCCTCCGCAGCTCTAGCTCCCATTTCCCAGCTCATGTTCACAGCGACCTCTCTAAGTAGCACCCAAGAGGGCTGCCTTGGCCAAGTCTCCCCCTTTGTTCCCTCTGCACCCCTTTCTTGTCTGGCTCTCATGCTCACTGTCCACTGAATTAGTTTTTTTTTTCTTTTATTATACTTTAAGTTTTAGGGTACATGTGCACAACATGCAAGTTAGTTACATATGAATACATGTACCATGTTGGTGTGCTGCACCCATTAGCTTGTCATTTAACATTAGGTATATTTCCTAATGCTATCCCTCCCCCCTCCCCCCACCCCACAACAGGCCCCTGTGTGTGATGTTCCCCTTCCTGTGTCCATGTTTGGTAAAGATAAAGGAAATGTGTTCCCATGTGTTCCCATTGTTCAATTCCCACCTATGAGTGAGAACATGCAGTGTTTGGTTTTTTGTTCTTGCGATAGTTTGCTGAGAATGATGGTTTCCAGCTTCATCCATGTCCCTACACAGGACATGAACTCATCATTTTTTATGGCTGCATAGTATTCCATGGTGTATATGTGCCACATTTTCCTAATCCAGTCTTGACAAGTCAACATTGAGTTCCATGTTCCCCAATTCAATGGATACTTCTAGATCTTAAACTTCTTTAACCTTTCGTGGGTGTTCAAAATATTCGACCCCTTCCTCTTTCCAAAATACTCTCAACTCTTGGCTTCCAGAATTGTAAATGTTCCTCTTTTTCCTCCTCCTCCTCTCTAGTCACACTGTCTATCTCAGGGTCCTTTGGTGGCCCTCCATCTCCACATGAGCTCCACACGACCTCCGCACAAACTCTAGATGTTGGAATGCAAAGCGCAACATTAGAAACAATATGAATGTCCATCAGTAGGGGAAATGTTAGGTAAACTGTAGCACATTAATTCTATGGAGTAACAGGCCAGTGGTGGTGGATCACACCTGCAATCCTAGCACTTTGAGAGGCCAAGATGGGAGAATTGCTTGAGGTCGGGAGTTCGAGACCAGCCTGGTCAAAGTAGTAAGACCCTATCTCTATTAAATATATATTTCTATAAAATATCAAGTAGCACACCCTAAAACACCAAGTTAAATCTATATGTATTGACATGGGAAGATCTCTAAGATACATATTTAATGAAAATAAAAGACAGTACTCTATGGAAATATGCTATTTAAATATATCTAGATGTTCATATAAATGTATGTACTCCATTTTAGGTCCAAAAGGAGGTATATGCAATGCTGGTTATGGTGAATAAATATGAAAATAGGACAGGAATTTAGGGTTGGTCCAAAGGGAACTCCATTTTATTGATCAATATTTTGAAAATGAGCCATGTCTCCTATAATTAAAGACTAAAATGTTGGTAATTCTATTCGCTTTGGGAGGTCAAAGCAGGAGGATCACTTGAAGCCAGGACAGGAGTTTGAAACCAGCCTGGGCAATACAGTGAGACCCCATTTCTAAAAAATAAATAAATAAATAAAAGACTACAGTAATATTTAAATGAATAACTATTATCTTCAAGCTAACTCTGTACTCACATTCTATTCCCTCTTGTCATTCTCTCAGCCAGTTCAAGGACTTGAATCTCATCAATTTGAGAGTGCCTCTAGATCTCTAGATCTGATCTCTCTTATGAGCCCCAGGTGTCGCAGGTGACTACCTATTTGGATTCTCTGCTACAAATATCACTGTCAGCTTCACAAATCCTTCATGACCAACTAGAACACTTATTTCCACCCAGACCTATCTCTTGCCCAATTTTCCCCATCTCAACATTACCACGTACCCTGCTGGTCAAGCCAAAAGTTTACAGGACACACCTAATTCCTACCTCCCCGTCACACCCACACTTAGTCTATGCAAGGAAGTTCATGCCATTTATATCAAAGTTCCCCTTGAATCAATGCATCCTTCTCCTCCTCTCTAAATTCCTCACCATCCCACTAAGTCTGGCACCACCATCTTCCACCTGGGCTATGGCCATAGCCTCCTGATTGACTTCTCTGCTTCCCCTCTTGCCACTGCCTCCCAGTTATCTGTCCATCCACCAGAGTGTCCTTTAATGGCATAAGTCAGATCTGTTACCTCCCAGACAGAGGCAGCTCATGGCACCTGCCCCCTGCCAGCCTTCTAGGGAGAGTCACTACAGAGCAGAGCTAGTAACTGAAGGACCCGCAGGTGAGTCTGACGTGGTCAACTCTGTGCTCCATTCAGTCTCCTTTCTTGGGAGGAGGTTGAGGGTAACCTGCTGGATAATGGGAAAGAAGAAGAGAAAACATCGATGCAGCTTAGTGTCTTCAGAGGAAACACTGGAGAAAGAGTTTCCCTTTGCCTACAGAAATGTGAGTGTCTGAGAACGCTGTCAGTGTTGCTACTGAGATCAGACAACATCCACAATGTGCAGTTCAGGTCAGAGCTCTGCACTTCCAACCGGAGCTCTGCGTAGCCAGAGACTTGCCCAGAGCATTGAAGACAGACCCACCTGCCCAGGTCAAAACCATGGGGCTCACAGTGTTTGCTCCAAGGCTGCATATGGATCTTGGGAAATCCACAAGAAAAATAGAGAATCTCATTCTGGAAAATTTTGAAACTCTTGTTCCTTGGAGGCCTTCTTCTAAAATGAGACTCAAAACCAGACAAAAAGACAAAAAGATACATTGAGTTAGATTTTCAGAAAGCATTATCTAGAAAATTGACTTGGTTTTAAGAATTGCAATTCTCAGTTTTCTTGAAGAAAACTTGATAATTCCCGAAAAAAATGACTAGGATAAAGTTTTGGGAAAAAAATATGAAAATTATTTCAAGTTAACTGCAAATGAGAAATAAGTGTATTTTATCACAGGATTTTTGAAAATGCTCTTGGGAGGAGGATTTATTAGGCTTCATTCTGATGAGAAGTTAGGGTTCGAAAGTTTAAAATTCTAACGCTAAGATGGGCATGGGCATGACTGAATCACTGTGCCTTATGGTATTGACATTGGGGTATAAGCTACGTGAGCTCCAAATTAAATGAAAAAAAAAATTATACCAAGAAAAAAAAGCATTAACACCGTGAATGGCCAACATTTTGGGGAGTCTAAGTACTGTGATTTCTGATGTGCTAGACAGATTCCAGCCATCCTTCAGCCAGCAATGGTTAAGCCACATAAAATACGTGAAAAAGCCCACAGCACAGAATCTCTAAGATAGCCAGAAGTCATTTATTAATAAAGCTATTGACATGTTTTAGTATTTATAGTTATTTACCTTGCAAAGGAACTGAATCAGGGAGTACAGAGATCAAGTCACTCGGGAGAGGGAGTGTTTACCTAGGCTAATAGCTTCTCTTTGGAGGATGGCAAATAAGAGCAGGGGTGGAGACAGGCCACGGAAGCCCTTTTCAAGGACTCGGGGGGGGTGGGAGGGGGAACACTGGGAGGGGAGGGGTGTGCAAGCTCCCCCAGAGGCGATGCCACTCATTCTCAGCGTCACTCCCTGCTCCAGTCCTGCTTCACCTTGTGGGCCCCCACTGGAGGGGCCACGGTGCCCACAGCAGCTCTCTGTCTCCTGCACCAGACATCCCTGTGATTGACAGCTGGGCTCTAAGCCCTAATTTTGCTCTGTTTCTTCTCTCAACTGATCCTTGTTATCCCTCCTCAAAGACCATCATCAGCGTGGCAGACAGAGGAGAGAATGATTGACATCTCAGGCTATAAGAGAGACATAAGAGAAGGGGGACCCCAGGGGAGGAGTGGGCAGTAGGGAGCGCTAAGGGTCTTTGGCAACAGAATGGGTCATAGGATTGACACCTGTGACACCGTTCAAGGGTCAACTTTTGCAGCTTCTGGATCTGTCGAGTTAGGCTAAGTTATGCTGCAGTAACAAAAAACCGAAATAGAAGAATAAGATAAATATATTTCTTGCTCTTACTCCCCATTTATGCACATTAGCAGGGGGCTCTTTCATCGTACTCTCCAGGGACCCTGGCTGATGGGGGCTCCATCTCAAAGTCTGTTGCAGTGCATGTCATGGCACAAGAGGGGTGGATCTGCAAGGACCAGCATGAGTAATAGTGTTCTGGCCACAGCCTAGGGGTCAGACATAATCAAAGAGCCATGCCTAAATTCAAGAGGGAAGAAGAGAACAAGTCCACTCGAGGACCCAGCAGGAGAGCAGGAGGGATCACTGAGCAGGAGAACCGAGCTGTCTGGCACAGTTCCTATAGACAGAGCTCAGCGACAGGTTAGGTCAGTAAGAGAAGCCACTGTGAATCTCTGCCATCCTCTGGACTTGCTGTAAGGTGAAATACTTTGCCTGAAAATACAGGAAAACACTGGTGAACATTCTCTAGGACTCCGATAGTGGACTGGAGGGTGGTGAGATAATTCTGCCGCAGACTGGGCTTCTGTGAGAGATGGCAAAGGGCTGGACTGACATGTTAGTGTCATTTATCCAACAGGCTGTGAGTCACCTCAGCAAGAATAATTTGTGTGATAGGGTAGTAGCTAAACTTTACTGTTCAAATATAACAGGCTGTGGAAAAGAGCTGGGGCCCAAATGAAGCTGCCTTTGCTGTGCAACATTTGTTCGACCACCACTCTGTCCTGTTTTGTGATTTTTCTCTAGCAAGACTCAGCTGTGCTTATAAGAACAAGAGACATTAACACTGAGGTTCTTCTGGTATTAGGGCCTTTCCTGGGCCAAAGGCATTAAAGACAAACCACAAAAAAGATTATTAAATGACGAGCTCTAGAATCAAAGCTGGGGGAGGGAGTGAGAGAGCTCTGGAGAAGAATGACAGAAAGAAAGGCAGGACTCAGCGGGCTGGAAACCTCACTAAGGTCCAACCACAATGATGACCCAAGGAATGAAGCAAGCTCATTAGGAAATCAAGAGGCTGGAGTTAGAGATAAGGACGGTACATCTGTAAGGACTGGTAGTCAAGGGCTGGGTGGAAAAAATGGCCATTGTAGTGCAGGGTATTGAGGTGATAAAAGGATCATACATTGCGCTGAGCATTCATACAGAATCCCAAATTCACATGGAGTCCTGGGAAGAATCTGGGTAATGGAGATAACTGAACAAAGAGCTGAAGTCTACAATGACAGAGATGGCATGATCCAGAGGTAGAGATGGTGACCAGCAGGGAATGAGAGTGCTGTAGCTCAGTGGCAGGGCCATGGATGGAACAGGATTTTATTTTCATTTTATAAACAAAGGAGTAGGGTCCTAATTTTCCAGAAGTAGTGACGGCAATCTATGATGTCTCAATAACTGTTTCCCAAAACCATGATCTGTGGGTTGTGAGAAACACAGAGACAGCACCAAGAAAGGCTGCATGGGAAGTGGTGTGTTCCAAGAAGGTCCTGGCTTTGGTCCTCAGGGAGAAGGCCCCAGGAAGAGACACTGGTGTCTGTGGATGCTAGTGTGAAGAGCAGCTTGCTAATCACTCATTGCATCAATTGATTACCTGGAGGACAGGCTTGATAAAGAACATAGAGAAGCGCAGGGTACATAAAACTACAGGACAAAATCCAGGGAGGTGACTCAGACATGGATGGGAGAATTGTTTAACTGGATGTGAGTTTGTATTTCAGCTCCTGAGTGGTCTCTATATTGGGACAGTTGCAGGGCTGAAAGTAGAAGCAACCTGGGGTCAGCCTCTCTTTCTGCCACTCAGAAACATAAGACCTTTGTGGTTTTTCTGGCTTCCTTGGATTGAATTTCAACTTTCTCTTGAATCTCACTGAACTTCCTTGCCTTCCAGATTCTGAATTCTATGCCTGACTTTTCAGACATTTAAATCTGGTTGTAGGATCCACTGCTGGGGAGCTCGTGCAATCCTTTAGAGGTAGGAAAACATTCTGATCTTTTTCATTGCCAGAGTTCTTGTGCTGATTCCTTCTTATCGGAAGGGGCCGGCATTGCTTTCTCTTTTTGAAATCATTATGGTTTGGATGAGGCTTTTGGTGGCGCATACACACCATGGAATACTATGCAGTCATAAAAAGGAATGAAATCATATCGTTTTCAGCAACATGGTCACAGCTGGAGGCCATTATCCTAAGTGAATTAATGCAGGAACAGAAAACCTGCATGCAGTTATGAGAACTGCATGTTCTCACTCATAAGTGGGCGCTAAACATTGGGTACACAAGGACATAAAGATGAAAACAATAAACACTGGGAGTGATTGGAAGGGGGAGGGAGGGCGACAAGGGTTGACAACTACCTATTGGGCATCATGCTCACTACCTAGGTCGCAGTTTCAATCATACCCCAAGCCTCGGTATCATGTGTATAACCGTGTCAACAAGCTTACACTTGTACCCCTGAATCTAAAATAAGAGTTGAAATTCTTAAAAAAAAATCCCCCTGTCCAGTGTATGTTGGGTGCTTGGGACAGAGATGTGAAAAGATGTGAACTTCTTGGAACAAGAGGTCTTAGAACAACAAAGCAAGGAGGGAGAAAGAGACAGACTGAAAAGCAGGGCAATGTCTTCAAGTCTAGGGAGGGTCAGCCCATGGCCCAGTCTCTTGCAGTAGCTTCTGAAAAGATCCCAAAGCCCTATGTGGGGTAAAGAAGCAATGTAGCTATCAGACTCCATGTCCCCATATGAAAGCAGCCAACCAACATGTCAATGCAAACCAGGGAAGACCAGAGACAGGCCAGCCCTCCCCAGTGCCTCTGGCTTGCCAATGCCTAGGACAGGACACTGGAGCTCTTCTCACCCCGTGTGTGTGCCCTGCATAAAGAGTGGAGATCATTGCTATGGCCCCTGGTCCATGCCACGCCCTTCTTTACAAATCAAGAAACCAGAAAGTCCATTCCAGTGCCTTTTTATTGACTGAAATCATCAAGTCATGCAACCTCATCTCCATATGTGCAGCTTATTTATGCTAATAGGAACCAAGAAGCTGGCCATATAACCAGGTCCAGGAACCAATGCCATTAGAACTTTACTACAGGCTTATTGTGATTATTACTGAAAAGTTGGAAATCATGTAACTAGAGTATTTTTTAACTAATACCTTCTCAAGGAGCCTTGTGGGTGAACACAGCACACAACCTTCATAGCCATGCCCACTTCCTTCTCAGCTTGCTACATTCTACCTACCCTTCAAATCCCATTTCTGAAGACCTTCCTGACCATCCCAACTCTGCCTTTCTCTGAACGTTTGCAGATCATAATTTCCATCCCTTTCCTGGGATGAACCATCCCATGCAGCCACCCTTTGTCCTTTGTATTGTTACGAGAGTTTGCAAACAGGAATGTTTTATCTCATCAAGTAGCCTATGAGCTCCATCATGACCCTCTGCCAATGTGGTCTTCCAGCAACTGCACAGAGCCTTAACCCAAGTCAAGGCTTTCAACAAATTTTTGTTTTTCTTGTTAGATGTCCACAGACCGGCCGGGCGTCGTGACTCATGCCTGTAATCCCAGTGCCGAAGCGGGTGGATCACCTGAGGTCAGGAGGTCAAGACCAGCTTGACCAATGTGGTGAAACCCTGCCCCTACTAAAAACACAAAAATTAGCTGGGCGTGGGGGTGCATGCCTGTAGTCCCAGCTACTCGGGAGGCCGAAACAGGAGAATTGCTTGAACCCAGGAGGTGGAGGCTGCAGTGAGCTGAGATCATGCCACTGCACTCCAGCCTGGGCGACAAAGTGAGACTCTGTCTCAAAAAAAAAAAAAAAAAAGTCTATTGACCAAAATAATAAGCCAAAGTTAGGAAAAGTGAGGCCAATGATGGAGAAGGGGTTCATTCCTCTGCTAGGGACCACACTGAGGCACAAAGCAACCTCACACCACAGAAATGCACAGGCAACTGTCACTCTTAGTGTGCCATGTCCCCTGGTTAGCTATTGCTGAAAGAAGAAATGATTGACATGTTTGACAAAGTAGGTTAGAGCCTAGGTTTGGGGAAATATACATCACCTGCCAAGCAGTCTCAAAGAAACAGCTTTTTAAAACTATTACCCGAGTGAGGAGGTCATGAATTTTGCTACTTATACTGGAAACCAAAGCAGTGAATATCTCTATTTCTAACCAGACACAACTTGTGTATATTTTTTTTTCTCAAAGAATGTGGGAGCTTATTTTTATTGGAGGTAATTCAATTACTTTTTTTTCCCTATCCCATTTAAAAAAAATAGTTCATTCAAATCAAATCAGGACTTCTTTCCATTTCTGGCCTGTTGACAGCATCTTTTGTACCCAGCTAAGCAGTCTTTGTGGTATTTGGCACTGCTCCTGCTCCGAGGGCAAGATTTAGAACAGATGCCGACTTCCCCAGTCAGGATGTTCCCAAGTTCTCTGCTGATTAGTAGGCTGCATAATTGGATGTGACAGCCCAGAGATTCCTGGCCACAAACCATTCCTAATGGGGGAAGCCGCTCTGCTTTTCTTGGAAGATGCCCCTCTGCAGAAGTTCCACACTCTGGAAGTTCCTCTATTAACCCCATAATTCCTCCAGTGCACCTGGCTCCAGATGCAGGGGCTCAGGGAAGACCAACCCAAGGTTGGTAGCCCGAAGCTGCTAAGTATATGGACTTAGCATTCGTTGGTGCAGCCTGGTGAGATGTCTTTGGGAGGAACCACACTTGCCGAGCAGAGCTCAGCGACACAGATGAGAGTGATTGTGATAGCTCAGAACTGGGCAAGTTAGAAGAAATCTATGCTTCTTACAGGATGGAGGGTCTGCCCTGACCATATGCAAACCACACACATCTGGCAGGGCCAACGCAAAGACTGCTCTTGCTCAGTCTAGGAAATGTGCCTTGTTGCTTGGGCACAGAGGTCCTTGACCACAGCCACGGCCTCTCACCATGGGTCCTCCTGGCTGCAAAGGCAGTTGAAGTAGAGAATCAGCCGTGATCTGCTCACGTTCACCCACCATCCCAGAGAGGAGCCTTCCTACCAGTGGGAGGTCCATAGCTTTACCATGTCAGCAACCAAAAGCACTAACTGAACCATCAAGCTGTTACCTGAAAGGGGTCCTGATCCAAATCCCAAGAGAAGGCTCTTGGATCTCGTGCAAGAAAGAATTCAAGGCAAATCATAGAGTAAAGTGAAAGCAAGTTTATGAAGAAAGTAAAGGAATAAACATGGCTACTCCATAGGCAGAGCAGCAGCATGGGCCGCTCAGCTGCTTATATTTATTGTTCCTTCTTGATTATATGCTAAACAAGGGGTGGATTATTCATGAGTTTTCCAGGAAAGGGTGGGCAATTCCCAGAACTGAGGGTCCCTCCCCTTTTTGACTGTATAGGGTAACTTTCTGACGTTGCCATGGCATTTGTAAACTGTCATGGCGCTGGTGGGAGTGCCTCTTAGCATGCTAATGCATTATAATTACCATATAATGAGCAGTGAGGTCAACCAGAGGTCACTCTCATCACCATCTTGGTTTTGGTGGGTTTTGACCAGCTTCTTTACACAACCTGTTTTATCAGCAAGGTTTTTGTGACCTGTATCTTGTGCCAACCTCCTATCTCATTCTGTGACTTAGAATGTCTAACCTCCTGGGAATGCAGCCCAGTAGCTCAGCCTTATTTTACCCAGTGTCTATACAAGATGGAGTTGCTCTGGTTCAAATGCGTCTGACAAAGCCACAGCTGAATCATACTATCTTCAGCTCAGGTGGAGCGTGGTAGCATGGCAGGCAGGGTCAGGGACTTAACGCAGAGCTACAGGTTTCCAGCCTTGCTGAGAGCTCACAGCTGAGCTTGGGGAGAATACCCTCACCTGAGCCAACCAGGAAACCAGGGGAAAAATGATTGCCCTGAGGTGACAATCACATATCATACATGTCTCTGCTTTAAACACAAAAGACAGACTCCTTTTGAAGCAGACAGCAGGTGCTATAGAGCTAGCCCCTTATTTATTTATCTATAAATTTCAAGGGGAAAAAAGCTTCAGTGAGGATAGTATTACCTGGATAATAGCTTAGCAGAGGGGTGAGATGCTCAGAATGGTAGAGTGTTTGCTGCTGACTGATTTCAAAGAGAGATCATTTTCACAGCACTCAGCAGTATCTCTTCATTTGTCTTTTTTTGGGCACATGTTTCCTTCTCAATCCCAACCTTTCCCACGGGAGAGGTCCCCCAACCTCCCTTCACCATGACCCCACCGGTCCTCATGCCCTTTTCCTCTCCAGGAGCTTCAAACAAGCTGATGGCACTGCCTCCTTAGAACCAGGTATACTTCTTTTTTAAATCAAAGAGTAATAAAATACCTAATTAGTAACGTGCAGCAGCATTATTTTTATTCATCTATACATTTCTAATTAAAATTATGCCATTCTTAAAAATTGCAACATAATACACTCAAGCCTTTCATTTCATATGCAAAGTGTTTGAAAGTCTGCAGTCCCTGTGAGGTGGTAATTTAAAAAAGGAATGGTCAGCCAACAAAAGAAAAAAAAAAGTGAAGCCATAAGTAATTCCTTTTAAGTAAATGTATAAGATAACAATAATTTGAAAGAAAAGCGATTTTGAAATATAAAAGGAAATCTAGAAAAATGAAGCATTCAGCCCTTTTATTGCACGGTGTCACCAATAATATTGTATACGTGATTAAAGATTGTTTCTGCAGCTGCTTAAGCCAATAGAAATTTAACATGCCTAAGTGCAGCCTCCTGCACCCCTGCCTTGTCTCTAGGAGCACGTGGGGAGGTCTCATTGTTTTTGGGATTCAGTTCCCATCATCATTAAAAAGGTGGCTACAAACTGGAAATATTGAAGAGCTGCATGGTCAGCTTGCATATTGAAAGCTGTCTCCCCACCATGGGTTGCATCACAAAGGAAAAGTTTAAGGAGTCTTAGCTCTGTGTTCCAGCTGCAAGGAGGAGCGGAGGGTCCAGTCGGAACAGATGTTTCCTGCAAGTTGCTGCCTCATCCCAGGCACGGTTTATACGATATTCAAATTCACTTTGGCACTTGTCCCTGAAGCTTTTATTTCCCCCCTTTCTCTGTTAACAGTTGTAGGAAAATTACCCTCTGTTATCTCAAAGCAGAGGAGGTGTTACTGGAAAGGGGTCCCAATTCAGACCCCAAGGGAGGGCTCTTGGATCTCATGCAAGAAATAATACAAGGTGAATCCATAAAGTGAAAGTAAGCTTATTAAGAAAGCAAAGGAATAAAAGAATGGCTACTCCATAGGCAGAGCAGCAGCTTAGGCTGCTGGACTAAGGATTCTTATAGTTATTTCTTGATTATTTGCTAAACAAGGCATGGGTTATTCATGAGTTTTCCAGGAAAAGGGTGGGTGATTCCTGGAACTGAGGGTTCCTCCCCTTTTTAGACGATATAGGGTAACGTCCTGATGTTGCCATGGCATTTGTAAACTGTCATGGCACTGGTGGGAGTGTCTCTTAGCATGCTAATGCATTATAATTAGTGTATAATGAGCAGTGAGGACAACCAGAGGTCACTCTCGTCACCATCTTAGTTTTAGTGAGATTTGGCTGGTTTCTTTACAGCATGCTAGTTTATCAGCAAAGCCTTCATGACCTGTATCTTGTGCCGACCTCCTATCGTATGTCATCCTGTGACATAGAATGCCTAACCTCCTGGGAATGCAGCCCAATAGGTCTCAGCTTCATTTCACCCAGCCCCTGTTCAAGATGGAGCCGCACTGGTTCGAACGCCTCTGACGGAGGCAGTTGTGGTTTTTGAGAGTGCCCTTACCTTGGATCTGAGAGCCAAAGATCATGGCCCTGGCTTTCTGTAAATGCTCCCTAACTCAGGCGTCTTGGGAAGGCACACTTGCCCATATGTGCCCTGAATTCAGCTGAGGTTAGGGAATGCAAACCTCTTGGCTTTGATCAGCACTGCTGGGGTTCTGCTCCGGGGCCTTCTCCCTGGACATGACTTTGCAAGAAACTTTTTCAACTCAAAACTTTCATTGAACTCTCCTGGATGATGTTAACCATCATATGGTTTTTATAATGTAAAGCAATATGCTAATTTTCAGACCAGTAAATGCTGTGTCAGAAACACAGTTGGGAGGAGGAGATGACCTTGCTATGGCTTGTGCAGACTCTGTCCAGCTTTGATAGGACACCTGCCATGCTTCTAGGCTCAGGCCAGACAACCCAGGACACCAGGAAGCTCCCTTTGTACCAAAGACCAAGGAGTTGCAGAGATAGAGACCCCAGTGGGGCAGCCCCTTCTTGTACTGCTTCTAAGACAAAGGGAGAGAGGAAGGATAGACAGCCTCAGCTCAGACCAGAAGGGGCACACACCTCACATCGTTACCCATAACGTGCATGTATGCCCTGGTCCACATGTATGACCGAACGTGTGCCTGTGCACAGAATGCACACAAAATTTAATAACCCTGCTTTAGCTACAAATTAATTCAAATCTTGTGCTCACATTAAAAATGAACTCTATTTTATGTTGATCATTAACAAAGAATATTTCACACTGGAGATTTGTCATATTAAGGAGAATTGAAACCACTTATATCAATTAAATGTACAGCATTATACTTAATCTCTGCAGAGATTACCAAAATACTCTAAGCATGATTTTACAGAAATGTAAAATATAAATTAGACAGGGGAATATTGGCTTCCACACTCACGCACACCCCTTGTTCCCACTCCGAATCCCTTCTAAATATGGCCGCCTGCAATTTGATGGGCCTGGGGATGGTGAGCGATATTTCAGGAAGAAATCCTGCCATCCCCAGCACCATAAAAGCAAGGCCAGAGTAATTGCTGGTGCAGATGGGAGAGACACAGTCAGTTTTAGCTTTGGGGGAATTAAAGTACTGGCTGGGAAAGGACAGAGCAATGAAGAAAAGAGGAGCTTTCAAAAAAAACTTTGCAGAAGTACCAGAGAGAAAGAGCGACTCAGGCAGGGCCTTGAGCAGGAAGGGCTGAAGCAGAGAGCTTTGCCTCACCTGCTCCTGATGAATGCAGAACCACAGGAATCAAAAGCACTGTGGTCTGAGAAGTGACACTTCCTGCATAAGAACCAAGCCTTTCCCACCGCAGTGTAGGTGCTTACAGATTTCACCAGCCTCTGAGAGATGCAACCCAGGTGTGGCACCCACAAAGACACACTCCATTATTATTGTTGTGCCAAGAAGGTTTTGGCCCATTTTCTATTTAGCTTTCATTCTGAAATCTAATTCCAGGTCAAGTGTCACCTCCTCCAGGAAGTCTTCCCTGATATTCCATGCTGAGTGTGAGCCCTTCCTCATTGTTTCTACCTGACCACGCTGTAATCTCTCACACGTTTATGTGCCTGTCTCTTTCGCTAAACCATAAGCTGCTGGAAGGCAGGGATAGAGCCTTATTTCTATTCATAAGCCCCAGACCTAGCGCAGGCCTTGGAGCAGGGTGGGCAATGTGAAGAAGCAGATGATACCTGCTGTGATGGGTACTGGACCTTTTCCTGAACCTCTCCCCCAGGAGCATCTGAAGGGAGATGCAGCAATGAGCACTAAGGATGCACAGTGCTCCCTTGGGGTGAGGATTGGGGCCCACACAGTAGATAAGATTGCATGAGAAGTCCCTGAGGCCTGGAGACAAACTCAGTTCCAACTTCACAGACAAGATGCCCGTGGCCCTCCCTGGGGTGAGAAGCTCCCTGTGCATCCTCCGACAGGCAGGAGTTCCCAGTGTCTTCAGCCCCTAACTCCAGCCACAGGCAGAGGCGTCATCTTTCCGCATCCGCCACCTTCTAGGCACTGCCATGATGCTGGGAAACAGCAAGGGACAAAGAGCAAAAGGACAAGGCCCCTGCCCCGCTGGACTTGCGTTGTGTGCCTCTGCGAAGGGGAGGTAATAAACAAGGAAGCGAACTCAGGAGCAAGAACATTGCAGAGAGCTGTCAGTGTTGCCAAGATGCTCAAAAAGGGCCATCAATGAGAGTGGCAGGGAGGGAGGGGTACCTTGGCTCTGGGACGCTGGGACCGCTAAGGAGCTGACCAGAGAAGAGAAGAGACATCCCTGCTGAGACCTCGCCAGGAGGAGGGAAGAGAGGCACCAGCAAGTGCAGGGATCCTGGGTGGGTCCACATAGGCATCGTCTGAAACAAAAGGAATAACCACAGTGGTTGGAGAGGAAAAGCTAGGGGGAGGTGAGGTAGGGGGTGGGAGGCTGGTGCACAGGAGCTCCGGTGCCAGGAGAGGCGGTTGGTTTGTTCCAGTGAAAAGGGGTCAGCCTCCCTCAGCAGTTGCCTTGACAGGGGCCCACCATTCTCCCCTGGTTAAGCCAGGGCAGCCAGACCAAGTGCTCCCAGGACGAACTGACCCAGGCCAAGGCACAGGCCCAAGAAGGGCTCTAAGTCTCCTCTCCAGGGGCCATCTCTCTACCAAGAAATGTCATCTGCACACTCACGTTTAAACCTGCATTTACCGGAGGCTCCACCAGTCCAGGGAAGGAAGCTGGCTTAGTATCACTGAACAGGAGCCCTTTTACAAAGACAACAGGCTTTGATTTGAGGGTGAAGGCTAGACACTGACCTGGGTGTGGAAAGAGGAGAGGAGAGGAAACGGGGCTCATGCCAGAACCCCTGTTCTCCCTGAGCCCTTGGCTTTAAGACCCTGACATCCTCTTCCTCTTCACAGACTGGTTGGCCTATGTCAGTCTCTGCTGGTGTCTGGATGAAGATGGACAAGGGGCCACCACTCTCAGGTAAAGGCTGTTAGCTCACCAACCTGCATATCCTTGCTAGCGAGACCAAAGTGGGGTCTTGGAGGACATTTATGCACCTGTGCGACTGCATCTATTAGATGCTGCAATACATACTTCATTTACTTGTGTTACCAGAAAGATGCAACACAGGTAAGTCTATGCTACATAATTGGCATATTTCAGTTTAGATTTTTTATGTATTTTTTTTTTTACTGGAAAAAATCTCTTCCACCAAGTTACTGCGATTGTTACCAAAAAATACACGTATGCATTTCTTAGATGGTATATTACAAGATAATCGTCCACAAAATAGAAAAATTTGCATTTTCTATGTATAATATCAGGCTATTATTTCATTTTCAGGGTTTGTGCTTTTGAGCCCATAGATTCAGCAGTAAATGACGTTTAGGGACAAACAGGTGATTTGGGTAAGAGGCTTCGACAGCGTTTGTGTGAAGGCAGCGGTTTCTGTAGAAACCTTTCCTCCCTTTGTCCTCTCCTATCTGCAGGGTATTGACAGCCCTGACAAGACTTTGATTATCTAGTCAGCATGAGCCCGAGACTTGTCACTTGTCAGGTTTGAGCTGACAGTCCCAACGCTGATGAAAGAATTGGAAGGAGATTGGCTGTGCGTGAGGAGAGTTGGGGTCAGCCGCCCAAAGTTTTCTCCGCATGGTGAGGAGGGGAGTCCTAACCCTTTTGGATGGTGCAAAGAAGTCTCGGCTGAAGGAGGTGGAAGGGGTTCCAGCCATCTCCCAACTGCATGGGGACCAGGACACAGGCTAAGCACCATTTCTTCCCCTACCACGCCCCCAGCGGTGATGGCAGACAATGCAGCAGGATTGCAGGAGCCGAGCCGCGGCTCCTCCACCCGCTCCTCACATCGGAGGAGCTAGGTTATTTCCACGTCCAGCCTAAAGCTGATATTAGATTTCCCTTCATTAGGAAGTGAAAATGAGGCAGAGAGTTAGCAGTTGGCTTCAGCTGATGTAAGAGGAGTGAGGCCATGAAAGACTGCGTGTTTATTGGTTTCAAGCAAAGCACAGTGTAATTCCTTTCTTAGGGCAAGGCACGCTCCACACTGGATCACCTGGTCACAATCATTCACCACGGCCCTGTGGCTCAGCTGTGTTCCTGCTGCATTTTGCAGGTGGAACCAAGGCTCGTGCAGCAGGAGGAGGAGGGTTAGGTGCTTGTCAGTGTCACTTAGTAATGAGACCAGCAATCAACTCCAACACTCCACAAACCTTGATTCTGTGCCCTTCACTAGCTCCCCTTTAACCAGGATTCACAACATGGGAAATTTGGCTCGATGGCATGCATTTTTGGATGGAATGGTAGGCAATTTTTCGGCTGTGTGTATTTAGAGGGTGTGTGCTTATTCCAGTCTCTACCTCTCTCTAAGGGGCACTTGCCAGCATCTGTTATCTGTCCCCTAGTGCATTTGAGTTGGTGAACCTTCTATAAGTCAAATATCAGGAAGCCCTGACCCCAATCCAGCTCCAGCAGCAGAGGGGCCATAGCCAGGCTTTTGGTACAAGAAAGAGGGTTTCGCTAAATGCTTAGGTGGCAAGGCCACCTTGATCTGTTGAAAGCAAAACCACTGGCTGGTAGACAAGGCGTGTGTCTTAGCCATAAATCACATGCCACTACATCCCTGACTGTTCCAGGCTTCTCCCCCAGAATGCAGACCTGCTCCAACAAAGATGTCCCTACAGGCTCCGTGCAACCTCCCCTTTGGAAACCTTCCCAGAAACTCCTGCCCTTCCCAATAACCCACCATTCCATCCTCTGGACCCAGGGATCACAGACTAATCCATGCTTTAACGGAAGAAGTGGTCTGAGGAGATCACTGGGAGTGGCTCCCAGGCACAGAGAGCCCAAAGGTGAGTCCCATCCTGGGGAGCTGGTGAACCAGCAGTGAGAGGAGTCCAGGGGCCAGGCTGGGGAGAAGGATCCCTTACCCTCCTGCCCTGCACCTCTCTGGGATTCTCTGCCCCCTATTTCCTCGGCATAAGTCTTAGTTCCTTCTCTAAACATTTTGCTTTGGAAGGCAAAGGCTTGTCTTAATCTTCTCTCTCTTTCACAGCAAATCCACTCACAGCTCATGCTGCACAAATTGTCACTTAAAGCCTCAGTCCTCTGGAGGACAGGACAAAGATTTGTATGTAGAGTAAACTTGAAGACAGGTTGAATTCTTTGAACTCTTATAGAATGTTGAATTTCTCAAGAAGATACACTTCTTTTTTTTTTTTTCTTTTTGAGACAGGGTCTCACATTGTCACCCAGGCTGGAGTGCAGTGGTGCAATCCTGGCTCACTGCAATCTCTACCTTGTGGGCTCAAAGGATCCTCCCCTTCAGCCTCCCGAGTAGCTGAGACTACAGGTGTGCGCCACAACACTCAGCTAATTTTTGTATTTTTCTAGTAGAGATGGGGTTTCACCATGTTGTCCAAGCTGGTCTCAAGCTCATGGTGATCCGCCCACCTCGGCCTCCCAAAGTGCTGGGATTACAGGTGTGAGCCACTGCACCCAGACACTTACTATATATATATATATATATATATATGTATGTATGAAACAACAGAGTCTATACCTGTTGTCCACCTCTGCAAATCTATTTCTCCTTCCTAAAAAGTGTCTACTGGAATCCACTTGGGGTGTAGACTCTTAGGCCTTTTGTAATCATTTACAAATATATGAAAATATATATTCTTATAGAAAATACAAAATCATTTATTTATTCTTTATTTCTCTTAACATAAACTTCATGAAACCAGTGTAGCTATCCATAGCATGCTTTTTTTTCACTTGCCATATCCATTGAAGTCGTATCCATATTAATACATATAGATTTATCTCATGCTTTCTAATTGCTGCATAAGATTCTTTAGTATGGCTGCATTCAGTTTTATTTGTTCCTATATTAATGGACATGTAAATTGTTTTCAATTTTTCACTATTACAAAAATGTTGCAATAAATATTCTTGTATCTGCCTTCACGTATCCAAGAAAGTACAAGGAAGATATGCCAAGAAGTCAATTTGCTAGATTACAAAGTAATACATATATTTAACTTTAAAATCCACTTTCACATCCTCCTCCAACACAAGGATCTCCAATGAGAGTCTCCATTCTCCCCAAGAAGGGCTAAAGCACCTTTTTAACCAAGCCCAACAGGCTGACTTTAGAATTGAAGTTAGAGGACACCACACCTCCCTCAAGTAGAAGTAGCATCACTGATGCTGTGTGTGAGAGAAAGGAAGGATCTTTTATGACAGCAGAGAATGTCTCTGGGAAAGGCAAGACTGAAATCCAGGAGCATACAGCTCTACTAAGACATCAGATCATGGCAGAAAACCTAAGAGCATCCATCCTACCCCACACAGTGGGGGTGAATTGTCTGAGGCCAGACTGGAGGAAAGATTCCTTTTGGTCAAGTTCCACTCAGACCACCTAGGGCCTGGCACAACGTGGAGGGCACTGTGAGTGCAGGAAGGACTTGGTGACAGGCACACATCCTGGCTGAGGTCTAGAGCTAACCTTCTCAATGAGGAGCCATTCATTTGCAAATAATTTTAAGACATACCTTCATGGAGTTTACATTCCACTGTGGAACACTAACAATAAAGTTTGTGATAAATAGTGATTTATAGAACTGCCTCTCTATCCAGGCTAGTCCAGGACTGGGTTTTTCAGTAGATTAAGGATTTTCATATGGGGAGGCAGCAGCATTGCTCCATAGATGTGGCACCTGGCCATAAAACCAGAGCCGAAGGTAGAGTCCCAGGAAGGCTGAGTTCAGATTCCACCCCTATATAGAGACAGGTTTGAAAAGCAAACATGAACACAGGGGGCCCATCTTCCCAGTAAACCCCACATGCTGCCAACACAGAAACTTTCATTGATCAAAATCCTTTCTGGATACAACTTGCTCTGCCACGGGCAGCTCTGCCACCTACAAAAACACCCCCTCGTTGCCTGAATTCCCAAGTTTCCTTGCACTCTGGGTAATCAGAATTCCCTTAATCCATACTTATCCCAGGCATCTGACCAGCAAGTGTCCCAAAGATTAACTATGTCTGACTATGCATGTCAATGAGGGAAAAAAATTAATGCCTCGTTAAGATCCAAAGCAATGAAAATCCACATCACCCAGACGTTGAAAATTGGGCCAGATGACAGCACCCTCCCTTCAGCTCAGCTGTACATGTGACTTTGAGTATGTTGACACAACTTTAGTGCTAAGACTCAATGTGTTTGCTGCACAGACGTGGTCGCAAGCAAAACAATGAGTGGGAGTTTGTTGTATGTGTTCATGTGCTTATACATACACACATATACACCACATGATGTGTGTACACATATATATGTTATGTATTTCACAATTATATATATAGTGTGTGTGTCACAGGAACTCTTGTTGAAACAAAGAAGGTAGAAGCAGACTTGTTCTAGCTAGGAGGGAACAGAGGGCCAGGTGAGGTGCTCTTGACTTCCACTTCTTTTTCTTTCTTATTTTTTTAAGAAGAAAAGATAAGGGTCTCACATTGTCACCAAGGCTGGAGTGCATTGGTGCGATCTTGGCTCACTGCAATCTCTACCTCCTGGGCTCAAAAGATCCTCCCCTTCAGCCTCCCGAGTAGCTGGGACTACAGACGTGCACCACCACACCCAGCTAATTTTTGTATTTTTCTAGTAGAGACGGGGTTTCACCATGTTGTCCAAGCTGGTCTCAAACTCCTGGTGATCCGCCCGCCTCGGCCTCCCAAAGTGCTGGGATGACAGGCGTGAGCCACCACGCCCAGCCACTGGAGTGCAATAGCACAATCATAGCTCATTGCAGCCTTGAACTCCTGGGCTCAAGCAATCCTCCTATCTCAGCCTCCCAAGGTGCAGGGACTAGAGGCATATGCCACCATGCTCAGCTAATTAAAAAAAATTAATAGAGACAGGGCCTCGTTATGTTGCACAGGCTGGTCTCAAACTCCTGGCCTCCAGAGACCCTCCCCCCTCAGCTTTCCTAAGTGTTGGGATGACAGCCATGAGCCCCTGCGCTCAGCCTCCTTCCACTTCTAGTATGATGCTCTCTGAGTTCCCCCAGAGGAACCCCACAACTCCAGGATCAGAGCACACAGACCCCCGACCATGCCGGTGGGGTTCACCCCCTGGCCTGTGGAGGGGAAGGTGGCCAGTGCAGGGCTCTATGGCCTGAAGAGTGGCCTGGGAAGGCCCCACAGCTGTGGCAGATTCAAGTGTCACAAAGCCATGGTGCTACCCAGGCATCCTCAGTCCCTCAGTCACCTCACCTCCTCAATCCACCTGCCCATCAGTCCTAACGAGTGCCGGGTTCCCAGTGTCCTCCTAGTGGTGGAGGGCTCACTGCCCATTGACCCCAGCTTTTCTCTGGTGCTGAGAGGGAAGAGGCCTTCATGTTCTAACACAGAGAGACCTGGAAAAGGCCAGTCTGTTCAAACCCTGGGACCACTCCCATGGACCCAGAGACCTGTAGGCTAAGAGGGTGAGAGAAACACATGGCAGAAACATGACTGCAGTTACAATATGCTGTCTGTTGTCCTCAGCCCCTGCCTCTGACTCCCTCAAACACAAGGAGTACAGTACAAGGCCCCATACTAGGAAAGGGAGAAAATTGGTGAGAAAATTCTGGCCCTTGTCCCCAGAAATTCTAAGGAAGTTAGACCATTAACCAAATACAGCGTGATGGAATTGGGTGGAAAAAGAGCTGATCTTCTGAGATGCAACTGGGGTGGTGAGGCATTCCAAGAAGGCTTCCTGGAGGAAGTGTCATCTAAGCTGACTCCTGAAAGATGAGTGAGTGTCAGGCAGGTGAAGAAAGGATATGTGAGGGAGAGAAGGGGAGAATAGGGCCAAAAAGGGGACCCTGCAGGCTGGGAGCCTAATCTTGTCATCATCAATCAAGCCACACCCAAGCACATATGGAGTACATGTGGTTTACCTGGTATCTCGCACAGAAATGGGAAGAGTAGCCCTGACCACCTGCAGGGAGCTCCCAACCAGCTAAGGCAAATGCTTCCCATAAAGAGAGGTGAAGAGGCCGGGCGCAGTGGCTCACTCCTGTAATCCCATCACTTTGGGAGGCTGAGGCAAGTGGATCACCTGAGGTCAGGAGTATGAGACCAGCCTGGACAACATGGTGAAACCCTGTCTCTACTAAAAATACAAAAATTATCTAGGCATGGTGGCTCATGCCTGTAATCGAAGCTACTTGGGAGGCTGAGGCAGGAGAATCGGCTGAACCTGGGAGGCAGAGGTTGCAGTGAGCTGAGATTGTACCCCTGCACCCCAGCCTGTGTGACAGAGTGACTGTCTCAAAAAAAACAAAACAACAACAAAGAGAGGAGAAGAGTTAGGAGGGCTGTCTTTCTGCCTCAAAACTTCTCAAAAGCATAAATGAAGCTGCCTTCCCCTTTTGTTTCCAACTTAAAACCAGAGTTACCACCACCAACAACCGCTTCTTTTGCTGCACCTGGATTCATTGCTGCTACTTTTCAAACATCTCTGCTGCCCTGGGAGGAGCTCGTTGAGCAGCTGGCTTTCCTGGGAGAGATCCACTGGCTCCTGCTCCACCACAGTGACCATGCCTCTTCTTCCCTGCCCAGCCCTCCTCTAACCTTACTTGAGGATGGTGAGGAAGCAGACAGAGGACGTAAAAGCAAGACCAGAAAGGGGCTGGCACCTCCGTTCTCTAGAATTGAGATCCTCCAGATAACACACAATGATTGTGGAAAGAACTGGCAAATTAAAGATAGTTGGTATTGATTCCAAAAATACTTTTGCTTTCAGCAAAATACATCTTTAATTACTTTTCTACTAGCTGTCATTTTTCATAAAGCAGTCTAGACGACTCGTGCCAAATCCTGCAAAGACTGTTTTCAATGAAATGCTTTTTCTTAATATCAAAGATCAGAGAGGGGTTGAAAAATCTCTTCATATGTGAAGTTTAACAAATGCCTAGAAAACTTGTCACACATTCAGGATGGACAGACTCCTATGCTCCCATTGTCATCAACAACTGGTGAAAACACTACCTGCAATTTTCTTTTTCCATCTTCTCATCTCTTGTGAGCTCTTCCATGTGATGGTCTGGGTAAAATATGTACATTTCTATGCAAATAGTATGCATGTTATTTTTGCTTTTTCGCTTTTGTTGGTAATGTATTATCCATAGTTTGAAACTCCCTTTTCCCCCAAGCAGTTTAATACAAAGACCAAGATAACACCTCTACATGTACACATACAGCTGTAGAAAATATGTAATACTGGACCAGTTCTTTTTTTAATCTTTATTTATCAGAAGTAAGCTGAAATACAGCAAGGCAATGAAAATAATTCAAACATGTTCCCCCCTATAAGTTTGACTAGAAATGACAAAGACAAGTTGAGAATTAGGAAAAGGAACTGTAGCAAAAATTCAGATTTAGCTCTCAGCATCAGAATCAATGTCCAACTCTAAAATTGATATAATTGACTGTTAATTAATTCCCTTGATATTTTCATTAACACTTGGGAGTAACAAGTATTCTATGTAGCATTTCTGAATTATTCACGAGGCCCTCGGATTCCCTAGCAAAGGTGGCACATGATTGATGCCACTCTCAAGAAAGGAGTTAAACTCAAGGTTTCTTTCCATCTGGCTGCACCTTAGTAGGTAAAGAATTGGCAACAAAAGGGAGGGGTGCAGCCAGCAGGGCAGAGGTGTCTCACGTGAGGCTGCAGCTCCCTGCCCCAACCCCCTTCTCTGCTTCTTGCTTCCACAGGCACTCAGCACTCTGGGTGGTAGGTCTGGGCCCCTACCCTTAAATCTTCGGGATCCAGGACCTCCAATGATTACAAAGATTGGCAAGAAATCCTCACCAAATTATGGCTGCAAAATGCATCCAAACCACCACAATGTTCAAAGCTTAGAAACTCAAGTCTTGGAGAAGAGAGAAGTAAGATAAAGTTCAGCGTTAGATTTTGGAAATCTCAGGGCAGCACAGCAAATATCCCTGCAGTGTGGACAGGAGCTCTCCCTGAAGCCATCATCCTCCCAGGCCACTCCCTGCCTCAGCCCCTCCCACATCTTCCTTAGGCACCAGCCTAAGGTGCTCACTGGCCCAGCCCACCACCTGAGTGTGGCGTGTGTGTGTTCAACCCTCTCTCACCCACATCCACTTTTCATCCCCCACTACCTGTGAGCTCCTAGAGCACCCTCTACCTGACTTGAATGAACATCAAGGGGCCAAGCCATGATTGTATATAATTCTAACTATTTGGTTCACCTCCATGAACATGTTATACCTCCGGCCAAGGTGAGCTGTTTGTTCCTTATGTTCAGAAGCAGTAAGAGCATGGGTGACCAGGGAATAAAGCTGACCTTCCAGCCCTGAACACAGCTTCCCAGGGATAGATTATGGGCCAGTGAGTACCAGGTGGACAATCACTTTATCTCACTCCAGCCTGACAATTCCCTTCTGTGCATGGGCCACCAAAGAGCACCCCAACTTCCAGCAGACGATGCCTAACTGCCCTCAGCAAATGATACAGGGCCCAGGCTCCCAGAATCCAGGACTTAGGGTCCTACTCAAACCAACTCCAGGTGCCAAGAATGGCCTGGGACATCACGGGCAAGACCGGCCCCCATTGCCTGTCCTTTTCTTCCAGTTGAAACAAAGATACTTATCTGTGATGTGAAACCTGGGACAACAACCTCCTATATCTGGCCATTTCAAACAAAAAGGCATATTAGTCTCTGCACTATAAAAAATAATACAAATTGTCTTAAGGACAAAATAAAGAAAATGTCATGGGGATATGAGAATGATTGATAGGGCCATGACCTTCAATATGTTGAGGTCCCTTCAAAAGAGTTCCAGTTTGGGATTTAGGGTAGAGCCCTAGCGTACGCACCTCCATGCTTGGAGACCCAAATTCATTCAGCAAAATAGGGGTTGTATCCTTCAAACTGATAGATGATCTGGCTGCAGTGTCCCCGCCTGGAACCTTCTTGGAGTTCCTTATGTCAGTCTGTTTTCATGCTGCTGATAAAGACATACCCGAGACTGGGTAATTTATAAAGAAAAAGAGGTTTAATGGACTCACAGTTCCACATGGCTGGGAGGCCTCACAATCATGGTGGAAGACAAAAGACACTTCCAACAAGGCACCCAGGTAAGAGAGAATGCAAGCCAAGTGTAAGCAGAAACCCCTTATAAAACCATCAGATCTCGTGAGACTTATTCACTACCATGAGAACAGTGTGGAGGAAAACTCCCCCATGACTCAATTATCTCCCTCTGGGTCCCTCCCACAACACGTGGGAATTATGAGAGCTATAATTCAAGATGAGATTTGGATGGGGACACAGCCAAACCGTATCACCCCTGGAAGGGCAAAGAATTCAGAGGGAGGCCCGGCCTCTCTTCCCCTTGTGACATTTCTCAGACAATGGATGCTAGAGAAGGAGGGCAGAAGGGTAGGACTGTTTTGCTAGAAAAAGAAATCACATTCCGTGATCTCTATTGTTTATTGGAACTTAAAAAATAAGTTTTAAAAAAAGGACTCAACAAAATAAACTGAATAAAGTCAAATGAAATTCAGTTCAAGCTTAGGAAGTGCTTGTAAGTAAACATCATCAACCCTCCTTTGACAAGTGGCTTTCCATCACCCGGCAGCCCGAGCGGTGGCCTCGGGATGGTGGCCTGATTGTCAGCTGACAGATGAGGGACAGATCTGCTTGTCGAGAAGCCAGCGGATTGCCCTCGAGTTGTTTGTAATGACAGGAGACAAAGAATGGCTGCTGAGAGTGATCTCTTGTTTTACAAGCTCGGCAT
Organism: Homo sapiens; assembly: GCF_000001405.40. NCBI lineage: Eukaryota > Metazoa > Chordata > Mammalia > Primates > Hominidae > Homo > Homo sapiens. The sequence goes on along the minus strand of NC_000019.10, from coordinate 30,791,283 downwards.
CAGGAGAGAGCCTGGTCCTGGAGCCCACTTGGGGGAATGGCCCTAACTGGACACAGCCTCCTCGGGCCACACTCCACCTTTGGCAATTTGCACACCAGGCCAGCTCGCTCCCTGTCATGTGCGTTCAAATAAATACTGTAGTAAAAATGATAAATCCTTTCTGCCTTATGAGTCACCGCACTCCCCGCTCTGAGATTTCTGTCTTTTATTGTCACTCTGAAACCATTTCCAATCATTTTTTGCATTTGATCTCGATTGTCTTAAAAAATTAATCAGACACATGTTCACTATGTTTTTATCCAACTGTCTCCAGAATGTTTTTCGACAATTTAGAAAAATGTTTTGAAAAATAGTAAAGGGAAATATTTAAGTAATTATGATCCTCACATTGCGGGGCCAAGTGAAGTAAACTAATGCAATGGAAACATGTTTTACAGATTTGTTTAATTATTTTTAAGTACAATGAAACTGCATTGCTCTGGGGGAAAGATTTATAATCTGGGCCTTCTCTGACACTTACCTCTTTAGGGACTGCATGCCTCACCAAAGGGAAAATGCCTGGGCCAAGGAGCTGCTTGGGTTGGATCAGAGCCGTCCCCACCCTATAACTTCCATCAGCCCTCCCTGAGCCTCCTTAAATAAACATACAATCAAAGTCAAAAACATATGCTTGTTATACAGAAGCATCTTGAAGACATCTCAGAACCAGTTTGTCATCCCAAGGACCTCCCAAACAGAAGTCCTGGTGCTGCCTTTGCAAAGGTGGAGCTTTGTTTATGGTTTGCTTGTGCCCTTCCAAAGAACCAGCCCGCCCCAGAACAAGTAGCCCCTCCCTGAGCTCATGCCACCCTGTCTTTGGAGAAGGGACATAATGAGGCTACAAAACAATGTAGCTACACCCAAGGCTGCATTTTGCCAGGTCCTAGGACCCAAGTGGGGAACAAAAAGGCTTGTTCTTATTCAGAATTATACTTGGAGTGTTTACCAAATAGGTTTGAGGAAGCAGAAGGACTCACATAATGAAAGACTCACTTCCTATTACCTAACTGGTGTGTTACAGTCCAATTCTGACACTAATTGCCTGGAGTTAGTATAGACTCCACAGGCTAAATAAGACCGCCCTCACTTTATTTAGATACGTGCTGCAAATTCAGAGGTCCCAGAGCACCCACACTTCTGACCAACTGGTACCAACTCTGAAGGAGACCTACAACTCCCTTCAGGTTCAATAACTCTCTAGAATTACTTCCAGAACTTAGGAAATCACTATGCTTATGATTACGTTTTATTACAAAGGATAAATTACCAGGACCAGCCAAATAAAGAGATACATAGAGTGATACCTTACATAGTCCCAAACACAGTTTCCAGACCCACTCCCCATGGAATCGGGATGTATCACCCTCCTAATATATCAATGTGTTCACCAGCCAGGAAGCACCACTGAGCTTCAATGTCCGAAGTTTTTATTGGGATTTCATAATGCAGGTCTCATGGATTAAATCATTGACCAGGTGATTGAACTCAATCTCCAGCCCCTCCCTGGAGGTCCAGCTGGCTCAAAGACCATGATGGGCCTTTCTGGTGACTGACTAGCCCCTATCCTGAGTTATCTCATGGGCATGAACTCCAGTGAGATCCAAGAGCTCATGAAGAACAAAGGCACTCTCCTAATACTTGGAAAATTCCAAGGATGTTGAGTCTGTATCCCCAGAACCAGGGACAGAGGCCAGTTAAATTCTTTATTATGCAATAATATCAAACCCTGAGATTCCCTGGGATGTCACTGCTTCTCGTAGATCTGACTACCCTTTACCCAAATTTCCACCCTACCCCCATTTTCCCAGTCTCTGAAAGTCCAAAACACATTCCATGAACTGTGGGAGCTTCCGGGAACTCACCCTCTCCTCTGACCTGTGCTAGCTTCCTGTTTCTCTTTGAGTCAAACCTGAGTTGAAACATGATTTTATGTATGGTTTCCACCTCCACTCCACTCTTACTAGGCATTTTATTAGTTTAGTCATATTTACTGAAGTCACAGGGTCATGATGAGGGATCATTACAAGCAGCACCTTGTCTTGAACATCCATCCCATTCCATTCACTGCATTTGCTCTTGGGGGCACAGATATTTTCCTTGTACCACTTAGAGCAGCTTAACAGCCATCTCTGATTCTCTGCAGGTCTTTGGGGTTTTGCCCTTGAGGCCACACAACCAATCAATATTTTTCTTCTAATTAATACAGAGCTCTCCCCTTCAGATAGAATGCTTCTGAACCCTCTCACTCCATTTCTTACATGTCTCTCATGACAGCCTTTACACTGCAACTGGCTACATAAACAATCTGCATTTGGGACCTGCCACCCAAGAAGGGGACAAGCGTGTCACAAAAGCAGGTATGTTACTATTCACGTGTTTGGCCACTGCACCTTTTTTGAGCCTGAATGTGAGAGACGATGGGGACCCTGAATGAACCTCAGGCCAGAGACAAGACTTCCTGGACCAGCTCTTAGAACAGTTGGTTTGTGGGCTGCGTGAATGCAGCCCTGTCCGGTGGAGAAGCCCTGAGGATGAGGAGAAACAGCTCAGGATGCCATGTTCAAATCCAGAGAGTTGGTCTGTGAGCCTCACCAGGGCTGGGCAAGTTCCCCAACAGGCTTCTTCAGACCTTTAATGCCACAGCTCTCTGCAAGGCCTGGAAAACACTGATATCTCTTCCTCCCCTCCTGCTTTTCTCCCCCTAGAGGGCCCTCAGCTGGGCACATGGGTCCCCAGGCTCTGCAGGGAGCAAGGCAGGCCAGGACCTCCCCTTCCCGGGCCCAAGCTATTCTCCCCTAGGGCCTCAAACTTGCTTTCCTACTCCCAAGGGATGGCCCATTGCAGGGTGACCTCCAGAGACTCAGCAAACTTACAAGGGGGAAAAACACAGCCTGATACTTTAAGAAATGTACTCCAGAGCCTTTTGACTTTTAATTTTTTATTGCTGTTTCTGTCAATTCAGCAGGTTTCAAAGCTGTGGCTCTAGAACAAGGTGCTGCCAAGGAGTTCATTTATGATATCACCAATGATGATAGACTCCATCGTTTAAGCCTCTGCTTAGCTGCTGGGGATGAAGCTCTGTACCAGGCCTTTTACTTCCGCATATTATTTCATCTTTGCAATAGGTCTCCAAGGTCAGGGGCAAGGGGGAAGAAAGGTAAACCTATTTACAGTGGAGAAACTGAGGTTCAGAGAGGACCAGCACTTCTCCAGAGACCCATAGTCTCTTAGCTGCAAATGTCTGGTGCTTTCATTTAACTACTGGAGATTCAATGGGTTGGAGGAGTCTGTAGGGGGTTTCCGGTAGACCCTCCCTCAGCCAGGCAAGGAAAGCATCCTGTACTTGTGTCTCATGAAGGCGATTTTCTTCATCCAGTAGTGTAGCAGCTAAGCCTAGTGGATCAGTGGCTTTGCAACTCTCCACTATCAAAGGGTCAAATTTATCCCAGGATAGCTTCTCATCTCCAGGGGTGTCCAGACCCAGCTTTGTCCACAAAAGCTCACAGAATCTCCCTTGTGGCAGAAGGATGCCAGTGTAGACAGTGTGAGGATAAAGTGGAGGTCTGCATTTCCCAGCTGCTGGTTTTATTGAATTAGGTCATGACTGGTTCTAGTAGGACGGCTTTGGGGCAGAGGGATATTTTCATATTTTTCATTTCATTTCCTTCATTCCTTCCTTCCTTCCTTTTTTTTTTTCTTTTCAGACAGAGTCTTGCTCTGTCACCCAGGCTGGAGTGCAGTGGCACAATCTCGGCTCACTGCAACCTCTGCCTCCTGGGTTCAAGTGATTATCATGCCTCAGCTTCCCAGGCTGGGAGTACAGGGATGTCCCAACACACCCAACTAATTTTTGTATTTCTAATAGACAATGGGTTTCACCATTTTGGCCAGGCTGGTCTCAAACTCTTGACGTCAAATGATCCGCCCACCTCGGCCTCCCAAAGTGCTGGGATTATAACAGTGAGTCACCGCCCACCCTCATATTTTTTCAGTTTGAGGTCTTAAGCGAACAGAAGAGAAGCACATCCCTGCAAACCATTCAGCACCATTCTGTGGGGCACCTGAAATAAAGGACCAAGGGACAGAAGCCCAAGGCCCATGGTAGGAAATCTGAGACTGCCCCCATGGAAGAGAGGGCTTTAGCGGACCCCAGTGGATCCAGAGGCCAGTCTAGCTAACCTCACATGGTCAGCGAACCCTTGAGACCCCTGTTCCCCTTCCCACCCCCCTCCTTGGCCCCCATCAGTACACTTTGTACTTGGGTGCTTCACGGGGAGCTCCTGCTTTCTACAAAGCACATCAACGGCCTGGGAAAGAGCCTTTGTTCCACCTCAGCCCCAAAGGAAAATCGTGTTGCAAGGGGTTTCCCTGTATATGATAATGGTTAACACAAACAGAAATGATCTCAGCCATCATGGAGTCTACAGTCTAGTAGAAAAAGATAAACACCTACCCATTCACGCCCACACACACACACACACCACTTAAATAAGCTAAGTTACACTTGTGATGTGTGCTATGAAGGAAATAACTGGTGTTGCCAGGCCAAGAGGGAGAGGGTATGAAATGAGTTTGTAGACACAGGCAGGGGCCAGGTCCTTGGGAACTTTGTAGAATGCAGTGAGAAGCTTGGATGTCACCTGATGTGTATGTAGCAGGAAGGTGCTGATGGATTTTAAATAGGAGATAACATGATTCAATTGATGGTTTCAGAAAAGCATTCTGGCTGCTGAATGGAAAATGGATTGAATCACCCTGGTATGGAGGTGAACACCTGCTATAGTGATGGGGCAAAGTGTAATAGAGTCTGAGGAAGGATGGGAGCAGCTAAGATGGGGAGAAATAGAGAGGTTCAAGACGAGTTTTTAAAACAGAAGAGGGAAGACTTGCTGAGGAGTTGGATGTGGGAGTAAGAGAAAGGAAAAACTCAAGGATATCTGGCTTAACCAATGTGGTGGATGATGGTGATGTCTACTGAGATGAAAAGCTATAGGGAAATATGTTAATTTGTATTGTTGCAAAGCAATTTATCACAAATCTCATGACTTAAAGCAACACAGATGTATGAGCTCACGGTTTCTATCGGTCAGTCTCTGGGCACAGGGTCTCATGGAGCTTCCATCAGGGTGTCAGCCAAGCTGTGGTTGTCATCTGGAGAGTTCTCTTTGAAGCTCACTATTGTTGTCAGAGTTCGGCTTCTCGTGGTTGTAGGACAGAAGTCTCAATCTGATTACCGCTCCAGGCCACAGATCATGCTCAGCTCCTAGAGGCCACTCCTGGAGCCTCATCAACAGCACTAAAAACCTCCTTTGAGTTGAGTTTTTCTGAACTCTTCTGCCACCAACTGGAGAAATCTCTCTACTTTTACAGTTCTCACTGGATTAAGTTAGTCCCACCTGAATAATCTCCCTTTATTAAACTCAACTGTGCTGTATAGCATAACCTAATCATCAAAAGAAGATCCATGGCACTCAGAGACCCAGGGATCATACAGGGCATGTGCACGAGAGGAGTGAGAAACTTTGGGGATGTCTTAGAATTCTACCAGTCACATGGGGGTGGTTGGGGCTGGATTATGAGTTATGAGTTCAGTTTCGGATGTGGTAATCTTGATAGGATTGCCACACAGCCAGAGTGAAATAAGAAAAGTCAAGGTTGGATACACAAGCCAGGTCTGGACTAAAACTATACATTTGGGAGCAGTCATTATGTTAAAACTGGGATAATGGGTGGGCTTACCTGAGAGAGAGTGTGGGTAGGACTGAGTTTTTAGGAACTCAACATTTGGAGGTTGAGTGGAAGAGGGGGATTGAACCAACATGGAGCCAGGGAGGGAACGTGCGTGTGCATAAGGTGGGAGTAGGATTTCCATCTAAGGAAACACACAAAAAACATCTATTGGATTGGTGGACGTCATGGAGGTTACTGGGGACATTCACCAAATGAATATTTGACAGTGTGGCGAGATGCAAACTGGATTAGGGTGGGGTGGAGAGTGAAGGTGTTCGTAGGTAGATGGGCATGGTCCAAGGGGGTAGAATATCCACCCTGCAAGGTGCCAGAGGGGACCCCGAATGAGGCCATGGCCTTGAGAACAAGAGAGAGATGGGATTGAGGATGCATGGGGAGGGATTGGCCTTAGACATGAAGAGGGACGCTTCCTCTCTCAGAGTCCCATCAGTGCGGAGGCCAAGCTGGGGCGCCATCTGGTGGTAGGGGAAGAAAATGAGACTCCTTACAAGGCCTCTGCTTTTCTTGGTGGTACTTGAGGCCAGCTTTCATTGGTTGTGCAGGGAGGGTTGGGAGCAGGCCGGAGGTTAGGTGAGAGGGCTTCAGGTGGAATTGTTGAGAGTAGGAACAACTTTTCCGGTAGAAACTGGACTGCAGGCATGCGTGAGTTTGGAGCTGAGAACCCATTCGAGGAAGCCTTCTTAACCAGTCTTCTGACCACAGGCAGGGTCACATGGATCCTGGAGGCCTCCTTTACCCACCAGCTCTACTCTCCACGGCAGAGCTTTACATGCCCCAGTGTGCATACATTCTTCCTTCTCACTTCCGCATATGGATGGAAGCTCCTGGAGTAAGGAATTGTGTATCTTCTACCCAGGATGGACTGCTGCATCCGACCACAACAGTTGCTAATTAAATGTTTCCTTAACTGAATTAATGAAGACCCAAGGGGAGAACAGATGCTGATGGTGGTGGATGCGTCCAGAACCCGCTGGTAACAAGCATGGCCCCATCGTGGCTTTCCTTTGGCCAGCCAGGGCAGGACAGAGATCCCTGGCGCCTTCAAAGGAAGACTGCCTCTATTAGTGGGATGCTGGGGTGTAATCCTAATTTTCAGATCCACACATTTTGTGTGTGGATTCATGGTTTTGTACTGAAGCCCAAATGAGCAGAAATACCCAGGGGGAATATCTAAAATATAAGCTTGTTATTAAGAGTAAATAAACCCACACAAACCCCGCACCAACCGGCTGTCTCTCCAAGTCAGTGGGAAGCAGGATGGCTTAGGAAGGAGCCACAGCTGAGCCTTCTCCGTGAGCTGGGCCATGCAGCACTGCCAGTTCCCAAGGCTGGTGAGCCGTCCATGCGTCCCGCCACCTGATGGCCATTCACGCAGAATCCCAGTGCCCCATCCTGCTGCTCTGTGACCATCTAGACATAGTTTCCAGCAACACCAGCTTGTTTCCTTAGCACAGGCTCCTTCGGACCCCCCTAGTCCCCAGCAGAGCTGCCCCATCCAGCTCTAAGTGAAGGGGTCCCTTTATCTCGGGCAGAGGAGACAGAAAGAGAAGGAGACCTGAGGAGGTGTATGGAGGAGACACAGAGAGACAGACAGAGCAGGACAGCAAACAGCTGAGCAATATGAGAAAGCTTAGAGCTGGGCAAGAAAGACCTGAGTTCTCCTGCTGGATCCACACTTTCTATGCATCGTGAGCAAGCCCCTAAGTCCCTTCCTCCCTCTGAACTTCAGCTACCCCAACCAGATGAAGATTTTAAGGCTCCTCACAGCTCTAACAGCTATCACACGGGGGAGAGGCAGGCCATAGATTAAGAGCAAAGAGGCAGAGAGAGAGACAAAGGTCAATAAAGATGGCAATTCATGCTGTAAATGCCCATGCCCTGTAATGCTGACTAAGGCACATGGTCTCTTACTCTGACCAGAGCAACTCCAGTACCAAAGAAGAAGATACCCCCATTCTGTCTGGTTCAAACAATAAGAACTTTTATATCCCATAAAATAAGAAGTCCAGAAACAGCCAGGACTCTGGAGTTTGATGATTTTGTCACTCAGGGAGTCCTCATTGCCCAGGGACCTTTCATCGCACCGTTCTGTCCTCCCAGCACACCCAGATTTTGGTGTCAAGATCACTTTCCTCGAGTCTCAAGATGGCTGGCTCTCAATGTACAAAAGTCACATGTAGAAATAATAAGGTCCAGAAGAAGAAAGGGTTTGCCTCTCTCTTATATCTCCTTTTAGGAGCAAGGGAACCTTTTGTAGAAGCCCCTTATCTTCTGCCCCACTCCTGGCTGACTTAAGTCTCACTGGCCATAAGGAAGACCTATTTCTCTTTCTATGCCAATGAATGTCTTGGGAGCTGAGGTTAATTTTCACAATTGGTTTACTTTTATCAAATCAGAGAGGATGGATGGTGAGGAGTTCATCATCAAGACTCCTACAAGACTACATTCACAGTAGAGCACTTTTGGACCAAGAAGGGTGGCTTGGTGAGATCTGGGGTGACATCTGAGCAGGTAATAGCCTTTGCTGGTAAGGTGATGCTTTGCAACCAATGCAGCTTCTGAAAGTCTTCTTTGGCTGTGGGCTTTCTGGATGACCCTGAGAACTCCTGTCTTCTTTCCAGACCTGTTTCCCCTCTAAGCAAGAAGGCATAGGCAAGGGTATCTCTAAGGCTGATAACATCAGACATGAAGTAAGTTTGTGGCTGAAGTATGCATCCTCATTTATGATCATCAGAACAGTCCGGAAAAAAAAAAAAAAGAAAAGAAGAGAAACTTCATGTAGACTTGAAGGACTTAAGGAAGAACACAGGAGATGCAAGAAGGAAAATTACCCACGCCTCACTTCATTTTTCTTCATTAGGGTTACTTACACACAAGAATGACCAGGAAAAGGCAGGCCAGTGTCAATGGTGGGTATGGGGCCCTGAATCCATCTAGAGCCTTGGCCATAAGTGGTGGGAGAGGCAGGCGAGACTAACATAGGTAAAGAAAGGGAATGCGTTGGTTCATATGACCACAGGGTATGACAGTCAAGGGAGCATGGTTCCCCCAAGGGAAATTCAGGATTCTGTGACCTAAAGAAAGACAATATGTGTGGGATGGGAGGAAAACAGTCCATGGACATTCATGTAATGGGACTTTAATTGTTCCAAACATTTAATATCCCCCAGGCCGTGGTATGCTTAGGCACAATTTTGCACCAGTTTTCCAGCTTCTCAAGGGGAGAAACATGCTTGAGACTGAACTCTCTTAAGAGGGACATGGGGAGGCCACTTGGACAATCATGGGAGTGAATTCTGAGGTCAGCCCTCCTATTGAACACCCATGAGAGGCCAGCAGCCCTCCTGTTTTCTGTGGTTCTCCCATGAGAATTCTCAGAGAGGAGATTTAGACCCAATAACAGATGAAAGCCACCCTAGTAGTATGGCAAGTTGAAGATGAACATGTGCAAACATAAGTTCATGGCAGGGTTCTGTCTGCCCCACCCCAACCCCCACCCCAAGGAGTGAGGCCAGGCCCCCCCCCCAACCCCACCCAGGGCACCTCCTGCACCTTGAGGGGGAATGAGACCCATGCACATGGAGCGAGGGGTGGCTGGCATGAGGCCACCCAGAGGGGCGAGCCTCTTTCCTCAGGCTCCTGACTAAGCCTTGCTTTGGCCACAGCTGGACTCCTGGGACCAGGACGAAGTCTGGCAAAGTGGCAATGCGCGCGGGGGCTGGGTGTGGACGGGAAGGACACAGAACGCTTTGTAAGCACATCTGGGCCGCTCTGCAGGAAGAAGCTGCTGACAGACTGTTTGCCAATAAAGAAAGTTGCACAGCCTAATAAGAATCAGATGGCTCCTCCAGCCCATCTCCATCCTGGCTGTGCTTTGCAGGATGTACCTAGGCGGGGCCAGGCAGCTCTTCCCCTGGGAGACCCAATACAGTGGAGTCTTGTGGCTCCTTCCATCAGCTGAGAGCCAGGAAGTCTCTGTCCCTTCTGTGCTCTGGTCCAAGTCATTCAGAAGCACTACCTCCAAAGCTCTGGCCCATCCAACTGCCTTCTATTGGGCCATTGTTTGATTAGTGTATGGCTGTACAGGGCTGGAGTCTCCCATGCCCAGAACCAGCCTGCCCATTATCTCACATGGTCATCTTTCCAAGGTGACTTCTGGAAGCGGGTTTTGTCTTTTCAACAAAATCAGATTTCAAGTCTGCTGGAGGCAGGGTCCCATCCTGCATTTCTGCCTCCTGCCTGGTCAGAGGACTGAGCACGAAAGCATCCCTCAAAGGGCTCTGTGGGTCCATCCACAGTTCCAGCAATCCCATCTGATAGTGGGTACAGAACCCCCCAGCACAAAAGCAGACAAGAAGCCAACACTAACCCATTGACTGGCAGGAGGGAAAAGGGGGGCCACCAAAAATCCTCAGGATCCATGATTTTGAAACTTAAACTGTGAAACTTCCTATAATCAAATACATATTTGAAAGCTCAATAGGTAGAACAGAGGAGAGCAAGTTTCCCTAGATGGGAGCAGGGGCCTGGGGGTTCAGTAAGTTTATTCTTTCTCTCAGCTTTTCTATTCCTTCTCCCAGGGAACTCCCCAAGGAACCATGGGGAATTCCAAGCACTTCTCTGGGACCACCATGAAAATGGCTGCATTAGCCCCTCCTCCAGCCTCCTGGTAGACCACCTTACAGCAGTTCCAGATAAACAGATACCTTTCTTAGCCTTCTCTGAAACTGAGGAATAGAAATGCATCCTTTATGGTGGAAAGATCTCCAGACTTCAGTTCAGAAGCCCTGGCCTCCCATGCCAACCCTGGCACCTACCAGCTAAGCAGCCTTGGGCCGAATGTCCTGGACTTCGATTCTCTTATTTTAAAGCAGGGGTGGTGCTGCCCACCTTACTAAATGTAGCACTTGCTGAAATCCCTAGGATAAACCTGGCACTTGACAGTCACTGATTGTGTGGACCTGATTGGGATGCTATTTTTGCAGAAGCAGAAGGAGCAAAGAGGGTACTTATGGGGTCAAACCCAGGGCAGGAAATCTGGGAGGCCATCGCAGAGTTCCATAGAACCCAGGAGCACAGGGAGAGGGCAGCGTTTGGGTATTTTTCCCTGAAAGCATTTTGTGAGGCTGCTGCAAGACATCCTGTACATTCTATTATTAGGAAAGGAACCCAGCCCGGGACGCAATCATCATAAACCTCAAACTGCTGTTTACAAATGCGGGGATTTTGGTGAGACCTAAAATGCTCTTCCCCAAATGCATTCTCCCCCGCCCCCTTGGTTTTTAAACCCATGTGGATTCCAAGGGAAATTGAATCCATATGTTTCTGGTTCATTTACACTGAACTCATCAAAATGTAATTTTGCAACATCTAGTTGACGTCCAGGATGTCTTTAGAAGCCTCATTTTTATGCCTTTTTATAAGCCCCTCTCCCTAGGAAACAGGAAGTTATGCCTTGCAGAGAGTGGATGGAATTCCAGCCAAGCAAGGGTTCTGCCGAGAAGACCCACGAGACTGGAAGGAGCTCTTATGTCTTAAGGACCTTTATCCATGTCTTCATCCCCACTTTCAGAGAAGGGAGCTTCAAGAACTGCCCAGTGGGAAGCACCCAACTTCCCAACCCAGAATGGAGTGGAATCCAAGCTACCTTCGTTTCAGCTCTGTGACTTGTCACCTCCCTGATGGTCAACGAGATTTACTTATTTTTTTTAATAAAACAGCTAGTTCCATTTTGTTGATGGGGACTCAGAGGCTTAGGGTAGCAAAGTGACTTGTCCAAGTCAATGGCACAGCTTGGATTAACAAACTGCATGGGAAAAGTCTTTCCAGACTGAGAAGTCCTGTGGGTGAGAACGTGCTCCGGATATCTGTGGGATAATGGAGAGAAATAGACGTCGTTTCTGACCTGGTTCACTCTGAGGCCCGACAGGAGGCTGAGGTATTACATTACCAGTGTGCTTTGGTTTCTGAGTAGGTTAATGGTCCATTTAAAAGTAAAATTTTGACCAACTAATAAGGCTTCGGTCACAAGCTGCAGTTTACACACAAATACGAATGCAGGGAAGGAGAGGGGCAGCTCAGGGTCGCAGTGGTGGAGGCAGATAAGTGGGACATTTGGATTCTGGTCCTGAGTCCAGCACACAGTGGCATCCTCAAATACCTTCTCTAATTAATTAGAACACCGTCTCTGGCTTCCTTCTCAACAATTATGCAGGCAGAGAGAAATAGCATGTCTTCCAAGGGCTTGCAAAGGTCCCCATGTGTTTTGAATTGGTCATCTGGAGGGTGGTGACTGCCTGCCCGCTGCCCTCAGAGCCGGGTCTGAATGCAAGATGTGGGCTGGCAAGGCCGTCTGGGTAGAGAGGGGGCTGGGCCGACCTCTCACCCTGCATAGCAGACAGTTGGAAGAAGACGGGGGGCATTCACACCAGGCAGACTTGAAGTGACACAGCCAGGTCCAGTATTGGGCATCTCTGTCCTCTTCCCCACCAGTAGTCATCAGGGGCATTGAACCTAGTCATGCCCTAAGGTCAGACCATTCACCCTCACTAGTTAAGGATTGGCAGCATTTGACAGGAGGAGGACAATGTTGTCTGCAGCATTCTTATCCATAGTTTCTCCCAGGCTACCGTGAAAATGAGCTTGCCATCCATTAACCTCTGTCCCCTCCTTCCCCCAAAAGCCTAAGATAGGGCCTGACACTCAGTATATTCTTGCAATAAGTGTCCTGTACATACCAGAACTGGACTGGCTCTAGGAAAATCCAGCCACTGCATGGTTGGTCCCCAACAACCTTAGCCAGTAGAGAGGTGCCTGTCTGTCAAGGGAGTCTTTGTTTCCCCAGATGGATGGAAAAGCTACATCCCCAGATGGATGGAAAAGGCAATTGCCACTGCCCTTCTCTCTCTTTTTCCTGCGTTAAATGTAGATGTGACACCTGATGGTTGAGCAGCCATCTTGCAACAACAAGGCCGCAAACATGAGAATAAAACCAATGAGCTGAGGAGGACGGAGGAGAAAAACAGACCGTGCAGATGGCATTGTTGATGCACTGAAATATCTGTAACCAGAATAATTGCTGTATGAGTAAAACAAGCCTCCTGTGTTTCTGAACCCTTTGTTGGTTTTCTTTTCCTTGCAGCTGAAAGCATTCCTAACTATTCCTGGCTATTGAGAAACAGAATCCGAACACTGGAGGGAGCTGAGGCAGAAGCTATTAAAAGCTGGGACTCAAGTCAAAAGTCCTGTGCAAGGCAAGCATGTAAGTCCTATGTTACAGGCAAACAGAAAAACCATGAGTCAGCCCAGGAAACTGGTCCACAGAGAGAGCTCGGAGCCTAGGGTGGCTGTCAGGAAGTAGTAGTTATGTCCATCCATCTGGCCCAGGTACTTGAAGCAAGGAGGAGGGACCAAGAACTAGTTCTGGTCCCAGTCCAGCCCAAGGGACTCACTTGAGTCCTATGGAGAGGAGCCTGTATCACTTCCACACAAACACAGCATGATGCTGGCATTCTGTGGCCTTCTATTTTGTTGGAGAGAGAGTTCCAGAGACATTTCCTCCTGGACAGGACCATTCTCTGATGGTATCTTCTGAGGACATGGGATGCAGCAAGGAGCTTCAGAGAGCCGTATCCTGGTATCCTGACCATACCTCAGGGGCTACAGCCAGCTCCTCCCAGGTTCTGGCCATGTCAGATGTGATAAGTAATAGAAGCTGGCTGGAGTGAACACAGCTTTTCTCGACATCGCCGAGGTAGGAGAGTCACACTGTAGATAAAGTGGTCAGCCCTCAGCACACACATGCAGTCTGGCCATGTTTGCCTTCAGGTTCTTCCCAAGTGTTTTGCTTATACCCATATTTTCCCTTCTTCTTCCTGGCACCTTCCCTTCTCCCTAAAGACTCCAAGTGTCCTGGAGCTGGCCTGAGAGCCTGTACACACCAAGGGTCCTTGCCTCTTTCTCACCAGAAGCTGTTAATTCCCTCCCGGCCCTTTTCTTTCCCCACAAATCTCAAATGTGTCCTAATATTATAATATGGGAATCACCATTAACCTTCCGTCCACCCGCAAAGGGGAGTACTAGTGGCAGTCTCCAGTGAGTTATGTTGGGCCCCTCTTGGAGGCACTCCCCAGCACCTCACTGTTGATAGCTGGGTGAGCCCATGGCATTTCAGACCCTTCCTCATCCTGAGCTGCACCCCTGCTGGGCCACTTAGGGCAGGGCAAAGGCAGAGAGAGGCCCAGAAGGTGGACACAAGCCATTGGGCATGACCCCTCTCCTGGAAAGGCCATATTGGTCTCTGCAAGGTGTCTGAGTTCTGTAGGATTTAGAACATTGGTCATCTGGGCAACCCGAACCTGGTTACCAGAGGAAACAAGCAAAGTGCTCCCTGGTGCCCCTCTTGCCCCTCTTCCCATCCATGGGCATCATTAACTTAATTCCCATTTCCACTGTCTAGATATTTGGTCCATAAAGAACTAAATTAGCTCCATTATTGATCCTCATGGCACGGTGGGTCCAGCAAGGTGACTGGCTTCTCTGCCCATGAGAGGGGTAATAGTCAAAAATAGAGCAGAGGCCAAAGTTATTTTGAATTAACTACTAATGGATAGGATTTCTATAGCTATTTTTTAATACCTGTATGATTTGATGAAAATCAGACTCAAGAGGAACTCAATTTTGTTTTTCATTAATATTCACTTTGTTAACACGAACAGATGATTTCTGGGAGCTCTCCTTGCCCTTTTAATTTGTCTCCATATAATGTGGTGGAAATATCCTCCATTATTAAACTGATTAGCAAATGCCACAAATCTTTTCTTGTAGATTTCTTCATTATTACTTATGCAGGACAATGTGTTTGGATTTTGTGAACCAGAAGGCTGGAGATGGTAGTATTGAAAAGCAGAGGGAGAGACAGGCTTTTGAAAATTCAAAAAAGTACTAAATAACAACAGCAAACCTGTCGCGAAACAGCACACTTTGAATTTCTTTAAAGGGACAATGATATTGCACAGGTTACAAATGGGAAGTCACCCTGCTGAGAATTAACGAACCGGACAGACCAGACCTTAGCACCCAAAACAGAGCCTGTTATGAATCGCTTTCTACAAAGGAAAGAGAAATCTCCATAGCCCCTCTAACAGGTATTTATTTAGATGCTTAAATCCTCCCTGTGGTGGGGAGCTCACTACCTCCCAGGGCAGCCATGACCAATTTAGGATCTCCAATTGCCTTTTCTTCGATTTAATGGAATTGAAACCACTTTCCACTTCAGGATGACGTAGAGCAGGGGCAAAGCTCTTTGAAAGCAGAAAATCTACAGTGCGCAGGACTCAAGAATTTCAAGCATCTCTCGAGTGACTTTCCCTTGGACTGGCTTAACTCTCCAAGTTCCCAAAGCCTTTTCACAGAGATCATTTCATTTCACATTCAAAGGGCCACACCAACTAAATGGGACAGTCATTATTATTAAAACAAACACAAACTAGAGATTGCTGAGGAAACTAACACCAAATTAATACTTATCTCAAGATGATCAGAACTAGTAAGGGTGAGATTTGGGTGGGACTAGAATTTGGGTCCTTGGGCTCCACAGGTTTCAAGTGAAAATGTTGATTTTTTTCCAGATTGCCTGAGATGAAGCCATTGTTGCAACACCTGGTGCAAGATTTTGTCAATTAGGGCACTGCTAACAGCAGAGCTAGAGCAATCAATGACGGTATAAGTCCATTCTCACATTGCTATAAAGAAATACTTGAGACTGGGTAATTTATAAAGAAAAGAAGTTTAATTGGCTCACAGTTCAGCAGGCTGTACAGGAAGCATGATGCTGGAAACTGCTTGACTTCCAAGGAGGACTCAGGAAACTTACAATCATGGCAGAAGGTGAAAGGGAAACAGGCACGTCTTACATGGCAGAAGCAGAAGCAGGAGAGAGAGAGAGTGAGGGGAAAGATGCTCCACTTTCAAACGACCAGATCTTGCAAGAGCTCACTCGCTATCATGAGAACAGCACCAAGGGATTGGTACTAAACCATTCACAAGAAATCCACCTCCTTGATCCAATCACCTTCCACCAGGCCCCACCTCCACTACTGGGAATTACAATTTGACATGAGATTTGGGTGGAGACACAGATTCAAACCATATCAATGACTAACTCACCCCTTACTTTTGGGGGATCTCTGATCAGTTCTCTGTAAAAGATTTGCTGCCACATTAACTTGCATTCTCTGAAAAGCTGAAGCTGCACCAGCCCAGCTCAGGTACCTCTTCAGTCTTTGTCTTCAAGAAAAAAATTCAAACATCTTGGCCTTCTGAAACAAACAGTCCAAGATCTGGCAAAAAATCTATTCATAGACTTCATTTCACATTGCTCCTGCCAAACCACCCCTGCTATAAGGTTCTCAGTATCTCTGCTGCAGTCCCCCAAAATTCTAGGTTCATTCTTGTCTTCTTCCCAGTGCCATACTACTTAGCTCCTTAGCCCACCCTGATATCCATCAGGGTTAGTGAAAGAAATTCGATTCATGCTGGTCTAAGCACAAAGATAATTTATTATGTACCTAAATGGAAAAATCTAAATGGAGCTGGCTTCTGGTGTGGCTGAATCTAGAGTCTCAAACAACATCTTTAAGACTCTGTAGGTCCCCATCTCCTTGGCTTCAAGTCCTTCTACATTGGCTTCACCCTACAGAAACTCTTCCCTCATATGGAAAAGATGACCATCAAGAGCATTTGCTGTGCACTTGCCAGCTTACTAAATAGAGCAGGGAAATCGAGCTCCTCTTTCACTTTTTTTTTTTTTTTTTTCCAGAACAAAAGGCTCTGATTGAATAGGTGTGGGTCATGTGGCTATCCCTGCACCCATCTCTATGGCGAAGAGGAGGATAAAATATGCTGATTTTCTTGCCAATCTCAGGTCCACTCCCAAGCTTGAGGATGGCACAGCCTAATAAAAATGCAAATATAGAATGTAAGGGAGGAATGGTTGAGGCTGATGTAACCAGAAGGAAAAAGAACTGCTGGAAGCCACAAAGCTAGGGTTGTCTGCCACTACCCTACTCTTTCCCTGTGTTAATAAATCTTGCTTAAACATCAAGCAGAGTACTACTTGAGCCCCATTTATCTTGCATGGGATCATACCTATATAACTCAGTCTCCAGTGGTTTCTTCCTTTACTGAGACTCTGGATGACATTTTCTGCTAATCATGGAATGCCAGCAGAGGGAGAATCGTTAGAGATATTTCTAAATATATATATATATTTTTTTTTTTTTACAAATAAAACCCATTTCCTGAGATAGGACCAGGATTGACTAAAGATTTGGGCAAAAAAGAAAAAAAGTAGAATATAGGCTTCCCGACCTCCAGGCAAGAGATCTTGCTCTCATAACTCACTTAGGCAGGAGCTAAGTCAGCTTGTGGCATCTGTAATTTGGTCTCTGTTCCACATCTTCAAATCAGGTTTTGACTTCTTGAACTGATAGTTGGTAGGTAGATAAGGAGCATTGGGATGAGATAGAATAACGTTAGTTCTGTCTTTTAGTACTATTGGATTTTAGAAAGAAACAAAACAAAAGGAAACAGAATGGAATTTTAGAAAATCAGTTTTCTCGACTGTAAAATGGGGATAAGAATAGCTGCCAGGGTTCTAGTTTTAGTTAATATGGAGAAAGCTCTGTCCTCCTCACCAACTACAACTAAAATCCTGGACAGACTAGATGGAGCAGTGATCATAGGTTTTTAAATAAAATAAAATTGAATAATCTTTTTTAAGTAGAAGGCAAATTAGAGAAGGAAAACAGATACCAAAATGCTGCCAAAATGGAAGTGAGTCTCTGTTTGTTTCCTTTCTCTGTTTTGTTCAGCCTGAACTTGAAGGCAGCCCAGAACCTGCAACTGTGCACCAGGCATGGTCAGAAAAATACTTAAGATAGGCCCTTTATTTTTGATCAAAAAATTATAAAAGGGAACTCTACAAGTCAGATAGTGGGGAAAATTCTCTGCATTTTTGTTTGTGTTTTATTCTCTCCTACTCTAGCTACTAGGCAATCCTACAGTGGCAGAGCAACAACAGGAGCTGGTCCCATGCCTAAAGCCATGAAGGAGGGAAACACTTCTCTTTTACAAGAGAAACTGTGGTCCCAAAAGCATAAGAATAAGCCACATGCCTTTTTCTCTCTATCATCTTGCCACTTGACCCTGGAGATAACACAGTTTCAGGAAGTGAACAGTGGAGCAGAGACACTAATCAGGCCAGGAAGAAAAATCTTTAGGAGTAAATGAGTATTTAGGACAGAGTGGAAAAGACAATGTTCAAGGAAGTGATTCTAAAAAGTTGTGTATGAACTCCTGGTCTTATACCCAAGCAGTGTGTACATGAATCTGGCCTTAAGAAACATACCTAAGGCATTGAGAACTACAATAACTCCCAGGTCCCAGACTGGGCACTGGGTGACACACATGAAGAACACATCTGAATACCCTTGTAAGCACTCTGAAAACTGAATTTAAATTGGAACCACAACACACAGACTGTGGGCTTGCAGCCTGAACATCATAATTGGTTGATTGCCTACTGAAATAAAACAAAGTAACAATAAATAAATAATAAATAATTATTCAAAAGATTAAAATGACCCAGAGCCCCTTAGTATAATACTCAAAATGTCTAAGATACCTTCTAAAATTGCTTGACATATAAAGAATCAGAAAATTCTCTAGATTACTCAAAGAAAAAGAAAATGACAAATAGACAACAACCTGGAGATGACAGAGTGTTGGAACTACCAAAGATTTTAAGCAGTGATTATAACTATGTTCCAAGAAATAAGGGAAAACACTTTCAAAATAAATGAAAAACTATAAGGTCTTAGCACAGAAATGTAAGATATATAAAAGAATAAAATAAAAACTGTACAACTGAAAAATACAATTAAACTTTAAAAAAATTCATTGAATGAGATCAATACTGCTATTGATGGAGATGAAAGAAGAAAGTCACTGAATCTGAAAGACTGGGAAAACTTACCTAGTCTGAACAACAAAAATAAAAAATAATTGGGGAAAAAAGAAACAAAGCCTGAGAGATGTGTGGAAAGGTACCAAAAGGTCTAATACACATGTCATTAAAGTCCCACAACAAGAAGAGAAATAAGGAGGTGCATTAGAACATAGACAAGATGAGGTGATTGATAGATGATAGAGATAGATAGATAGATAGATAGATAGATAGATAGATAGATGCCAAAGCCATGACTAAGTGAGATTTATTTCTGATATCCAGTGATAATGTAATATATATAAATCAAAAGTGATACACAATATTAATAGAATAAAGAAAAAAGACATGATCATCTCGATTGATGTAGAAAAAGCATTGACAATATTGATGATCCTTTCATTATTAAAACACTAAAAAAACCTAGCAATAGAAGGATATTTCCTTAGTATGATATAAGCCATATATTAAAAGCCACAGCTACCATCAGATTCAATGGTGAAAGACTGAAAACTATTTTTCTAAGACTAAAATTGTATAAGGATGTTGGTCTTCAAGACTTAATTTCAACAATTGATTGAAAGTCCTAACCAGAGGAAATGGTCAAGAAAAAGAAATACAGACATCCAAATGGAAAAGAAAGACCTGTCATCTGTGCTTCTGGATGATATGATCTTACATATAGAAAACCCTAAATATTCCATTAAAAACAATGTTAGAACTAATAAGAGTCAACATATTTGTGAGTTACAAAGTCAGTTGTGTTTCTATACATTAACAATGAATTTTGAAAAGAAATTAAGAAGGAATTAAAATTTACGTTAACATTCAAAAATAAAATACTTAGGATTAAATTTAACCAATGCAGCAAAAGACTTGTACTCACAAAATTGCAAAACATTTCTGAGAGAGATTATGACATAAATAAATGGAAAGATATCCTGTGTTTATAGATTTGAAGACTTAGTATTGTTAAGATATCAATACAACATAATTCCTATAAAACACCAATGAAGTTTCTTTTCAGAAATAGGAAATCTATCTTAAATTTATTTGGAAACTCAAAGAACCCCAAAAAGCCAAAAATAATCTTGAAAAATAAACAAGGTAGAAGACTCACATTTCCTCATTCAAAAATTTGCCACAAAGCTACAGTAATCAAAGCAGTGTGGTACTGACATAAAGACAGATAATATAAACTAATGAATCGAATTGCCAGAAATAAACCCTTACATACAAGAACAAGTGATTTTCAAAAAGGATACAAAGACCATTCAATGGGGGAAAGACAAACATTTCAACTAATGTTGGTGGGAAAACTGGCTATCCACATGCAAAAGAATAAAACTGTATGCCAACCTTATGCCACATATAAAAATTGACTCAAAATAAACAAAAGAGCTATAACTATAAAACTCTTTAAAAAAAGAAAGAAAAAAGCATAGGGGAAAATCTTCATGACCTTGCATTTGGCAATGATTTATTGGGTATAACACCAAGGACTCAGGCAAAAATTTAAAAGCCAAATAATTTTGTCTCTATCAAAATTTTTACAATTGTACATCAAAGAACTCTATGAACAGAGTAAAAGAATGATCCATGGAGTGGGAAGAAAATATTTTCAAATTACATATTGGATAATGGTAATATCCAGAATATATATATATATTTTATTTTATTTTATTATTATTATACTTTAAGTTTTAGGGTACATGTGCACAATGTGCAGGTTAGTTACATATGTATACATGCGCCATGCTGGTGTGCTGCACCCATTAACTCGTCATTTAGCATTAGGTATATCTCCTAATGCTATCCCTCCCTCCTCCCGCCACCCCACAACAGTCCCCAGAATGTGATGTTCCCCTTCCTGTGTCCATGTGTTCTCATTGTTCAATTCCCACCTATGAGTGAGAATATGCAGTGTTTGGTTTTTTGTTCTTGCGATAGTTTACTGAGAATGATGATTTCCAATTTCATCCATGTCCCTACAAAGGACATGAACTCATCATTTTTTATGGCTGCATAGTATTCCATGGTGTATATGTGCCACATTTTCTTAATCCAGTCTATCATTGTTGGACATTTGGGGTGGTTCCAAGTCTTTGCTATTGTGAATAGTGCCGCAATAAACATACGTGTGTATGTGTCTTTATAGCAGCATGATTTATAGCCCTTTGGGTGTATACCCAGTAATGGGATGGCTGGGTCAAATGGTATTTCTAGTTCTAGATCCCTGAGGAATTGCCACACTGACTTCCACAATGGTTGAACTAATTTACAGTCCCACCAACAGTGTAAAAGTGTTCCTATTTCTCCACATCCTCTCCAGAATAAAGAGCTTCTGCACAGCAAAAGAGACTACCATCAGAGTGAACAGGCAACCTACAAAATGGGAGAAAATTTTCGCAACCTACTCATCTGACAAAGGGCTAATATCCAGAATCTACAATGAACTCAAACAAATTTACAAGAAAAAAACAAACAACCCCATCAAAAAGTGGGCAAAGGACATGAACAGACACTTCTCAAAAGAAGACATTTATGCAGCCAAAAAACACATGAGAAAATGCTCACCATCACTGGCCAACAGAGAAATGCAAATCAAAACCACAATGAGATACCATCTCACACCAGTTAGAATGGCAATCATTAAAAAGTCAGAATATATTTTTAAAATTACTGAAAATCAACAACTATAGCAAAAAGAAAACAAGCAACCCAATTAAAAAATGGGCAAAGGACTTAAACAAACATTTATCCAGAGAAGACATACAAATGACCAGTAAGCACATGAAAAGATATTCAAGTTCACTATTCATTAGGGAAATGCAGAATAAAACCACAATGGGATACAAGATCAAATTCATAAAAAATAAGAGTAATAACAAAATAACAAGGATGTGGAGAAATTGAAGCCCTCATTCATTGTTGGTGGGAATGTAGATTGGTGAAGCCTCTGTGGAAAATAGTTATCAGTTCTTCAAATTTTTAAACATAGAATTACCACATCATTCACCAATTCTGCTTCTAGGTATATGCTCAAAATAATTGAAAGCAAGGACTCAGACAAATGCATGTACATCAATTTCCATAGCACCATTCTGTATAATATCCAATTTGTAGAAACAACCCAAATGGCCATCAGCAGATAAGTAAATAAACAAAATGTGGTGTATATATGCAATATCATTCAATCTCAAAAGGAAATGAAAATTTGATACATACTACAACAAGGGGGAACCTTCAAAACATTATAGTAAGTTAAATAAACCTGACACAAAATAACAAATATTACCTAATTTTTTGTATACGAAGCTCCTAGAATAGGTAAATTTATAGTGACAGAAAGTAGAATAATGATTACAAGGGAACTGGAAGCAGGAAGAAATGGGGGTTATTGTTCAATGATTGCAGAGTTTCTGTTTGAGATGATAAAAAAGTTCTGGAAATAGTGGTGAAGGTCGTATAACATTGTGAATGTACTCAATGCCAAAGAATTGTACACTTAAAATAATTAAAATTGTAAGCTTTATGTTGTGTGTTTTACCACAGTAAAAATGTATTATCTATCTACACACACACACACACACACACACACACACATTTTTAAAAACTTAGGAAACAAACTAAAAACAAATGATAAAAGGTAGGCCTACATCTAAACCTTTTAATAAATTACATTAAATACGAATGGTCAAAACATATCAATTAGAAGACAGACACTGTCTACACTAAATTGACCTTTTTTAAAAGACCCAACTGTATGCTGTCAACAAAAACTCACATAAATATGGCTGATTTTATATATAAGATAGATAGATAGATGATAGATAGATAGATAGATAGATAGATAGATAGATAGATAGGTGATAGATAGATAGATAAAATATAATGCTGATTAAAAGTAAAAGAACAGAAAACAATGCATCATGGAGACACTAATTAAAAGTAACCTGAAATGATTATATTTATATTAGATAAGGAGAAAATCAGAGCAAGAAAAATTACCAGATAGAAAAAGAGACAAATGACAAAAATGTCTATTCAGTAAGAAGTCAGTACAAACATAAATATGTATGCACATAACAATATAGCTTTAAAATGCATTAAGCAAAACTGGATAGAAGTGATAGGACAAATAGACAAATTTAAAATTATAGTTAGATAATTCAACATATTCCTCTCAGTTATGGATAGAACAAGTGAAAATCAGCAAAGAGAGAGAAGAACTGAACACCATCAACCAATTGAATCTAATGGACATTTATAGAACATTTATCACACCACCAGCATAATGCATATTCTTTACAAATTTACATGGAATATTCATCAAGACAAACCATGTCCTGGGTCATAATTTTAATTTTAATCAATTTAAAAATATTAAAATTACACAATGTTCCCTAACCATACTATTTCAGTTCCTTTTACCTGATACATCTTTCAATAACAACAACAGCAATAACCAAAAAAAAAATTACAAGGCATGTTATAAAAAAAAAAAGAAGAAGAAGAAGAACAGTCTGAAGAGGCAAAGGAAGCATCAGAACAAGACAGATATGGCAGAATTTTTGAAATTATCAGACTGGAAATTTTAAATAACTATGATAAATATGCTAAGGGTTCTAATAGAAAAAATTGGAAAACATGCAAGAGCAGATGGGTAATATAAATATAGAGATGAAAATTCTAAGAAATAATCAAAGGAAATGCTAGAATTTTTTTAAAGGTAATAAATGAAGAATGCCTTTAAAGAACTCATAAGTAGACTGATTACCGCCAAGGAAAGAATCAGTGAGCTTTTGTACATGTTAATAGGAACTTCCAAAATTGAAATTCACAGAAAAAAATAAATGGATGAAAAAGACAGAACAGAATATCCAAGTACTGTAGAGCAATTACTAAAATGTAGCATACACGTCATGGGAATGCCACAAGGAGAATAAAGAGAGAAAAACAAAGTATTTGAAGTAAAAGTGGTTGAGAAATTTCCAAAATTAATTACAAACACCAACTTCAGATCCAGGAAGCTCAGAAAACATTAAGCAGGTAAGTATCAAAAACTGCACCAAGGTATATTATATTCAAACTGCAGAATATCAATGACAGAGAAAATCTAAAAAGAATTTAGAGAATAAAAAATCAGCTTACCTGAAGAAAAAAAAAAACAATAAGAATAACATAGACTTCTTTTTAGAAATCATGCAAGCAGGGTTGGGTGCAGTGGCTCATGCCTGTAATCCCAGCACTTTGGGAGGCCAAGGTGGGCAGATCACTTGAAGTCAGGAGTTTAAGCCCAGCCTGGCCAACATGGTGAAACCTCGTCTTTACTAACAATACAAAAACTAGGCATATTGGGGCATGCCTGTAATACCAACCACTAGGCAGGCTGAGGCAGGAGAATCTCATGAATCTAGGAGGCGGAGGTTGCAGTGAGCCCAGGATTGCACAACTGCACTCCAGCCTGAGTGAGAGAGTGAGACTCTGTCAAAAAAAAGAAAAAAAAAAAGAAGTCATACAAGCAGGAGGAGAGTGAATGGAAATATGTAATTCGTTGAAAGAAAACAACCACTAACCTAGATATCCAATGAAATTATCCTTCAAAATGAAGGCGAAATAAAGACTCTCAAACAAAAATTGAAAAAAAAATTGTCATTAGTAAACCTGCCTTGCAAGAAATGTTTTAAAAAATTATTTGGGGAGAATAAAAATAATATAGATTAGAAACTCAGTTCTACATGAAGAAAAGTAGCAATTTGAAGAAATTATAAATAAAGGTAAAATAAAATTTTTATTTTTCTCAATCTTAATTATTCTAACAGATAACAATAATAATAGCAACAATATATTCAGTGAGTATAACTAATAGATAAGGGAAATGAATTACAGCAATGTTATAAGAGATGGAAGGGAGGAATTGGGAATATTCTGTGTAAGGTTCTTTTACTACCCACAATACAGTATAGTGTTATTTGAAAGTGAACTTGGATTAGTTGTAAAAGTATGTAACAAACTCTGGGATAGCCACTTAAAAATTTTTTAAGAAGTATATTTGATATATTAAGAGTGGAGAGAAAATGGAACTATAGGAAACACTCAGTGAAAACCAGAGCAGGCAGACAAAAGAGTGGAAGACAAAAAGAAACAAAGAATAAGAGCAACAAATTTTAAAAATACCAGTAAGTTAGATATTAATCCAACTACATCTATAATTACTTAAAATGAGAGTGTTCTAGCTATGACAATTAAAAGACAGAGACTATTAGGGTGGATCAAAGACCAATACTCAACTTATGTTGTCTATAAGAAATACCTACTTTAAATATAAAGGGAAAGCTAGATTAAAACTATGGAAATGCAGAAAGATATACCATGCTAACACTAATCAAAAGAAAGCTGAAGTACCTGTTAATTTTAGGCAAATCAGAATTTAGGCCAAGAAAAATTATCACATATAAGGAAGGGCATTATATGATGATAACATTTTCTAAAACAACACACCATTCTTAATGTGTATGTGCAAAACAACAGAGTATCAAAATATATCAGACAAAAACTAATAGAACCACAAGAAACAGACAAAGCCACAATTATATTTGGAGACCTAGCACCCCTCTCTTAGTAACTGACAGAGTCAGCAGGCAGAAAATCAGTAGAGATAGTTGAACTGACAGCACCATCAATCAACTTGATATAATAAACTTATATAGACTTCTTCATCTAACAATGGCAGAACACACATTCTTTTCAAACTCACCGAGCATTTCACCAAGAAAGAAAACATTCTGGGACACAAACGCATCTTAACAAATTTAAAAGAATGAACATTATACAAAGTATGCTCTCAGACCACAGTGGAATTAAACTAGAAATCAATAACAAAATTATAGCTGGAAAATCCCAAAATATTTAGAAATTAAACAAATGTCCAAGCAGTACATAGGTCAAAGAGGTTTCAAAAGAAATTTAAACATAATTTGAACTTAAGAAAATATTCATACAATCTATTAAAATTTCTGGGATGCAGTGAAAACAGTGGTTAGAGGAAAATGTATAGCATTCAATGCATATTTTAGAGTAGAAGAAATATTTAAAATCAATAATCTAAGCCTTCACCATAGGTAACTAGAAAAAGAAGAGTAAGGCCAGGTGCAGTGGCTCATGCCTGTAATCCCAGCACTTTGGGAGGCCAAGGCAGGCGGATCACAAGGTCAGGAGATTGAGACCATCTTGGCTAACACGGTGAAACCCCGTCTCTACTAAAAATATTAAAAAAAAAAAATAGCCGGGCATGGTGGCAGGTGCCTGTAGTCCCAGCTACTCGGGAGGCTGAGGCAGGAGAATGGTGTGAACCCGGGAGGTGGAGCTTGCAGTGAGCAGAGATCACACCACTGCACTCCAGCCTGGGTGACAGAGCGATACTCTGTCTCAAAAATAAATAAATAAATAAATAAATAAATAAATAAATAAAAATAAAAAGAAGAGTAAATTAAATACAGCATAAAGGAAAGAAATGATAATTTAAAAAATTGAAATCAGAACAACAATAGAGAAAAGCAATAAAACCAATAACAGTTTCTTTGAAAATATCAATAAAATTGCACAATCTCCAGCCAGGCTAACCAGGAAAAAAAGAGAGAAGACAAAAGCTACTAATATCATAAATAAAAGAGAGCATTGTTGCTGATTCTATCTTAGTCCACTTTACGTTGCTATAACAGAATACCACAAACTGGGTAATTTTAATGAACAGAAATTGATTTAGCTTATGTTTCTGGAGGCTGAGAAGTCCAAAAGCATAGCATTGGCATTTATGGAGGGCCTTTGTGCTGTGTCATCTCATGGGGAAAGGCAGAAAGGCAAGAGAGGGTGAGGGTGAGAATGTGCAAGACAGGACCAAATTCATCCTCTAGTCAGGAACCCACTCCCGTGATAAGTAACCCATTCCCACAATAATAATCCACTCACAAGGGCAGAACCCTCATGACCTAATTACCTCTTAAAGGTTCTACCTCTCAACACCTTTGCACTGAAAATTAAGTTTCCAACATAAAGTCTGGGGGACACCTTCCAACCATAGCAGATCCCATGGACATTAATAGGATAATAAGACATAAGAAGAAAGGTAAACTATAGACCAATATCTCTCATGGATAGAGATGCAAAATTCCTCACAAAATCATCTAATTGAATCCAAAACGTATAAAAAATAATTATACATGACCAAATGGTATTTTTCTAGTATGCAAGTCTGGTTTGACATTGAATATTCAATATAATCTACCACATCAACAGCTAAAATGTATTTATAATCATGTCAATGGATCCAGCAAAAGCACCTGACAAACTCCAACACCTATTCATGATTTTTAAATAACTCTTAAAAAACCAGGAATACAGAGAATCTTCCTCAACTTAACTTGATAAATAATATCTACAAAAACCCTAACACCTAACACACTTAACAGTGAGAAACCAGATCATCACTCCTATTCAACACCATACCAAAATTCCTAGCTAGTACAGTAAGGCAAAGAAATGTTTTCCTGTAGACCAGCAATGAACAATTGGAATTTTAAATTAAAAACACAACAGAATTTGCATTAGCACTAAAAATAGAAATACATAGGTATAAATCTAACAAAATATGTACTAGATGTGTATGAGAAAAACTACAAAATTCTGATTTAAAAATAAGAAAATGTAAATAAATAAAAAACAATTCCATGCTCATGGATGAAAAAATTCAACATTGTTAAAATATTGGTTCTTCCAAACTTGATCAATAGGTTAAATGAAATTCCAACCAAAATTTCAGAGAGTTACTTTGTGGATATCAAACAGCTGATTTTAGAGTTTATATGAAAAGGCAAAAGACCCAAAACAGCCAACACAGTGTTAAAGAAGAACAAAGTCAAAAGACATCAATTATCCAACTTCAAGTCTTACTGTAGTGTTACAGTAGTCAAGACAATGTGATATTGGCAAAAGAATAAATAGATCAATGGAATAGAATAGAAAGCCCAGAAATGGACCCACACAAATACAGTCAACTGGTATTTGGCAAAGGGGCAAAGACGATCACATGGAGAAAAGATAGTTTTTTCAACAAATTGTGCTGGAACAACTGGACATCCACATACAAAAAAAAAAAAAAGTCTGTCTAAACACTGACCTGAGTCCCAAACATTAAATGCAAAACTATAAAACTCCTGGAAGACAGCATGGGAAAAAAGAAAACAACTAAGTAACCTTGGATTTGGCAATATGTCCATGAAAAAAAAAAATCGGTAACTTAGACTTTATTAAAATTGATAACTTATCTATGAAAGACTATTCAGAGAATGAAAAGACAAGCCATGGACTGAGAAAAAATATTTGTAAAACAACAAAGTGATAAAGGACTTACATCTAAAATGTATGAAGAACTCTTACAACTCTATAATGAGAAAACAACCCAATTAAAAAAGTGACAAAATATCTGAATAGACACCTCACCAAAGAAGACATATAGATGGCAAAACAGCATATGAAAAGATACTCAACAGCAAATATCTTTAGGGAATTGCAAGTGAAAACAATTATGCAATATCTCTCCACATCTATTAGGATGGCTGAAATCCAAAACACTGAAGACAGCAGTTGTTAAGGAGGACATGGAGCAACCAGAACCCTCATTCACTGCTGGTGGGATTTCAAAGACACCAGCCACTTTGGAAGAGAATTTGGCAGTTTCTCGTGAAGCTAAACAGTCGTATCATATAATCCAGCAATCACACTTCTAGGTATTTAGCCAACAGGCTTGAAAACTTATGCCCACACACAAACCTGCACACAATGTTCATAGTAGTTTTATTCAGAATTGGCAAAAATAGGAAGGAACCAAGATGACCTTCCATAAGTGAAGGGGTAAACAAACAATGGTACATTCATACAAGGGGATATTTTTCAGCAATACAAAGAAATGAGTTATCAGGCCATGAAGGAATATAGAGGAACCTTACATGCATATTTCTCAGAGAAAGAACCCAATCTGAAAATAGTACATAATGTACGATTCCAACTATATGACACTTTGGATAAAGTAAAATTGTAGCGACAGTAAGGAGATATGTGGTTGCCAGGGGTTGTGGGGTGAGATGGTGAAAGGATAAACAGTTGAAGAACAGCAGATTTTTAGGGCAGTGAATCTATTTTGTATGATATTGCAATGATGGATAAAAGACATTATGCACTTGGAAAAATCCATAGAACTGTACAACACAAAGGAAGAACCATAGTGTGAACCATGGGCTTTAATAATAATGTATCAGTGTTCGTTGGCCAATTATAACAAATGTACCACACCAGTGCAGGATGTTAACAGTTGGGGAAACTCATGGGGGATGAGGGGTGGGAACCTACTTTCTGTTCAATTTTTCTGTAAATGTAAAACTGCTCTAAAAGTTACATTAAGAATTATACGTGTCAAAAAAGCAATCTAAAGAAAATTTAGAAACTATTTTAACTGAACGAAAATGAAAAGACATTGTATCAAACATTCCAGTATGTACTTAAATCAGTGCTTAAAGGAAAATTTATAGGATTCAAAGTTTACATTAGACAAGAAGAAAGACCTCAACTCAACAGTCTGGGCTTCCACATTAAGAAACTAGAAAAAAAAGAGCAAAAGAAACCCAAAACAAGCAGAAGCAGGAAATAATAAAGAGAAATAAAAGAAAATACGAATAAAAAATAAATAGAAAAAAATAAAGAAAACAAAAGTTGATTCTTCAAAAAAGAATTGATTCTCCAAAAAAAAAGTAGAAGATAAACTTTTAGCTGACAAGGAAAATACCAGAGAAAGACAAAATGTATTATAAACAGCAGAATTGAAAAAGGGACATGCCCACAGACCTCACAGATATTAGAAGGTTAATAAGAAAACATTATTTTTAAAAAGCTATGTGCATATAAATTCAACTACTTAGCCAAATGGCACAAACAGCCAAAGTTTTCGAAGAAGAAATAGGTAACCTGAATCATCTTATAACTATTAAAAACATTGAACTAGAAGTTTAAAAAAAAAAAAATCTGGAGAAAAAATTGTCCTCCTCGATCAGATAGTTTCACTGAGTTCTGACAAACATCCAAAGGAGAAACAACACCAATTCTATACAATCCCTTCCTGAAAATAAAAGAAGGACTATTTCCCAAATTAGGAGATTAGATCTGCCCTGATACCAAAGCTAGACAAAAATGTACAAGAAAGGAAAAAGTCCTCAACATAATGTTAGCAGATTATATTCAGCAATATATAGAAGTAATAATAGACTGTGACTAAGTGGGATTTATCCTGGAAGTATAGGGCTGATTCAGTGTTTAAAAATCAATTAATATAATACACTATCAACCATATTAATTTGTTATTAGTCTAAAGAAGAAAAAAACAAATAAACTGGTACAGAGAAAGAATTTTACAGTATTAGACAACCATTTATGGTTATAAAACCTCTCAGCAAAATTAGAAATAGAAGAGAATTCCTCAACCTAATAAGAACCGAATAAAGGATATGTGTGAAAAACCTACAAGTAACATCGCACCTAATGATGAGAGATTAGATGCTTTTCCCCAAGATGGGAAGAAAGCAAGGATGTCTACTCCCAGAAGTTCTATTTTACATCTTACTAGATGCCTGAGCCGGTGCCATAAGGCAAGAAAAGAAACGGCACACAAATTAGAAAGGAAGAAATAAAACTGTCCCTATTCACAGAAGAAATATTAATAATTGTATACTTAGAAAATCCCAAGGTATCTACAAAAATATTTTTAAAACTAGTAAGTGAGATTATCAAGGTTTGCAGGATAAAAGATTTAAAAGAAAAGTATTTATCATATTTCTATATACTAACAATGAATAACTAGAAACAGGGATTTTAAAAACAGTATCATTTACAATAGGTCCAAAAGTAAAATACTTAGGACAAACGTAATAAAATATTTTTGAGACTATATACTGAAAAACAATCAAAAATTATTTCAATAAATGCTGCTGCAAATTTGTCAACACTGTCTGATTTCAGAATTTGCTTCGGTATTCGGGACACTGTGGTGTTATTAGCGAGGGGATACTGATGGGTGGTACAGAATAGTTTCCAGAAATAGACCCACACAGATATGGCCAAGGTGCAAAAGCAAGTCAGCGGAGAAAGGAAGAGCCTGCCATGGGACAGCAGGCAGAAGAGGAGTCTGGACGCGTCACAGACCTTCAGGGATGCACTTGTAACAGCTGTCATGGTTACCAGGAACTGAGCTGAGAGGCCTTCAGTAAGCTATCTGCACCCTACAGCCAGGAAAT
The DNA here is from genome assembly GCF_000001405.40 of Homo sapiens. NCBI lineage: Eukaryota > Metazoa > Chordata > Mammalia > Primates > Hominidae > Homo > Homo sapiens. The sequence continues at coordinate 30,760,146 of NC_000019.10, read as the reverse complement.
GACCAAGTTCCCATCCAAACCAGATCACTCCTGCTCCAAAATGCATACTTAGTATTTAACTCCCTAATCATCAATTCCTACATCTCAAGAGATGGGAATAATACCTACCTTGAAGGGCAGTTGTGGAGATTCTGTAATATAATGCATCCTAGGTAGTTAGCAAAGTGCCTGGCAGGGGCACACTCCGTGAAAGCCATAGCTATTACTCTGGTGAAATTATTCTTATTAAAGAGATAGGCCCTTCAGTAGGCACATGGAAAATCACAGTGTCAAAATTACCTTTAAAGAATACTTGAGGCTGGGTGCAGTAGCTTATACCTATAATCCCAACACTTTGAGACTTCAAGGCAGGAGGATTGCTTGGTCCCAGGAGTTCAAGAACAATCTGGGTGACACAGTGAAACCCTATCTCTACCAAAAATTTTAAAAATTAGCTGGGCATGGTGATGCATGCCTGCAGTCCCAGCTACTCAGGAGGCTGAGGTGGGAGGATCCCTTGAGCCCAGAAGTTCAAGGCTGCAATGAGCCTTTAAGGTGCCATTGCACTCCAGCCTGGGCCACAGAGGGAGACCCTGTCTCTAAAAAAGAAAAAAAAAAAAACTTGAAATCATCTGTAAACTTATCTACCTGGTTTTGTATAAATTTTATTTTATACACACTTTAATATATAAATGTATGTAAGCATATGTAGTATTATTCAGGATATGATAAAGAAATACTACAATAAACACATTTTACAATTTATAAAATGTGGTCATTTTTTCCACTAGGCTGGGCTGCTGATGTAGCCTCCAGTCCTCCAGTCCCAGAACTTTCTGCTCTAGGATTTGAGCAGGATTTCTTTAAATGTGTGGAAATGTAAAGAAGGCAATCTTAAGGCACCCACACCTAACGAGAAAAACAGTGTAGTGAGGGGCATTTCTCTGTGAGGAGACCTTTGTTTTCCCTGACTGAGTTGCTAAATACGTGTTGGGCATCCCTGCACCATCGCCTTGGAGCTTGTCTCTTCTTCATGGAGTATCCCACAGGGATGCTGCCGGGTAAGGGCCGATTGAGCCATACTGCACAAACAACACACCACCCTCTGTACAGCTCCTTTCCACAACCCAGGAGGCCCAGAGTACCCTGCCTATGATTTTTCTTCCTAGTTCATCTGCTAATTTTCCATATTGCTTTCTCTCATGTGCCCTCCCGCATCCTCTCAAGAGAGGAAGGGGATGGAGTGTCTGCAGAGTGCACCTGCGTGCAGAAGGCCTTGGGAGGCATAAGCAGCATTGGGCCTACAGACCTGCACCAGTCAACTCAGTCACTTTCGCTGTGTTACCTTAAGCACCCTACATGGCTTCCCTGAAGCCTGGCTTTAGATTTTCAAAAAAGAAAACAAAAATCAAAACAAATGTGATGGTTAATATTAAGTGTCAACTTGATTGGATGGAAGCATGCAAAGTATTGTTTCTGGGTCTAACTGGGTGTTGCCAGAAGAGATTAACATTTGAGTCAGTGGAGTGGGAGAGGAAGACCCACCCTCAGGAAGACTCATCCAAAATGTGGGTGGGCACCATCCAGTCGGCTGCCAACGCAGGTAGAAAAAGCAGGCAGAAGAAGGTGGAAGAAGCTGACTTGCTGTGTCTTCCAGCCTTCATCTTTCTCCTGTGCTTTATGCTTCCTGCCCTCAAACATCAGACTGCCAGTTCTTCGGCTCTTGGACTCTTGGACTTATACCAGTGGTTTGCCAGGAGCTCTTTGGCCTTTGGCCACAGACTGAAGGCTGCACTGTTGGCCTCCCTACTTTTGAGGTTTTGGGACTCGGACTGGCTTCCTTACTCCTCAGCTTGCAGATAACCTATTGTGGGACTTCACCTTGTGATTGTGTGAGTCAATTCTCCTAATAAACTCCCTTTCATGTATATCCTATTATTTCTGTCCCTCTAGAGAATCCTAATACAACAAATAAACAAAAACTCCCTTGTAAGGCAACTGCTGATTCAGATAGCTCCTCTTCTTAAGACCATGCATTCAAAGAAAAGACCCAGAGATGGGCTGGTTTCCCTTCCAACCAAGTCTGGACAACCATGCAACCAAGCAGGACAGGGCTGGACAGAGGTCAAGGCTGGCCTCAGGCCAGAAGCTCAGAGGCCAGGTGCCATCTGCAGTCAGGCATCCAGGAGGAACTTTCTCCAGAATCTACCCTGACACTCAGAACTCATTATTCACATTTCTTCACTTTTTCTCATTTACAAAATAAATAATTTTAAGATGTAACTAAAATTATTTTACAATCTTTTAATCACTAGAAATTGCGTATAATTATTTTACCTCCACTTCAGTGCCAAGAACTGCTGTGAATTACTTGGCTTCTCAAAGTGCAGAAAGAAAAAGCTTCACTTCTGCATTAATTAAAGAATTTTTTTTCCATTCCTGTCCATTAGCCGCCACCATGCTATGGCTATGAATGGTCATTACAACAGACAGAAATAGGAACATAAATTTCCTGCTAATGAAAATGTCAGTAGGAGATGCCGTCTATCACAGAATGTTCTGATATGGAGAGGGCTTTTTTTTTTTTTTTTCTCTGTCTCGTACCTTTCTACAGCTTCCAGGAGACCCACACAGAAGGGCAAGCATCTTTTATTTATAGATACCTGGGAAGCATCCTTTACAATAGATGCAGGACTATGCTCAGGACTCCAGTAAATATTCCATTGATTTTTAAAATTGCTCCCTTTCTTATCAGACCTCGCAGGGTCTCGGCCTGGGAAACCTTGCTGACCTTCTCCCCTCCTTATGAGGTCAGTTTTCTTGAGATTGGAAGCCACGTGTGCATCTGTCACTGGATGTTATCCTCACCGTTTTACAGGGGGAGTATTGAGCCATCAGTCAGCATGTGCTGTCTCCACCGTCCTCTTCCCCCTTGGTGTAGGAAGTTCAGTTGCTCACAGTTTTCAGAGCTGATAAAGAAGTGCACATGTGGCTGGTGGTGGCGGCTCATGCCTATAATCCCAGCACTTTGAAAGGCCGAGATGAGGGTGAGGGGTGGCAGATCACCTGAGGTCAGGAGTTCGAAACCAGCCTGGCCAACATGATGAAACCCCATCTCTACTAAAAATACAAAAATTAGCCTGATGTGGTGGTGCATGCCTGTAATCTCATCTACTCGGGAGGCTGAGACAAGAGTCACTTGAACCTGGGAGGCAGAGGTTGCAGTGAGCCAAGATTGCATCACTGCACTCCAGCCTGGGCAACAGAGCAAGATTGTCTCAAAAAAAAAAGAAGCGCACATGTTCCGTACCCTAAGCAGAAGAGTGGACTTAGCGTTGGGTGACATTCAGTGCTGGCTGTAGCCTGCCTATTGTCTGGTGTCACTGGAGGCAATGTGCATACACCTAGGGGATAGGTCACTGTACCCATGCAGCTCCAGAGGCGTAACCTCAGAGCTCCCTGGCCAGGGTTTTGTCCCTGTTAGGAGAAACCCATCACTCTTCCAGGCTTGCAACTCCAATGGAAGCCACTAAAGGCAATGTAATTCTTCCCATAAGTCAATCAAGAGCCAGGAGGACACACACTTTGGGAAACACCAGTTTACTCCCAGGGAGAAAGTGGAGTGAAGGAGATGTAAGTCAAAAAGTGACTGAGGCAGATCTCAGTGGATTAGAGGTTTATTTTGCCAAGGTTGAGGACACGCCCAGGGTGGGGCTGGGGAACACAAGCCCCAATAGGTTTTGTGTCCTGTGCTTTTTCCAAAAAGAGTTTTGGGAACTTTAATATTTGGAGAAACGAGGGGCAGAAAGAAAAGGAGGATAGGCAGACAATGATGACATTCTGTGAGGCTCTGATTAGTGCTCAGAAAATCCACATTTCACTTGCTTAAAGAAAAGGATGGGGAGGAGTCAACCATGCATTGTCTCCTGCTCAGCAAATCTACATTTTACATGAGATAAAGCAAACATATAAAGTGACAGCTATCTGGGAACAAAAAGGAAGCAGTTTTTGCGTGACTCAGTTCCCAAACTTAACTTTCCTTTTGGCATTGTGAGTTCGGGGTCCTGAGATTCTATTTTTCTTTCACAGAGGTTTTTTTTTTTTTTTTTAATCAAGCACTTTTGGCAAGCTCATGCACAACAATTTCTGCCTGGGTTCATGCTTGACTCTACATTCCCTTTGGTTGGCGTAGCCGTTGAGAGGGCTCTGGTTAAGGAGCAACTGGTATCTGTTTACCTGGGATAGCCTTCAACATCCACAGCCTTCTCACGCGTCGGGAGTCAGCAGGGCTGATCCACTACAAAATCATGCCCAGTAGCCAGTACACACTCAATAAGGCTTGCTCGCAAACAGTGGGGCTAAGAGATACAGTGACTACTCATTAGTCATTCTCTACCACAATTGTGTTGGCCCGGCTGTCAAAAGGATTCCAAAAATATCTGTTCTCCAGAAAACTTCCAGACAGGTTGTGTTGAATGACTATTTTAGAAATAATATTTCAACATGTTAAAATGACTATTACCAGCCACCATTTGGATCCAGTTCAACTAAAGATGAATGGATAAAATCAATTTCCTGGATCAGAAGGTCTCTGATTCCAGTGGCCACTAGTAACTGGTGCTACTCAATTTCTTATGTTAAACATGACGTCGAGATGGTCAAAAGGTTGAACCACAAAGTATTGCAGAATTACTCCCCCTCCTTCAACCCATGAAGAATCACTTCTAACACCAAGACTCCCTCCATTTCTAAATGCTGGGACCCCCAAGACCATCCTTGCATTTCAGTGAGCTGGGGCCACCTGATATGCCAATAGAGCATGTTTTCAGCTATTCACATAATTCAGTATTCAGTAATCTCCATGGAGGAGGTAACCTGAGGGCACTAAGAAAGAGGAGTTTCCAAGCAGGAATGAGAAGAGTAAGAAAATCCAAAGCCACACACAGACAAAGACCCAAGATCAGCCAGGGTGGAGACACTGAAACCAGAGGCGGAGGGCTGAGGAAGGCCAGGCTGGGCAAGCCCTGGTCTCTGGCCATGATCCTCCTGAAGACCCATTTAATTACCTCTAGTCCTTGTTGGTATCTTACCCTTTTCTCATCCAAAGCAAAACTTTGGAGATATATATATATATATATCACTATGTGCTTAAAATAACAGTAACAATGATAAAAAGACATGCAATGTTCTGCACAAGTAGCCAAGGGTGACTTTTGCTACTGAAATAAGCATCTTAAAACCAATAGCAACCAAAAACTCAGTCTGTTGGAGAACAAAGCTCCTCAGGAGAATTTATCTAAACACAGGGGTAATGCTCGTAGCCATTTTTAAGTGTTATTTTAGGGCTGGACTGTTCTCTACAGAGTGTCACAATGCCTTCTAAAAAGCTCTTCCCCGAGACAACCTCTTTCTTAAAATACCTTGGTCATCTCAGAGTTCAAAAAGCACCAATATTTAACAGGAACCAACCCAACAGAGCCATCTGGAAGACTTGAGGCACCCAAATGACTATATGGAAAGAGGAGGTAATGGGGCAGTGCGAAACCTATTAACCCTAATTTCCTCTCGTGGCCTGATATGGTAGCCCATCAATGCTACGTATCATGCCAGAATTTTCTTCCCAGAAACAGAATATCCAGCAGATCTTTCCTGAGTCCTTGCCCCATCCTAGGCACCATGCTGGCCACTAAAACATGAACAAGATACTGCCTCCACCCTCCAGGAACTCACAGACTAATCAGAAAATAAAGTAGTCAGGTGATGATGCCACAAAAATAGAATATGACTCCTGAAGTGCTTGACAGGATTTGGCAGAGAGAAGCTTCCCCTATTGCAAAGGCAGATATAGAGCTTCCCATCCTCAGAGCGTCTACATGGAAAATGGCTCAGCACTGCTTTGCAGTGTAAGGCCCAGGGCCTAAAGTTGTATCAGGAAAGCTCCCTGTCTTAGAGAAATTCCTGGCCTGTGGTGGGTTGTGCCTTTGGGAGGCAGGGAGCAGCCTGTGGGCTTACGAAAGTTCAATAAGAACACAAGGTTTTCCCAAAACTGCAAAAAGGTTTTGATGGGGTTTCCTGGGATTGTAACCACAACCATCCCTCAAGAAGGAGAGTGCCCTGATGCTCAGGTTTCCTACCCATCCTCAGAATCTCAGAGGGCCCAATGCATAATGGATTTCCATGCAATGAGCTGGAAACACTTGGAGATGTAACTTACCCCTCTAAGACTGCCCCCAACTCCACCTTCCCTGGGGGTCAGTGTTCAGCACTTCAGGTGGGAGATAAGCAATCATAATAAATAATAACAGCTAGTATTTCTCGGTTGTTCTGTGCCAAGTACTGTGTCAAGTGTTCTAAATGCAATTTCTCATGTTATCCTCATAACAACTGTGACATTTATTACTCATCTTACAGAAATAAAGGCTGAGAGAAGTAAAGGACTTTGCCAAGGTCACAGGGCTGGCAGGTAGAGGAGCCAGGGTGCAAGCCCGCCTCCGCTTCCAGATGCCTGTCTCTCTCCAACCAAGCTTCAGCTCTCGGGGATAGTATTGTTGCTCAACAAAGACCCCTGCCCTTTGTGCCAAAATTTGTTGATATTGTTATTTAAAGGGATGCATCCCAATTTATTCCAGTATCAATTCTCTATACCATTTACCTCAGCACTGATTGTATCATTCACGAATTAGCATTAGGCAGCAATTTCTGGTTCCATATAAAACTATTTAGCAATCTTGCCAAGAAAATGAAGGATGGAAAGTGAAAGCCTGGGTGGTGAACCTAATTCTCTTCCTTATCTTCTTGTTGCATATTGACACATTTGAGGCATCCAACTTGTCTTGCCTGAGTGCAAATCAGATTATTGGCAATGAAAGCCATTTAACAGGTTATTTAAATGTTGGAGTCCTATCTCGGTGGGATCTGCTTCTTGACTTGCTTCTACTGCAGAACGGTCAACTTTTGTTTGCTAGAAACAGGGATGTTTCCCATTTATTGTGTGGGCCAAGTGTGCATGCAATGCAATGCCTGCTCCAATACATCCAGACATCTTGTTCCACATCACCTCCACTCCAACGCTCCAACCTTGGCCACTCACCCACACCAGTTGTCAGCTTGCATCCCCATGTGAGCCTGCCATGACCACCTTGCTGAGAAGGAACAAGCCAGGCAACAGGATCAGAATTGCCTGACCTGTTGGCCCTCAAATTCTCTGTTCATCAGTCACTCCCACATATCAGTGGCTCCAACAGATACTCTGCAGAGAACCAGTTTCTGTAAAGGATGTTCCAGAAATATTTTGTGCAGTTCTATTTATTCAACAATATTTATTATTTATGTGTTGTCTGCTGTCTTAGGGGCTGGGAGAGAAAAACTGATACACATAATCCTAATCACCTCCCCAAAATCCACCTCCTAATACCATCACATTAGGCAATAGGGTTTCAACATATGGATTTTAGGGAGACACAATTGTTTAGTCCATAGCAGCATGCTTCATGTTTATGAAGGGGTATTATGAGAGAGAATACAAAGCAATCATAACCTGTATTGTGGGGGACACTGTGATGTGTTTCTCAGATTTCCCTTTAATGTAGTATCTGTGGCCCCAGATGCTAAGAGTGCATCAGCTGGCCATGAACTGTCAGCTCTCTTAGGAATCGTGTTATCTATGGAATGCCACCTCACCCAAGGTCATGCTTCTTCCTGGGCATCTCCCATTCAACGACTGATGACCCCAGGGGTAAAAAGGCCTGGCCACCTTGGCTCGGCTCTTAAGGGGTCTTCCAGCTCTAGAGCTCCCCGTAGGCTGTCACTGAGCCTGCATTGCATCTTGATGAATCCCGTGGCTTAATCACAGGTATTGAGGCCAAGTGCATACCTTCATAAACATGAAATGCGCTGTTATGGACTAAATAACTGTGTGCCCCTAAAATTCATATGTTGAAACCCTACCACCCAATGTGATGATATTAGGAGATGGAATTTGGGGGAGGTGATTAAGACTAGATGTGGTCATGCAAGTGGAACCCTTCTACAGCAAGAAGACAGCTGTCTATGAACAAGGAGGTGAACTCTCACCAGACAACAAATCTGCCAGCACCTTGATCTTGGACTTCCAGCCTCCAGAACTATGAGAACTAAATTTTCGTTGTTTATAAGCTGCCCAGTCCATGGAATTTTCTTATAGCAGCTCCAATGAAACAAGATGCATGCTAAACTTTGTATCAGTGTCTTCTTTCTAGAAAACCCAAACTGTGGCAACTAGAAACAGATGCAGTCCAAGAAAAAGCAAGCCCTGAGGCGAGATTTTGAAGCTGGATGATTCAATCACTACTCCACTGACAATAAGGCTCCCATCATATGATAGGTGTTAGTCCATTTGTTAAAACTCTCACAGATGCTGATAAGGATGGTGTGTTCATTCAAGGGGGTGTGTTTGCTGGTGAGATTTATCAGGTAGTTAGAAATATGGAGGAAATGTAACTAAATGAAACATGGAATCCAGCTAAGCTGGATTGTTATCTGGGAAAAGATAATAAAAAGATAAGAGCAAATAATCACCAATTAAAAGTCAGTGGGCATCTTTGGAAATCAAAGGTCCTCATCTCTTACAGTAGGAGGGTACAGAGAGCTGAGGATCAGGCCTAGAATGGTGTCATCAGAGCAGCTGAGCTCCAAAGGTTAGACTCTCAATCCCCAATCCAGGCAGGTCTGCCATGCCAACATCAAGGCCCTAGTTGAGAAACAAATGGACCCTGACACTGGGCTGCAGACATCTGAATTAATGCCTTGGGAAATCTTAAATCCCCAGGCTCCCCAGAGCCTTCTGGACTTGCAGAAATGGGTCACCCTTCCCTCTTAAGAGGTAACTCCTTCCCTTGCTTGAAGGCAATGCAGAGGCTTTTCCCAGATCATGAGATACATGCCACTCAACATTTTCCTCCACTTGCCTGCTCCCACACTAAGATGAAATCACAACAAAACACAGCTGGGGTCATGCTGGGAATGAAAAAGGATGGAGTGCTCATGCCATAGAGGTACTGCAAGACCTGTCCAGCAGGTACCACCTGCAGCCAGGACATTAGATACAGAATTAGATACTGAAAGTGCTTGACCAAGGGGACTGAAACTGAAGCCATCTTTGCAGGAATTATAGTAGTAAGGGAAATCTAACATAACTGATTCTATTCTGCTTCTACCACTACAAGCTAACTTGCTTTTGTCAGTACTTGTTTTTTTCTTGAACTGACTTCCTCCTTGTTCAAAGACTGAAACTGTATTTGTAAAGGCTAATAAAAGACAACAAGGTTAAGATTTCTGGTAGGGGTCTGAACTGTGCTAAAGAATAGACACAGTTAACCAATAACCATCCATTCCTGACTTAACTTGCTTTTCTTTAGTTGCCTACTGCAGCAGGCTCACATAACTGGAGGTCACAAAATTTGTGACTTCCCCAACTGTTCCTATAGATAACATCACCATTGTGAGACCTAAAGAACTGGTCTTTGAGATATTTTTTAGATTTAGCATTTTGGTAGACCAAGAGATGTCACTTGGACCCATGACCCACACCAAAAAACTGATGCAACTGGTCCTGCAAAACCCAGCCAGGAGCTGACTCAGTTGTAGCTTCGACACCCCTGTGATTTCATCTCCAGCAGATCAATTGTTTCAATTCCCTAAAGCCCTGTCCACCAAAGAACCCTTTAAAATCCCAACTTCTGAATTCTCAGGGAGGTGGATTTGAGAAATATCTCCTGTCTTCCTTGCATGGCTGCCCTGCAATTATTAAACTCTTTCTCTGCTGCAGCACCTGCTGTTCTCAACATATTGGCTTTTTCTGGGCAGCAGGAAAGAAGAACCTGCCAGGCTGTAACAAAACAACAGACTGAATTAGAAAGAGTTTGAGTGCACTCTTTGAGAATTCAGGATTTAACACCTTGGCAAGAATCCCAGAAAATGGAGAGATGTGATAGTAAGATGGCTTCTAGGAGTGTGGAAGAAGCAAATGGGGTTGAAATGTCAGAATTGCCATAGCAAATGTTAAGAAAAAATTTGAAAGATGGCAAAAGTAGGTATGCTGGTGTGGATATGCTCCATACGGCTGAAAACACATCACAGTCCATGGCAACTCTTGGAGAGCATACCATTCACTAAGGCCAATGGGAATACACTGGCGAGAGAAGCACTGACATCACTACCAAGTTCAATGGCAACTCTCTTCTGTGGACCAAAGCTGGTGGAAAAGGAGGCTGTTACAGAACTGGACTCACCAATGGCAATGGAGATGATGGAACACTGAAAGAGCAGAGGAAGAATACAATGCGGCCTTTGATTTTCAGAAGCCAAGAGGATGCAATTACTGTCATAAGTAGCAAGGTTAGAGAAGCAGCCAGGGGATCTGATCTGCAAAGAGACATGGAGATGGTTAATAGAACACAGTGTGGGGCAAAATAGAAGAGTAGTCAACAAGAGTACTGCTCAATTTGTACCGTCAAAAGAAATCAAAGACTGCTGGTTAGAAGACTGAGAGCAGCTGCTGCAAGAAAAAGCCAGGACTGCTCGTGCACTTTTCAGACCTGGAGCCTGTTGAATGCAGCTGAAGTTATAGCCCCCAAGGGAAGTTCTTGTAATACCATGGCACATGGACCCAGTCATAATTCTGAGTCCTTTCCCAGAGGGCATTGCACTGTGGACTAGGGCAAGGGAAACATCCAAACATCGTGAAGACTGGTGGACACAGAGTTTGAATAGACACCAATACCTAGAGACCCAAAGAATTATCACAGTCCCCTGTCAAAGGGAGTTAGAAGGGAGATATATAATCATTGGAGTCCTGGCCAGGCTGCTTCATGGAGGCTCCACTGGACTCATAGACACTTTGGTGGTAATGTTTCCAGTCCTCTAATGGATGTTAGCATAGATATACTGAAAAATTGAGTCCTTGACTGGGCCCATTCCCCAAATCAAGGTAGAAAATAATAATGTTGTGTCCCAGGGAGATGGCAGAAATTAGTGCTCTTTTTAAAGATCTAAAGGATGCATGTGTGGTGGCTCCCATCACATCTCCATTTAGCTCACTGGTCTAGACCTGCAAAAACCAGATGGATCCTGGAAAATGGCAGTGGACTTTTCATACCTAACCAAGCAGTTACCCCAATTGAGACTTCCATATCAGTTATAATATCTTCCTTAGAGCTGATTCACATGCTCTCAAGAACATGGTGGGCAGCCTTTGATCTAGTGAGTGCATTTTTGTTTCTATCACAATAAGAAAGGATCAGAAACAGTTCTGGGATGAGCAAAGGTGTACATTCACAGGATTTCCCAAGAACTATGTTAGCGTTCCCTCCCTCTGTCATAATATGGTTAAAGTGACCTGAGCCATGAGGACATCTTGAAAGACTTTTGGAAGGCTATTAGGTTTAGATGAGGTCATGAAAGTAGAGTCCCCATGAGGGGGATTGGTGTCCTTATAAAGAAATAAAGAGATTAGAGACTGCTCACTCTCTCTCCACCATGGGAAGAAATAGCAAAAAGGCATCCACCTGCAAACCAGGAAAAGGGACCTCACTAAAAACCATATTAGTCAGCACCTGGATCTTGGACTTCCAAGCCTCCATAACTATGAGTAATAAATTTCTGTTGCTTTAGTCACCCCGTCTGTGGTACTTTTGTTATAGCAGCCTGAACTCACTAAGACAGAGGCTTTGACAAGACACATGCATTGCAGAGGGTGAGAAAAGAACTCCTTCAAAGATTCAAAGGAGTCGGCTACATCACTAACATTCTTAGGAGTTCAGTGGTCAAAGGCATGACAGTACATCCCTTCCATAGTAAAAGATAAATTATGAGCTCCCATCATAAAGGATGGAGCATGACATCTGGTTCTAGACTCTGGATTCTAGAGGCAGCATTTTCCACATGTGGAAATACTGTTGTCACCTATACGCCAGGTAATATGAAAAGCTGCTGGTTTTGTATGAGGCCCAGAAGAGAAAAGAGCTCTGTAGCAGGTCCAGCCTGTGATGCAGATGGACCTATGATCTGGCAGACCCCAAAGCATAAAAATTGTCAGTGAAGGAAATGATGTCATGTGGAGTTTTAAAACAAATCCCAAAGGAAGACTCACAATGTAGACCCCTAGGGTTTTGGATCAAGGCCATACCTTCCACAGCAGAGAATGTGCCTTTGGAAAAATACCTCCCAGTGTAGCCACCAAGACCTGATAAAGAAGGAGTGCCTGACCATGGGGCCCCAAGAGAGAGGACCCATCATGAGTTGTGTTCTGTCACACATAACAATATCAGGTAACCCAGCAATAATCCATGGAGGATTAAAGTGGCTAATCTGGGACCAAGCACAGCAGAGCCAGGGGGCACAGGCAGGTTGCATGAGCAGGCAGCTTTGAGCTCCATATCATTCACATTCACACTCTGATACCCACTACTCTCCCTGAGCACACCCTATGACTTTCAGGATACCTTATGGTCTTCAGACAAGAGGAAAAAGATCAGATTTGGTTCACAGATGGGTGAGCTCAGTGTGTGGATTAAAGATAACAATAGATAGCAGCTGCATTACTACCCAGTACCCAGGAATGACTTGGAAAGGCAGAGGGGAAAGAAAACTTCTCAATGGGTATGCTTTAGGTGTTGTGCCTGGTCATGCACTTTGTATGAACAAAGAAGTAGCCTGAGGTTAGAGTATGTATGAACTCATGGGCAATGGCCCAGACCAGATGGTCAGGGGCCTGCAAGGAAATGAATTCTATATTTAAGTTTCTGTATTTTGTGATGCTTTGACATCTTGAGACCTGACCAGGAAGTGATTGTCTCTCCTAGGGCTATGAACCAACCAATCCAAAGCTCATACTCCCCAACCATCTCTTTTACTGGGCTCTCACAGGTCTCTTATGCTCCACGGCCAATATTTCCCTCCCCTAATTTCCCCAGGACAAGGAACCAGACAACTCAGGACAGTCCCTGTTCCTTGGAGTCTGCCAAAATTATTCAAAGTTGCCAATCCTAAGCTTGTTGATCCTGCTTATGCCACTTGCACATTTCTCCCTGTGAAAGCCGCAGAAAATCCCCTGCCATGCCTCCTTCTCCTGCTACTTGGGACTCTAATGATTACCAGTCTCCCTTCAGTCCCCCGATATAGGAGTTAAAAAGAAATTATTTAGGCAGATAGTGACGGTAAGGAAGTCCTTGGTCAGGTTTCCCTTTTAATAAAAAACAGGCCTCACATCATTTCTTTTTTAACAAAAAGCAGTCTGTAAAATTGAGCTGCAAACATAGATAAGCAAGCTGGAAGCTTGCAGGAGTGAATGCCGGCAGCTGTGACAATAGGAAAAGGCTACCTGGGGGTTAGGCATGTTCGACATGGCGGCCCCATGTTCCCTTTGCTTTGTCAACCACATGTACAGCAAGGGCAGACATCATGGCACTGGCCAGGTAAAGAATCAATTTGCACAAGAGAAGGTTAGGGTGGGGTATCTAGCTTCTTCATGTGCTATGTAAATGTCACACCTGGTCCAGCCAATCTTTGGGCCCTATGTAAATCGGAAACCACCTCCTCAAGCCAGTCTATAAAACCCCGTGCACTTCACCACAAAAGCGGAAGACCTACTTGGGCTCCCCTCTCTCTCTCTGCAGGAGAGGCAGCTATTCTCTTTTCTCTTTCTTTCACCTATTAAACCGCTGCTCTTAGCCTCACTCCACATGTGTCTGGTACAAGGCAAGGAACCTCGGGTATTACCCCTGACAACAAAGCTGTTTCACTCCTCTAACAGGGCACTTACCTGGGTGGCATTTCTTTGCTCCATTGTGGTATCAAATGGACAAATGCACCAACCTTGACCTGAGAAAAGTATAGTCACCAGAAACTCAAACCCTCAAACCCTTTATGGGCAAAGGTATGGGTGATGACTTCAAGTAAGCCATTGAGACTGGCACCGGTGCTAATGAAAATAGAGAATTAATCATGGAGAAAGCAGATGGTGAGGATCAGTCAGGACCCTAAGACCAGCGGCAGCAGTGGGGGCTGGAGTTCACTCCATGAATCTTCCTCTTCTAGAGTTTCCCTCAGGAAGAGAGACCCATGGGAATCCCGGGGATGGCGCTACCTCCATGCATATGAAGAAGTGGATCTGAACAGCCAAAGAGAAGATGGTGGTGGACAGCATGACTCACTATCCAGGTCCCTTCCAAGGAAGGACTTGTTACGTCTGCTTCTGGGAGTTCAGCGGATGGCCTCAGCTGTCAGTTCCTCCCAGGATGGTCTTTACTGCAGAGAGCTGCCTCAACCAACATCACACCACATCCAGTGCCTGACTGACAAAGAAGCATGAAAGCCTGCCATCTCAGCCCAGCTCTGGGCAATTCTGCAGAGCTAATCTCACTCTAGACCTCCCTGCAGGGACAGGCCGTGGATATTGTTAGGCTGATGCAGCAGCTTGACATCTCCCTCTGTCCAGTCCTCTTTCCTTCCCCTTCCTTCATGGAGGTGTTGATTCCCAGGGAACCTCCTAATACACCTCCTGCATGTGAGCCCCCTTCTCAGGGCCTGTTTCCTGGGGAACCATACCTGCAACACTTACAGAGCCAGACACCTTTCTGAGCACTCTATGGTTGCACGTTCATTTCCTCCTGAAAACAACTCCATCCTGCTTAACAGATGAGGAAACCAAGGTGTGTCCATGGTCCTGGAGTGAGGAAAGCATGGGCTCTGTTTGCAAACATAGGCAGGCAGGCTCCAGAGCCCATGCTCCTAGGCTGCAGAACCCCAGCCTGGAGGGGCTGAGAGTCTAGGAAGAGAGAGACAGAGGCAGACACACTGTCCGTTTCCAGTGCAGAGCAGGAGGGAATTCCAGAGCTTGGCCAAAGAGGTGCATCTGTGAACACTTACATGCAGTGGAGGCCTGACAGCCAAGCTGTGAGCATCAGACCCCAAACTCTAGGAAGCCAAAAAACAGTGAGTTCAGTGCAGCGTACAGTGAGTGGTCCCCATGACACGGGAGACAGTGTCCTTAGGCTGATCTGGACAGAAAGTTCAATCCGGATATGCTTCCATGAGGCCTTCCAGAAGATTCTGTGCTGCTAATAGGTAATTTTCACTGTGCCCAGAACAACAAACCATGCCCACCCCTAATTGTGAAGGGGGACTGCATTGCTCAGTCAGCAGCAAGAGTTGCCTGACCTGCACCGGGCCCTGAGCACTGAGCTTTTGTCGGATCTCTTTGCCCCTCCGAGGAATTGGAACCCAGCATCTAGCTGCAGGTGATAGTCTCCCCTCGGGATAATCCCTGCTTGCCTCAGGGCAAGGTAACTTCCTCAGGACCACCTGCGTGAAGGTGATTGCAGCCATGTGCCCCATCACCCACCAATGATCCTCAACAACTATTTGGACTGAGCTTCCTATTCCTTATTGCCGATTCATGGGTTCCCCACAGGCAACCTAACATGTCACATCTTTTAAAACTCTTAAGGATAGTTGAGTTTCACTTGTGTAGTCCTCTGTGATGACCCTTGCCACATATCCATTTTGATCAATTATCTATTATTTCATTCACTTTGTGCTTTCTTCTTGCATTCGGCAAACATTCACTAAAAGACAGATCTCCCATTCAGAGCAAACAGTCCTGTATTGGAGACAGATGTGCGAACAGAGAAGGTTCCCTAGAAAGCTAACTTTTTGAATGATATAATGGACTTTGGGGGCTCGGAAGGGATGGTTGGGGGTGGTGAGGGATAAAAGAATACATGTTGGGTACAGTGTACACTGCTTGGGTGACGACGGGTGCACCAAAATCTCAGAAATCACCACTACAGAACTTGTTCATGTAACTGAAAACCACCTGTACCCCAAAAACCATTGAAATTAAAACATTTTTTCAGTTAACTTTTTAGTGGTACGAGGTTATCGTCCTTTTCCAAAATGCATAAGTGCTCTTTTCTGGTCATCTGGCTCTTCCAGGTTTCTATTCCTACCTGGTTTTCCATTCCTGTTGAGTAGAAGATTTCAGTTGTCACCATTTTGAAGCGACCGTGCTGACTCTCACCTTCTTTCTGTTTCCTCCATATCAGCAGGGCCTTGTTCCTAAATGGACCCCTCATCTGCCACCTCCCCTCACCCCAGCCCAGCTCCTGCCCTCCGGACTTGACAGCCCTTTTCCTCCAGCTCTTAGGCCCCTCGGAGACTGGCCACTGGCCCTGGGGGCAGCCGGGAGCACCGGGGTCTTCCCCATTGGAAGTGGCCTGTCCTGGGCTCTCAGGTCTCTCACCCATGCTCAGCCTGGCCCTCCTTCCCTGGGGCACTTGCTCCAGCCCCTAGCTGCCTCTGCAGCCCAGGCCCCACGCCTACTGCTCTCTGAGTCCTGGCTCCCAGAGGACTCAAATCCCAAAAAGGAAAAGGACATTAACACTCAGCTTCCCCCACCCCATTTAATATAATTCTAAATTGGAAACTCTGCATAGATCTCCTCTTTCTAGCTCTGCCCCTCAGGAGATAAATACTCAGGAATTTTATTCCTGTTGATCTTAGTGTCCTAAAAGGAAAGGGGAAGGAGAGGAGGAAGAGGGAAGGAGAGGAGGAAGAAGGAAGGAGAGGAGGAAGAGAGAGAGAGAGGCTGTATATCTGTATACCTAATTGGCAGCATCCACTTATAACTTAAATATTATAAAATAAAAGCAGAAGATAGAAGCTTTGGATGAGCTGGACTCAGTTCCAGGGATCCCCATGAACTGCTTTGCCCCTCCTTCCAATCTCCTCCTCTTATTGCTGTCTGCAGCACCCTCTTCCCAGAACCCTCCTTTGGGACTTTCCCTGGCGCCCCAGAGCTTCCACCCAAATATCCCAGATGACTCTGCTTTGTGAGCTCAGCACTCCCGTTTCAGGCTTGCATGCATCCCATTCACCACCCGGCCTGCAGATCGCTTCTTCCCCAGGGGTATGAAACCACCACTGAGCTTCCAACACCTCCCGCTCCCGCCCCTGCTTCTGACACAGAGCCGTTGCTTCTCCATCACCCTGGCCTCTGCTGAATTCCTGGCAGCGACCATCTGTCTCGTCAATCTCATTATTGCAGAATCCATCAAACTCTCTTCCACGCCAAAAATGATAGCTAAGGACATTGTACTAAATTGTAAGCCCCACCCAGCTTTTCCCAAAAGACCTTCACTACCCAGTAATTTATTCTTTTATTCTGTCACTTAAGAAAGAGGTAAGGAGAGAGCTGATGAGGTGTCAGGCACTGTACTGGTGTGGGGGAAATCAGGGAGCAAGGTGGATGCAGCCCCTGCGCTTGAGGAGTCTGTTACCAGAATCACCAAATAAGTCACAGCCATTGAACCCAGAGTCGCGAGAAAGAGCAGATTGCCGAAAATTCAGCCTCTGTCCTTATCAGGAAGCAAGCTCCCGTGTCTCCCATCTAGCGGTGGGTGTATCCATCCGTCCACAGGGCCAGCCTCAGCCAGCAAAGGAACTCAACCCCTGGGACAGCATGGATTCCCCGCTCACGGGGAAGGATGCAGGGACAGCTCCGGCTCCACAGAAAGGATCCAGAGAGGCTTCTGTGAATGTGCTCCAGCCACGGAGGAAGCTGGCCATCAGCCCGGGAGATGGCTTGGTGTTAGTATTCATTACTCCAACCCAGTTTAGATGGTTGGTGAAAAGGTTGCTATTTTATTTAGGGAAGAGTGGCCAGGGAGGCTCAAGAAGGAATTTCTTTACTCCTCACTCCTGCATTCCCCTTGAGATACACCCTAACCATGGTGATGCTCAGTAAAAACACAACAACAACAACCACACAACTTTCTTAGTCCTTTAGTGGGTCCCACAAGTGCCCAAGAGAATGTAGGTGCCACTCAGGGGTTCCGGCCCTCACCCGTACCTGCACAGGCCCCCTCTGGAGCCAGAATGCACCTTTTCCCCACGTGCAATAAAGAGCCGAAGTGAAGGCAATTTCCTTTCAAATGAAGAAACACAAATATTTCCAACATGAAGAAAACCCGAGTAGCGACTCAGAAAGTATGCGGTTAAGTCTCTCTTATCAATTTACAATATAAAAACATCTCATGCTTATAAAAGCAAATTTTGGTAGCGGTGGACTCACAGCCATTCCTGGGTGTTTTTCTGCACCCAGGTTAGTACATATTTACACGTCAAATGCACACAGGATTATGCTGGAGCCAAATACTGAAAGAAAACATGCGGTAAATGGTTGCTTTAATAAGTCCTGTTCCATTGAAAGGAAATAAAACCTGAGTATTAATGAGATATAATTATATATTTAAAATCTTTTCCCTTGTGCAGTATATAGGATTAATGCCAGTAAACTCACAAACTGCAACATTCTACTCCATTACATCTGCAATGATTAGAGATAGTTTGAACATCTGGCATATAATCTGTGATAGAAAACAGCATTCTGCACTTTAATGGACGTCTGGAGGCTACACATATCTGATTTTATTTCTTTCTGTTAACTCTTTCTTGGGAGAGAAAGAGTTTGTTACCAGGATGCCTCTCTTTCTTCCCTTCTTTGAATGGTATCCTATGCAACCCCTGGACTCTCTCTCTGTTTCCCACTTGCTCTCTGTATTTTCAACAGTGGACTCAAAATGGAAGGCACTGGATTTGTCAAAAGTTATTTATAATCTGCACAATTGAGCAGCATTACTATTCAGATTTTAAAACCTTTAAGAACCTCTACCCATGAAAACGAGGACAATTTCCTCATTATCGGTGAAATCTAAGACATTAAAATGAAGCAGCGTTCACGGTTTCTTCGATATTTCAAAGGCGTTCTGCACATTCCCTCTTAATTTGGTTCCCTTTCATAATTGTGTACATGGCAACTTGCCTGTGGAGGCCGAGGATTCTAATATTTGTACATTTTTGATGCCTCTTAAGTGTGAGTAGGTAAGAATGTCTTTGACTGGCATAGGCTTTCATTGAAAAAATTAGATGATTTTTTCTGCTTCATGTAGGGTGTGTTTAGCCCCAAGCTAAACAAGGAATGTTTTAGCCCTACTGATTTTCTGTAGGGAAAGAAAAATCCTTTGGTGAAATGGGAAAGAGTGACAGCACTAGCTTTTGCTTTATTTATTGAAATATTAGCTAATGCCAACACCTAAGGAAATCTTGAAATTGGACTCTATAAACAGTAATGAAGAATGATTGACAGGCAACCTCAGCAAATCGGGCATCCCCACAGAGAGGTCTCGGCATTTGGCAGGGTCGTCGGCAGAATGCTCCTCGGTTTGGTATGAGAACATGCGTGGAAATGTGCCAGTGGTAAGTGGATTTGGGGGTGAAATAATCATTTTCATGCCTCACATTTAATAGCTGGTGCTGAATGTTGTAATAAAGGCCATAGTTACTGCTCATAACTACAGGTGTAATAAGGCGAGATACTGGGCCTTCAGACCCTTCCAGCAATAATTCATGTGGGAATTAAGAAGCCTTAATGAGTCCAATGTGTCACTTGGGACCTCAGAAATATAGTTCTTAGAAAAGAAGAAAGCAGAAAGGACTCGCCGGAATTGAAATTACGAGGAGAGTTATTAGCGACCATGAAGGTGGGCTTTTCCCTCCCCGGCTTCCTTTGATGCAGTGGCCTCTGCCCTCAGCACGGGTTTTGCCTTTAATCACAGATTTTATGCTCTTTGAGGGCAGGTGCCTGCAAATTGCCTCCGATAGATCAATGATTCTCAACTAGGGGCAAATCTGTGTCCCGGGAATAGCGGGCAGTGTCCAGAGACATTTTTGGTTGTCGCACCTTGGAGGGGTGGGAGTGCCACTAGCATCTATGGGTGTCAGCCGAGGGGCAGCTGAACTTCCTACAATGCTCGCAGGGCAACCTCCAGGACAAAATGTCATCAGGCCCCTAGCGTCAACAGTGCCGCTGTTGAGAAACCTATAGAAACACTCACCCTAAATCATCCCTCCAGTGCTCCAGGGCACGCCCTTTCAAAGGCAGATTCTGTCTATGCACTCCAAAGGGGGCTGAAGGAGCAAGGGTTCCTCTTGCAAAGGTACTACGTTGAGGTGCAGCTGCAACCTTTGCCCATGATGGATTCCCCAAGTTGATTTGGGGCTATGAAATTCCTGATACAGGAGGCTTTATTCATTTGCTCCTAAATAGTGTGAATAAGTAGAAATTCAGACAAGGACCAGGCAGACTGTACCTTGCTCCGCCTGTGCGCAAAAGATGTGCTGAGTGTGGGCTCTGTGAACAGACACTGTGGGACACCATTTCTAGAACCTTTTAAGATCAGCAGTTTTCAAGTGTCTCAGACCTACCCTGGGTGTCGGCAGGTCCCCCCTCGTCCCAAAAGGCCCTCGGTCCTTCAGGAGTGCAGGTTCAGCAGGACACCCACTTGTCCACACTCTGTAGCCATTAGCGTCAGTTATCCAGCATACTCAGATTTAATGAAAGGCTTTGTTTGTAACAATCCTATAATTCTGATTTTTTTCCCCCTTAAAATCTGACTAATGTTAGTACCAAATAATCAGATAAAGAGGTTCTCCATCCCAGTTCTCGGCCTTAATGTAATCCAGATGTCAAGTCAATAGCAGCTCCAATCCTCACCTCGTGACCTGGGGTGAATCCAAACTCCTTCCCAAGAGTCCCAGGGCCTAGGGCTCTGACTTCCAGCTCTGGGCAAATTCAGGAGCATCTGCTGTCTTTAATTCAACCCCACCGCTGCCGTCAGCCTAACCCTGTTTCTCTTCAACTTCCTTTCACCTCTCATCTAAAGTTGCACTTACTGGGGGCAGCTTGGTAGAGGACCTTGCTAATGACTCAAGAGTAACAGGCTTGTGGGTGAGGAGGGGGCAGCAGCAGGGGCACTTCCACACAGCAGACAATTTAAAACTGAGTGATACCTCTGGCTGGGCGCGATGACTCACACCTGTAATCCCAGCACTTTGGGAGGCCGAGGTGGGTGGATCACCTGAGGTCAGGAGTTCGAGACCGGCCTGGCTGACATGGAGAAACCTCACCTTTACTTAAAAAAAATTTAAAAATTAGCTGGGCATGGTGGCACATGCCTGTAATCCCAGCTACTCGGGAGTCTGAGGCAGGAGAATCACTTGAACCTGGGAGGTGGAGGTTTCAGTGAGCTGAGAGTGTACCACTGCACTCCAGCCTGGGTGACACAGCTAGACCCTGACTCAAAAAATAAATTAATTAAATAAAATAAAGTAAAGTAAAATAAAACTGAGTGATAGAGAGCTCTCTTCTTTAAAATTCTCTCATCCTTTCCACAAATTTGGACTTCACCCTTCCCCTTATTACTGGACACCTCTCTCCTCTCTCTATCTCCATCTGATACCCCAGCAACTCAAATAAATAGATGCACATCTAACTTCTAGCACTTTATTATGCAAAGCAAGTTATCCCCTGTTGTTCAGACCC
The DNA here is from genome assembly GCF_000001405.40 of Homo sapiens. Classification (NCBI taxonomy): domain Eukaryota; kingdom Metazoa; phylum Chordata; class Mammalia; order Primates; family Hominidae; genus Homo; species Homo sapiens. The sequence continues at coordinate 30,738,749 of NC_000019.10, read as the reverse complement.
CAGACTCCATGTGCAGGTGCAAGAACCTATTCTTAAATTCAGCAGCCTGAGCCCTCACCAGGCCAGTTCTCCAAATTTCAGCCCCCAAGGACAAAGGACAGCTATTTCCTGATGGAGGTGAATTGCTCCTCCCCATCCCCTACAAATAGGCATCCTTAGAAGGCACAAATGGCCTCAGTCCCTTTTGCTTTTAAATATTTTTTTCCTGTTTTATCAAAATAAGGCAAGTAAGGCATGCTCTGACCTCTCCAAAACTGAGTCAAGTGATATCCCATTATCTGTCCCCCTCAGCCAAATGCCTTTGCTTTCCTTCCTAGAAAATGTCACCTTTCCTGGTGACTGGTGTGCATCTGATTATTTGATTGGGTGTGTGTCTCTCCCACTAGGCTCTCAGCTCCATGGGGGCAGGGACCCCTGGCACAGCGGCCAACTCTCCCAGGGTTCAGGAGGACCTATGTGTGGGAGGGAGGCACACAGGGAGGGTTGTGTAAGGGCCAGGCTACATCACAGCCTCTCATCTCCTACACAACCTCGGGTCATATGTGCATGGGTATATACATGTGTGGGCAGTGGGTTGGGTCTATGCATGTTTGGCTCAAACACTAGGTAGCAAGACCCAGGAAATATGATACACTCCTGTCTCTTAAGATTCCCTAAATCACCAGGGACAGTGGCTCATACCTGTAACCCCAGCACTTTGGGAGGCCGAGGTCGGGGTCGCCTGAGCCCAGGAGCTCAAAACCAGCCTGCGCAACATAGTGAGATCCCATCCTAACAAAAGAAGGACACCAGTGTGTTGGTGTGCACCTGTAGTCCCAGCTACCTGGGAGGGCGAGGCAAGAGGATCACCTGAGCCTGGGAAGTTGAGGCTGCAGTGAGTTGAGATCACGCCATTGCACTCCAGACTGAGTGGTAAGACCCTAGGTCTAAAATAAAATAAAAAAAATCCAAACACAGCAATTGCGCCTATGCCCTAGGAAAAAACTGGGTGGTTCCTATTTATTTGGGTCTCTACCCACTGAGGCGATCTGGAACCAGGCATTCAGGCATTTCGAGGTTTCTCTCTCTCTCTCTCTTTTTTTTTTTTTTTTTTTTTTTTGAGGTAGAGTCTTGCTCTGTTCCCCAGGCTGGAGTACAGTGGCACAATCTCAGCTCATTGAGTGTCTGAAGCCTCGGCCTCCCAGGTTCAAGTGATTCTTGTGCCTCAATCTCCCAAGTAGCTGGGATTATAGGCGCCTACCACCATGCCCAGCTAATTTTTGTATTTTTAGTAGAGACTAGGTTTCACCATGTTGACCAGGCTGGTCTTGAACTTCTCACCTTAAGTGATCTGCCCACCTCAGCCTCCCAAAGTGCTGGGATTACAGGCATGAGCCACCACACCTGGCTGGAACCAGGCATTTTGGTTGAAGTCTGCTGGGCACGTACAATCAGGGCCCATGGAAATGTCCCCTCTGAAGACTCACCTCCTCCTCTGTTCTCTCCCGTCCCCCACCTGTGCTCCCAAGATCTCTTTTGCTCCAATTCTAAGCGGCTGCTTTTCTACCTTGTGTCTTCCAAGTAGAAAAGCATTTCACAAGCTCAAAGACCCTAAAGGTAAATACACAAGTCTCTCTATGTAAAGAGTCTCTTTGGGTGGCGTTTGGCCTGGGGTGGCAGCCCCTGACATCCCTCCCATCCCTGGCCATGCCAGCCCCCATCACTCTGATCCTGTGTCCAAATTGAAAGCCAGCCCTGAGGGCCGCAGCTTCTCTGACCCTCAGTCAATGAGGACTCCTCTCCTTGTCCTGCCCAGGAGAAGTTCATTCATCCCTGCCTCTCTTCCTGCTGCTTTTTTCCACACCCTTTCTGAGTCTAGGGGCAAAATCCTTGATGTTGGACACTTGTATGACACCAGCCTCACAGTGCTCTCTGTACAGGGCAGTCAGTGGCATTCCAAATCCCAAGGGTCTCCTCCCTTTCCAGCTGTCCAAGAACGCGTCTGCAGTTTATGTCATCTATCCACCAATTCACAAACAAAATAGTCATTGAGCACCTAATCTATGCCAGGTCTTACACTGTGAAATAAACACAGAGGCACCCAGAGCAGGTAACAGCAGCAACAGGATGGTCAGCTCCCTGGAAGGAAGGAGACCAGACACAGCTAAACCCAAGAGAGGTGCTGAGTGCCCCAGGGATAAGAGACAGATAACCTTAGGGGGCATTCTGCAAGGGACCTGTAAAGGCTTCCTGTACCAGCCCTGCAGTGGGCCCTAAAGGTCTTGTAGGATTGCAAGCAGAGGGTGGGGAGACAAGCAAGCCAGGCGAAGTGAATCAGCTTAATCAGTTAATCAGAACTGTCACACCTTGACTTCGAAATTTACCCAGATGATAAAGATCTTTCTACAATCCATTCTTTGTTTCCAATTAAACGATGGGATTCCCTCTTTTATTCAGTTGTTAAACATTGATCTTGACCTGGTGAAGAGCTGATTGGTCCAGAGGTCTTGGGAGTGGTGGAAATGATTAAGCTGACCAGAAAGAGGGGTGAGCAGGTCAAGGGGAGGACGCCCTGGTGGTGAGTGGAGGGGGTGCTCTGGGGCTGCAGTGTGATAGAGGCTGGGACAGAGGAGGCCAGGGCTTAGAGGTCCACCTCAGCACCATGGGGAACATGCCTGAAATCCTTTGCGTGGAGACTTGAACCTTCTCCTTTCCCCAGAACATGCACCCTGGGGGTTCAAGGACAGGACAAACTTCCTGCTTCTGGAAGCCTCATTATTTCAAAGTGGCTCCAAGTCCAGAGAGAAACAAAGGCACTCCTTGATGTTGATCATCGCAGCTAGATTTCTCTTGAGAAATTACTGTATTGGTTTTTATTTTATACCCACCCTATTTCCAAAGGGATTTGAGGCAGCCTCTCATAAAACCTGGTATATCTATTTATACAGGCTGGTTAAAATACAGATAAATTCTAAAGCTCAGAAGCCAGAGAAGGAGGAGTAAAGCTAATGGCTCGGTGAAACACAATCATTCTCCTCCTCCACCTGCCAGCCCTTCCTGAGGTTTGGTGCTGGGACTTTCCCAAGACCTTGTCTTCAGTGATCCTCCCTCTATCATGAGATGGGTGGGGCACACTGTCTCCATTTTACAGCTAAGTTAAGTGATGGCTCAAGATCCAATTATGGCCGGGCGCAGTGGCTCATGCCTATAATTCCAGCACTTTGGGAAGCCAAGGCCGGCAAGTCACTTGGGGTCAGGAATTTGAGACTAGCCTGGACAACATAGTGAAACCTCATCTCTACTAAAAATACAAAAATTAGCCAGGCATGGTGTTGGGCACCTGTAGTCCCAGCTACTCGGGAGGCTGAGGCAGGAAAATCGCTTGAACCCAGGAGGCAGAGGTTGCAGTGAGCAGAGATTGTGCCACTGCACTCCAGCCTGGGCGACAGAGGAAGACTCCATCTCAAAAGAAAAAAATAAAAAGATCCAATTAAAAGCTGAGCTAAGCTGGAGAGGGTGTGCTGGTAGCAAATTCTCTTCATGCCTCCCACTTCCTTCCTAGAGTGTTCGTGGACAGACACAAAAGGATTCCTTGGTCTTCAAGCTTCCATTGCACCCTCCTGCACAGGCATCCCAAATGGCTACTCTTACTTAGGAGCAAGTCTGTCTGGCAGGAGACTTGCATTTGCATCTTCCAAATAAGGGCCGTTGGGTCCATGTTGTAATTCCTGACAATATGCCTTTCATGGCACAGCACTGGGGCTCGGCTGGCCCTTTAAGGGCTAACTTCTTCCTTCTGATTTGTATTGCAGGTTTGTGACCGGGATGCAGCCTTCTCTTCTGTATCATCCATTCACCCTCCCTGGGCTTCCCTGGAATGGTCAACGGAAGTTCCACATATGGCCTGCCACAATCTGTTATGAGAATAACAGAGGATTCAGTGTGAGAATCAGTGAGAAATATATTTTGCTCTCCCCCGGGTCTGGCCCAGGGTGAGCATAGTGCGTGAGTAGCTGTGCTGTTTTGCTTTTTTGGGTCCAGTTCAGCTCTCAGGCCACCCCCACAACAGATAGACAAGCTGATGTCTATGGAGAGCCAGGCAGATTAAGAACAAACACCCATCTTTCAATGTACATCTTCCCGCATATTTGTTGAATTGTCCCACGGAGATGTTGGTCCATAGGTGGGTGCCCAGTAGATGGGGTCCTGGGCACAGTGAAGAGAGAGGTAGAAGGCACTTCTGGGGCTGCGTGAATTCAGTGCCCACTTATCATCAGAAAGATCCCTGAAGAAACAGAAATGAACATTTGTGCGTTTTTTTTTTCTTGTACTGAAATTATCTTTTTTTTTTTTTCCTTCTAGAGAAACAGCTCCCACACCTTAAGAAAGGGAGCCAGAGACCGAGTGGTATCTAATGCAAATCTATTCTAAGAAGGCTGTGGGGGCCATCTGGTGTCCGATGCAGACAGGGCCTGCTGCGAGATGAATTGGGAGGACAAGGGACTGGGTGAGAGCGAGTGACGGGAGGTGAGAGGCTGACTCCTTTTTATCCATGTCAAAACACAGCCCATCAGGAGGATAAGAAGAGAAATCACCTTATGTTGTGGGAAGCAGATCAAAGCAGAAAAGATAACGTCTCCAAAAGAAAAGGGGGAACAGAAAGCCGTGTTGTTGAACAAAGACGGGAGAGAAACAGGCTTGGGTCACTGGATACCAAGCTGGACTCAATGGCTGTCTGGGTGGCCTCCTTCAAAGAAAAGGCAAATCCTTCCACCAGTTGTTCCGGCTTCAGACACGCATAGACACTAACCCTTCCCGCGCGGCATCTCTCTGGGTTTTTTGTTTCCTGAAAAATATAGTCCCTATCACTGGCTTTCTATGCAGAGCTAAAATAATTCATCAAATATTTGGAATGTGTAATTAAATATCTAATGCCAATTAGTAAATTACTAATGAAATAATCAAGGGCTTTTATGGTTTATAGTTCGGCTCGAATTTTAATTCTGAGTGGCTATTGATTCTAAATAGAGTAGAATGTGAGTTGTAAAACATTAAGTGTACCGATACGAAATGCAGAAGAGAAAGAAGTTTTGGGGTCCACGGTGGTGAATACTGACCGATGCTAATCACCATGGTGTCCTGGCAGGGTGTGCAGGCTGCCTACTGCCAATAGCAGTATCAGGGAGAGAGACTCAGAGGTTCACCATGGAAGGCAAAGACGTGCAGCACATGCGTCCCAGGGTGAGGTGTGATGGTCATGGCTGTATGATCCAGACCAGAGCAGGACACCTGCCATGCTCCCAGGGAGGAGCAAAGGTGGGCCCGAATAAGAAGCCTTCTGAGGCTGCCTTCCTCCTTCAGGCTGGAGGGGGCAACAGCACGTGGGAATGTTGCATGTGAGACAACACAGACTGAAGAGGCAACTTTACTCCACTCTGCAGGCTTGGCCTTGTGTGTGTGGGTACGTGGGGTGCAGGGTGCAGGGTACATGATTACCTTGAAGATGCAGGGGTACAAGTTACTTATGGGGTGCAGGGGTACATGGTTGCCTATAGGATGTGAAGTATATGGTTTCCTAAAGGATTCTGGAATACATGGTTACCTATAGTCTGAGAGTATAGGTTACTTTTAGGGTGCAAGGGTACCTGTTATCTATGGGGTGCAGGGGTACATGGTTACCTTTAGGATGTGGGGGCTAAGGTTACTTATAGGGTGCAGGGTAGATGGCTATCCATAGGATGTGAGGTGCATGATTATCTTTAGGATGCGGGGGTTCAGGTCACCTATAGGGTGCAGGGTAGATGATTAGCTATAGGATGTGAGGTGCATGGTTATCTATGGGATGCAAGGGTGCGTGGTTACCTTTAGGATGTGAGGCTCAGGTTACTTATGGGGTGCAGAGTACATGGTTATCCATAGGATGTGAGGTGCATGGTTACCCATGGGGTACAGGGATACATGGTTACCTTTAGGATGTTGGGGCTCAGGTTACTAACGGAGTGTGGGGTAGATGGTCACCTGTAAGATGTGAAGTGCATGGTTACTGATGGGGTGCAGAGGTACATGGTTACCTTTAGGATGTTGGGGCTTAAGTTACTTATGGGTTGCAGGCTAGATGGCTATCTATAGGATGTGAGGTATGTGGTTATGGAAGGAGTGCAGGAAGTCTGTGGTTAGTTCCGGGTGCCAAGGCACACGTTATGGCTCCAGCAAGGTGGTGGAGAGATGTATACGCCACTTCTGACAACTTTTTCTCAGATGCCCTTCTCCCTTAGTATGGAAAACAAGGTGCTAATCACACCAATTTTAAATATTGAAGCAGATTTTTAAGGATATTTTCTCACCAGAGTATTAGAAAAGCTAGTTACTGGAAGGTATGAAAAATAATGCAATTTCACTTTTGTGAGAAAGACCTTTTGAGCAATCTTAGCCCCCCATTCCATATTTAATAGATGTATGATCATTGTTACAATAAGAATCATCCCTGCCTCCTTGATAATCTATTCTTGCAGGCCTTATTCCTGGAATTCTTTTACTCATGCTAGTTCATGTAGTCCTCACAACAGCGCTTTGGGCTCCATATGTTCATAATCCCCATTTCACAGACCAGGAAACTGAGGCTCGGAGAATTTCCACAAATTGACTAAGCTCAAGCAGCTACTCAGTGCTGGCATGGGGCCTAGAACACAAGCGTGTCTAATATCAACACTGTGACCTTTTCCATGCTGCTACTTGCAAAAGGAGATGGTCACTCAAAACCCACCAACCTACCACATGGGTACAAAAGCCTTGCCCAGGACTGAAATGACACAACCTCCTTTGTGGGCAGGTTTTGAGTTGGTATAAACACAGTGAATTTCAGTGTTGTGTCCTGGGGCCCTTTGGAAGACAGAAATCCCAAAGGAGGTAAAATGTGAACTGGAGCAGATGCTTAGACCAAGAGCAAGCCTGGGCCCGGGGCCACCAGGCTGCCGGAGCTGGTCCCCCAGGGCTGATGATGGAGGAGGGGCTTGCAGAGCCCCTGCAGCTGTGATGTGGCCTGCACTGGGACTGAGACAAGCCTGGGATGTCTGGTGCAGACTTCATGTCTATACCTCCTCCTGCCCCGCTTGGGCCAGGCCAGAGGCAGAAGACCCTGTTGCCTTTCCCTGGCCTCTCCAGCATCTGGGAGCAAGAGGGAGACAGTGCTGTGTACAGCTCAAGAGTGATTTAAACACTCTTCCAGCTCAAAGGGGAATCTTGGATTTCATTAATTAATACATCAATAGAAGCCAATGGAGAAAAACATGTCTTGTTATCTGGCTTCTCAGATGCTAGACATGGGCTCATTAGCCTTAAGCATATCAGCCCGATAACACTATTTATTCCATACAGAATAATGATCTACTTTAGGGGAACACTGCAGTGAACCGAAAGGCCGAGAACATCCATTATCACTGCTCCCGCACACCCGGGCATTATTGCCATCTGCCATAAAAACGGAAAACACGGGGTGCCTGGGCACTGGGTGCCAGCCTGCTCCACCACCCTGCACACCTCACCAATGCACCACCCCTCACAATACAGCTACAGAGGTGCCCAGTCACCCTCACATCAGAGATGGGCATAGGTAACCTGGCTGAGGTCATACTTACTAAGAGACAGAGTTGGGATTCAAATCTGGGTCAGACAAACAAAAGAATCCGAGTTATTTCCACAGTATCATGCTTCCATGCAGACACACACAGGGAGATACACACACTTCCATGCAGATACACACACTCTATCAGCACAAACTCCCACCTGATAGAGAGGGGAAGCCAATGTAAGAAAGCAAGAAGAAGGTGATCAACCCACATGAACTTGTCACTGACCATTGTCCAATAAGGGTAAACAATTTAACCGATTGTACCATTGTTATTCCTGTTTTCAATGACATAATCTCTCTGATGACAGTGTGTTCAGTAGGGGCCATTAGAATTACAATGCAGTTCTGAACCAGTCAGCCTTGAAAGCCAATACACAAAAATAAGCATCACTTCTTGTTGTGTTAGGCTCACGCAAGGCCATTTTGAGATGCTGAGCGCTCCTGGTAGAGAAAGCAGCCATCAGTTAAACAATGACCATATTCATGGGCAAGGAGATTTAGTAAACCACGCCGACTAATAGCCAGTGGGCAGGATTCAGTGCCCCATGTCTCCAGGTCCGCAATTCTGGGATCTTAAATGTGGGACCAGACAACTGCAGGGCAGGGGACGTCTAGGAAGATCTGCCTCTGTCTTGCTAAAAGCTTCATCCTTCTCCTGCCCTTTCTGATTTTGGAAACCCCAAAGAAACTCCGAATTCACAAAACTACACAGACCACGGGGTCCAGTTATCCATCTCTCAATCAATTGGGTCAACCCACAGCAGGAACTCATCGACTCCTCCTTCACCGGGCACTCCTAGGATGCACAAGGAAAATGATTCAAGAGCCTGGTCCCCAAGGCCCTTTCAGTGCAGGAGGCCAGGTGAGAGCTGAGCCCATCTGTCATCACGTGCTGAGCCAGCCACGCTGCTAGGATCACACAGAACATGAAAGTTTAGAGGAGGAGAGCCCACTGGGGCCTACAGGAGACACTAGGGGCTTCTGGGAAAAGGGAGGGACCTAAACCCAATCTTGAGGGACTGCTAGGAAGAAGCAGCATAGACAAGAAAGAGCTGCTTGGGCAGTGACTTTGAGGATACTGAACTGACCACATGCAATGGTATAAATCAGGTCAGCCAAGGGAGGTGGGCAATGAGGGCTAAGTAGTTGGAGGGGCACCTGCTAAGGGGGTCAGTTGTCACATCTTGGGCAGTGAGGAGCCATCTCTAGAGCAGGCCTGGAACCACCTGCCACAAACACACACATCTCCCACAGCCAACAATGGCCTTGTTATAAAAAGGAAGAAAAGGCATTCCAAGGAAAGGGGTGTGTTTCCATCTTGGTAATGGGACATTCACGGTAGTGGCAAGTGGGATAGGTCAGTTCTGTGCAGGAAACCGGGAGTTGTTTGGGCATCATTAAAAGCACTACATACTACCCCATGAATTACCCAGCAAAGGCACAAACACCACTTCCCCTCTTATGACAGCCCAAGGAAAATGCGTGATGCTTCATCACAGCAGCACTGCGGTTTCACACTGCCCACAGCCCACTGCTCACACTTCTGACAATAAAAGGAGTGCAAACAAAGCCCCCTTCTACACAGGCAGTAGCTCTGCGAGGAGGAAGAACTGGCTAGAGGAGTCATTAGAAATAATATTTTTTTTCAAATTAATAAAATGCAACCGTCCACACTCAAGACCAACAGCTTGTAAAATTGGATTTCTAAAAGACGAAGGGGAAACGAGGCCAGCACTGGTCAGAAGTGGCCAAACAGAGAATTTAGGAAGGAGAATTCAGCTACTTCAGCCCAGGAGACATTTGTGGGTGTCGGTCAGTCTGGCCCTAACGTGGTCACTCTGTTTGGGATGACAGTCTCTAAATCCCACCAACTGGAAGGTGCTGAGTGACAAGAGAGAGAAAAAAAGGTGCTTCTTTCCATTAGTCCTTTGGGGCTATATCAGAGGATAGTGGGAAGCCTGAGGTCTCAAACCAGGGAAATCCACAGCACAAGTACCATCTTTGAGATGTGGCTGCTGAAAAACACTATTTCTCTATCTCCGCCAAGAGACTGAGCAGGAAGGAACTCTGGGTAAATATCCATTACAGAGAAGACTCTTAAAATACTAAGGCAAAGGTCCAGACGCAGTGGCTCACGCCTATAATCCCAGCACTTTGGGAGGCCGAGGCAAGTGGATCACCTGTGGTCAGGAGTTTGAGACCAGCCTGGACAACATGGTAAAACCCCGTCTCTACTAAAAATACAAAAATTAACCAGGCATGGTGGTGGGCACCTGTAATCCCAGCTTCTAGGGGGGCTGAGGCAGGAGAATCACTTGAACCTGAGAGGCAGAGGGTGCAGTGAGCTGAGATCTCACCATTGCACTCTAGCCTGAGCAACAAGAGTGAAACTCCATCTCAAAATAAATAAATTAATTAAAAATACTAAGGCAAGAATAGACAAGGTCATAGTCCTTATTTCCATGCCTGATCTGATGTTGCTTGGGAGCATTAGGGTAGAGCCCATGAATGACATGCTCCCACCATAGCCCCAGCACTGGGCCTCCCATATGGTTAAGTGCTCCATAAACATCTGTTGAATCAGTGAACGTGGTCAGCTACAGAGACATTACTGAGCAACCCCCAGGCCTGCCTACAGTGCTCCCTGGGTCAAAGTTATGGCTGCACCCCTCTACCAGGAGGCTTCAGCATCTCAAAAGTCTCAGCATCTCACTGGTCTGGCTCACTCGGACCAGCGAGCCTCACCCTGCAGTGTTGGTTATCATGCTCTGAAGAGTCAAATCCCTAGGTTCTGTCCTATTCAAACCACAGGATTTTATTAGAGGAGCAACTCTTTAGCAAAAGTTAGATGCCTCAGTGTTATGGGTGGGTTATAGGTTTCCTGCAAGAGAAGAGACTGGAGCTCCCACATGTGCTCAGCATCATCCTGTGAGAGCAGGGCCTCTTTTTACAGCTGCAACACTCGGGTGGGTGATATGTGCTTGGTAACTGACACCACTAGCCGGGCAGATCGACCCAATCCAAGCGACCAGTGGGACACTCGCCACCATGTGACCTCATGTTCCACAGATGCCCAACAGTCACCTCGTCTTCCGTGTCATGCCCAGTTTCCTGGAGGAGCCCACCTGTTTATTTCTCCTGTTCCTTCCCCATCCTTTTCCTCCTGCTTCCACTCAACCCAGCCCTGCTGATCTTGTGCAGCTGCGTGGCCTGGTCTTCCGCCCCACTGAGCCTATTCTCGAAGGTTCGTTCACCCACGGCTTCACCTGCACAAGCCCAGTGGTGTCCTGGGCATCTCTGCTACTTTCGGCCCTATGGGCACCCCCGACTCTCTCCTCCTCCTCACATTGTGAGGCCCGGCTTCTCCCAATCTCTTCCTTACTTCTCCAACCACCCCACGAACTGCCAAGGCAGCTTCCCTCCCCACTTGCCAAACTAAATTCCCTCGTGATCTCTCCTTGGCCTTCTTTTCACTTTCCCATCTATCCCTCTTGTTCCTCCAAAGAGTATCAATCCAAGTTCCCCAAGATCAGGGATATGTCCTCTCCGCTGTGTGCCCCTTAGCACCAAGCAAACACAGCACGCCACAGACACTTGGTGCATACTCAGTGATTTAAGCCATTCCGTGGATGCAAAGTGAATGAGCCCACTGCAGGAGTTGATGGGTTTTTTTGTTTGTTTATTTTTTTCCTGCTACAGATGTTGAACCATTTGCTTTCAAAGGTGGTTGCTCTGCACACAGCTGAGGAGGTAGAGACGTGTACATTAGTATGGACTGAGGGCTTGTGCCTTGCACCCCAAATTCATATGTTGAAACCTAATCTCCAGTAGGGTGGTATTTGGACGAGGGGCTCTTAGGAGATGGTGAGGTCATAAGGACAGAGCCCTCATGAATGGGATTAGTGCCCTTATAAAAAGGGACCCCTGAGAGATCTCTTCTCCTTCTGACATTTGAAGACACAGCACAAAGATGGCACTCTAGGAATCAGAAAAGAGAGCCCTTGGTTTCCCTAGCCTCCAGAGCTGTGGGAAATGAATGTCTGTTGTTTATAAGCTACCCCGATCACGGTGCTTTGTTACAGCAGCTGAACTGACTCAGACACGCTTGGCCCCCTGCTCGGCAAGGCTGAGGCAGAGCCGGCTCCACTGCGGAGTTTAGAATATTCCCGCAGAGAACTCTCGCACAGAGAGACTCCACCGTCCTGGCCCAGGTCTATTCTTAGCTGTGCTCACAGCCGGTTCTGGGGAGAAGGCTGGTTGTCGTTAAGCGCTCAGCAGCGCCTGGCTTTCTCCATCCAATCTTTGGTGAAGCCTTCTGTTTCCGCCTTCAGGTATTCGATTCATCCCTGTCCTCATAGCAGGATGGGTGGGGAGCGGGGAAGGAGCCATCTGGAAGGGGTGCCCAGTCCTTTCCTCTTTCAGCTCTAGCTCCTCCATGTTCCCCACTCCCACCCCGGTTATCTGGGCCTTTATGTTATTTTTATAGAACTCGGCTCAGAACACAGCCTGCCATGGTCTTACTCCATCCCAGAGGGTACTGCTGCCCTCTGGGTGATGCCTCCTTCATTCATTGCTGAAGTTCCCTTAGGCTCCAGGTAGGATCGTGCATGGATACCGGCCACAAGGAGGATGTTCTGGGAGGAGGCAGCCAGCCCTGACTGCCGCATCTGGACAGAGAGGCCTTCCATGCTTCCCCCTGACTCCTGTGGCCCTGCCAGGAACAATCCCATTGAGACTTGGCCCTCCCTGACTCGGACTCCACCTTGGGAAGGAGCCACAGCCTCCTTCTCTGTCAGTCCCTGTTCCTGGAACCGGCCTCAGCCCAATGGAGATGGTGGAATGTGCATGGTTTGCTTTCAGACTCTTCTTCTCTCTTCATAATTTCACTCATTCATTCATTCATCCAACATTTATTCATATATTTCTTTAGCTCCTATCTTAGTTTGGGTTCCCACAAAAAGCAGGCACTTGGTAAGACAAGGACATGGGTGCAGATTGTTCATTTAAGAGATAATCCCAGGAAACAGAAATGAGAGAGTGGGGACATGAGATAGGGAAGGGGGGACATTGATCCTGAGTGCATTTATGGGCAGGTCACCACCATGGACAACTGGAGCTCCGTCCTGCAAACGCCCTCTGAGAAAGCAGAGCAAATGCCAGTCTCGGGGTGTGTACACGCTGATGCTGTCTCCCATTGCCCGAATGTTGCCCTGGGTGCATTAATCTCCAGCATGACCAGGCTTCCTTGCAAGGAGCTGAGGAAGCTCCCATGGTTCTTCATGTGAGAAAAGCTGTCAGTGGCTAGGAACTGTCCGGTGAAGCCACAGATGGGTTCAGAGTGAGCTCAGGAACGTGGATCAGGGCATTGAGAGCATCCACTATGGCCCGATCGTGGTCATTTTGCAGACATTGATTGAATGCACAGGTGCCAGGCGCTGTGTTGAGGCCATGGGGATGCCCATGTTGGCTTTGAATAAGCATGCCCTCCAGGAGCCAACTATATTTTTAGTGGATTGAGTGGTTTCTTTCCAGGAACTTCATAGGGGAAATTGTAGTCCTGTTAAACTAAAATTCAGGAAGGCTGGGTTTGAAACTGGTTCTGTGGACATCACTCTACCTTTGCACTGATTTATTTGTCAACATGGAACATAAAGCATACAAGAAGCTCCCATCATGGGTCACCATGGATCCAGAAATGAGCCAAGGCTGCTGCCTTCAAATGACCCACTCCAGTCGAGGAGTAGAAAAACACAACCAGCCCTGACATGCTACAGGGAGTTCCACACTCTTACCCAGAGAGAGGTGCTTTGGGCTTACAAAGAGGAAAATAATTATTGACCAGGGATGGGTACAGAAGGCTTACTGAGGAGATGATGCTAATTTTATACCAGGAACAGACAGTAATCATCAACTGTCTCAGAAGCTTCCTTCTTTCTGTGGGTTGCAATGTTAATTTTCATTTGAAAGTCCTTTTGGGTAGAGCATGATTTAGTTCACCACAAGTCACTCTAGCTTCTTTCAGTGATAGAATCTGTCAGTCCCACCCTGACCTGCATGACAATAAAAAATATTTAGGAAACACAGTGGGACCACCCTGTGCATAGCTGCCTATAGGAACTTTATCCCTCAACCTCTGGCTTCGTCCTTTTGGACGGCTGTCACAGAGTACCATAGCCTGGGGGCTTATAAATAACAGAAATGTATTTCTTACCCTTCTGGAGGCTGGAAGTCAGATCAGGGTGCCAGCCCGGTCAGTCTTGGTGAGGGTCTACCTCCTCCTTCACAAGTGGCTGTCTTCTCAATTTGTCTTCACTTGGTAGGAAAAAAGGGTGAGATAGCTGTCTGGGGTCTGTTTTATAAGGGCACCAATCCCATGCATGAGGGGTCCACCTTCATGACCCACTCGCCCCCAGAGGCCCTGCCTCTTACCATCACATTGCGGGTGAGGACAGTGTATGAACTTGAGGTCAGGGAACACAGACATTCTGTCCACACATCCCCGCATTCTGGGCTTCAGGTTCCAGGCTTCCTGGCCTGCTTGCTGGATGCAGAAGCCACCAGGGACCTTTGGATCTCTGGTCCGGAGCACATTTACTCTTCCTTCTGGAACCTTCTCAGGTACTCTCTCTCTCTCACCCCCTCACATCCAAATCCTATTCTTCATGCAGGGCCCATTACCTCACCCATAATACTTTCCTTGCAAGGGGTTGCTCTTTTTAAATGTTCCATTCCCACTACTCTTATGCGCAATCTCACCAACATTGATGCATGTGATGGGATCATGAGAGTGGGATTTCAGATGCAGATGGACAGGACATTAAGGAGCAATCTGTGGAAGGAGACTCATCCCAGAATTCAGGGCTTCGCATTGCATGCGTTACTGTAGCTCTTTCTTTCTTTCTTTCTTTCTTTCTTTCTTTCTTTTCTCTCTCTTTCTTTCTTTCTTTCTTTCTTTCTTTCTTTCTTTCTTTTTCTTTCTTTCTTTTTATTTCTTTCTTTTTGAGACAGAGTCTCACTCTGTCACCCAGGCTGGAGTGCAGTGGTGCCATCTCAGCTCACTACAACCTCTGCCTTCTGGATTCAAGTGATTCTCATTCTCATGCCCCCACCTCCCGAGCAGCTAGCATTACAGGCATGTGCCACCACACCCTGCTAATTTTTGTATTTTTGTAGAGATGGAGTTTCGCCCTGTTGGCCAGCCTGGTCTCGAACTCCTGACCTCAGGTGATCTGCCCAACTCGGCCTCCCAAAATGCTGGGATTACAGGTATGAGCCACGGTGCCTGGCCAAAGTTACTGCAGCATTTCTGACTTGAGTCTTTCCTGAGGTCATCAAGCAGTCATGAGTTTCCTGAGAGCAGGGCCCATGCATTGCTCCTGTTGTACCTCCAATGCCCTGCACACGACCCCGGAACTAGCGCATGGTCATTAAATGTTGAGTGAACGAAAGCTTCTCTCCAGATATGCGATAACTGATCAACAACCACAAGCACTATTCCCATGCTCTGCCTGACCATGGGGGTCACGGGAGCACATTCTGGAATCAATGAATTCTTTCCTCTGGGATTACAAGCCTACTTCAGTATTTATGGAACCACCACAACAATCTTTAGATATCATTTGGTGAATATTACATAGATAGCCTTTTTGATATAACAAGTGTGTTTATTTTCTATGTCTGGAAACTCAACATCTTGAGCTTTTCTGGGCTCTCAGCATTCTCTTCTGTGGAATGGGTTTGTCGGACATAATCGCCTCTCTTTCCTTCCCGCACTCCCATAAAATAAGTCCAAATGTAAAACATGGCTTGTTGATGGCCTCAACTGGGACATTAGTCTTGCTGCCAAACATTTTCAAGGGAAACAAAATATTTTAAATGTCTGGTGCCACACAGCAGCATTCCTCACTCCCCCTCCAGAGGGGCAGACAATGAATGGAAGGCAGGGTGTGGGTCAGGCCGTCGTCATGGCTAACAAATGCTCTTACACTGCCTCATCTGTCTCCTGGTTCCTGCCTCCGCCTGGCCAGACATCGACACATTCCCATTCTCTCCTCAGGTTAGGAGGACCTAAGTGCTGGGGGAATAGGTCTTTGGAGAAGGAAATGATTCACACCCCAGCAGAACAGGCTCCCAGCCACCTGCTCCCACCACCCTCCAGGCCCTGGGGGCACAGAGGCATGACCGAGAGGGGCTCAAGTCTCCCTGGGCGGATCTATTACATGCATTAAAATAATTTACGCTTGGCCCTACAAAGCGTTTAATTTGTCGTGCCATCATCCATTCCAGAAGCGTTCCTCTTCATCATGAATTATTTTTGAAGTATTTATGTGGACCTCACCGAAAATCACCCCAGTCAGCAAACTAAGAAATGGCAAGGCATTAAGAGGAGGCATTGACCCCAGGCTCGCAGGCTGGAGGGTGGCCAGGGTCAATGGGTTGGGAGAGGGACCTGGGGTGGCTGCAGCAGACCCTGGCCAAGCCGCTGGCTCTGTTATCCCTGCCCACAACTGGGCATGGGCAGGGTGCACAAGGTTTTTTAAACATTAACGATTGTGTGGGGGCATTTCCAATTGGAAAGCACTTTTCCATGGTCTTACTTGCTGCCCGCAGTAAGCCTGTGCTGCAGATGCTCACAGCTTCTCTTATAGATGAGGAAACTGAAGTGCAGAGAGAAGGAGGGATGTGCCTCGTAGAGTAGATTTGGACTGGATCCAAGTTTCCCATTTGCAGCCACAAGTCCCTCTGTAGGGAGCTGGTCTTAGACAATCCTGGCGCGAAGGGGGCCGTCAGTCTTGCTTTGCCAGGCCTTCCCTCCACATGCAGACACAGCCCATACTAAAGGCAAACGGGACCACGCCTAAGTTCTCCAAAACACTGCCGGTCTGCTGTGGAGTCTAGTCAATATTACTCTTTGTTGGGGGTCACTTTTCTGAAGACTGCAGAAGGAGCTCTTTTTTTTTTTTTTTTTTTTTTAAACAGAGTCTCTGTCTGTTGCCCAGGTTGGAGTGCAGTGGCGCAATATCGGCTCACTGCTACCTCTGCCTCCCGGGTTCAAGCTATTCTCCTGCCTCAGCCTCCTGAGTAGCTGGGACTACAGGTGAACGCCGCCATGCCCGGCTAACTTTTTGTATTTTAGGAGAGATGGGGTTTCACCATATTGCCCAGGCTGGTCGTGAACTCCTGAGCTCAGGCAATCTGCCCGTCTCAGCCTCCTGAAGTGCTGGGATTACAGGAGAGCCACCGTGCCTGGCCCATTTTTTTTTTAAGCTAACAACATTCCCATAAAAATCTAGTGATTATTATCAAAGAAAATTGTGCTGGGAATTTTTATTTATTCAATATCTATTTATTTGAGGTCCTACGTGCTGTTAATAGACACTGTTTGTAACACGGTTGTTACAAACAACCCCCAGCTGAGGGCCCTGCTCTCAGGGAGCTTACATTCTCATAAGGAAGGTAGACCATGAGCAGTTAAAGAAAGGGGTAAGCAAGGTATTTCCAGGTAGTGATTACTACCATAAAGAAGAAAGAAATTGGGTACCTAGAGGGGAAGAGAAAAAGGTGGTTGGAGAGATTGGCAAGGCCAGAGCACGTAGGGCCTCTGATGCAGGCCATAAAAAGAATGACAGGCCAGGCACAGTGGCTCATGCCTGTAATCCCAGCACTTTGGGAGGCCGAAGCAGGTGGATTGCTTGAGCCCAGGAGTTCGAGACCAGCCTGGGCAACATGGTGAAGCCCCTTCTCTAAAAAACTACAAAAAAACAAAAAGAATTAGCCGAGTGTAGTGGCACGCACCTGTAGTCCCAGTTACTCAGGATGCTGAAGTGGAAGGATGACTTGAGCCCAGGAGGTGGAGGTTGCAGTGAGCCAAGATGTACCACTGCCCTCCAGCCTGGGTGAGAGAACATGGCCCTGTTTCAAAAAACAAAACAAAACAGAAAAGGAATGCCATTCTGATACATGCTACCAAGTGGCTGGACCACAAAAACATGATGCTGAGTGAAAGAAGCCAGACACAGAAGGTCACATAATGTAGGATGCCACATATATAAAATATCCAGAATCAGTAAATCTGTACAGACAGAAAGCTGGGTGGTGGCTGCCAGGGGCTGGGGAGAAGTGGGGAATGGGGAATAACTGCTGAACAGGTTTGGGGTTTTCCTTTCTTTTCAAATATTTTTCTGAGACGGAGTCTCACTCTGTCACCCAGGCTGGAGTGCAGTGATGTGATCTCTGCAACCTCTGCCTCCAGGGTTCAAGCGATTCTCCTGCCTCAGACTCTTGAGTATCTGGGATTAGAGGTGCCCACCACAACGCCCAGCTAAGTTTTTTATATTTTTAAAAAAGACGGGGTTTCACCATGTTGGTCAGGCTGGTTTTGAACTCCTGACCTCAAGTGATCCACCTGACTCGGCCTCCCAAAGTGCTGGAATTACAGGCGTCAGCCACCGCACCTGGCCTGGGGTTTTCTTTTGGGGTAATGAAAATAGGAACTTAAAATGTACTAAATGCCACTGAATTGTATACTTTAAAATAGTTAATTTTATGTTATGTGAATTTCAGCTTAATTAATTAAAAAAAAAAACCCTGATATTCCAATATCACATGGCCATGTGGACTCTTCTGTGTCATTTCCAGCCCAATAGCCTCTTTTCCAAAGCCCTGTGGGGTCCCTTGCTTGACCACCTCTAAAGCCCAGACCTCCCACTCCCCTCTTGGTTCAGGTCTCTCTTTTGGAACAAGGCTTCGGGGCATCTGCTGGCAGCCAGCAAGTGCTTCTCAGAGCTCAGCACTAAGGGCCTTCTTTGAGCATTAATTGACCCCCACTTTCTAAAGCTCTGTCTGCTCTGGAATCGCCTCATTTGTTGAATTCTGCTGTGACTGGGCAGGGGGCACAAGAGGACACAGGGACCCTCCTCTCCTGTCCTCGCCGCGTCCCCAGCACCCAGCACAGTATCTGGCATGACTCAAGCACAAAAGATTGCCCAGCTCCTCCCAGCGGTGCCTCCACCTCACGCCCCAGTGCTGCCGGGCCCAATTTCTGATAAAGGCAGTGATCCTGGGGAGGAAATGGGCAGCGATTTGGGGAGGAAAACAGTTAAGTGTTAATAATTTAAAAGATAAAGAGGCTCTGATCCTTGTCCGAGTAATGCAGTGAACAGCAGGCGCCGCGCAGGACCCACGCGCCCTCGGCGGTGGCCCAGGCCACAGCGCGCCCCATACGGGCCTAGGCGTCCCCTTCCTCGCCAAAAGACGAGTCCTTAGGGACGAGCTGGCTCAGGGCGTTCTCCCTTTGCGGCCAAAGCTGTTTTTCGCTTTGATCCCTTGGAGCCACCGGGCTGGTCCAGAGCCGGAGGCCGCAGCGGGTGCGCGCCCGAGGACACCCGCCCCCACCCGCGACGACACGCAGGCCCCGGGCGCCCCCGCCTGGCGCCGCGCCCTGCTCTGCTCCTGGCCCGGGCGCACCTCTCCAGGCGCGCGGCCAAGCGCGGGATCACGGAGCTGACAGTGAGCCGCCCCACCAGCCCGCACGGGCTCCAAGAGGAAGGAAACACAAAATGAAAATGAAACCCTACCCAGCAGAGAGCTTCCACGGTAGGAGAGTTTGCTGTTTAGGGGTCTCGATGGCTCCCCTCGGCTCCAGCTGGAGAGAAGCGAGCACAGTTGAATACCAGTGCCTGTCTCCCCTAGGCTTTCCTGAACCCCAGGAGAACAGTCCATCCAGCCGGGTGCAGCCCACAGGGACCCGCAGTTACTTGTATTGATTTTCTGGTATCTGATTGCCAAAAATGGAGGTGTGGTGCGTAGGAAAAAGAAGACAAGCAAGGCAGAAAACCCAAGGGAAACAAACTTCCCCAACAAAAGCGGGCACCCAACTTAGACACTCCCAGCTCTGTCTGGAATTCTTCTTGCCCTTACAAAATCTATTTCTTTAAAGTAGAACCTTTTGGCCAAAACCCTCGGTTTCTTCCAAACCATTTAACTGAAACTGCCACCCCAAAATCACTTTGTAAACAAAGAAAAAGGCAGGGGCTGCCTCAAGGTATGATGAACAATTTTTAGGGGCTTCTGGTTTCACTTTCTCAGTGTGCATTCATGATTTTTTTTTTTTAATGTGACCTCTAACCCTCAACTTTGTCATCCCTCTGTCTGGCTTTTCTGGGAGCAGCCGGGAGGTTGACACATGTTAGACAAATCACAGTAGCCAACTTCCTGTCCCAGCCCAGTTTCCACTGGGAAGCCCTCCCTCCACCTCTCCAGGGCACCAGGTAACTGGATTGATAGAGCCTCCTTCACAGCCTCTCCCAGCGAACTTCTCATAACCCAACGCATAAATAATCACATGTTTTATAAATAGCTGTGGACAAGAGGCTGTAAAACAATGAAGATATATTTGTGCCTTTATGTCCTAGGAATATTTTCTAAAACGACTATTTTATTTGCTGTGGGTTGAATGCGGGCGTGTGTATACATAACAAGCCCCAAAGTTTTCCCCTGCCCTCCCTGCTCAGGTCAGACCGGCACTATAGTTAGCAAATTGATAAGGTTCCACGGCCAAGCTTTATTCGTTCTGACACGAGCCTATGACACTTTATAAAAAGAAGTAATCCAGGACAATCTCTAGGTAATTAACACCTAGATAAACAAACATAAATTTCTATATTGCATTTATTTGGACTACCACTCAAATATGCGTGAACCATGCTTTTTTAATTAAAAGATAAATCCATGTGACACTTAGCCTCAAAGTTAATTATTCAGCATAGTATAATAAAAAATAGAGCCCATTAAATGTGTCTTGCACTGTATTTCTGTATTAACAGCAAAACAGTTTGGTCTGGGATCATTTAAATTTTCCCCCTCCTCTTTGCTTGTGATTTCCCTGTTCTCATAAGCCCTTCCTCTCCCTCCCGGTCTCCCTCCCCCACCCCAACTCTCTCTTTTCTCTTAGCACCAACAGGTGAAGAGATTAAAACTCTACACAAGCTTCTACATGGAATGCTCAGCTGGGTGACATTTTTAATATTGTATTACACCATGAATTTTTCTCCTTCCCTATGGAAACATACCTCCAGTTTGGTGGAACGTGCCCAGCCCTTCTATCTTGAAATGAAGATCACAATATTTAATACTAATTTCCTTGGGATTGTGCTTACAATACACCAGGTGAGGTTTTCGTAATATACTGTTACAATACAGATGTTAAACAGAGAGGGGGAAGTGCGCAAATCCCAAACTACAGGAGACAGCAGGGTTATCGTCTTTATAAAAGTTTCAGCACAAAAGAGCATCTTAATGCCAGATATCGGCAGCTCAGAAGCTTCTAGCTGCTAGGAAAAGAAATTCATATTTGAGCCATTTCCCACCTGGGTAAGAAGGAGGAACAAAGATTCATTCAGTCACTCAATGAGAATGGATAAAATAATGCCCACGTGCCAGGTGCCACGCTAAGTATTTTGGGTACTGTGTCACTTTCATCTTTGTGGTAAAGATGCTGTGGCAGGAAAGCTTTGAATCCAAGTCTCCCAGTGCCAAAGCCCATACTATGGGCCCCCTGGAGCCATGGCTTCCCCTTCACACCGGGCCTCACACTGGCCTCCCAGCTCAGGGACAGCCATAACCTCGGCTTGGCCAAAACAAGACACGTGCTTTTAAAGGAAGCCAGCTTAGACCTAGGGGGAATATTTGTGTTTGTCCAGGACTACCCTGGTTTTAGCACTAAAATTACTATGTCCTGGGAAACCCCTCAGTCCCAGGGAAACCAGGATGGTTGATCACCCTCTAGAAACACTTCCAGCAAACTATGCTGCTTCAGGGTGGCCACGCCCATGGACAGAGCCATAGAGACCCTGAATTGGCCCCAGGACACTTTCACCCACTCCTTCCTAAGGGCATGAGGCATCGGGATGTGAGAGGTAACGTGCTGCAGAAGTCATGTGGCTCACACTATGTTGGCCCTTGGCGATGAGGATGAGAAAGCCATGGTCTGCAGCAGGCATCGCCATTTCCGTGTCCTCATGGGTTTCCAGACACTGTCACTTTTGAGAACTGTCCTTTGAATATGGCAGTGTCTAGCTTGTTCTCTCCATAGCTGTTACATGTACTATCTCATTTAACCTCAGAAAGAGTCTTTGCTGTTGGCACTGCGATGTTCCACTTTATAGAGGAGCAGCCGATTTAGGGAAATGGAACGATCTAGCAGGGCCACACAGCTCCTGAGAGGCCAAGACAGGACTTGAGAGTCCTGTCTGCACTGAACATTGGCTTTGCACTGCTTCCACTGCCTGGCCCTCCCTCCTGCATCCCTCAGCAAATCATCAGCTTCCATCGCATGGGGAATTACTGTTCTCCTTGAATCTCCTCTTCCAGACAGTTTATATTTATTTGTGTGATTATGAAATCAAAATCTGTTTTCCCCTTAAGACAGTGATCTCTGGACATGATCCCTAACTTACCAATATATCTCTCTCTGGCCCGTGACCCAATGCCTAGAACACAGTAGGTCTTCTGTAAATATGTGTTAAACAAGTGAGTGGAATAACATCTACCACTGAGACTAATCTTTTTCCCATTGCATCCATCCCTTTTCACCAGCCACCTTGCTACTACCCCTGTGAGTGACAAGAGAGTTGTTAATACTCAGATTTTTCAAATGAGGAAATTAGAAAACAGCAGTTGAAGATCTTTGTCTAGGGTCATCTTTTCTGAAGGGGATGGACGTGGGGAATCCCAGCCACCTGACCATGAGGGGACCTTTACAAAGCATGGGGATTTTATCAAGGTCTAGCTTTTTGTGCATGTGACATTAATCTTAAATTCATCCATAATTCATTATGCCACAATGATCACAATACCTAGCATTTGTAGAGTACTTCACGAAATGTGCATATGATTTCCCTATGTACAGCACTTAATTGTCATAATTTTACAGATACTATCAATGAGCTGAGAAGAGTTAAATTGCTCAAGATTGGCTTACGCCTATAATCCCAGCACTTTGGGAGGCAGAGGCAGGAGGATCCTTTGAGCACAGGATTTCAAGACCAGAGTGGGCAACATAGCAAGACCTCATCTCGATAAAAATTTAAAAACTAACTGGGCATGGTGGCATGCACCCGTGGTCCCAGCTACTCAGGAGGCTGAGGCGAAAGGATTGGTTAAGCCTTAGAGTTCAAGGCTTCAGAGGGCTGTGATGGTGCGACAGCACTCCAGCCTGGGTGACAGAGTGAGACACTGTCTCAAAAAAAAAATTGTTCAAGACCATCATGCATCCAGTAAGTAATAAAGCTAGGGTTCAAATTTAAGCCATTACACCCCAAATTTTATATTATTTGTACTATACTAATCTGTCAATTATCTATGGCTGTATGAGAACTCAGCAATGTATTGATGGAAATATATATTGTTACCTCTTAAAAATGCCTCCTACTCACAGTTTTATTTTTTGTAAGAGCTTAATTGAGATATAATTCACATACTATAAAATTCACTCTTTTAAAGTGCACGATTTAGTGTTTTTTAGCATATACACCAAGTGACACCAAGGACAGCCACCATAACTATCTAATTTTAGGACACTTTTACCACCTCAAAAAGAAACCTCATACTCATTAGCTGTCACTGTTCATTCTCTCCTCCCCCTCATCCCTGGTAAGCACTAATCCACTTTTGTCTCTGTGGATTTGACTATTCTAGACATTTCATGTAAATGGAATTCTATCATATGCAACCTTTTGTAATTGGCTTCTCTCACTGTTTTCTAGGTTCATCCATGTTGTACCACATCTCAGGTTCTTTTCTATGGCAGAATAATATTCCATTCTTTGGTGGTAACACATTCTGTTCATTCATTCATACGTGGTTTTTAAAAATAAATTTTGAGCCAACAGGGAAAAACTGGAAGACTTAATACAAAATCCAGGTGTCCAGTACACCTTGAAAACTCAGAAAATTTAATGTCACCTTCCTCTTGGCAATGATGTGCAGTTACTGAGATCTCACGGCACCCCCTCCCATCAGAGTGGCGTGCTGTGCAACCCACTTAAGCCCTGATTGTTCCAACTCTCCTCTCGCCACTCTGGTGTCTTGTGTGGCTCTGGTGGGTTTGAGCTGCATCATGGACGTGGTGTGGGTAGATGTTAGAATCCCTAACTCAACCTTCTGCATTCCAGTCTTCTCTCCCTCATGGGTTTACTTCCTGACCTCCTCACTACAACCCCTTAACTCACCTTTGATATTCATAACAGCAGACGGTTAGAACTGACGATGATTCCGTTTAAGTCATCTGCTCCCACCCAAGGACACAGTCTCACACCCTGAAAGAAACATGGTAAACAGACAAATTTCTATACAATTTGGCAGCTGTCTTTGCTTGTGACATTTCAGTGGGCCCTCCATATTCCAGAACTATCTGGATATAGAATATGCACTATCCTAGCTTGTTTTGAGACCAAAATAAAACAACAAAACAAATCAAAAAGAAGCTCTTCACATCCTGGGTTGAGCACGCACTTCAAACCCTCTCAACTCCGTGTCGGAGCTCTGCGTTCACAGTAGCCCCTGCTACCAGACACTTTGTCATCCTTTGCTCTTTTCCTTTTCTTCTAGAGGAAGAATTCCGATTATCCTCCAATAATATGGACGTAAAAGACTCCCTTGCATTTAATGACTTAAAAAAAAAAGACTTTCTACCAGTAAAGGAAAATAATAGATCCCAATGCTCTAAGTGCCTTATATAATTACTGTAATATGAAGAGCATTAGTATTTCCATAGACTTTACCTTACTGAACCACATGTCTGCAAACATTTAAAGAAGCATAGTTCACATATGCATGTGCACACACACACACACACACACACACACATCCCCACTCACACACTATGTATGCGGCATAGAGGTTGACTCAGCTTGAAAAAGCACAGGCCTGAGAGGACCATTAGTACTGCAGGACCCTACCGGCCTTTTTGTTCTGTTTTGTTTTGTGCGAGGCAGAGTCTCCCTCTGTCGCCCAGGCTGGAGTGCAATGGCACCATCTCGGCTAACTGCAACCTCCTCCTCCCGGGTTTGAGCGATCCTCCTGCCTCAGCCTCCCAAGTAGCTAGGACTGCAGGCACGCACCACCATGCCCAGGTAATTTTTGTTATTTTTAGTAGAGACAGGGTTTTACCATGTTGGCCAGGCTGGTCTCGAGCTCCTGACCTCAGGTGATCCGCCCGCCTCAGCCTCCCAAAGTGCTGGGATTACAGGCTTGACCCATGCCAATTTTGTGTCTTTTTAGTAGAGATGGGGTTTTGCCATATTGGCCAGGCTGGTCTTGAACTCCTGACCTTAGATGATCCACCTCCCAAAGGGCTGGAATTACAGGTGTGAGCCACCACGCCCTGCCCAGTACAGGGCTTTTTATACATGGAGTTTGACAACGTCTTGCCAAAGTCTGACAAACCTGCAAAAATATGTTTTACTCCTCCTAGTAAACATAAGCGAGTAGGAAAAGATGTGATTTTTTTTCCCAGAGGTAGAGGTTTTATTGCGTAAAACACTGGATAAAACTGGGCTGCTTCAAAGACATTTTATTCTAACAGCAGAAAGAAAACAGTCATTGCTGAAAAAACAACTTTTAATACTTTCTATACCAGAATAAAGTTCTGTCAACTGATGTATTATAATAATAAATAATGACCAAGAATAAACTTTAAATACAAAGTTTTCTACTTGTTACAAGCATAGCAACAAAATCCTCTACTCCTATTGATCTCAGATTTCCTCCAAGATAGATTTTTTTTTCTTTGCGTAGGAATGTAGACAGTATTATGACCAGCATCACAGACTACAGAAGTTACAGGGAAAAAACTTGACATGTTTAGATATGAGAACCTGATGACATTCAGAAACTGACGCTGCATCACTGTGGCTGTCACTTGTTTGTATTACAAGTTACAAATGTTCTGGAAAGAAGGCCTGTGTCAGAGGGGGAGGAAGGACAGCAGCACTGGACAAAATGGAATCAACACACACCACAAAGAAGAGGGGATGTTCCCAGTGTCACAAACAGAATTATTGCCTGTCGCATCTGAGGATGCTGAAAAGACACAAAAAAATACTGAAAGAGCTCCCAAAGTGCTAGAAATGGAATGTGGCTCTCATTTTTTCCCCCACTTTTTTTTCCTCTTTTTTTTCTTTTTTCTTTTTTTTTTATGTTTTTTTTTTCTTTTTTTATTTTTCTTTGCTAAGATACCAAAGGCAGAGCAAACACAGAAAGCAAGGGACTGGCACAGTCACCAAACACAGTAGTGCAGTCAAAATCCTAAAGCTTACTACAGTCGGAAAGTTTTCAATAACATTTCAGTCCTTTCTCTAGGATCATAGAAACAGTTGCATTAAGTTTATCAACTCGATTTAAGTAAGGCAGTGAGAACTATACTAGAAAAACAAGAAAGCAGCTTGCTCTATGCCAGATGGGTCCAAGTTGCACAGCGACCTCATTTACACTGAAACCTCGGTTAGATGACACCCTTTTGACAGCATATGCAAACCGGATTCCTTATTAGCCTGAGATTCTTTCTGGTCTCAGGATAGCACTAAGAATTTTATTTACATTGATTGCAGTTTAGTATTTTTGTAAACTGCTGTAGGCAGAGCTGAAGTTTTTAAGGCCCTGGGGTTTAATCTGTGCTCCCAGCCTGCAAGGAAATATTGACCTTTTTTTTTTTTTTAAGTCTGAATGATTTTGTTTTAGAAGAAGTTAATA
Organism: Homo sapiens; assembly: GCF_000001405.40. Lineage (NCBI taxonomy): Eukaryota > Metazoa > Chordata > Mammalia > Primates > Hominidae > Homo > Homo sapiens. Next base: position 30,712,393 of record NC_000019.10, on the reverse strand, counting down.
CTTTCATACTTCTCTACCACCACAAGCAACAGCACCAATTTCATGTCACTCAAAGGAAGTATGTTAAAAGGCTCAACTTTACACCATGCTAGCAGATTCAAGAATAAACCTTTAACTAGTCTTCTTAAATCATTTTTTTAATGAGTTAAGTGTTTCATTATTGACACTCAAAATCTCCTTCTGTGTGGTGCAGAACTTGATAAATTTGGAGTATCCAATCAGTAGAAAATCTAAAATCTACAAAAATATAGAACACATTTGTTTTACAAAAACAGACATTTTTAACTCAAACAGTTTTCGTCATTAGAGATAGAGAGCACGATGTTTAGATCATATTTTAATACAAGCTATTTCATAAGAGCTTGCTGGAGAAGAAAATCTTGCTTCATGTCTGTGACACTTATAAAAACCAACACATGAAAAAAAATCCGATAATAAGGACCGGAGCAGCCTTCATTCAAGTAAAATTTTAAAAATCATAGTAAAAAAATCTTTCTATTATTACCTAAATTTTAATTGCTCACCAGCATCTTCTATGGATGGGGTTAGCTAGTTTTTCTAACAACATTTTATATAATGTACCCTACTTTTTTTTAATAGCAACTTCCTTCTTCATCCAAAATTTTTTTTTAAAAAAGAAGAAAAGGCTACCGAGAACAATTTGATCTAAAAAAAGGAATTACTCATCAAACCTGCAATGGACATTTGTCTGCAGACACTTCCTGATCATTGATTTCATTTGGCTGTGTATTTTGTAAAAATGCGCATTTAAGATCTCAATCCTCTGCAGTGCCGGTCAGCCCCGGCGCTGGCTGCGGGCCGTCTAAGGTTTCTCCAAGAGTGCAGTTACAACACCACGTGAATTGATTTTCTCTGCAGTGACCGCTCCAGTCTGACTGGCACCGCAGCTGCCTCCCGACACATCTCATTAGGGTTCTAGGCGAATTACAGCAGCTGGTGTCAGATTATAGAGGTGTTTTCAACAACGAAAACACAGCCCCTCCATCTTCAACGCAACACTAAATCGTTTAGATGGTATCGTTTTTCAGTTAAGAGCATTATTTTTGGACAAAGACGACTTTCGAGTTGGAAGGGCCCCCAGCTCTCTCCAGCTCAGAGGGCACCAAGAATTTTTGAAATCACTTTTCTCCCACCTGCATTGTTTTGGAAGTACTTGTTGCCGGGTAACAGTTTAGCAGCCATTTTCAAGGGCTGGGGAATTTTTTTTTTTTAATATATATATAGATATCTTTTAAAATTTTTTAAATGTTCTATACACTATTGGGGGGTTGTACATGATTTTTTCCCCTTGGAATGCAGTTAGCAAACTTTTACCAGATGCATAATGTTAAAACTGTGTAAAATACTATTGCAATATACAGGTTGGTCTGCTCAGTTGGTCTCCTCCTGGCCCTTGCCGCCCTCTTCCGTGAGGTCTGCAGAGCTCCCCGCCTTGACAGCTGTAGGCTCCTCGAAATTCCCAGAAGCCTCTGAGTCGACCCTGGAGCGCTTGAACCTGCGGTCGGGATACTGGCTGTTGTCAAAAGGCATGCGATGGACGCAGAGGACATGGGTCTTCAGGTTCCCCTTCTGAGAGGCACTGTAGGGACAGTAGCGGCACTGGAAAGGCCTGTGACCTGTGGGCAGAAAGAGTGGCCGGTCAGCACTGTTGCTCACACCTTCCTGGCCCCCAGGGCTCAAAGGATCATAATTGCAATCACCAGTATGATCAATATTATTATTACTTTGCAAAAATCAAATAGTGAGAGTGAGAAAAGCAGCCGATACATCAGGCACATAAGCTAAGATTTAGAAGATCTTCCCATCCCTGAATATTTTTGTTGTTGTTTTTAGAGATCAAGTCCCGTTCCTCATCTCAGGCTGGGAGTGCAGTGGTGCGATTATATCTCACTGCAGCCTCAAACTCCTGGGCTCAAGCCATCCTCCCGCCTTAGCCTCCAGAGTAGCTGGGACTACAGGTACACCACAATGCCCAGCAATTTTGTTTGTTTGTTTTAGAGACAGGATCTCGCTATGTTGCCTAGGCTGGTCTCGAGCTCCTGCCTCAAGGGACCCTCTCTTTTCAACCTCTTAAGTAGCTGAGATTACAGGTGCAAGCCACCACACCAGGCTCTAGCTAGAGTTTTGAACCCAGACTTTCTAGGTAATTGAAGATAAGTCTCCCCATATCTGAATTTTTTTCTATAAAGGGTTAAATAATAAATAGTCCCAGATTTGCAGGCAAAGAGGCAAAATCCAAGATACTGTGTAGGTATTTAGAGAACAAGACAGGAAACAAATATTCCTCAACTTTTTATTGATGAAATTCAAAACTTTATTTATGGACACTGAAATTTAAATTTTATATAAATTTCATGTGGGATGAACTACTATTATTCTCATTTGAGTTTTTTTCCTAAACATTAAAAAAATGGAAAAACCATTCCTAGCTCACAGGCTGTATAAAAACAAACAATTGCTGGACACAGTGGCTCACGCCTGGAATCCCAACACTTTGGGAGGCTGAGGCAAGTCAGTCGTTTGAGCCCAGGAGTTTGAGATCAGCCTGGGCAACATGGTGAGACTGTCTGTACAAAAAAAATTTAAAAATTAGCCAGGGACATGCCTGTGGTCCCAGCTACTCAGGAGGCTTAGGCAGGAGGATCACTTGAGCCAGGTGTTTGAGGCTGCAGTGAGCTATGATGGTACCAGTGCACTACAGCCTGGACAACAAGCAAGACCCTTTCACAAACACAAAGAACAAACAAACAAACAAAAAACCAGGCAATAGTTAGATTTTGTCCACGAGCTACACTTTGCTGACCCCAATTCTGCACAAAGACCATAAATCCTTCCATCTGGGAGTCTGACTCAGGCCTCAGGGCAAAGCCAGCTCATGTTCTGATCCTCCCGTTGACTCTTTATTGTTGAGCAAACCAAGAATGGCAAGGGAGCGTGTGTTTGGGGGTGGGGTGAGTGAGGGGTGTCACCTGAGTCTTGCTCTTAGGCAGAGTTGGAAGGGCTGAGCTGGGGGGATTTCTAGAGTCTGAGGGTCTCAGGGGCAGCAGCGAAAGTTGTCGGGACCAGGAGAAAGATGAACAGGTAATCAAGGCCAGCATGAGTTTTAAAGAAGGTAGATTTTGAATAGTGACTCTTGAAATGAAACCTTCCTAGAAAGACTGTAATTTGGAACAGGAGGTGGATTCCTGTGGACGTTCACCTAATCCTCCAAGCGCAACATCTCTACCCTGATGCGTCACAGCCATGCACAGACTCTACCATCTCGAGGAACTGGTAAAACATCTGGCTGGGGAAGTTATTCTGAAGCAATGGCATCTCCCCTGCTTCCGGGAAGCTGTTGATGAGCCGTTCCTGGAAGCTCTCATGTGCTGTTTCACCCAGCACTCAGAGAGGTCAGGGCCCAGAGCTGGGTTTCATTTGCTCAAAAAAATAAACAAGTAAATAAATGGAGAGCCCCATCACTGGCTCCAGAGAACAAGCAAACACATATTCAGCACTTTTTCTAAAGCAGTAATAGCAGTCCTGCGTCTATTTAGCAAAACAGTCTTGTTCCTGAGAAACAGGAATCCAATGCAACGTTGGAAGCAGAAGCTCACTTTCCCACTGAATTGCACCCAGTGCTAAATTCTTGCTTCTTGTTGGGCTTCTGGAGTTCACTGCCTCTTTGTTCCCTCATAACCAACTGGTGTCCAGGACTAATCCATTCTACCTGTTGAATCTTTTCCTTTGCAATGCTGACTTCAGAACCAGGTCCAGTGTGTACCAATTATTGTCTAGACTATGAACATGGCAGCCCGCGGGTGGCCTTCATGCTTCCAGTTTCCCACCGCCAGCCTGTCCTCCCCAGGGACAACAGAGCGAGTGCCTAAAGCAGAAGCTCAGCCTGTGATTTATTTGCCCCAGATCTTTCATGGCCACTGGCCTCCAAAGGAATAATCAGGACTTTCATGGCTCAATCCTAAAACACCCTTCCATTCCACGCTACAGCACAACCCCTTTTGCCCACACCAAACCAAACCTCAGATGGTCTCTGCACATAGACGTCACTGTGCAGTGTCTCCATACCCTTGCTTGTCTACCCTCTCTCTGAAATGCCACTTCATTCTCTGCAGGCTCAAACCCACTTCTCTATTCAGGCTTTGATCAGCAGGATGCCTGCTTTGTGGGCCTGAGTGTATGTACTGGTCCTCCCAAAAAGGCCGTGAATTCCTGGGGCAAGAACCATGACCATCTCAGTGTTATGAATGCCAAGCCCAGTGCCTGGCACAAAGCAGGTAGTCAGGAATTATTAATTATATTCTTGTATCACCTTGCCTTTTTCTAAGGAATTATACATTTTTGGATTTTCTTTTTTTTTTTTTTTTGATGGAGTCTCACTCTGTTACCCAGGCTGCAATGCAGTGGCATGATCTCAGCTTACTGCAACCTCTGCCTCCTGGGTTCAAGTGATTCTCCCGCCTTAGACTCCCCGAGTAGCTGGAATTACAGGCATAAGCCACCATGCCCAGCTAATTTTTGTATTTTTAGTAGAGATGGGGTTTCTCCATGTTGGCCAGGCTGGTCTCAAACTCCTGACCTCAGGTGATCCACCCACTTTGGCCTCCCAAAGTGCTGGGATTACAGACGTGAGCCACCATGCCCTGCCAGGAATTACACATTTTTGGATAGTGCTTCTGCTTCTTCTGTTTCTACTGTTGTCCCTAAGACAAGGCTAAATTTCATCAACCTTCCCACTTCAAGAAGACAATGTGCAAATCTACAGACTTCGGAGTTAAGAACAAAATAAAGTACAAGAACAGTGCACTTGCTGTTGGCCCTTCCTGACAGCCAACCACAGGAGGAAGAGCACAGCTAGCACGAGGGGCCAGTGCCATGATTGCCAGGTAAGAGAAGGAGTCCCCAGGGTGACTGCCCATTTGCTGTCTTGCCACCCTTTTCACCTTAAGGGCTTGGTCACCTAGGGAAGGCCCTGGGTTGGGAGGCGAAGGACAACTGGGACATATTTCCAATGCAAATTTTCGATTATACAAAAAAATGCAAATGGTCCCTGTTCTTCATGACCTGGGAGTTAGGGCATAGACTGAAGGATGGAATTAGGATGCCAATCAGAGGCAATGGGATGGGCAAAGCCACACCCATTCTCCGTACCTTAATGGTGAATCTAAGTCAGGACTAAGCTGGGCATGAGTGAGTTCCAAGTAGATCGTCCTGGCCAAGCATCTTAGAGACAACACAGAGCCCCCAAGATTCAGCCATCCAATTTTTTAAGTTATCATCCCTGTGGGCCCGAAGCTATGCCCAGGACTCACTGAGAGAGAGTTCGAGCTACTCTGAAATGGACACTATTAAGCAAGAAAAAGGCGGGCCCAATTTGTAGCTGGAGGCCTACAAGCCAATTGAAGGTCATCCCAAACAACATAAAGAAGGAGCAAGACACCGGGAAACCTGAGAAATGTTTCGAGGCTTTGGCCAAAGCTTCTCTGAAATGGACTGTATTTTCTATGTTTCTACCAAGGGCAGCTCTGTAGCAGTTCATGGACAAAGGCTGGCCACTGTCCTAATTACCATGGCTCAGATAAAGCTAGGGCTAAGTCATTCATTTATTCATTATATGGCAATAATTTATTGATGGAGAATGTCACTATCGTATGACAAGTCTTTCGAGTAAAGAACTCCAAATAGTAAGTAAAAATAAAAAATAAAACCAAAACCCTTGGTACCATGATCCAAATAGGCCAGCAGCACTATGAAACAAAGCGACCAAACCTCACTATTGTTTATAAATCTGCCTCGGTTTACCAGGATGACACTAGTTCTTCCATTCTTCAGTTGTTTTTGTTCATCAGCAAAACTGTCTATTGTATTTTCTTTCTTTTTTTTTTTTTTTGAGACAGAGTTTCACTCATTGCACAGGCTGCAGTGCAGTGGTGTGATCTCGGCTCACTACAAGCTCTGCCTCCCGGGTTCACACCTTTCTCCTGCCTCAGCCTCCTGAGTAGCTGGGACTACACGCACCCGCCACCACGACCGGCTAACTTTTTGTATTTTTTTTAGTAGAGACGGGGTTTCACCGTGTTAGCCAGGATGGTCTCAATCTCCTGACCTCGTGATCCACCCGCCTCAGCATCCCAAAGTGCTGGGATTACAGGCGTGAGCCACCGCGCCCAGCCAACTGTCTATTGTACTTTCGATTGTCACATTACTGAGTAATAATTTCACGTATGAATCCTATGCTACATGGAAGCCACCCTCCCTACAAATGATACTGCCACAGGAGTGATGCAACGTGCCTCTTGGCAAACTAAAATGTGGACCTCAGATATCACCTTTATTTGCAATGAAAGCCTTTTTGATTTGGCCAACTTGGTATAAAAGCACTTAGTACCTTTTTTCCACCAATCGATTTTAAAATATTAATCATGATTTTATCCTATGGTTATATTTTGAATCTCTGTTTCTTGGTAATAGCCAAATGTATAATAATAATTCTGGCAGATTTGGATACTTCACTGGTCAAAACATTAGTATTGAATTGGTTTCATTTTCACTTAGGTGAGATGGAAATCTATATGTAAATCCATCTAAAGCTATGCACATATCCATTTGTAGAAAGAAGTCTATACAATGCTAGAATCATAATAAATCCTGATCTTGCAGTGTATCTAGTAAGTAGAAGCTTTGTAGATAATACTGATAGTACCTAAAGACCCTGAAGACCTTCATTCCACAGTTTTTCACATACATTTTTGCATGTTTATCCTCATATTTGAGCTTTGGACAATTTTGCCAAGGGATGATATCAGCTCCATTGTACAGATGAGAGAGCTGAGATACAGTGAATCTAGAAGGTTTGGCTTTAAAACAAATTTCCAATGGATATAAAGTACTTAGTCACCCTCATTCTCTAAACTTATTACAAAGACTGTGATTAAAATGTGTTTTTATAGGCTCAAACACACATACACACACACATAATGTGTTAGTTTATACACAATTTACAATGCGTTTTATTCTATATCCATAATATTGTTTATAGACACACACACACACACACACACACACATCTTTCTGAGTTGTTTGCTGAAAGGCTCCCATGAGACTGATGTGGAAGAAAGTTCTATGAAGAAGTGAAAGGCCCACCCTTGGGGAAGTTGACTGGGAGAAGCTATGATAGGCCCGGAATAAGCCATTATATTTTCCCAAGAATCAAATATAACTGAAAGCCTGATCTTTTGATGATGAGAACATTTATTCCCAAACAGAAAGCTGTTGCTATGCACAGTACTGTTGGACATGACACATTTCTGAGTCCAAGTAAATCTGGATAAAAAGTTCCAAATGTCTCTCTACCATTTGTCCCTGTGAAAGCCCCTGATGATAATAAGACTGGGATCTGTTGGCTTTGGGTCAGAGAACATAAGCAAGTGCTCCAGAAAAAAAAAAAAAAAGTGCTGAGCTCTGCTGAATACGTCCCTGTGGATTTCACATATTTCTGACAGCAGAGACCCTCCTGAAGGCAGCAGCAGCAAGAGGGGCCCATGGAACAACACCGCGAGACATTCCTGCTGAGGGGGCTGTGGGTTTGGAAGAAGTCAGATCTCTCTAGATGGAGGTAGGTCATCTCATCCCCAGAGGAGAAGCCGCTGCAGTCCCAGAGGTGACAAGGCAGCCCCTCAGTGGCCTGCTCACTTCCATCTATCTCTTTTTTTTTTTTTTTTTTTTTTTGAGATGGACTCTCACTCTTGTTGCCCAGGCTGGAGTGCAATGGCACGATCTCAGCTCACTGCAACCTCTGCCTCCCGGGTTTAAGCCATTCTCCTGCCTCAGCCTCCCAAGTAGCTGGGATTACAGGTGCCTGCTACCATGCCCGGGTAATTTTTGTATTTTTAATAGAGGTGGGGTTTCACCAGGTTGGTCAGGTTAGTCTCGAACTCCTGACCTCAGGTGATCCGCCCACCTCAGCCTCCCAAAGTGCTGGGATTACTGGCGTGAACCACTGTGCCCAGCCCATCTATCTCTTTTTAATGAAACAAAAGACCAGCCATGTTGCCTGTGCCATCTTAGTTGACTGGACCTAGATTTGGGGATTCCTAGAGGTGTAAGGAAGATGCTAATGTCCATCAATGTTGAAGATGCAGAATAAGTATTAAGACAGACTTGGGTCAAGCAGGCTTCCATTGTGGCGGAACTGAAGAGAATAACACCCACTCCTGCCAGCTCCCCATTGGAGAGAGCATCAAGGCGATAGCCTCTCCCAAGTTGAACTTGCTAAGAAGCACCACACTCCAGGATGGCCTTTGGTCAAATAGGAAGACCCAGAGCTCTCTTGTTCTGGCACCTTTGCTTTACTTTCAGGGCACTCCTTCTCCCCAGTGGACTGAGGAGCTTGGGTTCCTACCACTGCTTCCCTCTTTTGTAAGGCTGCTAAGCTACTAGCACCCTGAACTTCAATCTTCTCTCTCTCTGACCTTGGGCAACCACTAGAACTCAAGGCTTCCATTTCCACACCTTGATAATGATGCAATAATACTGACACTATATCACAGGAGTGCTGTGAGCATCAGATGATGGCATGTGACACATTGGTAAATGACGAAGAACTCCAAGATGTCGGCTGCTGGTGATTGGCACGGCTGCTGCTGTCATCCTGCTGTTGATCTAAGCTGACTCAGGGGAAGCTCTGCCTGGTTCTTCATCGAAAGTACTGACTTAGCAAGTGCTTCCTGTGCCACTGTCCTGTGCTTCCTGCCGCAGGTAGCACCATGAAAGCTTAAGGGACTGTCTCTCTTTGGGGCATAGGCATTTGAATGGGGGATCTGGGAAACCGGAGGACCTTCAAAGCCCAAAGGAACAAGTTGTTAACAGGTGCATTTCACTGGGAGAAAGTTCAGCAAATGTGAGATAGAATTTGATGTGGGTGAGGCCTCTTGCCAGAAGGAACTCCCCATTTAGAAGGTAGGGCTAAGTTGGCTGGGGGCCAGGTCCCAAACAGCACTGGGAGGCAGTGCGGGCTGTGATATTGTACAAGTGATGGGGAGCTCCCGTAACACCTGCCAGGAGGAATCTGAGCCTCTGAGCATCCCCCCTCCTCATCTCCCTTAAAGCCTGCATAGTTTGCTGCACTCTGGCCACAGGAGACTTCTCTCTGTTCTCCAAATGCATCATGCTCTTTTCTGCCCCGGGACCTTTGCTCGATCCTCCCTGATCGTCTCCTCGATCTGGACTCTGCCTGCCCCTACTTCATCCAACTCCTGCAAACTCATCCTCCAGGCCTCCATGCAGCTGCCTCTGCCTGGGGAAGGCCTCCCGGATGACCCCAGGCCTGCCACCATGGCTGTGACACACATCCCAGCACACGCCTCTTCCTCAGTCTGGCTGCTAGCAGAAGCTGAACAAATAAAACAATCACGGCTGTCTTCCCCACCAGGCAGACTGTCAGCTCCACGGGGGCAAGGACTGAGCTTTTATTTTGGGGTTGTTTGGGTTTTTTGATGATTGTTGTTACTCACCACCCAGCACGGTGCTTGGCACATCACAGATTTCCGCCAAGCATTTTTTTCCAGCAAAGGAACAGATGAATGAAACAGGTTGCCAGGAGATAGGAAAGAGAGACAGTGCTACTGCAGTCTGAGGGGCACACCTGAGCCCAGGCACAGAAGCAGGAAGCCTGGGTCAGTGCAGCATCCTAGGAGCAGGTCAGCGAGGTACAGGGGAAGCTCAGTGGGGAGGGTGAACAGGGGCCAGGCACACAGGATCCACCGGGAAACTTGGCCCTCGTTCCGTGGGAGAAGAGAATTGGGAAGACTTTTCCAGCACTGCCGCCACACCAGTTCCCAGAATGTTCCCAATCCCCATCTATCTTTATCCAGGGCTCAGAGCCCTGGTGGTGTGGCCAGATGGGGGCCCCCCCAACTGCCCGCCCCACCTCATTCCCCTCTCTCTACCTCTCACTTTGAGGCCATCAACATTTCCCATCACTGCCATGCGAAAAGTAAGTACATCATACGTTAATTTGTATTGTCGCTGCGCCGTAGAGCCGTGGTAAAGAGCACATTCATTTTTAATCCACTATGAATAATATATAAATATGTATACAGTGCGGAGGGTCAAGAGGAGTAAGGAGAAAGCAAGTCGTACATTGTTTATAACGAAAGTGGGGAAACGAGATATTTTTCTTACTTGCTAGGATGGAAATATCTGCTCTTTCGCCGCACCTAAGGGGGAGTAGAAAATGCCTGCCCTTGGGAGGGCCATCCATTCATTACAGCACCACACTTGTGGGCAGCTGGCTTTGTGGAAGAGAGGGGGCTGCGTCTATGGGGCTTCCAGACTTTCCAAACTGATGGCTTCTCCTCAAGTGTGGGACAGAGGGTAAGAGAGTGGGGAGAGAAGAGGTGACCACCCTGTGGTGTTTAGTCCTGGAGTGGTGACAGTGCCCATTGGTGAACATGTTCTGGCACCCACTCATCAAAGTGCATCAGCATGAGTGGCCTCAGTTGGTCCTCATGACTGTCAGTAGGGAGATATGGCAGAGGGATGTCTTCCCACCTTACAGACATGAAATCCCCGATCCAGGGAGATTAAATGATCATCCAAAGTCACACGTATGGAACTTACTGCTTACTGATCAGGAATTCAACTTCATGTCTTCTCTAAAAGAATGCTCGTCTCTCCACCTGCTCCTGCCATGGACTGCAACCTGCTTGCTGGAAGAGTCTCTACAAAGAGGGGCCTCTGGTTAGGAGTCAAAGATGCTCCAAGAGGTGGTCCATGAACCCCCTGAAGGGGTGTGTACCATGTGTATGTGTGTGTGTTTGTGTGTGTGTTTGTGTGTCTGTGTGTTTGTGTGTCTGTGTGTTTGTGAGTTTTTGTGTCTGTGTGTGTGTTTGTGTGTGTCTGTGTGTGTTTGTGTGTTTGTGTTTCTGTGTGTTTGTGTCTGTGTGTGTGTTTGTGTGTTTTTGTGTCTGTGTGTGTTTGGGTGTGTCTGTGTGTTTGTGTTTGTGTATTTGTGTTTGTGTGTGTCTGTGTGTGTGTTGGTGTGTTTGTGTTTGTGTGTGTCTGTGTGTGTTTGTGTATGTGTGTTTGTGTTTGTATGCGTCTGTGTCTGTGTGTTTGTGTGTGTGTTTGTGTTTGTGTGTGTCTGTGTGTGTTTGCGTGTGTGTGTGTGTGTGTGTGTGTGTGAGAGTGAGATATAGCACATGCACCAGATGTCACTCCCCTTACAGGAACAGAAGCCCATCAAAGCTGGGCATTGAGCACGAGGAACATCATTTTCAGAGCATGGGATCACAAAATATCTCTACTGCAGAAGGGCGTCCTGCATCCACGTTTGACAGTGCCATTGCCTAGAAGGGAGCAGGTGATCAAGTGGAGAGAAGCAGCCTCCGCATCAGTTCCCACACACAGGGCTGTAAGGCTTGAGAACAGCCACTGCCCACTAGCACCCAGAGGGGCTCCCTATAACACACTTCTCCCAGAGCTGCACAACCAGCGCCGCCTGAACTCCTTGAAATTAGGAACATTTAGGCAATGCCTGCAGCTAGGTAAGAAACTATAGGTCTTCATCACTATAGGTCAGTTGGATACATTAAAAAGGTATCCCCCTATAGGTCAATTGGATACATTTGACCATTGGATACATTTGATACATTGACCTCTTATAGGTCAATAGGATACATTAAAAATTCAGGGCCACGGGAGGCTCAGGCCTGAAATTCCACAGCTTTAGGAGGCCAAGGCAGGAGGATTGCTGGAGGCCAAGAATTCAAGACCAGCCTGGACAATATAATAAGCCCTCATCCCTACAAAAATTTTAAAATGAGCCAGGTATGGTGGCACACATCTGTGATCCCAGCTACTTGGGAGCCTGAGGCAGGAGGGTCACTTGAGCCCAAGAGTTGGAGATTGCAGTGAGTGGTTGGAGTGCCAGTGCACTGCAGCCTGGGCAACAGAGCAAGACTCTGAAAAAGAGAAGGAAGAAAGGAAGGAAGGAAAGTAAGAAAGGAGGAAGGAAGGAAGGAAGGAGGGGGGAGGGAGGGAGGAAGGAGGGATAGAGAAAGAAAGAGGGAGAGGGAAGGAGGGAGGGAGAGAAAGAAAGACACAAAGAGAAAGAAAGAAAGAGAGAGAGAGAGAGAAAGAAAGAAAGAAAGAAAGAAAGAAGGAAAGAAAGAAGGAAAGAAAGAAGGAAAGAAAAGAAAGAAGGAAAGAAAAGAAAGAAGGAAAGAAGGGAAGGAAGGGAAAGAAAGAGACAGGGAGGGAGGGAGGAAGAAAGGAAGGAAAGAGAAAGAAAGAGGGAGAGAGAAGGAGGGAGGCGGAGGGAGGGAGAGAAAGAAAGAAAGGAATAAAGAAAGAAAGTAAGAAAGAAAGAAAGAGAAAAAAGAGAGAAAGAGAAAGAAGAGAGAAAGGAAAGGAGGAAAAAGAAATTCAGCTCCCCAGAGTGGGCCCCGCCGGCCTGGGGGGAATCCACTGGGTATGGTGGTACAACAGGTTCATGAGTGGGTCAGGCCTGCAGGGTGCTTGGCTGGTCTTCACTTGGGGACCTTGAAGCCCCTCACCATCACCTGCTGCTTCCTTTGAATATTTACCACTTTGACCCTGAGGCTGCAAAATGGGAGGATGCCAGCCCAGGACCCTGGCAATCCTGCCTTCAGCTTCAAGAGGCTCAGTGGCTCAGCAGGGCAATGAGAGAGGTAAAAATATACATAAAGAATCACTAGGCCCACAGAGAGAGCCGTTTTCTCAGTTGCACATATAGTTTAAAAAAATTTCCTAATTCCAAATAGGCGAGAATGATTCCAATCAGGTACGTAATTTATGTTTTCAGTTTTAAAAAAATATTCATCCATCTCATCAAAGATGCTAAAACACTTTGGAATATCCTTAGTACAAATAAATTTAGGTTTCAAATTTCCTGTGATTTGGGTTTTAATTTAGAAGGCTACCCAAAAAAAAATGTACTTATTTTACAAGTGCATTTTGATCTGTGTGGTAATGGATTGAAGACATCTGTGTGAACTCAAGCTTAACTTCATATTTATAATATAGATGTGTGTATATACAGGAGTTAGTACACAAGCATATATTTCCTTATTCTGTCAGCTGAGAGGGTCTAGAAGTGGTGACATTGGTTTCTAATACCACTCCCAAAAAAAGGGAACCAGGGCTCCTTGGAGAAATGGCTGATTCTAGGACTGGGATAGGAAATACACCAAAATAATCCCGGGGTATTTAGTGCTAGAAAGTAAGAAAGTACTAAAAAAAAACCCCCACATATTGATGGTGGAGTGGGGGTGTCAGATTAGCACAGAGCTTGCTGAAGAAGCCCCCATACCCAAAGGTAGAACCATTTGAGTAACAAAGTAAACAACATAATATCAGATTATGACCCAGAGTCTAAAATAAATATCCACAAATCATACTGGCATAAATGATTGCATCAATAAATACAGGGGGAAGGATTGACAAATGCCTTGTGCATTCCAAATAATTTTGTAGCTATTTCTTGCTCAAGGAGACGGAGCATATCTCCCTACTCCTTAAGAGTGGACTGTGCCAAGTGACTTCCTTCCAAAGAGTACAGTATGGAAAGGGACGGGAGAGTAACTTCCGTGGAGAAACCAGACAAACATGACCTCAGCCAGCAGACCAAGGTCAGGCTGACAGCAGGTGCCCTTGACTTGATATGATGAGAATGGTAATTTACCTTTGTGGTCTTCCTTCCCTAAATCCATAACCCCAGTCTACACATGAGAAATTGCAACTGAGGGACGTTCTGCAAAATACTCCTGGAAACTGTCAAGGTCATCAGAAACAAGAAAAGTGAGAAACTGTTGCAGCCAGGAAGGTGGAAGGAGACAGGACACCTAAGGTAATATGGTATCCTGGAGCAGAACAGGACATCGGATAAAAACTAAAACACTAAGAATACAAGATGGACTTTATTTAAAAATAATGTGTCAATATTGCTTCGTGAATTGTGACAAACATACCCTACCAATGTAAGATGTTAATAATAGTGGGAAATGGCGGTGAAATCTATGAGAGTTCTCTGTATTATCTATGCAAACTTTTTTTTTTTTTTTGAGACTGAGTCTTGCTCTGTCACCCAGGCTGGAGTACAGTGGCGCAGTCTCAGTTCACTGCAGCGTCCACCTCCCAGGTTCAAGTGATTCTCCAGACTCAGCATCCTGCGTAGCTGGGACTACAGGCGTGCACCAATGGGTCCAGCTAATTTTTGTATTTTTAGTAGAGACTGGGTTTCACCATGTTGGCCAGGCTGGTCTTGAACAGTTGACCTCAGGTGATCCGCCTGCCATGGCCTCCCACAGTGCTGGGATTACAGGCGTGAAGCACCACATCCCACGTCTATGAAACATTTTTATAAATCTAAATCCATACTAAAATTAAAAGTTTATTTTGAAAGTTTATTTAAAAGTGGATTTGATTGATTTTCTGTGAACAGGAAGAAACCAACACCCCACATCAAGAGATGCTTCCAAAGTCACAGAACCAAACAGGTAATACTTAACTTCTGTTGACACGAAAACTTCTGGAGGGCATATGGCACACACACAGTCTGCTGGGCCTGCAACCCAAGGATCAGGGAAGGCAGCAGAGCAGATTTTGAGAAATCGCCACTGCCCTGCTAGCATGCAGCATTTTTCATTATTCAAGCACAGTGATGAAGACTGTAGATTTTCAAGCCAGACACCAAGGCTCTAACGTATCTGCCTCTTATCGGTTGTGTGTGCTCTTGAACCAGCTAGTTAACCTTTCTAAGTCTCAGTTTTCTCATCGGTAAAATGGGTGCAATAATAATAATAGCTCCCTAATAGGATTGCTGTGAGGATTCAATGAGATGAGGCCTGATGCTTAAGCACAAAGTGCAGCACATAGAGTTAAATGAATGTCTGCTAGAAAAGGCTGTAAGTATTAAAATACTCCACCTACTACGTGCCCATTGCATGGTAACCTTGAACTTCAAATGGGAGATGTGCATTTTGATTCCTCTGCCAATGCTGAAATCAGGGGTTGGGCTCCCATTTGTTGGATGATATGGTTTGGCTCTGTGTCCCCATCCAAATCTCAACTTGAATTGCGATCCCTAGGTGTTGAGGCAGGGACCTGGTGGGAGGTGATTGGATCATGGGGACCATTTCCCCCATGCTGTTCTCTTGATAGTGAGGGAGTTCTCATGAGTGCTGATGGTTTTAAAAGTGTTTGGCAGTTCCCACTTGCTCTCTCTCTCACCTGCCCCCATGCCTGGCTTCCCCTTTACCTTACGCCATGACTGTAAGTTTCCTGAGGCCTCCTCAGCCATGCAGAACTATGAGTCAATTAGACCTCTTTTGTTTATAAATTACCCTGTCTCTGATCATATCTTTGTAGCAGTGTGAGAATGGACTAGCACAGCATCTGTCCAGAGCCACAAAGCCAGAGAGAGGCAGAACATGGTCCTGCAGCTGGAGCTCAACCTGCACTGTGTCTTGCTGTCTCCCTGCAGCTTGAGGCCCAAGTTGAGTTAGGATAAGAGCTTAGATGTCGCCAGATTTCAGCAGGGCATCAGCAGAGAGGAGCCTCTGGCTGGTGGTGCAGAGTCTCCCATGCCTCCCAGCTCAGCCCCACCAGGTGTTGGCTTCAGGGCTACTCTTCCTGGGGCCTGGCCTCTAGGTGGCTCCCTTCCCCAGCAACTTCATCCCCCGCCATTGCGCATGCCCTACAGATTTTGCCTTATATCCTGTTTATTTGCTTACCCAGGCTCCTCTGATGAGTGGAGCCATCAGCCCGCCTGGGTGGTCAGGCAAGCCGGCCTGCCCTGCCAGTGTGCACTCAACAGCAACTATTGATCGGGGACCTTAAATCATTGCCCGGATTTTATGAAAGCATTTATGTTTATCATTAAATAACCTTCAAAGGGTCAATGAACTTACATTCCGTTTTTGAAGATTTTTCGATGTGTAATATAATAATACTCTAATGATACCCAGAGTTTGTCTCTGGGTGAGTGCATTTAGTCTTTAAAGAAATGCCGGGAGAAACCAAAGAGAAGGCGCTGGCCTGGAAGTGCTGGAGTGGGGGAGCCGGGAGCGGAGGGGCTGGTGGCCCACCTCACTCCTCCAGAAATTCCCTTCTCTCTCCAACATTGCGGGGGCTGGGGGAGAGGTGCTTATTAAACCGGCTTCAAAGGTAATTTTAAATGGAACCAAGCTGACCACTTTTCAGGTTAACAGCTTTAGCAAAAATCCCAAAAACTAGTGAATCAGAGTTGGATATTATTCCTAAAACAAAGCTAGAGTTGTGTATTTTTAAGTTTTTAACCAATTAATTTTTAAATATTAAGTGAAATTATTAGGGTGACACTCAGAGATGGCAAAAATAAGGAGTCTAAAATTAGCAGACGCAGCACCTATGATACACATTTAATATCCCTCGCTTCCCTCCTTAGGAACATTGGGCTAAACACAGTTATCTGAAATCCCTGTTGGCAATAAGATGGGCTGTAAGGATGCACGGAATTTAGCAGAGATGGTGACAGCCAGCCCTGTCCCTGTAAACCCTCTTCTGGGTACCATCAAGTCCACTGGGTCAATAGTCCACCTCAGACCAACAGTGAGACCTCTCCAGGCAGAAGAAAGCCACACCATCCATACCAAGTCAAGTCCCCAAATCCTGGCTATACATGTGCCCACCCCTCCTCTATAGCCATCCATGGCTCCCTATTTCTCACTGCAGTATCTCACCTCCTTAACCTGGCTTTCCAAATTGCAATCCCTTCTTACCTACTATACACTGTCGTTCCTACCAGAAATTCACCCATCTCCAGCCCCCACATCTTCTTCCATTGAGACCCGCCAAAGCCCCAACTCCTCCTAGAAGCGGTTCTCAGGACCCAGTCTGCAGAGCTCCACTTATCTGTGGCACCACACAATTAGGCACTTAATTATGTTCTGTCAGGCACTGTTCGCTAATGGCTCTAGGAGGCTGGAAACTGCTGCCCTCTGGCGGGCTCTGCACACAGTAGGGACTGGATAAGGAACCAGACGTTGTTTACTGAAGGACCTCTTTCTGGGGGTTCAGCCCACAGGAGTCCCCACCTTGCTATGCACACCCTGCTCAGAGCCTGGCACTTGGCTTCCTTCCTCCGTGCAGGCCACACCTCCTAACAGGTGACCCTGGAGCACCCTCCCCTGCACACTGTCCCTACCTGGTCTGTGCCTCATACCTGGAATGCCCCACCATGCCTTGCTGTTTTCCTCAGCAGGAAAATCTGAGTGCTCTGTGTTCCAGGGGGTCCCTTTAGTAACCCCAATCTCAGCTATTAATACTACGCTCTTCCTCCCATTCTCCACGTTGGTGGAGAGTGTTGAACGGCTTCTCAGGTGCACCTTGACATACTGGGTAGCTCTGCATTTTCCTCTTTCCTGCATTGAAGCTCAGAATCCCAATCACATCTCCAAGAACCACGCCCTGCCCTCCTCACTCTTGCCCTCCACCTTACCACTTTCTGTGGGGGACTGGGATGGCACGGCCCACCCTGACTGTGAGCTCCAAAAGCCCACAGGCCTCCCCCATGGGGGCCAAGTGGCTGCACCATAGATTCCATCACTGCTGTAGACATAAATGCATTCACCCTCCTAGTGGTTACAAGCTGCAGGCCCACATATTTTTTTCCCCCAACACTATTTCTTTAAAAAAAAATGTAATTCATTGCCAATGTTACATTTAAAAAAATATTTCACATTAAAACATGGATTTCCAGTTTCTCTTGCAAAGTCAGGAGGTCTGGCAAGATCTTCCTGGAGGCAGCCGCTGGGGAGCTGGGTCCCACTTATTCCCGCTGCCTGGCACCCATTTACTTCCCAGGCATCACCAGCCAGGCGCCTGTGGGCCCTGGACTTTCCAATCTCCACTTTGTACCACTCTCAACTAAACAGCCAGTATTGCACTTTCTTTGAGGTTGGGGCAGGGAGACTGGGTGAGGCTTTGTGTGTTTTTTCACCCAGCAGATGAACTGCATTCTTGTACACACCCAGTGAAATAAACAAGTGGGTGGTCCCTGCTGGTTCAATCACTTCCTGTTTTCCATTGTGTCGCTTAAAATGAACACATCAGCCCTTAATTGTAGTTTCTGTTTTATTGTACAACTTAAATGTGGGAGGGGGGCCAATATTGGAACTTGGCTTGTGCCAAGGGTGTGCTGTGCTCTGTATGGCACCAGGAAAGCCACAAGGGGAGGGGCCAACCTATGAAACCACCAGCATGAAGCACCTTAAGTGTATCGATATCCAATCCACTGAAAGCTGGCATCCAAGGTTATCTGTGGATAATTCACTACCTGCACACATCTTTCATAAAAACATTAGTGCATTTCCTACAGTGGGTTGGGGGGGCCATATGGGTTGCAGAGCAGCTCACCAAAAACAGTGTCGCGGGAGCAGTCACATTCCATCAAAATTCAGTGAGGTTGTATTGTATTAATGTGAGTTTATGTGTGAGAAAGAATCGCACATCTCTCTTCCCATAAAGGAATCAGACACCCGCAATCCATACCCACAGTATATATCCATATAGATGGGCACACTGGATATATTTAAAATAGCTACTTTTTATCATGCCCAATTCAACAAATTGGTACTGTGAACAATAGAAAATTACAAAGTAAAAAGGAAAGATGGAAGCATAAACTTTTCAATGCTCAGCCCTCATCCTGGAGCGCCACTAATGTCACGTGGCAGACATAAATAAATAAAATAAAACACAGAAGAGAGGTGTCTTTCTTTTTTTTTTATGAAGTCACAAAGGAAATGAGCCTCCTTTCTTCTCTTCTCTCCCCCCACTATAAAAGGCTCTCTCTAAAATCAAAGGTGTCAGACTTTGCATATCCTCTTGCTGGCATAATCCAGAATATGGCTGAGGAATGACAGATGTCCGCACCCAGCTGCAATGAAGCATGTGAAAGTTTCCATCTAATCCACTTATTTCTCTGTAGTCACGTAAACCAAAACAAATGGGCAGGGCTTTACATCAGGGGGAGGGGGAAAAAAACCTCACAGCATCAGGACTGTATTGCATAATGCAGTCTACACGCCATCTTGGTATCATCCTTCCTTCAGCAGGGATAAGGGCACCTTGTGGTGTGATCCAGTGTGGACCCAAGAGGGTCAGCTCATGTATCCCTTTGTCCCATGCGAGATGAGGTTTCTCAAGGGAGAGAGAAGTTTAAAATGAGTGGGGGGTGTCCGAAGCACGGAGAGGCATAGGGACAAGCGACCATGTGCAAGCACACACTAGTAGCACCTCCACGCTGCACACGTATACACACACTCTCTCTCTCTCTCTCTCTCTCTCTCCCCCCCAGGTTTTGGAGCTGCTAAACTAAGATGATCAGCTTAATCACCAGGCACCATCGTTTTCAACTACTTGAATAAATCCAGAGGAATTATAAACGGAGCCCGTGTGTAATTAAAGTGAGGGTTGTTAGACTCTTCATTTAATAAAACACTTCAAAAGAAAAGCCCTTATAGGTTTAGCAATGCCACAGGGAGCAGAAGGGTAAGTAAGCGCTGTGGGCGTGCGAGGAGGCAGCTCTGCCTCTTCCTAGTGTGCAGCGTGGCCACCTTCTGAACCCTCTCCCCTTTAAATCTTGTAAGGAGCCAGCCAGGAGCCGGAGTCTTGGGGCTCTGTCACCGCCAGCAGTTGCAACAGCTGCGAAGCACTCTTTCAGCACAAGTCGCGAGAAAAGACGTGACGGATTTCGCCCATGGCAGAACGGCGTTCCGTTTCTGGCCCTTCAGGCAAAAACAGTAAAGGCAAAGAGGAAAATTTGAGATTTCCCCCCTTAAACTTCCCACAACAACCTCAGCAAAACCACATGACTTGCCTTCTACAATCTCCCTGGTGTGTTCGCTGCCTCTTTGGCAAAGAATCAGAATTACTGTTATATAAATTCCATCTGATGCCAGAGCGACCATCTGTGAGTAAAACTGCTTCACCTACGTCTGCCTGCAAAGCCACTCTCCCAGAGACAAGGGAGAAGGGGAAAAAAATTTGATTAATTTGCAGAATGCTTGTGATTTGCTCATATATTATTATAACTGCTCATCAGCACATGATGAATTCCCAGCCCTCGGTGCAGGCACCCGTTTGGTTTCAGCAGTTTCTTGCGTCGGCACCTGACAGACTGCAGGGTTTCTAATGACTTTCAGATGCTTACAAACAGTAATTCTATCTTCAGAATCAAAAAGAAAAATCCGTAGGAAGAAAAGAGGAGCAAGTTCGTCTATTTCATTTCCTTCCTGTATATCCACATGATTTAACTCTTAAGGGCAGCCTGGGATCCGAGAGGGGGCCTCCCAGGCCCGGCCATGACCGCCTGCAGAGACAAAGACCCCCGGTCTCTGGAGGGGAGGTGGAGGCCCGGGCAGAGGCTGCAGGCAGGGGTGATGCTAGGCATCACCACCCGGGTGCCCACCACTGCCACAGCGTGGCCCTTTCTCTCCCTCTGTGCTTCCGAATCCCTTTCATTTGTCCACTTTTAATACCCTAATAACCTCTCACGTTCTCTGCAAACACATCTGCCTCGTAACTGCAGTTGGATGTCTGGTTTCCCCCCTCCCCATTTTTTTTTCTTTGCTTTTAAAACTCTGATGATGCCTTCTGAAGCCCTGCCTCTGTGCTTGATTGCCTGTTTTAGATTAGAGATTTTAGCAAGGAGACAAAGACTTCACAATACACATCAGTCCCACATATGAGGGCCCACAGAAGGAAAAGCGATAAAACGCAATGCACCATCTGTCCACAAACAATAACCTGCATGTTGGGAGCCTCGCAAATTATTTAGCATACAACCTTCCCAAATTACAGAGCCTTGAAACGGAGCGGAGTCTGGGCGTGAGACCCCCTTTGATGTCCTTTTGGTATTCCCACCCCCTCACCCTCAGCCCCAATTTGATTAACAGTTGAGGAATGTCTCGGTGACAAGTTGATTTTTAGTATCCGGATCTTCCTGTTCCATCTGGCCTGGGATCCGAGCGGGGACGGGCTTGTCCCCTGGCCGCAGATCTCTGGAGACGACCGCCCTGATGCAAAGTCTGCCTCCTTTTTTCATGTGCATGTGGGGGGTGGGCCAGCGGAGGTGGTCTCCTGAGCAGACCTCACGGTTAATACAGAAAGATCCTGCTCAACTCTGCCGGCTCAGCCAGCTGGTCAGCGGTCTGATTTGCTTTTGAAAGATCTTGGAGATTTTGTTGGGAGGCCTCTGGTCTGTGCAAACAAATCTCCCTCCCCACCTCCAGCCCTTAACTCCTCTAGAAACATGTTCTTCTGCCTTTCCTAGCTCAGACCGTAAGCAGCAGCCTCACTGACCACCAGGCTATAAACTACTCACAATAGTTAGCCGGTATCTTCAGTCAAGCTGCAAAATTCCTTCTACAATGATTTGCTAAAATGAAAGAGAAAAAAAACCAAGCATTGCCAAAAGGAAAACAAAAATCATGTTGTTTGCAGGGGAGGAGTGGTTTTTATCAGATCCTCCTCACTTTGGTTTTAAGAATGGGACAGCTGATTATGTGCCATTCAGTCCTTACACAAATTGTAAGGTAAGTCCCAATTACTACGATCCTTCCATTTTACAGACGGGAAAACTGAGGTGCAAAGACAGTCATGTGCCTGGGTGACGCAGGAAATGGGGCAGCTGGGTATGAAACCAAGTGGTCTGGCTCCAAACCCCTCCTCTCTGAACCACCAGAGAACCCCAAGATCCTGCTTTAAGGATAAGATTTGAAGGGCAGCCATTTAGTGCCAGTGAATCCAGTGGAAAGCTGTTCGTGATGATTAATAAACAACAAACAAATATCTACTTTGCAAATAGAATCATTTCTTTCCTGAGTCTCAAAATAGACACATCTTTATACAGAGAGAAAGAGAGAGACTCGACCTGAATGTGAACTAAATGAGGCTTCCTTACCAAACTCATCGCCAGCATAATTATCCGGATTCAAATCCCTTTCAAATCGCTTCCTCTCTGGCATCCCCTCCCATCCTCAGAAGGCCCCATTTCTCCCCTTTCTCTACAACAGGACTTAGTTCTTCACTGGACCTTTGTTTTGCTAGAAGAGTCTTTTCACCCCAAATGTGGCCTCCTCTAGGATGGTGGACCAATATTACCGGCATTTGTTCCCCATTGATACCTAACAAAGCCGTGCGCCCAGTAAGTGGTTGATAAATAAATACCTACTGTTTGATGATTGGAGAGGCCTCAAGGATGTCCATTCCAGTTTTATGAATTTAAGCTTGTTTTCCAGACTTCCCTAACCTGAAGTCAATTAAGACAGTGTTTACACACACAGTTTGGCTGAATCAGGGGGCAGGGTGGTGGGAAAGAGGGTGCCTCACTGGCATTCAAACAACCAGATGTTTATTTTATTTTGTTAAAATCCATGATGCCAAATGAAAAGCCACGCTGAAATTTTCACTTTCTGGTATCTAGCAACAAAATCTAATTCTGTTTCTTGCAGCCTTCAGGAACAAGCCTGTGTACCTGTTTTTTTATTCTTCTCTTTATTTTCACCATTAATGCCACCATTGTCTTCTCTCACACATGCAGCAGACTTTATAATTCACTAGGAGCTTTTGCCCTCCCTGTTCCACGGGACACACGGGAACGCTGTCTCAGGAAGGCATTTGCCCCCAGATGGTCCTGGTCCCTGCTGGTCACTCCAAACATGACAAGTGCATCCATGTCTCTTCCCAAGGCCAGGGCCATGTACCTTTGAGAGGGAATCTCCTCATTTTGATAACATTTCCTGACAATCACATTGTCCCAGGAATAGCCACAACCCATCAGAAATCTTACCCAAATAAACGAGTTTTCTAAACTCTCTCCCCTCCCAAAATGATTTAGAAAACTGAAAAAGGAAAGCAGCAATGAGCATTTCCTGAAAGAAAATGTTCCTGTTTGGACAGGGTATGCTGCCTATACATCCCCTCTGCCCTCACAGACGGACATGTTTTTGGCATTTGAGCTCTTACTGTGATCAGGTATTGTACACAAATCAATGTCTCATTGAATCTTCAAAACAACAGGATAATATCCAGTGTTAGGTTAGCGTAAAGCTCCAAATAATTCCAGATGCAGGCAGACAGGTTCAAGAAGGAAGGAGAACATTTTGTTCTCAGCTTTGGAGGCAGACAGCTCTCTACCTTCAGCTCTTAACAGCTGCGTAGCCTGGAACAAGTCCCTCTTTCCTTCCAAAGCCTCAGTTTTCTCATCTGTGAAAGGGGCTCAGGCTAGTGCCTCTCTCCGAATGGATGGCCAGGTCTAAGGGGATGACACACATCGAGAGCTCAGCACAGAATGTGGAGCAGAGCGGGCCAATATTGTCAAAGGCTATGGCCATAAATATTGGCTGCTGTTATTCAGGGGAGGCCAGGTCCCTGGAGGCTCAGACCACCCTCTCTGCAGCCAGTCCCCAGGAGGTGAAACATCTCCAGCCCAGAGCGCTACCAGGAGGGCCAGCCAGGGTGATGTGTAGGCTCCCATGCTCTGAGCTTAGCCCCAACACAGAGTTTCCCCCAGTAAGAGCCAGAGCTACCCACTCGCCTTAGAAGCAACTCAGCTCCTCTCAGGCACACACTTAAATGAAATATGGGAGTCCATCAGTATTAAGTGGGGGTTTCAAAAGCTGTAGTAAGAAAATTAAAGCAACCATGTGAGAGTGTTTTATGCATGTGGGATAACTGCCTTTTGATATAGCTTTTTACTACACATTTGATATTATGGATCCATAACAGATAAATGTGTATCGCGGAATATATAAAAGTGCCAACAATTGTCAATATGCATTCACACGCTGTATTAAGAATATTCTATAAAAGACTCTCAAAATATGATGGATGTAGATAACTAAGTGAGTGATGCTGCTGATGAAAATTTGGAGAAAGTGCATCTTAAGCCCTAAGGAGGTTTATTAGACACAGCAGCCGAAACTCAGCTGACATTTACAAAAGTCCCTTGACACTCAGAACAAAGAGTCCTCACGCACACACTCTCCTCAAAGCAAGGACTCAAAACACACATGAAAACGAAATACAGAAATTCCAAAATCGAGGCTCAGGTGCTGGGAAGGAGAGATCCGGGCACCTGAGTTATTAATCCAGAACAAATGTGGATGTTGATTCTCCAGACACTTGTGAGGCCCCCTGCACAGCCCTGGGCAGGAGATGGGAGGTGGACTGAACCGGTGGGGCTCAGCCCTCCAATCTCTAATCTCCGTGTTTTCTGGGTGTTTAATCCTCAGAATGAATTTGAAACTCAGGCTTGGTTTGTTTTGCTGCCTGCCCTTTTTTTTTTTTTTTTAGCAGTCATAAACACATTGTTATGCTCTTTTTTAAAAAATAAAGTAAAACATTTGCAGCTTCTCTACACGTAATAAAATCAATCTTTTGCCCAGTGCATTAAGTGAAATAGCATGTCCCCAGAAAATACGTAATAGTCAGTGTGTTCAAGAATCATGCAAATAAAAGTTTTTTTTAAAAAAATCCAAAGGTCAGAATGAAATACTAGGCATATTCTATAAAATAGACATAAATATTTGTGTGTATTTTATACAGCAGGAGGCCTGAAAGTGCTCCCTCAAAATGCATGCTGAAATTCCTAAGCTGCAATGCCTTTCTTTGCTGAAAATTTGATTTGTTTATGAAGTCTCCCTGTTTCCCTGACATATAGATATTATACACATCGACAGTAAATAGACCTTTTTTAATTGAGCTCATAGGTTGAAAGTGAACGTGACCTTGAGTTTACACTGATAGTGATTATTTATAATAAGAGATTTAGCCACCGACTTCCCTTTTGTATGGGAAGGGCTTACTTTATCAACGGACCATATTTAAGTAAATAGTGCCAAGTAAAATAAATTCAGCTTTAAAGATAAATATCTCTCCCTGTGTCGGACGTGGGCAGCAGAACGCCCCTTTGATGCCCCGTCCTGTACACTAAGAAGGGAGCCCAGTAGAGTGAGAGCTCGAATTCATCAAAGTTCAGATTTGACTGGTTTCTCATGAGCCACATGTGGGAATGTAGCAAATCTGCAATTTATTTAATTTTAATTAAATTTTGTTTCACATCCTGTTTTGCAAGTCAGCAAGATGGGCTAGATTTGCCAAAAAGAGGATGAAATAAAGAAGGGAAGGAAGTTCCCCGGCCCAGGCATGCATTTGCAGCCCCGCGTCTGCCCGGCCGGGCTGAAGCCTTTCTTTGGAATACACAACTCTGTCTGTACAGCCTGTCTTGCCCACAGTATCACAGTCTTGCTATCTCCTCGCTGAAGGGCCTATTTGTCTGCTTTAAGTGAAATCACTCAATTCTCAAAAGTCAGTGGAGGACTTTAGAAGGGGGAGGGATCGGATAGGCTACTCCAAATAAGTTCCATTAATCAAAAGACACAGTGTAATGTAACTAATATTTTACAATTAGGGGAGACAGGATGGAACTAAAAGCCATCTATCTCTCTTATACCACATGATCATCGATTCATAATCGGAGACTGAGAGTTGCACAAAGATGCATTTACTGGATGGGGGGAGTGGGGGGAGGGCTGGCCTGAGCCGAGATAATGAAGGCGATGAGAGTGTGCGACGCTGAAGGCTGAGGAGAGATGACAGAGGAGCTCAATGCTGACGGATGACATGAAGACGCGCGCAGATACCTGACAGCCCGCGGGAGCCGGCGGGCTCCTTCCCCGCCATTATATCCTCAATTATCTTGGTAAGGGACTAAGAGGGAGGACGAAGAGCAGGCTGGCTGAGCACGGCAGCCACTTGGCACTGGGCCACTGGGCCACGGTGCCACGGTGCCAGGGGAGGCCACCGCGCCCTGTGTGAGCCCCACTTGGGGGGGCTGCAGCTTCCATTGTCAGTGCCCCTGGGTGTGCACACACACATACACACTCACAGGGTGGGGGACACACAACGGGGATGCCCGCGGCTCCATCTGGTTTGTAATAAAATTCCTAACTCTTCTAAGGGAGTCATTTTTTTTCTTTCACTGCCACCTTCAGGAAAAAAACAGAGTTGGCCCTTTGCAAAAGAAAAAAAAAAGTGTGTGTGTGTGTTGGGGGTTGATTCCTGGGAGTTGGGGGGTGCTCGCTGCTACTGCAGAATGAGCTGGCTAGAGACAGCTCACACTCCCAAAATGATCTTCACAGAACTCTGCAAATGAGGACTGCAAGGAGGGAAAGGAGCTGTGGGGAGTAAATGCAGAAGCTGAGAACGTGAGAGAGGGAAGGGGCAAAGAAGTTGTGCAGGCCCTTTCCTGGGCACAGGGATTCAGACATCACACCCTGGAGAAAGTTTCTCTGGCCCCTGCCCCATCTTCAGCCATTGCCACAGACTGGGGTCTTCCCCACCCAGACATTTTCTACCTTGCTCCATTATTTCTTTGCAGAGATACAGATGGCCTCACGCAAATGCTCATGTAGCCTGTCTTCCGAACAAAGAAAAACAAATGACGTTCCAGGAGGCAGAGTAACTTGGGATCTCAGCAACGTGGCAGGACCGTGGGGCAGGTGGTGGAGCTGACAGCGTCCCAGCCCATGATGGAGGGGAGGACGGCGGCAGCGGCTGGGACGGTGCCCCCATCCCCCTGGTTGCCTCTGCACGGGGCCATTTCTTTAATATACAGTACTATAGTGACAGATTATGTAATATGTACAAATCCCATATTGAAGCCAGAGGTCCAGAGAAGCCATGATTTTTATGGCATTTATTTTTTTAAAATCGTGACTTGGCTACAGAGTGTGTTCCCTGGTGAAGCTGCCCTGACTTTTTCCTCCCAATCCATCCCTTCCGTCTCTACCTCCCTGGGTTCCATGGGCCCTGTTTGCAAGGAGCCAAGCTGGATGGGGATACCAGAGTTTGGTTTCCCTGCAAAGCATCAAGAAGGCTTGTTTCTATGAATGTGTCTGTGCACACACACACACCCCACACCTACAAATAAAAACACTCCCGCTGTAAGAGCCCACAGATATCCAGAAAGAGTCTCTCCATCAGCTCAGATGGGGCTACCTCGAGGACTTGTTCTAAAGCCCCCTACTCACTGTCATTGCATCCCTGTGGAAGATGAAGCATGGGAGACAGGGGTGCAGTCGCACCCTCAGAGCAGAAAATCCAGAGACCCCAAGGGCTCAGATGGGACACACCCAAACCCCTTTGGTGTTTTACCCAATTCTTCCAAAGGATTTGATAAAGACCCCTCCCCCCACCAACACAAAGTTATCCAAAAGGATAAGGGGGCTCTGATCATCTGAGGAAGCTGTTGAGTCCAATCTGGTAGGCTAATCAGAGGGCAGAGGTATTAAGTACAATTCACTTGCGTGGCCTGAGTAGCTGTAATTGAGACAACCCCCTCCCACATAACCCCCTGGAAGACGCACTGAAAACATAAGTGGCCCCAGTAGGCTAAGTTTGAGTGTCCCAGACATAAATAGGGTGCAACTGCATCTGCCCTCGGAGGCTTGGTAAGGGCCCTTGGCTGTTCAGCCCGGGATCAGGTCCCGACCGCTGCCCATGTCCCGCCCCCTGCGTCAATCAGCCCCTATAAAGTCATGCTGTGAAGCAACAGCCCCCTCCCTTGCCTGAACCAAAGATTCCCTGGTTTACATGCAGAACCTCTAACACAGAATGACCGAACCAAGCCATCGGTGGATAAGATAAAGCAGGAAAGCAAACCAAAGCCAAGCCTGTAAAAATGGAGTTCCAGGAATCAAATCGGTGCACATGGTTTTAACCTTTCTATTGCCATGATTTTGCCCTTAAGCAAAAATGAGAACTAAGAGTTTTCAGGTAAAGTGAACTTCCTTACCAAAACCTGGACCGTGAATCCATGGAAAGTTGACGTGTTGTCTTTAGAAGCAGTTTATGCATTAAGATTTTTGTGAGGCCAAGACGCGGTGGCTCAAACCTGTAATCCCAGCACTTTGGGAGGCCAAGGCGGGCGGATCACTTGAGCTCAGGAGTTGGAGGCCAGCCTGGGCAACATAGTGAAACCCCATCTCCACCAGAAACACAAAAAAATTAGCCAGGCATTGTGGCATGCATCTGTCGTCCCAGTTACTCAGGAGGCTGAGGTGGGAGGATCACTTGAGCCCAGGAGGCAGGGGTTGCAGTAAGCCGAGATTGTACCATTGCACTCGAGCCTGGGTGACAGAGTGAGACCCCATCTCAAATATATATATGTATATATGTGTGTGTGTGTGTACATGTGAGTCATTGTTGATCTTGGTTCTTTTACTTGTGGTTTGACCAAATGCAGGACAGGAAAGATAGATAATTTTCCAAGAAGATTTCTAAAGAGAGATATTCTTGGAGAAAAATATATGAGTGATCGGTTACAAGCTTGTCTTAATGTATCAAAAAAAGCAATACTAAAGGCATGAATTCTTAACTGATTGATGAATAAAGGTATGATTCCATGTTGCTCTGATTAACCTAGCTATGTTGATGGACAAGAAATGTGAGTTGAGCATGTCTAAGGTACAGCCCCTCCTGTCTAAGGTGTTACAGAATGGGATGAAGTGGAGTGGGTGATAGTTGAGTAGGCTGTTTCCTTTCCCAAAGGTTCTGAGAAATCCAATGTGTTGTTATTATGGGTGTGGCCACACGCTTCTTTGGTTCCTGCATTAGAAAGGTCATGTCTTTGAAAAGATATTTAGTGAGCAATTTCATTCCCCTTTACAGGGACATCCAGTTTTCAAATACTGCTAAGCCTTGACAGCGTAGAAGGCAGGCAGAAACCATCAGAGGGAAAAAGAGAAAAAAAAAAAATCCGCTCAGGTTATCCTCCTAGTCCCAGATGAGGTGGGCTGGCAGCTACTAAAAATTAAACAGAAGAGGTTTTCCAAATGCAAACAGAACATATCCGCAATCATAGAAACAGCTCTAACACCATAACACTCCTTGAACTCCAAACAAATTATTTGGGAGGATATTAAGCCTGGAAGGTCTTTCAAATTCCTTTATTAGAAAGGAGATTACTTAGAGCTCATGGTCAAATCACATACAATTTGACCCAATTCTTTTCCACCCTTTCACATCATTTGATATTAGGCAGAAACTATTGTTCAAATGCAGAAATTCATTATCCTCTTCTCCAGCCAAGGCCAGGCTGAGAAAATTCCCCGAGACCCGGCTTTCAACCCTGCCTCGCAGCCATAAAGGTGGTCTTTCGCGCCACCTAGAGGGCAGCCGGAGGCACGGCGCGTGAGTCACTCGGAGGAAAATTAAATACAGCTGAATAATTGAATGAGAGGGCAAGTTGAATCAGGGGTCACCATCTGTTTGACTAGAATTGTTGGCACATTTCAGCTAAGCCTCGCGCGCCTCGTAAACATGCTTACAGTTATCATAGCTCGCATTGCCCTAAAATAAAAGAAAATTGGTCCTAAAATAAGCCTGAACTAATTAAACATATACCATCTTGTCGTCATGGAGACCAGAGTGAAGGTCACCAGCTTCTCATGGCATTCAGGAGGGTGCTGGTGCCAAAAAGAGACGGGTGATTCTTTCCACTCCCGGGGAGAGGGCACCTCCGGGGCCAGAGGTGCTGCCTGGATGGAGGGTGTTGGGGGAGAGAGGGTGCCACCACCCCGTTCTTCATCCCTCATTTCCCCTCCGGGCTGAGGGGAGGCAGAGAGGGAGGGCAGGAAAGCAACGACACCATCTCTGCAGATCCAGGAAGCAGCGTCAGGAGGGACCGTGAGCTGCCCCCTGCCAACGTTACTTAATATTATGCCCATTTGGCAGATTTTCCCTGGGGATGGAGGTGGGGAAGGCACCCTTCCAAAGAAAGGGGTGTCGTATCTGAATTGCCTCCTTCTGCCAGCTTGATCCGAGAGCTGGTCCTCTACCAAGAATCTCGATGCGGCTGGTCGTGCATTTGTGTGCGTGTGTGTGAATTACACTGTATGCTGTGTGCACGCGCGACCAGCACAAATGTATATTCTGGGAGAGAAACCAATTCGAACGGTACATCTCATCATGTCTCTTATAGATTCCTCCTTTCTTGGGGAAACACATCCTCGCCTCGAGTCCTCAGCACGCAGCAGCTTCATCTTGGGGGTTACTGAGGACAGGCTGTATGCAAACCCAAAACTTGCAGAGTTCGAGAGATACCATTAAGATTTCATCCCCTTGCCTGGCTGGGTCAGAACCCAGTGAGCTCCTTGGTTTGGAGATTTGAAGATGCAGCTTTTTGGCCCCTGGTGGTCCGCAAGCCCCTCCCTCGTTGTTCTCCTTCCTGGGCCATAAAGGCAATACAGGCCTCTTTCTCTTGTCCCCCTACCCTGCTAAGCTGGGACTGCCCTCCCTTTTTTCCTTCCCATTTGCACTGTCGATTATGCACAAATCGCTTACGGAAGACACAGTGGAGTGACCCCAACTTCAGGGAAGCCTCCTCCAGGGACACAATTAACGTCTGTTGGAGCCCACGTTGGCTGGGCTGACACCATTGCGGATTCCAGAGGGGCTGTTCTCTCCAGCGTGGCGGAGATGTCATTGGGGAAGGGGGGCTACCCAGAGACCAGAGGGTGGAACTGGACCTGGAGGACTGGAGCCACTTCTGCTCCTAAGTAATTAGGACCCATCAAATGAGGCTGCTCGGCACCAGCCTCCCGCCTGGTAAACCAGTCTGCAGCGTGGCTTCCTAGAATCCAAATTATGACAATAGGAGAGAAAGGATCAACGCCACCAGTATCTGCTGGGCAGAGAGCTGCCCTAAGTGCTAGGAGGAGGGGCCCTTAGGACTCCATCCAGCTTCTTGGCTGGTGCCCCAGCTAAAGCAGGCCAGGGACACCAGGGAAAGACTTCCTGCGCTTCATGCGGAGAGCTCTTAAGCTGCACTTTCTGCTGGGCACGCCCCTATTTCCTACCCCACTCCCCGCCAGCTCACAGGCTTCCTCCTCCAGGAAGCCCCCTGTGATGCCCCTCAGTCCACAACATCTCCCACACTGGCTCCAGCAGGAGTGCACAGCTGCCTGTTGACTCAAACTTAGCACACCTCCTCAGCACCTTGCACAGGCCTGGCGCTCAGGTCTGCAGAAAGCCCCAGGAGTCAGGACCCTTGTGGGTTCCTGTGCTGCAGGGCAAACTAAGCAGTGACCCTCCTGCCCACTCCACGGGTCTCATTCCTTAAAACAGACTTTCCATATCCATGGAGGATACAGAGCCATTCATCCCAGATCAAGTGTGGTTGCCCCTGGGGTTCGGAAAGTCGGAAAGGGGCTGTAGTGAAAGTTGGGGAATAGAAAGGGGCGGGGTGCAGGGTACACCTGGCAGGCAGATGTTCCATAACGACATGAAAAAATGCTCACCATCACTGGCCATCAGAGAAATGCAGATCAAAACCACAATGAGATACCATCTCACACCAGTTAGAATGGTGATCATTAAAAAGTCAGGAAACAACAGGTGCTGGAGAGGATGTGGAGAAATAGGAACACTTTTACACTGTTGGTGGGACTGTAAACTAGTTCAGCCATTGTGGAAGTCAGTGTGGCGATTCCTCAGGGATCTAGAACTAGAAATACCATTTGACCCAGCCATCCCATTACTGGGTATATACCCAAAGGACTATAAATCATGCTGCTATAAAGACACATACACATGTATGTTTATTGCGGCACTATTCACAATAACAAAGACTTGGAACCAACCCAAATGTCCAACAATGATAGACTGGATTAAGAAAATGTGGCACATATACATCATGGAATACTATGCAGCCACAGAAAATGATGAGTTCATGTCCTTTGTAGGGACATGGATGAAATTGGAAATCATCATTCTCAGTAAGCTATCGCAAGAACAAAAAACCAAACACCGCATATTCTCACTCATAGGTGGGAATTGAACAATGAGAACACATGGACACAGGAAGGGGAACATCACATTCTGGGGACTGTTGTGGGGTGGGGGGAGGGGGGAGGGATAGCTTTAGGAGATATACCTAATGCTAAATGACGAGTTAATGGGTGCAGCACACCAACATGGCACATATATACATATGTAACTAACCTGCACATTGTGCACATGTACCCTAAAACTTAAAGTATAATAATAATAAAATAAAATAAAATAAAATAAAAATAATAATCATAAACGACAGTTGCAGAACAGATAAGGAACAGCAGGGTCTGTGCATGGGGCCCCTGCCTCCCCATTTCTTGTCCCCGGTGTGACAGAGAGGAGGCAGGATTGTCATCTCCGGCCTCCAGACCCAGGAGTCTTTTTCCCACTCAGCCTGACCCCTCTTTGGGCACAGCACACACCCCAACCTTGTCCAGTGTCCCTTACCCCTCCCTCCCTCCCCTGGCCTGGGTTTTTCCCAGGGCGTACAGTGGAGACAGAGGCCCTGGGTAAAGACAGCATGGATGACCAGGTGGCAGGAAACTCGTTCACCTGTGCATCTGGCAAGTAACTCCAGTTCCCGATGTGGGCCAGGTGGGCTGGATGCCCAGAGCTGACCCCCCTCTCCCCGCAAAACAGGTTGAGAATTGCAATTTCTCTCAATTTTCCAGAGAAGCCAGAAACAGGTTTTTATGTGAAATCCCTTGAGTTTTAAATGTTAACTACCAATTCCAGACCCTCAGAGGCTCTGGGGGACCCAGCCAAGCAAGTCTGCAGACTGCCGGGAGCCGACACGCACCTGCCTTTGACCTTCCTGCTGGGTTGTCCTGCAGCCACAGTAGGATCTGGCCCTTCCCTGCTGCCCCACACCAAGGGCTCTGCCTCCTGGATGTAAAGAGGTGACGTTTCCCAGAAGTCGTGGGGAGGGGGCAGTTCGTGGAGGGGAGGGGACAGCTGCACAGAGCCCTGCACCCTCAGGCCCTGGCAGGCAGCCCGGTGGGCTTTACTCCTGGCACCAGCAGCTAAAGCCTCACACCCTAGGGTTTCCTGAGCGCCACCCCCAGCCACCTTGTTTCTGCTGCAGCCAAGAAAGACTCAGCTGCCGCGTCTCCTTTCCCTTCCTTCCCGGCCCAGGGCCTCACCTCCATCATCTAGCTGCGGGCTCCAAAATTGCTCTCTGATCCCAGATAGCTGTGAAGCGGTGGTTAAGGGAAAGCAGCTATTGATAATCCACCGCACAGATGGATTAACTTTCAAAAATAAAAAATCGGGCTGGTGCCTGGATATGGGAAGTCCTGAGCCTGTATTGAACCGACCTCCATGCAGCTGTGTGGCCTCAGAATTTAAGGATGGGCAGCCCGTTCACCCCTGTCTTCTGCACAGAAGAAAAATCACCTGTTGCCACTGAGAGAATCTACTCATGTCTCGGCTGGCTCGGTGTTGAAGGGGGCTGCAGGGATCCTGCAGCTATTCACTGGGGACTTGTCATCTATGTAACAACGTGCTACTCTTTTATTTTATTTTATTCATTTCTTTTTAGGATGGAGTCTCACTCTGTCACCCAGGCTGGAGTGAACTATCTTGGCTCAAGGCAGTCTCAACCTCCTGACCTCAAGCGACCCTTCTGTCTCAGCCTCCTTAATCTCTTTATTTTGAATGAAGATTTAACTGACCTATTTCCAGAGGGCAAAAAGCAAAAGTTAAGCCTAAACAGTAAGGGTATAGGTGTGTGTGGGGGGGCTTGGGGGTGGGTACCAAGGAGCTCCGAGGAATTCTAAAGGAAGCTCCAGACATAGTCTGATTTCTCCCAAGGCTCCCTGCTTGGCTCTAGGAGTCCAGTGCCAGGATCTGCCTGGGATCTGCAGTTTCAAGAGCAATATCATGCCTTCTCTTGTCTTGGGTTCCCACCATGTCTGTCAAGATGCTGTGAGCAGAAGGGAAAACTGAGCTGGGACAGGTAACTGCTTCCTGAGAGAAGATGGTGAAGAAGGACAGTGGGCGATGGGGAGGGAGGGAAGCCAGAGCTTGTGCAGGTCTCTGCCTGTGGCCAGAGTCACAGGCTGGGCTGGATCGGCTCTGCACTCGGCTCCTGGAGCCTCTCACCGATATCCAGGCTCAGAAGGGAGACCAGAAAGGCCGTGAGCCTCTCCGACCCCTGCTGAGGACCCTGAGCAATCCCCCTGCACACAGTGCCCCTAACCTGTCCCGCATCCTGAGCATCTCCCAGCCAGCGGCCATAACCCGGCCCAGCCTTTTGAAGAGGAAAGCTGTGGTACCATGGAGGCTTCTCCGGTCCCTGAAGACAGCACCCCCTTGCTTCTCTTGCAAGTTGTTGATTGTTTCTTGATGCTGCTTTTTCATGGACCCTTTGCAGTCTAATTTCTCATCCCAAATCCTCTTGAAATAGTTTGCTTTTAAATATAAACTGTCACCGAACACTCAAGCTTTTGACATTCTCAACCGTGGCCAGAAGAAGTCTCTAAACCCTGCCTCTTCTCCTCCCAAGGAAGGAAGTTCGGTGGCTCAGGGTGATAGCTGGGGGCTACCTGTGCCCATCAGGGTGCCTCCCGTTCACCCCATCCCCTCTCTAACAGCCCTTCCTTTCCTGGGCAGAGACTCCCATTCAGGGATCACCAAGTCCCCCCAAATCAGAGGGGGCAGGCCACGTGCAGCACCCCTCACTTGGGCTTTATGAGCTCAGGGTCTTAGGAGGCTTTTAAGTGGTTTCTTGATGCCAGGAAAGACAAAAATCGCAAAAGATCAAAGTCATTGGTTATCCCAGTCTCTACAATTACATATAATTCACAAAAACAGTGCAGTTATCTGTATCTGCAGCATGCAGGGGTCAGAGCTAGACAGGACCCAAGAGGTCAGCCTGCCGCCAGCTTTTCCTGTGTCCCCGGGGGACATTTTGCTCTGGGCCTGAGGGCCAGGATCCTGCATGGAGAGCAGTGAATGTCCTCGCCAAGGCACACTGTGCTGAGCTGGAAAGTGCCTTGGCCACAGCCCCAGGTGGATGGCCAAGGGTGGCCAGGGCCCTGTCCTTGTCACTGTGCTGCCCTCTGCAGATGCATCAATAGCCAGGAGGGCACCTTTCAGAGGCCAAATTGATAGGGCCAACTCCAATGCCTGCACATGGTCACCTGGCTGTTGAGATCTTAAGTATAACACCAATAAGAAACCGAGAAGCAGGTAATCCTGAGGTAACCAAGAAAACCATCAGAGGCTGGGATTGTGAAGCCAAAACCTCTCCCGAGCACCAGCCAGGTGTCTGGTTTCAGCACAGATCCAGCTGGCCTGGCCCCAGGGAGATTGCGGCAGCCCAGCAGGTATGAGCCAAGGTATACATTAATTTGGGCTCATAATTGTTAAGAAGCCACATCTAGAAGCTTCAGAACTTTCTTCAATTGTAGAAAAGGCATCACGCCATTTCTTTCACAAGCAAAATATCTTAAAAACTCAATATTTGACTGGGTGTGTCGGCTCACAACTATTATCCCAGCACTTTGGGAGGCCGAGGTGGGAGGATCACATGAGGCCAGGAGTTTGAGACCAGGCTGGGCAACATAGCAAGACTCCATTTCCATAAAAAATAAATAAAATGTCCACCCTTGTCTCAAAAGAAACTTTTGAGAAGATACTCCCATTTAAGTCCCTGTTCAAAGGGCTTCCCTGCAAGAAGTTCCTCAAAAGATATATTTAAAATCATATTAAAATCATTTTCATAAAATGTGTGTGGAGAAAAGACAAGTTTAATTCTCTAAGGCTCCATTATTGAAGCAAAAATTAATATTTGTACTGTTTCTAAATTGGAATAAAATTGCAAAGATGCAAACACCATCCTATATCATAATCTATAAACCAGTCACAAATGTTAAATCAACTGTAAAAATGATTTAAAATCTACATGAATAATTTTATTAAACTGATTTGAAATCATATTTTGTGTTACCTTCACTTATTAACTGCATCCCCAACAACAAGGGAGTTATAATGGATTTTTGCAAATACAGATATGTTCTCAAATAATGCTGTGATCACGAGGCAGACCTATGATGGAGGCATGTGACTTCCTGTCCTACAATGTTGACAAGGGGCTCACAGAGTGAAAGCCATCTTCTTTACACATTCACAGATGGCCATAGACTCTCAATGGGCACAGTTCAGGTTTTATGCACAAAGGTTCATGTTCATCTTGCTCACAGTAGAGGCAAGGAAATCATTTCCCATGAGCACCCAGAATAAACTGCATGCAAAGACATGAAGAGTCAATGAATTTCCCAAAGTGTTTGAAGTTTAAAAACAAAAGTGCATTTCTGGCCCAGCACATGTGGCTCACACCTGTAATCCCAATACTTTGGGAGAAGGGAGGATCTCTTGACCCCGGGAGTTCAAGACCAGCCTGGGCAACACAGAGAGACCCCATCTCTATTAAAAAAAATTAAAAAATTAGCCTGATGTAGTGGCTCATGCCTATAGTCCCTGCTATGTAAGAGGCTGAAGTGGGAGGATCACTTGAGCCTAGGAGGTCGAGGCTGCAGTGAGCTATGATCACACAACTGCACTCCAGCCTAGGCAACAGAGTGAGACCCTGTGTCAAAAATAAAAAATAAAAAAGCAAGAGTGCATTTCCATGAGACCTCACTCTTGATCACTCATTTCATGGAGAGAAACTGAGAGGGCTGTCATCTCTATAGCCATCTTTTTGTCTCCTCTGAAGAAAGAATAGCTAGACTGGAAAGTCAAGGAATGTCTCCTCTTTTTTCTGGGCGCCAGGAGACAGAGAAATCAGAGTGGGCGCACTCATTACCTTTGCCTCTGGAAATAAAGCAGAAACAGACATCTCAAGATGAGATTTCAAGGCATGCAGCTGTGAGCCTTCCCAGCTCCTTCTCCAATCCACACTTTCTTGGTTTCCTTCCTTTCGTGATAAGCCATGGGTTACATCTCAAATAAACCTGAATGACCTGATTTCTAAACTCTGGTTCTGCTTCCTGAAAAGTTGCCCTGAGAGTAGGACCAGCCGAGGTCCACAGGAGAAGAGTCTTTCAGTCTTTCACCTGTTAGGAACAGCGTCCTTTCTCACCTGTCTCTGCTCACTGGCCATAGAGCAACGGACACCTTTGAGGGGTCCATCAGGTAGAAGCTCTGGGCTCATTGCACTTTGAACGCTTGCATCAGCAAACTCAAGGGCAAATCCATTTGCCTGTTTACATGGCAGAAACAGAGACGAGTGGTTGCTACTTCTGATACAAATCTCTGTGGAAGTGTCTAATGGCCCCCAAAGCCTAAATGGCATATCCAGTTCCTTAGAGGTGCGGCAAACGGATTCCAAGATCAATAAGCACTGTCCTATAGATAGCTACAGGAATGAAAGCCAGAGAACATGAGGCCAGAGAGAGAAACTGAGCCTCGTGGAGCACTGCACTGTTATCTGTGTCTCTTGGGAGTTGTGGAAACAGAGCCTCTCAGCCACCTTCAGCTGCAGGAGTTTCTCAGGGGGAAGGGATTTTGACAAGGCGGGCAGGTAAGCAGTGGAGCCCAGCCCGATGCCCACGTGACCTGTTCAAGCAGCAGGGTGTCATTCTCCCTGACCACAGGGGGATGGCTGGAAGGACCATCTCTGAGCATGTCCTGCCCTGTCTACTTGACTCCCATCTCTAAATGCAAAAAGCTGCCTACCTCGAATACCAACCAAGAACACACTATACAGGAGGCTTTTATTGACATCCCAGCTACAGAGGCAAGCTGGACAAGCTGAAAGTGCCTCCGAGTTCATATTTAGAGCTCAAGCTGGCCTCCACCCACGATGGGCAGCAATTTACCAGACAAAGGCAGCTTCCTCACCTCTCAGGTGGGGTCACTCTGAGGAGTGCTCTTCAGGTCCCAGAGCTCCCCAAAACTCCAACTGCCCACCTGGATTGAGGGCATACACTCCATTGGTTTCCTTCCCTTCCCAATACTCCATCAGTCACATGTCAAGTAAACCTGGATGCCCTGATTTCTTAACTCTGGCTCTGCTTCCTGAGAAATTAACCTGAGAGTAGGACCAGCCAAGGTCCACAAGAGAAGAGTCTTTCAGTCTTTTACCTGGCAGGAACAGCATCCTCTTTCACCTGACTCTATGCAACCACTCCCTCTCCATCCCCGGGCAGCCTGGGCACAGGGTGCATGGCACAGGATGCCCAGAACCAGCCCTAGCTCTGCTTACGGGACACAGAGTGATGCCTACGTGCCTTAAGGAGCACTGTGCCCTGAAAGCCTTCTCCACCCAGGCCCCTATCCCATCTCCTGCTGTCACCCCGCCAACCTGCTCCTCTCAGATAATATTTCCGAGTGCCTCAGCTCTGAAACACAATATCTGCCTCTTGGAGATGTGATGTGAGCTTTCACATCAGTTCCACCAAAAGTTAATTTCTGTGATGAATGCAATATACTCAAACCCATAAATCTGACCATCTGAAGGATTCAAATGGGGAATTATTGACAGCTGATGGAACCCAAGTGCGGAGATGAAGCTGCTTTTCTCATCTGTCCATCTAAATGTTGGAATGTGTATTGATTAAAATATGACTCGCTACAGAACCCAACATAAATCTAAACTCTATTAGATTAACACTAGCATTCAATTAACATAAAATGACAACGTAGGAGAAAAAGGCTGTGTGTCGGTCACCAGTAATATTTTACCTATAAACATGGGGAACCTGACATCGGGACGTGCGTCCGTGCACGGTTTGGGGTGGTGGGCACGCATGTGAGAGTTAGGTTGGGATGTGTGCCCCAGAGGCAGGAAGAGGTGACGAGATAGCAGGCTTAGGGGCACTGCAGGCTTCAGCCACAGGAGGAGAAAAGGGTGGCTGTGGCTGGTTGGCTTGACTCTTTTACTATTGCTTTTATTTAAGATGTGCCTGGGTGGCCAGGGCCATGGTGCTGTGCGGGCGATGTATGTGCCAGTCCCGTGGCAGGCACAGGGCGGGAGACCCGTCTACAAAAGGAAAATCTGAGTCAGCTTCTCAGACACAGAGAGAATGTTTTCAGTGGGTTCAGGACCCCAGCGTGGAGCAATGAAGATTTCCCCCAGGGAGAGGAGAGCAGAGATTTGAAGATGAACTGAAAAAATTCATATTGGAATCTAGGCAGAGGAAGACCAAGCAGAAAAGTGATGAAACAACAGTGATGTCATGTGTGCCCCTGAAGGGCCAGGCGCTGTGCTTGGCTTCTGCTCAGATCTGTCACTATTTCATGTCTCATAGGTCACACAGATCATACAGATCACCCTGGAAGGGTCCTAGGCGGGCTGGAACAGCTGACAGTGCAGATGAGGAAACGGAGGCTCGGAGAGGCTCGATTCTCATGTGACAGGGGCACTGGAGTCCTCACCCATTCCCCTGGGCCATCTCCTGCAGGCTGTTTCCACATATGCCAAAGCATATGGGGCTTTCTGGCCAAGGGGGTTCTCCAGTCATGGGCTCTTATTGGATTAAAGGGCCAAAGGGTGAACACCCCAGGAATACACTCAACCAAGACAGGATAGGGGCTGGCTTATAAACACCGCAGCTTTCTTGAGGTTGTCCACATAGTTCCTCGGAGGGTCCCAGCAGGAATAAGACTCCATTTCCCACAGGGATCACCTGCTTCAAAACACGCCTACATCTGCTCCCCCCACTCCCTCCTTGTACTTCCTGGGATCTTCTCTCCCTCCTCCCAAAAAACTGCCTGTGCCTAAATCCTTATCTTAGGGTATGATTCTGGAAGATTCCAAGCAAAGGACTAAAGTCACAGAACTCATAAGTGGTAGCAGAGAATTTGATGTGTTTGTTTTTTAAACCAGGCTTCTCATCATTCTCCCCCATGCTCTTACTAACAGATTCTTGAGCTAGGATTGGAGAGGAATGGGATTAAAACATCACTACAAAGAAGATGGAGGTTTGCAGACCCCATCTTTCAGATTTGACCTTGTTTGCTGTATGGACCCTGAAATATGCTTTGCTGTGGAAATAATGCCCCTTTTGTAATTGGGTGCCCAGGCTAGCTCTCAAAGCCCTCTTAGCATCTGGTTTACATGTTCACCAATTCGCTATTTCAAACGCATGCATTCTAATGTAAAATATTGCATGTAAGGGTACCAACTTGGGAATGCCAGAAACACACCTGAGCAACGGCAGCCCTGGGGTGGTCACTTAAGTCTCTATAACATCAGCACAATTATGGCCCCTCTGCACACACAGACTCCTCCAGGGGATGGGGCACCCCAACTGGCAGATCATTTGTAAGAAGTTCTGAATTGCAGAATAAAAGGGGAAGCTATTTTCTGTCTGTCTGGGTTCAGTTTCTCTGGCCAAGTAATCTATCTTGTTTTGAATAAAATATTATAGCAAGGAAAAAGAAACGTTGAGATGGGAATCGGGTGACCCAAGTGAAGGCCTGGACGGCCCCAGTGAGTGACATAGCCTTGGCTGAGTGGGCCGGGTCCCAGGGCGGTGACCACGCTCCGTAAAGTCCTACTGAGAAAAGAACTCCTGGGTAGATGATGGGCCTGTCTTGATGCCTCAAGTCCAATGGCCACAGACCCTCCCAGAGATCCTTCCAGCTGTACCAGGACTAGAAGGACATTCTCAGGGATCTTGCCAAGCAAGGATCTTGGCAGCCTCCCAGGGTCGGAAGAATGCATTTTGAAATTGCAACCACCCAAGTTGAGGCTGTTTGTTCGTCACTGAACAAATGTCTGCTGAGTATCTATTTATACCTAGTGCTTCCTGAGATAGCGCAGGTGCTATAAACACTAGTTAGACATATCCCCATGTCACTGCAGACTGCCCGCCTCCTCCTCACCTCTGGTCACTGAGGAAGAGCCACCTCCCTCCAGTGAGGCTGTGCCCTCTCAGCACCTGGGGCCTCCACCCCTGCCCCGCTTCCCCTTCTCCTTCTCCCTCAGTTCTTCCTGCTCTGCACCCCTGAAGCCCCAGAGTCACTTGGATGAAGCCGCCATCATCTCTGCTGAGTTGACAAGGCCTCCGTGACCTGGCCACAGTCTCTCTCCAGGCCTGTCCCTGGTCACTGCTTCCACACCCTCTGCATTTGCTCTAGGACAGACCCTTCAGCTCCCCGGCTGGGCCAACCTTTCCAGTGATCATCACATGCTACTCCTTTGGCTGGGAAGCCCCCAACTATGTCACGGGCACCTAACAATTTCCTCCAGATTTCAGACTGGACACATGACCCCTTCCCCAATGTCAAGCCTGAACATGGGTCATTGATGATTTGCCTAAGGGCAACACCCATGCTGAGTTATACCCCCTAGGTACCTGTGGGCCTGCACCATGGCGATCCTCTGGCAGATAGGATAATGATGCATTCATCCTTGTTCCTCTAGGGCTTGTGGTGAGCCTCACATGCAGAAGCACGTGCGTGCATTGAGTGAACGGGAAAATGAAAGAATGATTGAATGAGAAAGAGAAGGGGAGGGGAGGAGTCTCAGGGGAAGCCTGAGGCTGGGCCCTAGGGATGGGCAGAATGGGGTGGGGAGAGGAGCCTGGATAGAGCAGCAGAATGTTCTTGGCCATGAAATGGGCAATCATTCATCCATTTGATAGAGTGGACAGAGTACCTTCTCTGTGCTCTCG
This sequence comes from Homo sapiens, assembly GCF_000001405.40. Lineage (NCBI taxonomy): Eukaryota > Metazoa > Chordata > Mammalia > Primates > Hominidae > Homo > Homo sapiens. The sequence goes on along the minus strand of NC_000019.10, from coordinate 30,670,847 downwards.
CTGTTACAGCCTGGCAGGGATACAGCAGAGAGCCAGGCTCCCGGGCTGAAGGGATGGACCCGGGAATGGCTCCTGCCTTCAGAACCTGCCTGAAGGGCGTGGGCAACAGAGGCACCAAGGGGCCAGTCCGGAAAGGCGTCTCTGGGGAAGGAAGGCCTCTGTCTCTGTTCTCAGACTCCACGAGGAAGAGCCTGGGAAATGCCTCCCCCAACAAAACCAAATGAAACTCTCTTTGGACTTCGTAGTGAACAGTTCATTCCCCGAGACCCGTCTGCGGGGGAGCTCAGTGTCCAACCTGGCAAGGCCGAGAAGACAACGATGACAAGGACTATATTAACAGCCCGTGTTGAGTAGGTGCTTGCCATGGGCCGGGCATCCCACAGACAGCCTTCCTGGCATGGATTTTCTCATCTGATCTATAGGATCGTCCTACACAGGTGCAGTCATCGTGACCACGGATTTCACAGGCAGAACACCCAGCCCAAATGAATGCCACAGTTTTCCAAGGCCACTCAGCGAATGAGGGCAAAAGACGGGATTCGAACTCAGGCATGCTGATCCCAGTGCACTAAGCGAATGAGAAGCGGCGCAGGAGGGGAGGAGTCTCAGAGGAAGCCTGAGGCTGGGCCCTAGGGATGGGCGGGATGGGGAGGAGAGAGGAGCCTCAGGAATTCGTTCCCCCATTGCACTAAGCCTCCCACGTACCCCTCCTTCCGCCAGCTTCTGGCACCTAGCCACAAGACGCCATGCTGCGCCAGAGGCTAAGAAGCCCGTGAGTCCCGGGCCCGCCCTCTCCCACCTGGGCAGGATGAGGGGAAAGGGAAAAGCTGCTTTGGAGAGAGGCAGATGCAGGCGTGAGTCTGTGTGACTCTGGGCTCAGCTCTTTTGCCCACTTCGTTCTCTTCCCTCCTGTAGAAGCAGGAACAATCCAGTCCGCCCTAGTTCATAGAACTCCTCCAGCCTAGCACTCAGCAGACGCTCTATTCGTGCACATTGCCACAATGAATACGTCATTGAACAAAGCGGTTAACCTGAGGTCTTTTCTCCTTTAATTTTTTCCAACAATAGGAACAGTTTTTATTTCCATACTTGCTCCGAACACCCTGAGAGACAGCAAAATTGGGTGTTTGTCAGTTGGTGCCCTCTACCCCACGCAGCCCCCCTGCAAGCTTCTTTCAGGTTTTAGGGAAAGTGGAGCCTTGTCCTTCTGCGAGGATCGGGCGCCCTCTTGCGGCCATCTCGGGATTCCCGAAGTTCAGGTCCCCGCAGCAGGAGAGTGGGATTCTCCGGGGCTGAGGACAGGGAGGCCAAGGGACCCCTCCGCCTGCCTGCGGAAGTGGCCTGGCAGTCCCCTACTCTCCAGGAGCCTGTCCCTTCTTTCTTCATCAGGCTGGACACCGAGGCTGAGTCCCCGGGGAAGCTGACCACGGCCAGGCACCGCCTAAAGGGAGTGTGTGAGGGATGGGGGCCGCCCCTCCCGCAGGCACAGGACTCAGCCATCACAAATGCCAGTGGTCCTTGGAACACGTCTGCCCGGCTGAGCCTGCCAGATGCCCAGTTTAGGGAAGCGCGTGAGGAACAGAAATGGAGGAGACCCGACCAGACAAGAGGCAGTCTACCCAGCTGCAGGTCGTGTCATTTCCTCTCCAAAAACAGACAGGGAGCGCCAGCCGCCTGTGCATCGCCCCACTGTGGCATTGGGACAATTGCTCCTGCTGTCCCCTTCCCTCCAGGAATGATCTAGCTGGGCTCTAGGAAGCCTCCAGGACTGCCACATTCATAGTTCCAGGGGCAGGGGCCACCATGAGCACAATGCACCCAGGCGTGTGAGGGGGTCCCCCGACAACCCTTGCCCCCGCTGCCCACTCAGAGACCACCCTCGCTGAGCTGCTCCTCCGTGGCCTGGCCCTTCTAAACCTCTGGCTCCTTCTTCTGGGCATTTGGGGTATGGGATCCCTTTCCTAATTAACCAGAAACGCCCCAACCAGGCTTGGGCACACAGGTGGTCCTCAGGAATCGGAGCTGGCTTAGAGAAGGTGGAATGAGTTGGGAGCTCCTGTGATCACAGCAACAAACGACTTTTCCACCAGCCAAGAACTGGGCACCTCCCACGCGGCCCCTTCACATGGCCTCGAAGTGGGTGTGGCAAATATGACCCGCCTTATAGAGGAGACCTACACCGAGCCCCCAGGGAGCCATCAGCAGAGAGAGGCAGCGCAGAGGCTGGAGCCGACTTCCCCTCACCACAGATCTGGGTCAACTCTAAGGTAACAAACTTTGGTGGCTCCATCTTCACGGGTACCTGGGAGAGGCATAACAAGGGTCCCTCCTCAGTGTCCTTTGGGACTGCAGGGACCCTCAAATTGGCCGCCAAGATCCTGAGCTTTTAAGCTCCCAGAAGGCGCCCCCACACAAAAACTCAGACACACCAGGAAGCAACTGTAGCCTGGCCTGGGACAGGGTTAGCAGTGTATTAGGCAGAAAATTCTAGAAGGGGCCCCTGATTGGCCCAGGGATGCAGGACCTGTCCTAGCAAGCAAAAGAAAGTCAATCACACCCCCTCCCCTCAAACTCAAGGTCAGGAGCCCCCACTGTGGAATCTCTACATGGTGTAGAGTCTCCAGGGCAAATAAATATCTTAATTTTGCAAAAATTTATTTCCTGGAGAGAGAGAAAATGTGGCCAAGACCATCATCATGAACTAAAAATTTTTTTTCTAATATTACATTTAACATCCAAGAAGAATCCAGATAACTTGGAGCAGTTAGCACTTCTGAAGGGCACTCCAGTTATTTTAGAGCCAATTACATGCCATTTCGATAGAATTCCTTGAAAGGATAGTGCCCTGAGGACCTGGCTTCAAATCTAGCCCTGCCAATTACCAGCTGTGTGACCTTAGACAAGTTACTTAACCTCTCTGAGCCTGCGTTTCCCCATCGATGAAATGAGGCTAATAACAATGTATACCTTATAGGGTTTGACCTTCACAGCATAGTTCTTAGCACATTGCAAGCACTCAGGACATGCTGAGTGTATACTAACACTACTGCTCTGCTATTGTTATCTAGTACTGTAGTAAATAGGCTGGGAGCTGTTCATGTACTCTATATCCAAGACAACCTGACATGCTCTGGGCTTCCAGAGCAGGTAGGTCTTCATTTACTCTGGGAATCTGAAAAGGTGAGATTACCTCACTTCTCATTAATTAAAAAAAAAAAAAAAGCTAGAAAAAACTCTAGCTGAGAGAGTCTTCTGACATTGTTTTATACACAGTCATGGTCAGTCCCTTCAATTAACCTTGATCCAGGCCATTGGGGACACTTCGGCATTTCAGGTCTCCTAACCACCCACCTTCCCACTCACAGGCAGCTTCGGCATGGGGGAGGCCTCCCGGATGGACACAGAAAGCAGCTAACGCACACAGAGGGAGAGGCTGATAGCGTGGGAGGGTGCAGGTGCCCCCTCCCTGCACCCAAGGGCCAACCAGGCACTAACCCAGCTTTTCCACCAGGCAAGCCTGTGTGCAAGTCACCCCTGTTCTGCTACTGGGACAGGCGATTGCTCCTCTGAGCCTCAGTTTCCCCTTCTGTAAGCTGGGGATAATTACACCTGTTCAGGCGTGTAAATGAATTCAGATGGAGACAGTACCTGGTGCTCGGGAGGTCTACAGCACACAGCATGTGTTCAGTCATTAGTCCTCGGTGCTGTGCTACTGCGAGATGCTAACGAGGTTAGTTTAGACAAGAGGGCCCAGCTTACAGCACAGTTTGCATTCCTGGGAAAATTGGGTAGGGCAAGAGCTTACACCAAGGTAGGCCTGAGAACAGCTGCCCCAAGGGTCAGGCGATACTCAGCACCTTCCCCTGTGGCCCAGGAGACATGAGCCCAGGGTTACCACAACTTCTGACTTTTCCAGAAATTGCCTGATATGCTCTGTAAAATATCCTGGATTTTCAATGTGAATAAGTCTTTTAAAATATGCATACATACATACATACATATATATATATATATACACACACACACATATATACACATACATATATTTTACATATATATTTTTGAATATATATATTTTGTGTGTATATTTATATTATATATATACACACAGAGAAAACAAATAAAGCAATTAAAAGGTATTTCTGGGTCCCAGCTCTGAGGCAAGGGAAACTAGATCCGCGAGGTTTCCAGCTCCCGCCTTACCCCATGTGTGGGCTTCTGAGGATTCTGCTACCCCCAGAGCCCGGAGCTGTTCCTAGAACACCCCACCTTGAGGCTCAGAAAGCCCCCTCTCAAAGCCTAAACAGTAATAGAAATGTGGGTTCCACTTCTGTGCAGAGGCCGCCATCTACTGGTGGAAGGACGTGAGTGCAGCCAGTGCCTGCCGGGATCCCCAGCAGAGGATGGGAGGAGAGGGGAGAAAAGAGAGGAGGGAGTGGAAGGGAGGGAGGAGGCAGGGAAAGGGAGGGAGAAAAGAAGAGCGGACAGGAGGGAACGTGTCGGACCCGGCCAGCTTCTGATGTGAGAAGGAACCCAGCAGCAGGGCCTGAGCCACCTCATCAAAGATGAGAAGCAGCTCAAGCATCCTGAGTGATGGGAGACTGGGAGGCAGTGCACCTGCTGCTGGGAGGGCTGGGCCTAAGCTCAGAACCTCCTGGGAGACCAGGTGAGCCGTGATCAGCAAGCGAGCATGCACACGCATGTCTGTGGCATGTCTGCAGATAGGCACCTTCTGTCTAGATCAACCCTAAAGCAACAAACTTGGTGTAGTCCCATCTTCATGGGTACCTAGGTGAGATGTATCGAGGGTCCCTCCTCAGAGCCCTTTGGGGCTGCAGGGGCCCCAGCCTGGACCCCAGGATCCCAAATAAAGTCTCCCAAAAGGGGCCACCACAGGAATCCCAGACACACCAGGAATCACCTGTCCATGCAGTGCACCAGAATGTGCAATGTCTCCAGACAGTGACCCCTCCTTTCCTCTCAGTCCTCTGATCCCCTAGTGACTGTGCCTGCTGCCTAGGGCCCCCCAAATACCCAAACCCCAAATCTCTCCACGCTGCTGCTGATCCCCTTAACCTGTTTTCTAGGAGCACTTTGTCCAGCAAAAGGGAAACCTGGCTTGTTCCCTCGAGCCTGGAATGGACATGGAAAGGGTGTCTTTTTGGCAGAAGCAAGGATCTCCAGATGGTTTCGAAACAGAATTTACCCAGCACCAGACCCTCCTGGGCCAGTCACATGGCCTTTGAGTGACCAGGATCTTCAGGAGCCACTTTCAGGAAATGCAGCAAAGGTGATTTTCCTGTGAAACTTCAATCCCAGGCAGGCCCTCCTCAGCCCACAGGGCCATGGATCTCTCAACTGAGCTGAGCTAAGCTTCCTCCACTGATCCCCCCAGTCTGCTGTGTGCAGGGAGCAACATAGAAACATCCCCCAAGACAGCTCTTCAAACAACGCATTACTGCTTATGGATTATTATTATTATTATCATTATTATTAATTATTTTTTGATGGAGTTTCACTCTTGTTGCCCAGGCTAGAGTGCAATGGTGCCATCCTGGCTTACTGCAACCTCTGCCTCCCTGGTTCAAGCGATTCTCCTTCTTCAGCCTCCCTAGTAGCTGGGATTACAGGCATGTGCTACCATGCCTGGCTAATTTTATAGTTTTAGTAGAGTCAGGGTTTCACCATGTTGCTCAGGCCAGTTTCGAAGTCCTGACCTCAGGTCATCCATCTGCCTCGCCCTCCCAAAGTGCTGGGATTACAGGCATGAGCCACGGCGCCTGGCCACTGCTTATGCATTTTTAAACTTTCTTTTAATTTTTTTACTGGATATTATTTTCCAGGCCTGAAGTGTTTCCTGTTGAAGAACTCGCTTTACTCTCATGGAGCCTCTAGGAGGCACTATTGTGACCTATTTATAGGAAGATAAACAGAGGCTGGGGTGGTGAAGTGAAAAGTTGCCGGGCTAAAGAACTGGGCTGGCAGCCCAGACATCAGCCCTCAGCCCTCCCAGCCGGGAAGGGTCCAGAGTACATGCGGGATCAGAGATCTTCATAGCAGAAAGCGCTCTTTGATGCCAGCCACACTGACTCCACAGGGAGCAGAGTGTGTTCAAAGGCCAGGATTTTATTCCCCCATCCCCACCCTCCCCGATTCTCACCACTATCCAATTAAAAACAAAAACAATCGCATAAATGGTACTACGTGCCAGGGACTTTGTAGACATACATGCCTTTCACAGATCCCACCTATGTAGGTGGGTATTTTTGATTCCTCTATTTTCCGGTGAGATTCAGAGAAGTTAAGCAACTGGCCTGTGATCACCCAGACAGCAGGAGTGGAGCCTCAGTCTGGGATCTGACCAGTGCCTGTTGCTCTGAGCCTGCAGAGCCAGTCCCAGGCTCCATCCACCCCGCCCTCCAGCAGCCTGGCCTGATTCAAATGCCAGGACTGCAGGTTCCTAAATCAGCGTCCATCAGCCCAAGGTCAGGGTTATTACAGTTTACACAACTACAGTCACCAAGGAGTAACTAGGACAGGACAGGCTGGTTCTAGCAGCTGCTGAGAGAGGGAGAGAGGGAGAGGGAGAGAGAGAGAGAGAGAGAGAGAGAGAGAGAGAGAGAGAGAGAGAGAGAGAGAGAGAAAACTCAGCAAGAATTCCTCTAGATAGCACTATTTGAAATCTTCCCATGATGAAATTAAAAGTGAGTCTTAAATGATTTATTTTTTCAATCTGTGAATCTAAACAAATGATCCCCCTTCTAGGTACATGTATCATATGATCTCCTTCACAGCTGTGAAAAAATGCTATTAGTGCTTTCAAAGCAGTTTTATCACAGATTAAAGAAGCCTAGAAAAAAAATTGGCAGCCAGAGACAGCCATATGCCTACTTGACCTAGGACGGTAAACCTGTTGTTCATTCCAGAGAGGGGATTATGGCATTACTTTTAGTAAGTTGCTTTTCATATGGAAATTTCCTTTCATAGTAAAGATCTGTCTTTAATAGCATCATCCTAAAAACATGCCTATTTTTTAATTCCACGATCATGGACATATAGATTTTTATAGTGTCTGCAAGCATACATTAATGTTAATTTCACCATTCTCCTTTGTATTTTGTTAATGTCACAGTCTGCTGTAAAACCTTGCCAAGTTTCTTAACTGTCATGTTAATTCCAAGACCTATTCTGCACTCTTTGACATTTCAGGACAGAACAAGGCAGTAAAAATAGATTAGAAACAGCTTATAAGTATTATAAAATCTAGAACTTTACAGATGGTGGAATTAGGTCTGCTGAATGGAAATTTAGCAACTCCTGAATGCAATAATATTAGAAAATCGTATTCATTTCTAAGGTAAATATTTGGAAGGCGTCGTATAATGGCGGCTGGAGAAGTTGGGGAAACTTATAAAATGCAACAGAGTTATATAATTTTAAGAAACATACTGTATGCATATACCATATCCTGCAGAGTTTCGGGTTTCAAAGGTTTTCTCCACTGTATAAATAAAGGGCAAATAGTAAGGGCTTGATTTTATTCATGGTCAGTTCAAAGATCACACAAATTATTTCACTCAGGGGGTTTGTCTGCATTTTCTTAAGTTAAAGCACAGCATTACTGTACTTAGATATTAAATGACACTACCATGTGCTAAGAAATGTGCAGGAATGGACAGGAAATTAGACACTGTTTTCTTAAACTGATTGCTAAAGAATGCCCACTGTTTAAACCTGCACTATCCATTTCAAAGGGAAGTATTGGCTGATTTCAGGAAGTTTGAAATCAGCTCATGGAGAAGCAGGACAAAGTTAGGGTTAAATGTGCTTTTCTTCCTCCCCAAAGGGGAAACTATTTCTTAAAAAAAAAAAAAAAAAAAAAAAAGAAACGAAAAAGAAAAAGAAAGAAAGAGAGAAAGAGAAAAAATTTTCCCTTTTTTCTTTAAGGAGGACTTATTATTTCCATCATCCTCGTTGAGTTGTTGATGAATAGTTCACATCCCCTGCCAAGCCCCACCCTTGTCTATTTTCTAAGCTCTTTCCTCATTATTTGCTCAGCCTTTTCCCACAGCCCCGACCGGCCGTCAGGGCAGCTTAAACACAACACAGCATTAACATGGGGAAATGGCTTTCAGTTTCCAATTGATCTCCTAATACGTTATGTTGAAATGATAATTGGTACACTCTTCATTGAAAAATAAGAGAGAAAAACTACTACTCAGTCACCACCAGGTATTATCGTAGTTCATGTATTCAGAACAACCAGATACATTAAAAAAAAAATCAAAAAACAAAAAACTATCCCCCCCCATCTGCGGGAGAGACTGCAGTCCACAATTCTTTTCAACTGACATAATCCAGATTGATTCGTTCAGCAGATAAAATTCAGGCCACTTCTGCCCTTTATGGGAGCAACATAATACCAGTCTTTATTCAGTAACAATGTAACATAATGAGATCGGAATGTGCAAAATGACTGTTCTTAAATTACTGTGCCTCACAAGGGCCCAACACAAGCTGGGACTTAATGTAAAAAATCATTAGGCACAGATTACTAAAGTGCTCCTGCATTAAGGAGGTCAAACCGAGTCTGTTTACGGCATTTTTCAGGACAGAAAGTCTTTGCTAATATCTTGATTATGACCGTCTTCTGGGGGGCCCATCCCAGCACCCACAGCTCAGCATTGTCTCCATCCGGGAGCCGGGAGGCAGAATTAAGAGAGGACAGGGCAGGAGATGGCATCGGAGGGACTCCACAATCACGTGCTATTTTTGGGAAAGTTGGGTGCATCAAATAATTTAAGCTTTGAGCTATTAAGTTATGTTAATTTCAAGGTCGTCAGGGGATGGTTATTCAAACACATAGAATATTTGGAAAATAACGAAAAGCACAAAGAACAAAGAATGATCTCCCACCATCTCCATATCTAGAAAAAAACCACTGGCCATTCTGAATGTAAATTCACTCCAAATATTTTTTCCAGCCATAACTATCTAATGTTTTTATACAATGTATGCTTCAAATACAGCCTTTCACTAAATGTTATAGGTAAGGTCAATATTTCTCCCTGTCATTAATTATTCCTCTGCAATATAATTTTATAGCTACATGGTGTTTCTTCATGTGGAAGTGCCTAATTTAGCTTCACCCCTATTCTTGGGCTTGTCAGTTGTTTTCTAAGTTTCCCCTCATTATAAAGGATGTGTTGATTAATATCCTTATGCGAAAGTCTTTCCCCGACATGTCAGATAATTTTCTTTGGAAAAACTTCCAATAAGTAGAATTGCTGGGTGAGAGGGAACACACATTTTATACCTATTTGATACTTATTTTTTATTTGGCCCCCCCAAAAGCTTGCACCTATTTATATTAATAACACAGTGTTCACAGGACTACATATTTCTAGGGATGTGTTACAAATCCATTATACCAGCCTTTTCCTTTGCAGGACACCACAAAGAGTTCTTGAACATTGCATTGCATCTGCTGACTTATATCACACAAGGATATCATGACCACTATTCAATTCTGCACACTCACCCAAAAATCTGTCATCAGAAGAAAGATTAAATTAAGAGAGTCAGTCAATGTAGTCTCTTACACACCCAAGGTTGCCTAAGAAGAGTCTAGAGAAGTAAACCAGAGCAAAGCAGAGCAGAAAAGATTTCCTTTGAATTGAAATGATTTTTTTTCAACTTGCAACTCCAAGCCTCATGCAATTTAATTTTTGAATTTGAGAGCATTGCTGGTCTCTTATCTTGTTTAAATAGAAGACTTCCAAAATTCCGATCACGGAATCATCGGGTGGCCTCTGAGATGATGCAGTTACTCTTCGGAACACTGGGCTCACGTCTGGAGTGGGGCCTGTATTTGGTCAATGTTTGCACAAAACGAAACAGGCGCCATGTGTAAATGCAGAAGGCTGCTGCGGAGCATGTATGAGGCAGAGATTTTGTGTATGTATATGTACACACATGCACATAAATATATTTATCTATAAAATGAACATCACCATTGTGACCTCCTCACTGAAACTCACACCATCTGAAATAGTTGCATGTGATTACTAGCCGCTACTGTCAATCATGACGGCACAAATCCAATACTCAGGCCATATGGCCTTGAAACTTGCAATCGATAGGAACCTTTTAAAGCTGAAGCTTCAAAAAGTTGTATCAAATATATATTCAATGAGAAGAAGGTTAATTGAATAATTGATTACTCAGTAACAATTAAGTGCTCTTCAGATATCTTTGGGAAATCATGAAATATAACGGTGATAGATATTTATTAGTTTATCAGTTCTTACTGTGTTATATATTTATTTTGGGGCCTGAAGTCAATTTCTTTCATTTATATATTTTAACAGCAGAGTCCCCGGAAATGAAATGATACATATATTTTTATTTCCACGCTGCCAAAGAGATGACAGGGTGGAGAGGGATCCATGTAGAACCAGGGGTGTCAACAGCATTTCCCAACATCAGAGATGGCTTCTTTGTGACAGCTCTTAGGTGAAATAGTCAAACAACGTCTCTCGGAAAGGTGTGTGCTCTGACACTCAGTCGTTTTTGTAAAGAGAGCCTGGGTGCTGAAACTGCACACTGCCATGGCTGTTGAAGGATTACCATCATGTGGGTTTTCCTTCCTTCTGCCTGGTTTATCTTCAAAAATAACCAGATCTGCAGGTCTCCAGAGACAAGAAAACAACAATTGTTTCTCCACGAATAGGCAAAGTGACCAGCCTGTCACTATCATTTGTGAACAAATCCCTTAGACAAGTTATCTGTGGCTTTTTCAAAGGAGGTATAGATGGGGCTTTATGAAATCATTGATATCTATTGAAGAGGATAAACACATACAAACACACACACACACACACACACACACACACCCTTGTGTCAAACAGGGTAGGAGCAAAGACTGAACATAATCAGACTCTGCAGAAAGGTGAGTCCAAGTGCTCACTCTATAGGCCATACTTTGCACACATGATATGGTTGGATCTGTGTCCCCACCCAAATCTCATGTCAAATAGTGACATGGTTTGGCTGTGTCCCCACCCAAATTTCACCTCAAATTGTAATAATCTGGTGGAGCCAGGTGGAGATAATTGTATCATGGGGGCTGTTTCCCCCATACTGTTCTCTTTATAGTGAGTGAGTTCTCACAAGATCTGATGGTTTTATAAGCTTCTGGCATTTCCCCTGCTGGCACTTCTACTCTTGCCTGCTGCCATGCAGACGTGCTTTCCACCTTCCACCATGTTTGTGAGGCCTCCCCAGCCATGTGGAACTGTGAGTCCTTTAAACCTCTTTTTCTTTATAAATTACCCAGTCTTGGGTATGTCTTTATCTGTAGCTTGAAAACAGACTAATACAAATTGTAATCCCCAGTGATGGAGGTGGGACCTGGTGGGAGTGATTGGATCATGGGGGTGGTTTCTAGTGGTTTAACACCATCTTCCTTGGTCTTGTCATGACAAGAGTGAGTGCTCACGAGATCTGGTTGTTTAAATGTGTGTGGCACCTCCCACCTCCCTCCTTTCCTCCTGCCCTGGCCATGTAAGAAGCATGTGCCTGCTTCCCCTTCACCTTCCACCATGACTAAGTTTCTTGAGGCCTCCCCAGCCATGCTTCCTGTACAGTCTGCAGAACTGTGAGCCAAATAAACCTCTTTTCTTTATAAATTACCCAGTCTCAGGTATTCCTTTATAGCAGTGCAAGAATGGACTAATACACTGCATCACCACCAGCTTTGCCAAAGAGTTCAAGAATCTCTGAGAAATCCCCACCCAAACGGTAAAATCAGATTTCCTGACAGCAAAACTTCAACATCCCTAATGGACCCACCTGAGAGCTGACAAACTGCCCAGATACAAGAAACCTATTTTAAACAGGAGTAAAAATGAATGTTTACTTATGTACCTAACAACTAGGCCAAATGTTAGCAAGTTTATGTCTCTGTATATTTTCTTATGTACGCATTCAAGAAATATGTGCTGAACCTCTTCTCTTCTCTGGGCTGGTCACTGTAGTCCGTGAAGGGGACTAAGCTGTGAACAAGACAGATATGGTTTCTGACTGGTTAGAGTTTTCAATTCGGTGGGAGAGTCAGACCAGAAAAAAAAAGAGGAAGAAGTCAAACACACATAATTTTTAATAACTGCTAAGAAGTTAAAATGGGACCCACAGAGGGAATAACAGAGGAATAGCCATTTTTGAGTGGAAGGTAAGAAATCATCAAAGAATGAGAAAAAGTTGGCCAGGCAAAGCCAGGTGTATGCGTGTGTGTGTGTGTGTGTGTGACAGAGAGAGGTTGTCATTCATTCCAGGCATTGAGAACAGTATATTCAAAGACCCTGAGGTGTCAGCAAAGAGCTGGGATACCGATTTAAAGATCGGAGAGAAGATCTGTGGGTTGGAGCAGAGCTTGAGAGATGAGCTTGAAGGTTGGGCAATGACCTGATCACTCTGGGCATTGTGGCTGAGGGGAGCTTGGGTTTTAATCAAGCGGGAACAGAAAGGCCAGGCACGGTTGCTCACACCTGTAATCCCAGCACTTTGGGAGGCCAAAGTGGGCAGATCACTTGAAGTCAGAACTTCAAGACTAGTCTGGCCAATATGATGAATCCCTGTCTCTACTAAAAATACAAAAATTAGCCAGGCATGGTGATGCACACTTGTAGTCCCAGCTGCTCAGAAGGTGAGGCAGGAGAATCGCTTGAACCTGGGAGGCAGAGGTTGCAGTGAGCCGAGATTGCGCCACTGCACTCCAGCCTGGGTGATACAGCGAGACACGATCTGAAGGAAAAAAAAGGGGGGGGGGAATGGAAAGCCATTGAAGGGTATTAAACAAGAGGATATATGGTCTGATTTACATTTCCAGAAGTTCCTTCTAGCTGAAGCGTGTAAAAACGTTTGGGTAAGGTCTGTTAGATCAGTTTGGCATAATCCAGGTAAGAGATGACACCCATTCCTCAGGGTGCAGATGGAAGGGAAGAAGGATTCTGGATTGATTTCTTTTTGAGATGGAATTAACAGGTCTTTCTGGTGGACTGGAGAGAGAGGAGAAATCAAGGATAACTGCAAGTTTTGAGGTTTGAGGTTGTTAGATGTCAAAGTGGAGAAGTCAAAGAGAACATCAGAGAAGAAATTCTGGAGAAGATAAGAGAGTTGCAAGTGCCTGTTTGAATCATCAGCAGAAGAGAGGCATGAAATCTGCAAGGAAGGATGAGTCCTTCCAGGAAGAGAGTGCAGGGGGAAGAGAAAGAGAAGCGGGGCTGAGCCCCAAGGAGGGCCAGAAGAGCAAAGAAGGGAGAGAGGGTCAGTAGGAAAGATCAAGACGTTGTCGGAGCAGTGGCAGGAATACCGAGAGAGTCTGGTCTCCTAGCTGCCACAGGAGAGGTGGCTTTAGCACAGGGTCTGCTGGCGGCCGCCTCTTGGACATTGCTGCTTTCTCAGTGATCTCCCTGAAGCCTCGTTGCCTGTGGACTCTCCAAGTCTGTAGAGTGATTAACTATTTGAGGTAGATTCTATTTTCATAGTCATTACACAGAGAATACTAAAGCTGAGGCAGTTTTGGTGACTTACAGGACATCACGTTCCAGCTTAAACCCACATAGCACCCTCTCCAGAGCTCTCCCCCAGTCTGTTAGATGCATCTGACTTTCTAAGGTGCTCCTGGATTGGAGGGTCCAGCTGGCTACATGTGGTCAAGACATACCACTGGGAAAACGCAGGGACATAGTTTGAGTGTATTCTTTCTACACTTTTCACACCAGCAATGCCAGCATCTCTGTGGTTTCGGATGAAATATTTACCCTGCTGATTCTTTCTAGTGTCCCTGCAAAAGGGCCGGCCATGAGTGCCTGTGAATTAACTCCGGGAGGAGGCTTTGTGAAGGAGATAACTAAAGGAAAGAAAGGCCTTCAAAGCAGGTTCTCAATTTCCAATCAGGCCATGCTCCCAGCCCTCGCATCTCCCCTGCGATTTCCATGGTTCAGACTGACCCCGTGCAGAGCAGAAACATCAGAATGAGGCCCTCCAAGTCCAGGGGCACCTAATGACACTGGCTTGGTGGCCTTGCCTGTCCCGCAGTGTCAGGAGTGAACCAGGCTTTCTGTTGTGCCTCATAAAATGATGACAGGCATTGCTGCCCAGGGACACAGCCAAAGTAGACAGTGAGGTGTCACAGACCAGAGAGCAGATGTATGATTGCGTCCCTGCCGAGAAGGGAATGACATCCTTTGACTCTCTGGAGAGTGTGCTGCAGAGGAACTAACCTCACTGCTCCGGTTGTACACACAACAACATTGACAGCCAACAGTTCCATGAGCATCGTTGCACAGGGCACAGGGAGACAGAGTGACAGCGCGTTTCCAGCAGGGTAGAGATGGTGCAACGTGCTCCAGCCAAGGGGATAACCAAAAGCATGGCAGAGTTTTCATATTGTTTTAATGTGATTTCACAATCCTAAGTTAATTTATTTTCTTATGATGGAAAATGGTCCGGCACTGCCATATTCCAGTATGTGCTCCAAAAAGCAGTCTGATAAAATTCATTAGAAAAGAATTAAATTCATCATATAAAGCACAGCTGTTATATTCTAAGTAGTTCCCAATTCAGAAGACCAGGCAATTGTTCCTTTGAGTAACACCAAGGACAGCACTGGAGAGGAACCAAGGAGAAGGTCTCCAGGACTCTAGAACTCCATCTTGCTGCAGAAGCAAAAACTTGCCTCATTTTTGAGCCCTCTCAAATACATGCAGATGTCAATGAAAGTGGGTTTGTTGGTTTTTTTTTTTATGAAACACGGTCTTGCTCTGTTGCCAAGGCTGGAGTGCAATGGTGCAATCCCAGCTCACTGCAGCCTCAAACTCCTGGGCTCAAGTGATCCTCCAACTGCAGCCTCCCAGGTAGCTGGGACTACAGGTGTGCACCATTACGCACAGCTAATTTTTACATTTTCTGTAGAGACAGGGTCCCATTATGTTGCCCAGGCTAGTCTCGAACTCCTAGGCTCAAGTGATCCTCCCACCTCAGCCTCCCAAAGCACTGGGATTACAGGTGTAAGCCACCAAGCCAACATGAACAGGGAATTTTAACCGGCCAGAGGAAAAGACACTAAAGAGCAAAAGGAGATCATTGCTAGATTCCTCCCTTGGATAAATCTGTAAAATCCTAGGTTTTAGCCAAACCCTCCCCATCTTTGCAGGCCCAGCTCAATTCTGCCCTATTCCCCAACCTCATTCCCTTCCCACCCATGTCTTGGGTAGCAATGCAGCTTGCATGGTTTAGCTCCATTTCTCTGAGTTGACGGCAAACTCCTTTGAAGTGAGGGCTGAGTTCACCCTCAGTTTCTTCCAGCCCTTCCCCATTCAATGACTTCCAGCTCCCTATACCAATCAGCATGCTGGGTTCTCAGTATGGCATTCCCCTTGCATGTGGCCACAATTGGGTACCACGTACCATTTTCTCTGAATGTAATATGTAATAGATTCTTTTATTCACATTCAAAAACAGAAATGAGCAAAGCTCTCTGAGAAGATGATGAAGAGAGCAGGAAGCTCTTGCAGTCACCCGGCTACCCCTATGCAGTCTGTCATTGCAATACTCTACAAGACCCATTAAGTGCTGATTTTACTCTGTCTTGTAAATGGGAGAACATGTAGAAATTTTAACTCATGTGAGATTTATTTAACCAGCAGCCAAATGCTGAGAGCTGTCAATCTGAGTGTCCTGTGAGTCCTCCTAACTCCCTAGATGTACCCAGTACTAAAGTCCCTAAGAACAGAGTGCTTCGTTGTAGGAGCACAGCCAGGTGCCTCAGGCCACTCCTCACTTGTTCACTGTGCAGGTGACAGCTTGAGAAATTTGGCAGCAGAAGATCCTGCCTTTAACCAGCATTCAGAAATAAAAATTTCTGAAAAGTTAGCCCTGAATGCTGCTTGGGGATAAAGAAAGTCAACGCTGTAAGCACGGTGGCTTTGCCCAGCATGGGGGGGTGTGTGGGGGGTGGGTGGCAGACACAGCTGAAGTGTAGAGCTCAGCAGAGCCTGGCTCAAGCCCAGCCCTCAAATTTACCTAAGCCACCAGCCTTCCAGGGCACTGGGTTCCTGGTCTTCATGGAGAAAAAAAACAAGCCTCAGTCAGTGCCCCAGTAGCACTGAGACCCATTACAGCAACAATCGCCCGGTTAAAAGAACTAAAGACCTAGATAGCCACCGCCCAGGGAAGCAGAAAGGTCTTTTTGGTTTCACCTTTATTTCATCACTCAACCAGGTGCAGTCATGGAGAAATCTTTGAATACAAGCATTCCACAGTTCTTTCGCTTTAGGAACCACGAATGTTGACTTAGGCTGTGTTTTGCCACATCTGACTCCAATGCAACCCACCAGTTTCCAGGAGAGACTGGGGATGGGGTGAATAAGGGGGGTGGTGAGGGGTGAATAAGGGGGGTGGTGAGGAGTGAAGAGGGCCAAGTGGGAAGATGATCAGATGATTTCATGCACTAATGAACATTCCAGATTTTGTGATGATCCCCAATACTGCCCACCTAGGAACTGGGTGATTACTATGCCGGGCGGTCACACCTGTTGGATGTACCTAGGTGAAGGTCAGGCTCCCTCCCCACTGGGCCCCACGCAGCCTGGGCACCAGCCCTTGGCTCACACCTGCTGCCAGGTAGCAGCCAGGGAGACTTCTTATGCAGCCCGCTTGTTTCAAAGGAGCGTCGGCGACAGGGAGGGGAGGATCTCAAGACCTTTAATTAGCTGGGAATTGCACCCTCTCTAGTGGCTTGCTTGTGAGAACTAGAGAGCTAAGGAACAGCTCCTCAAAGAGGAAGATGGCACTTGCCAGAAGGCAGAGCTAAAGCACGCAGGTGAGTCCTGGGTTCTGATGGGGCAAGAGTTCTCCATTCCAGCAAACTCCAGACAAGAGCCAGCAGCAGGGGGGCACGCAGCCTCCACCATTGCACATGCCCTGTGTGTGCCAGGGAAGTGACCCTCTTTTCCTGGGGTCTAACTTCCCTGTCTGCAAACTCTTGTGTTATGAGCAAGGCAGGCTGGGCGGGACCCCTTGGCGGAGAAGGGAAGAGCCACACCTCCCTAAGGAAGTGACTCCCACCTCTCTTCCATCACCTGCTCCTAAGGGAGCGGCTCCCACCTCTCTTCCGTCCCCTGCTCCTAAGGGAGTGGCTCCCACCTCTCTTCCATCCTCTGCTCCTAAGGGAGCGGATCCCACCTCTCTTCTATCTCTTGTCCCAGACATTCTAGTTTTTCAAGAGAACCTGAAAGCCTGGATTTGTAAATTTAAAAAATCTTTCATTTTTAAACTGTGTGCAACCAATTGAAAGCAAAAGTGTAATATCGGACAAGTCAAACAAAACCCAACTGTGAGCTGGCTCCAGCCATCAGGCCACTCTTCAAGTTTCATTGCACTCATAGGCCTCTCAGAGGGCCCCACCTAACCTTCCATGCCCTGTGTCTGCTTGTCTCCCCGAAAGCAGATGTGCAGTGAGAAGACAGATGCTACACCCAGATCTAATGTGTGGTCTCTGGATCAGCAGCACAGCCATGACCCTGGAGCTGAAGGGCAGGATAGAGGGTCCTCCCCAGAACTACTGAGTCAGAATCTGCATCATAGCAAGATCCATGGGGATCTGGTTGCACATGAGACTTTGAGAAACACTTGTCTAAAAACAAGTAAGATAAAAGAGTCAAGCATGGTGAAACCCTCTCTCCTCTCCAGGACTTGGAAATGCCCAGATAACGGCACCTTCCCTCATGTTTAATCTTTTCCACCCAACCTTACTAGGCTAGAAATAGCCGCCATTCGGTCCTGGGAGGATCCTGGATTCTGACGGGGCATCGAGAGTGGATGCAGCACTGTCACTGGGTTCCCCGCCTTGGTGTTACAGCTTCCACTGCCCACACGGGGAGTAAGAAGTGGGTTTCCAGAATAATCCCTCTCTGGCTTCCATCGCTGCAGGAGACTTTACAGCCACCAGGGATGACCCCAAGCCCACGCCCCAGGTGAAGGTCAAGCAACCGGAACAATGCCACTCAGCTCAGATCACTAGGACAGGAAGCCCAGGAAAATTCCCTTCGGAGATCAGCCTTCTACGAAACTAGAAGTTGCATGCTACTGACTCCAGACCCAGGAGAGGCAGACACAGCACACACAGTAAAGGGGGAAAAGTTTCCTGGTGAGTCCTACAGAATGACGGGGCTCATTCACTCCTTAGAAAAGCACCTCTCTGCATCCATGGGGGCCTCAGGATGACGGTGGAAATGCCTGCTGCCATCTCAGCTTTACTTGCGTGACTCTCCCCAGATCCCCAGGCCTCGTCAGCAGAGACACATCTATCGATAATTACAGAATACACAGCTTTGGGGGGCATTTCCCTTCCATTCACGACATTTAGTGGTGTCAGTCTGAGCATAAATACAATTAGATTTGAGAGTTCTATTACAAAAGCCAATAAAGCGGGCCTCAGTAGAGATTCTAAAATTACTTAACTTTTCTTTAGAAAAATATTAAAACAGTATTATCACATCAATGAGAAGAAAAGACAGCAAGATAATAAAGTTATGTTAAACCTCCCTGTATTTACTCATGTGTGAAACAGTTATGTCTGGTCACATAATTGCAATGGTTCTGAGAAATATTTCATATTTTATAATGAACATTAAAAGAGTTTGTGGATCATTACTTTATATGAGTTCCAAAGTTATTACATAAAACCCAATAGGAATGGTTATAAATTATCAGATCCTCTGGCCTGGCCTTGGTAAACATAACATGAAGACTGAGACATTTCAGCAGACAAGATTCATGAGAAGAGGTAAAAATTCTTCCTGCATTTTAAGGAGAAAAGAAGACCAGAGTACTTGTAACCAGCTCTTAGCATTTTTGTTTCTGTTTCAAAGAAATTCTATTGAACCACTTGCTTAAGCCACACACACACAAAGCTTCTGTTAGAACAAAAGAGTAGTTCCTTTAGACACTGCCCTCATCGCCTCATTTTTCATTATCCTATCTGTGGCCTTAAGGTCACTGCCAAATTCTTGAATTTTTCAACACAGTGTGGGTTTAAAATGCTGTACTTAGCAGGCTCATACGATACCCAACAATTCTTTATTTTCAAAAGGAGATCCTCTCTTTGAAATCTGAAAATATGGCATCTTTACAGAAATTGGAGAGTTGATAACATTCTGAGGAAGTTTTCTTTTGGGGTCTGCAGAATAGGTTTGCAGACAGAATTTTAATTACAAACTATCATTTGTGAACCACGGTTAAGCATGAAATGGATGCTATTCAATTTCCTCGTGCTTATTCTCTTTTTTAAAAATAAATCACAGCATTATATTTTGTTCTGAAAAATCACACCTGGAGCTTCCCTTCCTCCCTCCCCCTTGCTTTCTGCACGGTGAAAGAGTTAAGTATGGGAAGAATAGCAGCTGGGTAAACAAAGTTAAGGACCAGAGAAGTAACGTCAAATCTTCTTGTCAGCATCCAAGAGGCACAGTGCCCAACTGGGGCGCTTTCTGATGAAACACACAGGCAACATTTGCTACCTGGTTCTAGGAAATACAGGCACCTCCCTCGCCTTTGTCCAAAGCAGCCCCGCTTCCGGTACCTGTGGAGTGAAGGTGGGCGCCCGCCCTCCAGGACCCCACCTAACCCCTCTGAGGCTCCCCTACCTGCCAACTCCCAACCTTATCCCGGGTTCTCCCCTTTATGTGGCGCAGCTGTTGGTGAGGCTTTCTCAGCAAACAGATGTCTTTTGGAGAATTTAAAGCTCTGAGTTGGAGGCCAGATTCTGACTGTACTTTGAATTATGTCTGCCTCGATCATTATGCAGTCATTCACATATATTTTAGACATCAATATTGTCTTGAAATATTCTCGAGTTCTCAATGCTATTTATATGCTTCCATTCTCTCCTTTGCTTCTGCTCTGACAGTATGCTCCAACGTCCCAGCGTCACTGACGACTTGCAGATCATTTTAACACATATTTTCATTGGTGAGGGCTTTGCCATTTCATTTAACATGATTTCTCGCTAAATTGAGCAGAGATTGACATTCTTGGGACAACAACCAACCTTGGTCATCTGTTTGGATGGAGGATTTACCCAGTTCAGTATTTTTTAAGATGAAACAGTGTCATGTGTTGCCTCTTTCTACGGACAGCAAGTTTTTACCAATGACAAAAGAAAGATTCTAAGGATGCCAATTTACAATGTGGGAGGAAAAAAAATCTCTCCTTGCTTATTTACAGAAATGCTCATCGGCTAACATATGAGATTCTGATATAATGTAAGCCCATAGGTAAAAGAAAAAGCAAACTCAAACTGTGAAAACAAAGCAAAACAAAACAAAAACAGATATTTTCAGGACTTAAAGAGTAACAAGAAAAGGAGAGAAATCTTTGGGGCTCTTTCAGCACATTTAGTTCTAGGCCAAGTTTAGGAAAACCGTCATGGCCCCTCAGAGCTTCATATGGTCACCAAGAGAGCCAATCTGATTCAATGACTACTCTTACTTTCAAACGGGGTCAGGGCTCTCACCACCACCACTCATCTATTGATCATTTTGTCCTTGTTTGCAGATCATCCCTTTGAAGTATTTTCGCAATGGCCTCTAGGTGCCGCTAACACTGCATAGCTTCAGCCTTTCTGCACAATGAAAACATTAATTTGCTATGAGATAATTTTTGACGTAAATGTAAAATGGTGCCCATTCGAACTCAGTAATGAAGCATGGTGCATTTCTGCAGCTCCTAATTTGACTAGTTAAATGACTCCATTACGTGTCTAACAGACAGAAGCAAATAATTTCTGGTCAGTTGATGTTCACTTACCCGTATCATTTTGCCCTGAAAATAAAGTCTCTAATCTACAATTCCTTTGTCTTAGTTTTTTTTTTTAGTTAAGATTATCAAAGCAAATATACTTAAATATTTCAGATTAAACCAGTATAAACTAACAATTAAAACGTCAGACAGGATAGGCAAATCAAATATGTGTAATTGGAGAGGTGGAAAACCAGTCAGCCCCCTTCTAAATTAATTACTCCAACTTTGCCCCTGTCACTAGGTCCTAGGGGTTAGGATGACTCTCGGGCTTCAAAAGAACAAGTGTGTATCTTTCAAGTCTATTGTTTTCCTGTGACCCCAAAGGGGCTACTGGCTGTTCCTGTGTCTTTTTCACTTTGCCACATAACTTTGAGGATGTTTGGAAAATCAGTAGCAGGATGCATCTCACAATAGCAAAAAAAAAAAAAAAAAAGGAAAATGCTGCTTTAATAAATATCAAGTGATGAATAATTTTGCCCAAAGGGGAAAAAATGGTTAATATTGAATCTTAATGTTCCTCATCTAAATGCTTTTTTCTTCCTGCTAAAAACAAGTTTAGAATTAAAGCGTATCAGTTTACACATATTGCATGCATATTAGTGAGACACAGCTGTGTATGTCCCCCTGTTAAGAGCCATATGATTAAGTTATGGGATATCATATAATCCAAACGCTGTTTCTACTGGTCACCTTTCACAGACAAAAGCTTTTTAGTTTTAGGTCTATTAAATGACAGAATGTCCGATTCTGGAAATGTGCAAGCAATTATTATGAAGCACCTGTGACTCTCACTTTTTGCTCACCAAGTCCATCTATAAATTGCTTCTGGAACATTGCTCAGAGGCTGACAGAGGACTGTCCTCCCTGTCTGGGGCAGCTGTCGGGCATACAGTGAGGTGGCTCAAGACCCAGGGTTGATCCTGGTTAACTATGGAATCAGGACCCCAGCCGTCCTACCCCATCGCCCTGAAGTGAAGAGACTATAGACTCTTTCAGTGAAGAAACAGTGGTCGGAGAAACAGTGAAGAAGAACCCCCTAAAGTTCAGAGGGAACCCTGGGCCCACCCGTTTATCATCAGCACTTCCGGATGATATTTCGAACTAGGTCTGCACCAGAAAATCAGTTTTCAAAAACATGTGAACTAAAAGAACCAGTTTAAATGATCTTTATTTTTCCCCAAAGTAACATGCTATTTGACCCAATTAAAAACACTTTTTAAAAACTGACTGGAGTGTGTCTATTGACTACCTTTATTGAGCTTTTAAAATTTCAAATCCTTGTTTGTGGGCAAATTTCACGCACTTCTATGTTAGGGATGAGGGACGGGGAACAGCACAGGCTGCTTGCCTTTTGATGTGAAACAATGTGAAAAGGACTATTTATGACTCATACTCTGTGGAAACGTTGGCTGATGCTGTTTCTGCCACTTGATCCGGGGAAGTTGCTGTCCTGCAGAAGGCCAGTAGCTGGTGCTGGAGGGGTGGGGGCTCACACCTCTGCTGCCCCTGCCCAGGGGTCCTGAGATAGCCATCGGGGCCAGGCTCCTTGGTGTGATGTAGGTCGAGCGCCTGTGGGTTTGCAGAAAGGATTTGGCCTTTTGATTTGGTGTAGAATTTACAACCTGAGAGTGATGTCTCAGCACGCAGATCTGGGTTGTACTGGAAAAGGAAATGAGGTCAAGCTGAGAGGAACAGTGCTATCTGAGGAGGCTTCCACGCGGCCGCAGGTTGGGGACTCGGAACCGCTTCTTGTGGGCCCAGCCCCTTGACAGGGCACCTGCAGCTAAGAGCATCTGAAAGCCCGTGGGTGTGCACCTTCTGCATGGAGCAGCCCTTTTTAGTCTGTGTTCTGGGAACACAGGCAGAAAAGGAAGGAAATTCCATCTGAGGATGAGCCCACAGTACAGCCTGAAGGGGAGCGAGCCATAGGAGAACCGATGCATCCCTCAGGTGTGAGGAAAATTGGAGGCACTGAGCAGAAGAAAAGTGAAGGCAAGCTTCCTGGCTGAAGCTGACTTCATATGAGAGATTTCCAAAGCGACACGTGGGAAACTTCACAACTCCCTAAAACCCGGAGATGGGGCCAGGTCCCTCTTGTACCGGTTGTCAGGGAAGCCTCAAGACTTCATGCTGCTTGCTGTAGGACAGCTGGGGGCATCCAAAACAGTTTCGCTAGCAAAGGGTCAGCACTCCCTGCCCCAGATTAAAAGTTGGTGATGCTATCAACCCTTTGGAAAGGAAATACCACTTCCAAATTGGGGTCTTAGCAAGGAGGTGCTGGAACTGGGTTTATAATGCTCTTTTAAAAAACACAAGGAGGCATACATAGAACATAGTTGATTGGAAGGAGGGATGACAACTTCTAGAGAAAATGAAAAATAAATTATTTGCTTTCATGTCCATAAAGGGAAGACGAAAGCAGATGCCAGCAACAGACAAGCATTTCCCAGGGAGAGGAAAATATTTCTGAAGGAAATCAGCCTAGTAGCAGAACAGGTGAGAAAGAAATTAGAGTGTCTAAGGACTGATAACTCCGGGAGCAGATGGGAACCATCTTAGAATTTGTGCAAGAAGAGGCAAGGAAACAGGGGAACGGTTAGCAAATACCTTTTAAAAACACCCAGGGAAACGGGAGAAGCACCAGTGGCCAAGAGCCCTTATGCAACACCTATATTTAATAACGACTCAAAGGGAGATCAAAGAAATTAAACACCAGTAAGCTTGACTTGAGCAGTGGGGAAGATATTGGAAACACTAATCAGGGACAAAATAGGGAAAGTTATGATTTAATTAAAGATATTCAGCATGGATTCACAAAAGGGAGATCATACGTAACAAAACTAATAGAATATTTTGAAAAAGTAACAAAAAGGAATTCAAGAGGGAAACCAGGGGTATAATTTACTGGGACTTTAAGAAAGCTTTTGTGCACTGACTCACAAAGGACTAATCTCCAGCGGTGGGGAGTTTGGGTGTGAGTGTGGTGGGGGGTGGAGAATGAATGAAGAATTGTCTGGACCAAGGGTACTTGTGAGCATTACTATGAAGAGATTAGGATAAAAAAAGGAGACTGACTGCTGGAATTTCCCGAGATCTGAGTTTTTTTAATTAATTTTTTTAAACATACAACATCAATAGCCTTGCTTCGGAAATGCGCCCAAACGTGGTGGAATTCTCCTGCAGGTGTAACGTCGGAGGGCAGGTGCCAGTTGATACAACAAGGGCAATAACATTGGAAAGGATTTATTGAAATATGATGAATACATGACCATCCCTCAAATACTACGAGACTGCGACCAAAAGGGGGGCAGAGCCACTAATTGCCACTTGAGTAATTAACACAAATAAAGGTGGAGAAAATGTCTAGAAGGAGCTAAAGCACTGTGGTCTGGACAGTGCGTGATCAACAGCTGTGCCCACTGACCGGCAAAGTCACACATCCACACGTACACACCGATGGCTTCATGCAGAAGCACGCACACACCCGCACATGCACACATTCACACATTACATAGGGACATTCATGAGCACACCTTCACACCTTGCAAAGATGCACTCCTGCCTAAACACACATTGTGCACATTCGTGCTCCTAGACACGTGTACACACAGTCGTGAACATGTGTGCGCAGGCTCAAGCTTCTTTCCCCAGAGGCTGCTATACTGTGCTTAGGTGGAAATGATGGATGTAAAGGAAAAAAGAACATACTATTTTCCACCAGGACAGTTGGGGAGGCACATGACAGGGGGAAAGGCCCCCTTAGTCACATTACGGTAATAATAGATGCCACAGGGATGAAAGAAGAGGCAGAGGGGAGAGGAATCGTGAGACACAAAAAGACCTTTGTTGCTACAAGCCAAACCAGAGCTGAATACCTTCTCTGAAAAAATAATGGCAGAAATCCCCAAAGGGGCCAAACTCTTGCACTTGGAGACAGAGCTACAGAATGCAGTAGCAGGAGGCTGGAGAAGACGGTGACTAGATCTGAGACCTGCTGTCCTCAGGGCTCCAACCCAAAGCTTATCCAGCAAGAAGCCAGGCTGGGCAACGGCATGGCGAACTTTCCCAAAATGCAGACGTGTTGTTCGCCAAACGAATAGTTTCTTCATTCTTGGTGAATGTCTAGGTCAGAATAATGACCAAAAGCATCAGAACATATGTGTCTAGATGGGAAGCTCCCTGCTGCAGGGTGGCGCCATCCGCTAAGTGGGCTGCAGCCACTAGCAGACGGCCCTCATCTGTGGGGCTTCACACTCAAATCCCTTTGACACTTATAAAGTTATGACAAGCCTGTGGAGAAGATATGGATATAGACACAGATCCTAACATGCAAGTATTAGAATAATTTGAACTTCATTTACCTTTTACATCATTCATTAATATTAAAATGTGACTTCAACAGTTTCCATATTTAAAAGGTCACTGAGGATGAAAAGTTGCAAAATGAAGGATACATGTCCTCCTCATTAATAATAACAGGAGTGTCCTATAATAGTCATATCCTCTGATGCTAAGGCACCAAGGCATTGATTCCCCCCAAAAAAATTTTTTTAAAGAAATGCCACCAAAAGCAATGGCAGCAAAAGCCAAAATTGACAAATGGGATCTAATTAGACTAAAGAGCTTCTGCACAGCAAAAGAAACTACCATCAGAGTGAACAGGCAACCTACAGAATGGGAGAAAATTTTTGCAATCTACTCACCTGACAAAGGGCTAATATCCAGAATCTACAATGAACTCCAACAAATTTACAAGAAAAAAACAAACAACCCCATCAAAAAGTGGGCAAAGGATATGAACAGACATTTCTCAAAAGAAGACATTTATGCAGGCAAAAGACACATGAAAAAATGCTCAACATCACTGGCCATCAGAGAAATGCAAATCAAAACCACAATGAGATACCATCTCACACCAGTTAGAACGACCATCATTAAAAAGTCAGGAAACAACAGGTGCTGGAGAAGATATGGAGAAATAGGAACACTTTTACACTGTTGGTGGGACTGTAAGCTAGTTCAACCATTGTGGAAGTCAGTGTGGCGATTCCTCAGGGATCTAGAACTAGAAATACCATTTGACCCAGCCATCCCATTACTGGGTATATACCCAAAGGATTATAAATCACACTGCTATAAAAACACATGCACACGTATGTTTATTGAGGCACTATTCACAATAGGAAAGACTTGGAACCAACCCAAATGTCCAACAAATAAAAGGCTGGATTAAGAAAATGTGGCACATATACACCATAGAATACTGTGCAGCCATAAAAAAGGATGAGTTCATGTCTTTTGTAGGGACATGGATGAAGCTGGAAACCATCATTCTCAGCAAACTATCGCAAGGACAAAAAACCAAACACCGCATGTTCTCACTCATAGGTGGGAATTGAACAATGAGAACACATGGACACAGGAAGGGGAACATCACACACCGAGGCCTGTTGTGGGGTGGGAGGATGGGGGAGGGATAGCATTTGGAGATATACCTAATGCTAAATGACGAGTTACTGGGTGCAGCACACCAGCATGGCACATGTATACATATGTAACTAACCTGCATGTTGTGCACATGTACCCTAAAACTTAAAGTATAATTAAAAAAAAAAGAAAGAAATGTCCACTATAGGCTTTCTCTCCATTTTAACTCTGGAGACGTACATACTTTAAACCAAATCGTTATGAATTCATGCTTAGAGATTACAAACTAAGAATGAAAGGAAGGAGGAAATTTTTAAAAATATACATATAAAGAGAAACAGCTAAGCATAGCAGATCAAAATGCACCCCACTGTGTTTTGACTGCAGATCCCTCTTCCAACATCTCCCAGGGACAACTGAAGTGGACAAGCACTTCTTGAACAAGTAAAGTTAAACCACAGAGCTCACTTGTTATCTGTGGCTCCACTGCCATTTTAAACACTTGTCTCTGAAGCTTTCACCTTGGGATAGATGACATTTACAACACATGTAACAGAGATCGAAACGTGAAATCAATAACAAAAAATGTTTGCCTTTCAATTTGGTTCATTCTATCACTTCCCCCCAATTTTTGATTCAAATTGAATTTGGGAATTTCTACTTTGCTTTCTAAAGCAAAGAAATCTTTTTCTAATACCCTGGAGTTCACTCAAGCATGGCCTAAAGCAATATTCACTAAGAGGAGAAAAGGGTTAACTGGGGGAGATGTAAGCACCACCCCCCAACGCAACTCCCAATCTTCCACCCAAAGCTACCCTAAGTGAACATACAATGTACGTGAAAACTCACCTCCCACCTCCATGCTTCCACACAGGTTGGTGCCCCAAAACCCCCCCCTGCAGAAATTGCTTTGCGATAGCTGGCAGAACCCCAGAGTAGAATAAGGCTTTTTGAAGCAAAACGAAGCGTTAAAAAGTACCTGTCCGGAATGTGTCTTGAAATCAGTCATTGAGAATCATCTGTCAGTAAGACAAAATTAATTACTACATGTAAAATGAAGAAATCAATGTACATTAAACACTGTATAAATGGTATAAAAGTTTAGGACAAGGTGATTGTTAAATAATTACTGATACTTGTATAAATGTTCCACCAAGCCCCAGCAGGGACGTGACATCATGGGACTCTTTCCAAATCTTCCCAAGTCGAGTGTGGGTCTTAGTGTGTTTCTCTCACATCCACCTCCAATTAGGTTTGGAGATTTAAGTAATACCCCAGCAAATTAAGTAACTTGCAAAGTTCAGTGACATTTTAGCACAATTTTCAGCAGCCAAGGCTGGGATGGAGGACACAGTCCCAGTGGAATGGATAGATTCATGAACCCAGCAGGAGAAGAAGCACCCGTTCCCCCACCACAGGATCCCCAATAACTTGGGAAAGGATGCTACCTGGTGAAATATTTTATTAATTTATGCAAATCTGGCTTTACTTATGAAATCCAATCAGTTATAAATACTTCAAGACGGGTCATAACTTAAGATATGACTTTTGAACAATGTTTCTAAGGCCCAGCTCCATGACTTTTGGTGTTGACATAAAAGGCTAAAAGAAAGCCTCAGTGCTGAGGCCATTGTTAGACAGACACCTCAGTTGTGTCCCTCAGGGAGCTGGGCTCTCACCCCCCACACAGCCTCTTTCACTCAGGTGCTCAGGACAAAGAGATCCAAGTCTACCGATATTTGATCCACTCAAAGAAGGCACTGACTGACTCATCCATCTCACCCTCAGACAGAGCCTTTGCATCATCTCCTGAAACCCATCTGGACAACCGGTCTGCAGCACAACAGTCTCTCCTTTCTCAGTGGGATCTAATCTGTTGCTAGAGTCGAGGACCTCCTGCAGGCACTTCTGATGATCAAAATTTCCTTCTGAAACTTCAGCCTCCTCTCCGTAATGACAGCCCGAGGCTCAGCTCACGCCTTGAGTTTTCTCTAGTCTCTCTGACCTTCTACCTTCTAATCAGCCAACACATTTCAGTCCCCTCTGAAGCTTTTGAGGTCCATTCCTCCTTCAACTTGCGGGTCCTGGCAGTGACTTTCTCACTGGGGCTTAACCTGGAAGGCAAATGCCATCAGCTGTCCACCAGAGATGGAGGACAGACTGTCAACCCCCAGGGAAGGATTGACTAGAAGAACTTTCCTGCAACAAGACCCTCAAACCCCCTGGTTGAAATGGGCCCCAAGTGTCCTCCAAGTGTACTTTGCAACAACCAATATACAGAAATAAAAGATTTCCAATATACAATTTGTAAAATTAAGGAGCTGAAGATTACTTAGGAAAGGGCGATTTGCAATGCAAACGAACTTTCTGATTTATAGAGTCACCACGGGGTTCCTTACATGAGTCAATCTAAAATAGGATTCAGCTCACAATGCATCTAAAATAGGATTCGGTTCCCAAAATCCAACACCCACGCCATATCAGCAATGGCCCCCATCAACACAGCCATTGCAGAGGGAGGTGGTCCCGCAAACTTTGCTGTGCTTTTTTCTCAAAAGGTTTTCCTGCAAGTGCATGGCCAATCTCATTAAATAGGCTTTCCTTTGGCTCGTACTATTATCCTTGGCTTTGCAATCAGAGTCGCTTTTCCATCCACAACCAACCCCTCAAACACCTTCAAGGACTTGCCCCACTCTACTGCCATCCTCTAGGTCTCCTCATCTTGGGACAGGCATTACATCCCGGCCAAGAGAAGCCCCTAATTCCTGTCTTGGATTTGAGATTTGGCGGGAAGTGACCTCCCATTGAGGAGTAAATCTGAGGTTTAAAATTAAGTGAAAAAGGATATAAATATTTCATTGCTTTGATGCAGTAATTCCATTTCTGGTGGTCTTCCCTAGAGAAATACTCTAAAGCACGAGGGTGAAGATGGAATAAGAGGAGCTGCCTTTATGTTCAAAGACATTCCCTGTATTATATTTGTAATAATAAAAACATTGGAAACAGTCGACATATTCAACAATAGGGTAAATAACTATATAATGATATTTTAGTGTAGCCATACGTTTATACATATACGTTTTAATAACATGAGAAAAAATTTCATACTACACATATATATTACATGTATATGACATGCAGAAATCATATGACAGCAAGATTACAATTCCATAAAAGCTAGGCACAGGAAGAAAGCTGAAAGGAGATAAACTAAAACTGTGGCATTCTTCATGCAGTAAGCAATGTCTGGGAGTTTTTTCTATTTTTTAAATAATCAGAACAGAAAAAAATAGAATTTGCTTTTCTTTCAAGAAAACACAGGTTGATTTCTTTTTTGAGAAGTAAAACAGATTGGGTTAAATGTAGTATATTAAAAGTAAGCTTCAGTTAACTTCCATTTTTTGTGAAAAAGTAAAATTTCTATTAATGCTAAAGATTTTATCTCACGAACATGGTAAAATGTTTTATTTAAATATTTTATACTTGAAATATTATAAGGCCTTAGCTGCTGATCCAGAGATAACTAAGCGGTACTGAAGCTGAACTAGAGACTTACGCAGGTGGGAATGTGTACAGCTGCATAGGGTTTTCATGTGTCCACAGCATTCTGTGTCTATGTCCCAGACAGGGCCTTCATACCAAACCAGGATGTGCCCCAGGAGACGTGCTCCCCAACAGCAGGGCTGTGAATGACGGCATTCTGCTGCTGACACGAGGCCCTAGCCCAGGTCTGGTATAAGACAACATCTTAGTAAATGCTGCATAAGAAATGAATGTCCTTTGAATGTGCCTCTGATCTCTGTGAAACTGTAAGCTTGCCTGGAATGATGGCCACTGCTACCACTTCATATAGGATATGGAGTGCCTGTGCCTGCACAGAGGGATATTCAGGAGCTACCAGTACAAACACCAGGTCAGCAAACCTCCCTGCCTTGCAGGCTGGTAAGACGGTGCAGGGAGAAGCCTGGAGGATCTTGGGCCTGACTCTTGCGAGGCACAATCTTACGATACCTCAATTTGCCAGTCCTTAGAACTGGGGAGATAATCTTCTTCCCCAGAGATTTTGGTGTGCTGAGTCAGAAGTAAAGAAATAAGTTTTCTCTCAAAGGCTGAAACAGTGCTGATTGCCAAACAGGGGAGGAAAATCTGGTTTTAGTTATTTAAGACGTTATTTTACTTCTACTTCTGGCTATAGTAAAAGAGCCTGTAACAAATCAACTGTCTTATTGAGCACAACTAGAAAAGCTGCATGAAAAAAACAGTGGTGCGTATTTGTGTGTATATAACCAATTTTTTTTTTCTTGAGACAGGGTCTCACTCTCACTCTGTTGCCCAGGCTGGAATGCAGTGGCGTGATCTTGGCTCACTGCAACCTCTGCCTCCCGGATTCAAGTGATCCTTCCACCTCAGCCTCCCAAGTAGCTGGGACTACAGGCACGTGCCACCACGCCCAGCTAATTTTTGTATTTTTTGGTAGTGATGGAGGTTTCACCGTGTTAGCCAGGCTGGTCTCAAACTCCTGACCTCAGGTGATCTGCCCATCTCGGCCTCCCAAAGTGCTGGAATTACAGGCGTGAGCCACAGCACCTGGCCAGTATGTGAGTATATAAATAATTTCAAGGTGTAATAGAGTTATCAAAGGAGCCAAGACTTGACAGGTCAAGATTCTAAAAAGGAAGGAGCACAGAATGCTGGGCTTGCTTTTGACTTTGCTTTTCCCCTTGAGACAGTTGTGAACTTACAAATGGCAGCCAACGAGATGCTGAGAAGCAAAGCAGAGACATCCGTAGTCCAAGGGACCAAGAAGATAAACACCAGAATCTAGGGCTTTGTAAGGCAGAAGTTTCCTGATAAGCACCCCGCACACTTATTTGTTACCCCTAAAGGGGCAGAAGAAGGAGTAAGAACAGATAAGAAATAAATCCTTAAAATCTGCTCAATTTCTGATTGACTTATGGTGATCTTCCGCAAGCCTAATGGCCTACTGGAAACAAAAGTAAATCCTCCCTAGAGGAAGATAACACCATCCAGAGCTGTGCTGCCTGCCAGGGTAGCTGACGGCCATGTGGCTACTGGGAACTTGGGATGGGGCTTTGTCAGAATTGAGAAGTGCTATGAGGGTAAAACACTCACTGGATTTCCAAGACTTAGTACAAAAAAGACACGTAAAATGTCCCATTAATACTCTTTATATTGGTTACCTGCTCAAATGATAATACTTCGGGTACACCAGGTTAAATACAACAAAATACGTTCTTAAAAATAGTTAACTATGTATTCATGCTTATTTAATGTTGCTACTACAAAATTTAAATGACGTGGGTGGTTCACATTACATTCCTATTTGGCAGTTCTCATACAGTCAAAAGGCATCTCTAAAATTTGTATACGCCATGTCTGACATTTGATAAAAATTACCAGGAACACCAGGAAATACGACCAAATGAGTAAAAACAAAGACAGAAAATCAGGCAACAGCTAATGTAATCAGGCCTACCAAAGATACAAATATTGAGTTCTAGAGTTACAGACTTTAGAATAACTATACCTGATATATTTAAGAAAATAGATGACAAGATAAGGAGTTTAGGTAGAAAATGGGAATCGCCAAAAGAAATCAACTGGAAATTGTGAGACTAAGAGTACAATATCTGAAATTCAGAGCTAGACAGTTTTGAAATACTTCAAGAAAGAGTTAGCTGGAAGAAGATTCCATTTGCATAATACAGCAATGTGTCCTGTTCTTGACTGCAAAGATATATAAAGTTTTGCTCTTGTCCTAATCTGGCCCATGACTACCTTACAATCCCCTCAGAAGCCCAGACAAATTCTCCCCAGTGAGTCAGAAGACTAAACAGTTGATATGGTTTGGGTCTCTGTCCCCACCCAAATCTGATGTAGAGAATTGTAAAATGTTGGAGGTGGGGCCTGGTGGGAAGTCACTGGATCATGGGGGAAGATTTCTCTTGAATGGTTTTTAGCACTACCTGCCTTGGTAATGTTCTTGTGACAGTGAGTAAGTTATCCTGAGATCTGGTTGTTTAAAAGTGTATAGCACTTCCCCCCTCTCACGCTTCCTCCTGCTCAGGCCATGTGAAGTGCTGGCTCCCACTTCACCTTCCACCATGACTGTAAGTTTCCTGAGGCCTCCCCAGAAGCTGAGCAGATGCAACATCATGCTTCCTGTACAGCCTACAGGACTGTGAGCCAATTCAAACTCTTTTCATTATAAATTACCCAGTCTTAGGTACTTATAGCAAATCTAGAACAGACTAACACAGCAGTGTGAGATGTTAAGACCTTAAAAGTCCTTACGACTGATGGAAGAGACATGCTAAAATGGATCAGAGGTCTGGGTTGAGAAAGACCAGCCACCCTGGCCTGGCTTTCTGCCCTTTCATCAAGTTTGACCTTAGTGTTTCCCAGAGACCAGAAGCAGTGTCAACACAACAGATCTGGAGCTGATACCAGGTTGTTTGATGCAGACTGGAACATTCAGGAAAGAGTTTTCAGGGCTTGCATCGACTACTTCTGGGTGGTCCATGAGTAAGCCACAAGGATGTTTGGGTTGTGCTGTGATGTCCCAAACATCCAACAGCAGAGCAAAAGACAAAGTACAGAGGCAATCTATTTTGTCTACATAACACCAGCTTTGCAAAAAAACCCTCGAAATACCTTGCTGCCTTTGTCTAACCCTTGCTATAAAAAAAAGACACAGTCTTTCTCAGAAAAGCAAGGTGAGAAGCAACTAGCTCAATCAATGTTTATGTACCAGAAGGGCTATTGTAAGTGCAAAACTAATAAACTCTACTCTCGCCAAGTATCTCAAAAGAGAAAAAAGGGGTGATGCTCTAGAAAAAGATTTGGGTTTGGATTGGAAGAAGAGCTATGTGATCATCAAGGGTAGAAGGATGTTAAAATATGTGCTTTTGTTACTCTTTAGATGGAAACTCCAAAAGTCTGACCACAAAGCGTAAAGGATGAATGCTTGCTTTATCCAAATTGAGAATGAAGACTGGCCAACAAGTGTCCTCAACCTCATGCCAAGACCCAATTTGAGTCTATAGAAGGGTATAATTTGAAAAGGCAGAGAGTTGCAAAATAGAAGAGTTCTTTGGAAAGAGTTGGTGGGTGTGATGTTATTACCAGCCCTCCTTCCACAGGGGATGGACAGAAGTTGCTTCCTTCACTTCAATCCCAGTTGATGGACTCTCAAAGAGAACCTGTTCCATGTCCCTTGGTGTCAGTAGGACATGATACCCAGCTATGCCAAAGTGGAAAGGCTAGAGACTGTTCTTAGGGTGGGTTGAAAAGAGGCCTGTATGGGGAAAGGTTCCAGTTTCAGTTTGCTGGAAGACATGAAGAATATTTCCCAAGGTCCAGATGTGGGTCAGTATGGAAGGACCCTCTGCATAAAAATGCTGTCAAGGACTTTGCCCAAGAGGCTGCCTAAAAGGATGAAACAACTCACCAGGAAGACACTGGATGTTCACTGCTGAAGGGCTAGCAGCCAGCAGCCAGCCAGAGGCAACATGCCCAAACTGTAGGTGACAGAATCCTAGAGATGTGGGAGAGCCCAAAGAACTCCAGAAAGGATCCAGCCCAGGAGAAAAATGACTGTCATGGCTGTGTTTCCAGCCCTGACTTCTTCTGCGGACTCTGTTCGAAACCAGGGTAGCCAGAACGCACAGGAGAAAGGAAAACATGAGGCCAGGGACCAGAGAAGACACGGCCTGCCCCCGTCCCCAGGCCCGCAACAGGCTGCAGCCAGGTCCAGAAAATGATCCCACTCTACATGAAGCTTGGAGTTAGGAGTATGACATTGAAACATGTGCTTCCATGACCAAAATGAGGTTCTTTTATGACTCAAAGGCACATAAAGACCCTGCGTTATTCCAGAGTGTCCAAAAATATTGTGGGACCTTGCCTAGATCTCACCCGAAATGGGTGGGGGAAATCCAACATCGCAAAATGGGTTTAAACAGACAGAAAGAATAACTTTCTGTGCTTCCACCCTGTGGACTTTTCTCTTTAAACATAAAGATGATAAATCCCCAGGAAGGAAGGAGGGAGCCTCTTACTTGAAGAACATGGGAAATCATCATTTTTTCACAAGCAATATTTTTCTTTTATCCATGAAGAGACAAGGGCCTCATGAGGATGGGAATCTTTGCTCAGCCACAGTGGAGCCAGGACACGCATCCGGTCCCCAATCCCTTCCCCCACATTGCCATGGGGGAGATGATCACCCATCCTGGAATCAGCAGATAGGGCCAATGACCCTCTCACTTTTCCTGTCTGCGTAGGACCTGGTTATCTCATTTCCCTCATCATTAAAATGCTGGTGAGTCCAGCCTAGATAAGAAAAGCCAGCTCCTGTTAGGTGGTCACCATGTCTCATGGCTGACCACCATTGTGAAGGGATGACACGCCACACCCGGGCCCCACCAAGCAAGATTCCAAAGCCCAGAGGTACCTGGGAGAGAAAACATCCTTTGGCTGGGTGTTTTCCTGAACATTCTCTCCAGAGACCCTTCTGGAAAACGTTGCAGCCACTGGCACCTTGCACAGCTCTCCGGCGGCCCACTCATCCTCTGGGGGCACCCATCAGCTGGAGTACCCGGGGAGAGCCTGCAGCCACAGCTCAGAAAGCGCCACATGGCAGGGAGCTGGGTTTCCAGCAGGCAGGAGAGGAGGTAAGCGCTCTCCGCAGTGTCCTGCTGTGTTTGGAAACCCCATCCAAGAGGCAGCGTATGGATCTGTGTATGGGTCTGCTGTCGCGTAATGAAATGGTAATGGGAGGCAGTCCGGAACTCCTCTTTACACAGCCACCAACGGATGCCATCCACAAGGAGGGCAGCTGCTCCTCCAATCTGCCCTGCTTTTTGAAGTCAACACTCTCTTTCAAGACCAAGGACACCCCCAGCCACACCCAGGAGCTCTTGGGGCCTCCAGAGAACCTTCTGCACTTAGATGCTCCCCCTGCACCTTGCAGGCAGCCCTTGCTCCTGGCCAGAGTGCCTGGGAGCCGAGGATCCGCACAGGGTGGGACAAGAGAGTGCCTTGCAAGAAGGACAGCCCTGGCTCAGGCAGGGAGCCATCTTGGAGAGCAGTTGTACCAGTGCCCAGTTCTGTGAATTGCACACTCTCCCTCTCTTTGTTAAGTTAATAATAAACACAAAGCAACAACCACAAAATCCAAATAAATGATAAACTCCAAAAAGAGCAGAATTGGACTGTCATCTTTTCCAGATACCTGTTCACCACAGCAGAAGGGCTGTGCCAACACTGCACCATCTCCAATCCACGCCATATGCCTGTTTCTTTACTTAGCGTTGTTTGGGATGGGAATCCTTCAGAGAATGGAAAGTGCCTGAACGTTTGGCAAACCAGACAAGGACACCAGCCGAATGTGCATGGGGATATGGTATGTCCCTAAACATGCGCGTGTGGGGCACGCGCATACACACACACACACACACACACACCCAGCTTTCTTCTCTCCCAGCCTGTTTGTAACTTTGCTCATCGGTTGTTTTTTCTATGTACAGTAACCAGAATTAAAATAAGCTGAGTGTTAGAAAAGCAGAACAAATGGAGACTGCTTTTGACAGTGGTGACACTTTTGGTCAAATCATCTAGCTGAGATTTTGGCTAAGAGTTTAGTCAGACACACACGTACCCAGGCACACAAAGACTGACACGTAATCTACTCATGGCTCTGGCTCTGCTTGGCTCAGAAGGGGGTCTGGAGATGCAGCCATAACGAGCTGCACTCCCGAAATGAAAATCCCGTCCCCTTTCTGGTTGGATTGTGTGAGTTTGTAACGTGGGCCAGACTTCAGTCCTGGCCTCATTCACACGCGTGGATGCAACATTCACCGGCATTAAGTGGAGAGGACCACAGCCAGGAACAAACACAAACCAACAGGAAATCAATGGTGTTTTATCATCTCAGGACTTTCGATTATGCCGGCTGTCAGCAGAGGTGCCCTTGAGGGACTGCTCCGACCAGGGGTATGGTGGACCCTGGCTGGTACCCAGGAAGCACTCCCTCCTTTTTTCTAGGAAATTCAGAGACTGGAGGCATGGCAGGAACTTCTCAAGGGTAATCATTTTTCCTGACTGGTATCTTAAGCTTGTCAAGTTCTTAGCCAGAGCTTTCCAAGTCGAGCTTAGAAGAACCATATGGTGCTCGCCCAGTCCATATGACTGGCTGAGCGTCGACCACTATTGTTGATACAATATATCACTTTGTTCTCAATATTATGACAGCATTTGTCAATGAAAATTAAATTACTGTCAAACTTATCCTGCTAACTTACGGCACAACAATCGGAGAAAGCCAGCACCGCGCCTTAAGCCAATGGGACCTTGTCTTCATGCTCCACCAAGAGGCGGGAGAGAAAGACATTTGGGTCTTTAATGCCAGTAGGGATGGTCTGCCCAGCTAGCACAGGGATGCAATGGAAACGACCTTCCTGCAGCCTGAGCTCCTGGGAAGGGGTACGACGGAGGTGGGGGCAGGGGCAGTGTCACTTCAGGCACATGCTTAGTACAGGCAATGTTTCATGAGGGAAATAGCACCACATGTTACACTGATGTGCTGATTAAAAGAAGAAAAGAAAAAGATGACATCTTTAAAATTAAAGATCCTTAGGGGGTGTTTAAAATCTAATATTGGCCAGGTGTAATGGCTCATGCCTGTAACCCCTGCATTTTGGGAGGCCGAGGCAGGAGAATTGAATGAGCCTAGGAGTTCAAGACCAGCCTAGGCAACATAGTGAGACCCCATCTCTACAAAAAAATTAAAAAATTTAAAAAATTTAAAAATCAAATAAAAATAAAATCTAATATAATTTGTGACAATCTGGATGGAATTGGGGAACATTATATGAAGTGATATATGCCAAACACAGAAAGACAAATACTGGGTGTTCTCACTTAAATGTGGACTCTGAAGCAATTGATCTCATAGAAGCAGAGAGCAGAATGGTGGTTACCAGAAGTTGAAGCCTCAGTTCAATAGGAGGAACACATTTGAATTTTTGTTTAGATCAATTGCATTACATGGCAAATATAGCTAACAGTTGAGTTTGTTACATTTCAATATTACCAGAGAGTAAATTTGTAATATTCTTATAAAAAAAGTTAAATATTTGAGGTGATGGGATATGTTAATCAGATTAATTCAATCTTCCCACGTCGTATTTAAAACCATAACTCCTCTTTGTACCTCATAATTATATAAAACTAGAATTTGTCAATACACAATAAAAATAAGAATAAATACAATTGAATATCGACATCCTGAGCTATCTATTCCTGTGGAAGCGTTTGACAGCTAGATTCCATCTGATACCACAATCAGCTTCTTCTATACCTGTGAACAACCTTAGCTTTCATTCCAGTATCTAAGATTGAAGACTTTTGGCTGTTCTATTTTTCCACTAAGGAAGTGGATCAATTATAGAATGCTGAGAGTTTCCAAAAATTTAAAAGATAAGTTCTTCCTCTTTGATCATCTTATTGAAAAGGGCTTGGCTGGTAGAACTCTCACAAGCAGGCATGTCATGGACCATCTAGAATCTGTAATCCACAGCCCTCTTCCTCCTCTCTCCACCCTTTAATTGTCCATACCCATGAATTCAATCTTCCAGATCATTTAAAGAAGATAACTTGGGATTGAGATGAACTAATGGAGTCAGTCAGGGATTTTGACTTCTTTCTAATTTCTCTGTGTCTCTCAAGAATAAAATCTCTCACTAATTTCAGCCAGCAGTGACTTAAGCAACATCAAACTGCTTGTCACAATTAACACTGGGAGAGGTAGAGACAGAGATTGGGGCCTAGTCAGGACTTCTGGTTGGTTGGTTGGTTGGTTGGTTGGTTGGTTGGTTGGTTTGTTGGTTGATTGGTTGGTTGGTTGGTTGGTTGATTGGTTGGTTTTGAGATGGATTCTCGTTCTGTTGCCTAGGCTGGAGTGCAATGTCGTGATCTCACCTCACTGCAACCTCCACCTCCCAGGTTCAAGCGATTCTCCTGCCTCAGCCTCCTGAGTAGCTGGGATTACAGGCGCCTGCCACCATGCCTGGCTAATTTTTGTATTTTTAGTAGAGATGGGGTTTCGCCATGTTGGACAGACTGATCTCGAACTCCAGACCTCAGGTGATCCTCCCGCCTTGGCCTCCCAAAGTGTTGGGATTACAAGTGTGAGCCACCTCACCTGGCTGGACTTCTGGTTTTTACAGACACATTTCTTGGTGTTTCTTCATGTAACAACATTCTAGAGTAATGACCATGGCTATTGTAGAAAGAACAGAAAATGCGTCCCCAGCACATAGTAGGACATCACTTTCATCTTTAAGGTCACACAGAGCTACTAAAACCCAAACCCAAAGAGACTTCTTCCAGTGAACTATTACTCACAGTTAATAGTTTCAAATGCGGTCCCATTCTGTCCTCTGTGAGATCTTTACCTTGAACCCCCACCAGGAGAAGAACGCTAAATGTAACGCCTATGGGCTCTGGCAGCTGTGAGGACAGGCCTATAGTGGTTTGGGGAGGTGGCAAGAGGGGCCGTGTTTTATAAGACTGAAAATCAAACAAAAGCACCTCTTGGTGCAGTGAGTCCGCAGCTCTCAGCTGAGTCGTCAGTGGCTCAGAAAATGAAATGGACTCTCTGGTGATGAAAACTCCCCCATATTAATCCTCGAGTGCTCTCTGATGGGTGCTTATTAAAGCTGAAGAACAGAATGTTTTCAACAATACAGACACCCACGTTGCCCTCCAAGATGCTTGGGTTAGCGCAGAAGCAGTCGGCCTCAGGAGTAGGTCCTGAGCCTTCTCCCAATCCCCCGTCACTGGTAACCCAGGGAATCACCCCTTGAAGAGCCATCGATCACTCTAGGCCAGCAGTCCAGGCCAGCAGTAGCACTGGGAGTAACCCACCCTTTCCTTCCTAAGTAATGGTGGAGGCATAAAACTGACAAGCATTTCTCCTTTACGGCAGGATCCAAATATCTGAGACCTGCTGGACCCAGAGGGGTAAAGAAGACATTCGTGAGCAATCTTCTCCCTGCTCTGGAAAGCCAACCCGTTTGCTGGAGACATGTCCATGGACCCTGGTGGGAGGGGACAGCCGGGTCTGGAGACTGGGCCAGCCTCTCGGCCTGCAGGATCTCGGCTCAGCCATGGTGAATTCCCAGTGCCAGCAGTCGGATTTCCATCCCCAAACTGTTCTCCCCGACACAAAGAGGGGCAGCCTGGCTGCGTAACAAAAGCGAGTGTGGGTGGCAAGGTGACTGCACATTTCAGCTTGAATGCTCCGGTGTGGGGCTTGCACCTGATCACCAGATGCTTCAAGCAGATGGCCAGGGAGGGGAGGGCCGGCTCCTGGTTGCTTCCGAGGGGCTACAGGAGAACCAATCCAGAGAGCCGGTCGGGAGTGCCCGGCTGCACGGCCCAGCCTCCGCTCCAGGAGCCCTTGCAGGATGGAGCCTGGAGCCTCTGATGCCAGGGGAGCCTTCCAAATACACACAAGCACACC
Organism: Homo sapiens; assembly: GCF_000001405.40. Classification (NCBI taxonomy): domain Eukaryota; kingdom Metazoa; phylum Chordata; class Mammalia; order Primates; family Hominidae; genus Homo; species Homo sapiens. Next base: position 30,631,006 of record NC_000019.10, on the reverse strand, counting down.
TCGAGGGAGGGGCTTGATCTAGGAGCGAGCCTCGGCCAGCAGACATCCCTTTGTCCACTGAATTTTTTAGGATTTCTTCTCTGGATGGCCTTGCAGAACAGGCTGGTCTGCATCTGTTATCTGATCCAGAAGGTCTCAATAAATGTGATTCACGTGCAAATTAATTTTTCAGCAAGTGGCTGGGAGAGCAATAAAAGGGAGCCTCCCCGTGGCACCAGCCTGGCCTCACCTAAAGCCCTGGGTGGGTGTTTCTGCTGACCTTGGCCCAGTAGCAAGTCCTGACAGTGACCCAGACTGAGCCTGGGTAGCAGTCGCAGCCCCTAAGATAGGAAGAGCAGGCAGAAGGGAGGTCGGCTGTGCCAAGGAGGGCTTTCTGGAGAACAGAGGATTTTTCAAAGCTCCTCTCTCAGCAGAAGCTGCTGGCAGGGTCTGCGGGCCAGGGCTGAAACGGAGGCCCAGCCCTGCTCTTGTTCCTGCCCGGGGTCTCCTTTCTCTTCCAGGAAATTCATGCTCTTGCATGCCCAGGCACACACAGCCATGCAAATGCAGGACGTGTGCACACACGCAGGTACACAAACACACACACACACACACACACACACACACGGGATACTTCCTGGAGAATGAGGATTGGGTTGCTTTATTTACTGATGTATCCTGCCTTCCAAATCCATTATGTTGGTGCAATTACTTTTGCAATCACCCGCAATTACTTTTGCACCAACCTAATAGAAAGTGCCTGAGATATATGAGTTGCTCAGTCAATATTGTTCAATGAATAAATGAACGAATGAGAGAATGAATGGATGAAGAATGCCCCGATTCAACCTCTCTTGCCTGCCCAACCCAGCAAGTTACCAGCTGTAGCCCCTGGTGCTCTCCGGCCCACTCTGTCACTTATATTCTGCAGATAAAACTTTTGTAAAAAGAATGACCCTCTCTTCCCTAGAGAGTAGCTGTTTTTTAAGTTCACACTTTCTCAAAGTCAGGGCTGAGCTGTGCCCAATGCCCTCCCTGGCAGAAACAAGGGAGTGGAGCTGCCCACAAATGGGTGTTCTCTCCTGGTGGTTTTGGATGGCACGGGGTTGCTCAGATCACCTGGTTCTGGCTGAGCAGGGACCACTGTGCCTGTGTCACTGTGAGCTGCTGTGCAGGAGGGACCCTCACTGCCCCTGCCCTTGGCATTTCCCCTGCCCGGCCCCAGAAGGGAATGGAGTGAATGTGGATGCACTGGTTGACAAACGGCATAGGGGAGCCAGAGGAGCAGAGAAACTCGTGGCAGATTCCAGACCTACAAACAGTGCCAAAGCCTATGAGGACTGAGGGACAGGTCATAGCACCCTTTCACTGCGGCCAGCAGGCAGGCCAGCACAAGGCGGGTTCTGCATTCACCAGCTCTGTAACCTTGAGCATTACTTGATCTCTCTGAGCCTTGCCCCTTCTTTTACAAAAGAGATAATAAGGACGTCCACTTCGTTGCACCGTTGCAAGAATTTAAAAGGCAATTATCAGGCTGGGCATGGTGGCTTATGCCTATAACCCCAGCAATTTGGGAGGCCGAGGTGGGTGAATGGCTGGAGCCCAAGAGTTTGAGACCAGCTTGGGCAACATGGCAAAACCCTGTCTACAAAAATACAAAATTGGAAAGGCACGGTGATACCTGCCTGTGGTCCCAGCTACTTAGGAGTCTGAGGTAAGAGGATTACCTGAACCCGAGGAGGTCGAGCCTGCAGTAAGCCGTGATCATGCCACTGCACTCCAGCCTGGGAGACAGAGTAAGACTCTGTCTCAAAAAAACAAAATTAAATAAATAAAAGGCAATTGTCTAGCACTTAGCCCAGCACTTGGCACTGAGCAAGCCTTCAGTGATAACTGCTCTCCATACCTGGTACCCTGCTGTGCCACACAAAGTCTAAGCCCCATACATAGCAGCTGCAGAGGGTCCAGTCTCCTCTCCCTCCCACAGGTGTGGGCATTCGGTAGGTGCTTTAAAAGTGACTCCTGGGCCAGGCGCAGTGGCCCATGCCTATAATTCCAGCACTTTGGGAGGCCAAGGCAGGTAGATCACAAGGTGAGGAGTTCAAGACCAGCCTGGCCTATGTGGTGAAACACCATCTCTACTAAAAATACAACAATTAGCCAGGCATGGTGGCACATGCCTGTAATCCCAGCTACTGCGGAGGCTGAGGCAGGAGAATTGCTTGAACCAGGACCCAGGAGGTGGAGGTTGCAGTGAGCCGAGATCATGCCACTACACTCCAGCCTGGGCTCCAAAGCGAGACTCCGTCAAACAAAAAAATAAATAAATAAAAAATAAAGGGAGGCCAAGGTGGGTGGATCACGAGGTCAGGAGATCGAGACCATCCTGGCTAACATGGTGAAACCCCGACTCTACTAAAAAATACAAAAACTTAGCCAGGCGTGGTGGCGGGTACCTGTAGTCCCAGCTACTCGTGATGCTGAGGCAGGAGAATGGCGTGAACCCGGGGGGCGGAGCTTGCAGTGAGCCAAGATCACACCACTGCACTCCAGCCTGGGCGACAGAGCGAGACTCTGTCTCAAAAAAAAAAAAAAAAGTGACTACTGGATGAGCTGGAGCTCTGCAGCGTGCTGTGCTATGTTTTCTGTCCTCCTCGGTGCAGAGCTGTATGTCTGTTGGAAAGCACAGGGAGTTGAAGGAGCAGTCAGGAGGCCTACAGGGTCCTGGGGTGGTGGCAGAGCCACGGGGCCAGCATCGTAGCAGGCGGCTGTGACTGGTGGCAGACCCTCTGGTCCCAGGCTCTCCCACAAAGGCAAGGATTAGCCCTGTTGCCCTGGCCCACAGCCAGCTCGGATCATTTCATTTGGCCTACTTAGCGTTCCCCCAGGGGTGCTGGAGGGGAGATGATTCATCACTGTCTGGGGCACCCTCGTGCAGAAAGCCTTCCACCCGGGAGGAGGCTGCATTCCCGTCTGTCTGTGTGACATGACAGCCACAGTTTCCAAGCCCTCCCCACGGGAAGCAGGGGTGGTACGGGGGACACGGGTTCTGGGTTGAGGCGTGATGGACACTCAGAGAAGAAGCAGTCATGGCCGGAGCCACCCAGCCCTGGGAGGCCGTGGGTCATATTGGTGCTGAGCCATTACTGCAAGCTGCACCCGCAGGGTCAGAGCTGAGCTGAGTGGTATTGCACCCATCTTCGCCTCTCCTCACTGGTCCTCCGCCCATCTCAGGCCACCCCTAGAGGCAGGACAATGTCAGGGGAAGGTCAACGCAGGAAAATTCCTCCCTGGTCTGTGTCTTCTACAGCTCAGCGCATCATAGAATATGAGAGCCTTCAGAGAATCTGCGGAACCCCTCTCTCCTGTACAGAGAACTTGAGTGTCATTATTTAAGAGGGAATTTAAGAGTGTCATTATTTAAGAGTCCAGAGAGGTGAAGCAACCTATCCAAGGTCACACAGCACAATGGAGGCAGGGCTGGAACCCAATTCTTGTGTCTTCCAGCTCCAGCATAGAAAGCCTTTTTTTTTTTTTTTTTTTTTTTTTTTTTTTTTTTGACAGGGCCTTGGTCTGTCACCCAGGCTGGAGTGCAGTGTCACAACCATGGCTCACTGCAGCCTCAAACTTTTGGGCTCAAGTGATCCTCTTCCCTCAGCTTCCCGATTAGCTGGGACTACAGATGTGTACCACTACACCACCTGACTATTTTCTTATTTTTTTTTGTAGAGATGGGGTCTCCCTACATTCCCCAAGCTATTTCCAAACTCCTGACCTCAGATGACCCTCTCGCCTTGGCCTACCAAAGTGTTGGGATGATAGGCGTGAGCACCCAGCCAGCCTAGAACTTTCATGTCCTCCGTTGGTACCTAACCATTTATCTACCCCCAGAAACAGACCCACAGGGAGGCAGATAGCAGAGGAGCAAGGGGCACCCTTCAGCTTCCAGGCTCAGGAAGGAGCCCTGTCAAGATGAAAGAGGTCATTGAGCCCCCACCCTCCAGAGCCCAGTACTCCCCACCTTACTGCCAGTCCCATCATTCTGTCTCTCCTCCACATTTCAGGGGTTTGGCTAATTCCTAAAATATCCACAACCCCAATTGAATTAAGAAAACCCGGGAAGGACGGGAGGGCAGCCTGGAGGTTAGGGCTTCCCAAATGCAACACCGAGGTGGCCGGGGTGGGGGCCGTGCGGGGAGCAGGCTGCCGCTGGCCGGGATCCCTATCTGGCGCGGTCACCATCACCGCACATCCGCCCAGCATCCCCTTCCCTTCTGCACGAGTAATTAAGAAACACCTGTGTTTCTCCATCAGACTGCACGTTGGGGGAGAGCTTCCTTGCGTCGTGCAGGGGCCCACGGTGCTCCTGAGCCCATTGGGGCAGCGGACGGCCTCCTTCCTGAGCCTCCAAGTGGGGGTAGCGGGGGAAAAGGCCTCCCAGGCTCCAGCACCACTAAACCTGCCTTAAAAATGGCTGAAGCCCCCACCGAACTTTGCAACCAGAATGAGCTCCTCGAGGTGCCGTCTTGCCAGCACTCTGGCCGATGCCAGCTTTCTCACAAACGAACAGCTTGTATCCCCATGAAAATCAATGGATGGAACAAATTGTATTAAATTATGTAAAATGATACTAAAGAGCACATTCTACCAGTGAAAAGAAAAAAAAAATAACCCCCAGAAAATCTTATTTTAATAAATCTGGCAAAAATATAGAAGATAATTAGGAAGGGGAAAAAATTGCTAAATTTTTATGACACTTAAAGACGCATCCCCTGGCCATCGGCAGAGACGTGGGATTTATCCCCTCATAGGTCAGACACGCATAATTCTTGTGTGTGTCTGACACCTGTGAGTTATTTATCATCCCCGTGCTCTGGCCGGAGCCGTCTCCTGCCCGGCTCCTTGCCATAGAGACAGACTCAGCCGGTAGCAGAATCAAGCAGGCATTTTTTGGAACCAAATGCCCTGCCCTTTTACATGGATGTTTTTTTCTTGGTAAATAACTGTGATTAGCATTGAACTTACAATATAACCTCTTGCCCACATGTGTGGAAAAAAATCATTTTAAAATATTTTAGCCACTGCCACCGTTTCAATTCTATAGGGCAGCTACCATTTTTTTTTAATCAAGGATGTCCTGAGACATGGGAATGAATAGGTCAAGAGGCCTTTCTCAGCCCCCATGCATTCAGCCCTCAGCTCCAACCCCCAAAGGGCATGTCATTCACCAACACAGAGTCCATGGCATGCCTACATGGCATAAAGGAGCCAGAACATGGAAGCAGGTGTATCCAGGTTACTGTTTCTGTCCAGAAACGGTTTGAACTGACTTGGGCTGGGGAGCTCCCTGAATGAGGGATCCTGGAGATTAGATAATTTTGCCTCTTGTTTTCATAACCTCTCAACATTATGACCTTGAGTGAATTTTTAAACCTATCTGACACTGCTTCTTCACCTGCAAGGTGGATGCAGTAATGCCAACCTTGCCCGCTTCTTAACAGGACTAAAATAATTCAAATAATATCAACCTTCTGGTATAATTCCTAACACGGAGAAATAATTTCATAAATGGTAGTTCCTAATATTGTTAGTTTATATTAATAATTATCATTTCTCATTTTAGGACATATAATGAGGCCAACACAAGTTAACTAGCTTTCCTCCTAGATTAGAATGGTGTTCTCACTGGGAAAATCCAAATAGGTGATTTTTGAGATCCAATGCTTCTTGGGCCTCTGTTGGTCAAGTGATCATGACTCCCTGATTGGGGGGTGAGGTCAGAGTGGGGCCCAGTGAGTCATACCCTTTATTGTGTGAGGGGCAGAGCTCAGCTGTGCTTGGTTACCTATGCTCACCTGTGGGCCCACCCTCAGCTCTGGCCTCATTGTGAGAGAAGCTGGCTCCTTGAGCCTGGCTGCATTCCTGGTATATTAGTCCATTTTCATACTGCTATAAAGATACTGCCCAAGACCTGGTGATTTATAAACAAAGGAGGTTTAATTGACTCACAGTTCTGCATGGCTGGGGAGGCCCTCAGGAAACTTACAATCATGGCAGAAGAGGAAGCAAACATGTCCTTTTTCACAAGGCAGCAGGAGAGAGAAGAGTGAGGAAAGGAGGAACTTGCCAAACACTTATAAAACCCTCAGATCTCATGAAAACTCACTCACTATCACTAGAACAGCATGGGAGAAACTGCCTCCATGATCCAATCACCTCTCACTGGGTCCCTCCTTTGACATGTAGAGATTATAGGAATTACAACTCAAGATGAGATTTGGGTGGGGGATACAAAGCCAAACCATATCACCTGGTATTCCAAGGACACACCCTGATGGCTGAGCCCAAATCAGCCCTGCTCCCTAACAAACCCAAGCTTCTGTAGATCCTCAACACCAAGACTCCAGACATATTTAAAACTGAACAAGCCTGAAATAATAATGCACTTTACAATAGAGATCAGGCTTTTTATTGTTTTCCTTCCAAAGATGGCCCATTATATAGGTGATGGTAGCTCAGAATCAAGAATACATGGCATGATCATAAAAGTGTTACTACCTAGGAAGCCATCACTGCATGTGTTAAGGGCTTTCCCAACACTGTTAGATCATTCTGGGCTCGGGCTCAGATTCCCAGGGGAGCTAGCAGTTGATGAGGTAAGGGCAGCACCCTGAGGCTCAAGGCAGGCTCTAGATTCCAGAAACAGGCACAGGTCCTCACAGTGGGAATGGAGACAGATGCTAAAAGCTTTCATAGATGACCCTGTGTGGGAAACCTGGTGGGTCTGGAAAGACAGGAGGGAACAGGAGGGGTCAACTTGGAGGGCCAAGCAACCAGGGGTCACATGGGCATACGGCTGAGCCTGGACCCATCCACCTGACTACTATGCTATTATAGGGCTCCCAAGGCATACCCACACCCCAGAGTGCCACACACCCCACAATACGCCAGACAAGTCCTGGACCTCTTTGAGTCATTTATGAAGGAGAGGCAGAGAAGTCACACAAAGCAGTCATGACCACACAGCCAGAATCACTCCGAAGCCCATTTCCAATAAAGGACACCACTTCTCTAACCCATGAAACATGGGACTCTGTAGAGTCAGTCTGTTCATTCATTTAGTCATTCACTCATTCATTTATACAAAATGCACTGAGGCCCCTCCAGTACCAGACACTATTCAGAGTGCTACGGGATCCACTATCAAACAAAACAGATAACACCCCAACATTTGCAGCTCTGTAACATGCAAACAGTAATAAAAGGCCTGGAGACAAACTAAGCAGAAAGAGGCAGAGGGAATTCTAGGATGGGGCTGGTCCAAATCTTAAATAGGAGGACTCAGGGAGGCCTCACTGAGAGGCTACAGTGGAACAAAGACCCAGAAAAGGTGAGGGATCAAACCAACCTTGCAATTATGCATGGAGAAGTCATTGTAGCAGCAGAGGCTGTAGCCCATGCAAAGGCCCTGGGAGGCTGCTGGGCCTGAGCACAACAAGGAGGCCAGTGTGGCCAGACCAGACTGAGCAAGGCAGAGAGCCAAGAGATAGCAAGACTCAAAGCCAGGGCATAGTGGCAAGCCAGATTGCATGGGGATTGCTGGCCACTGCCTTGGCTCTAGAGGCATTGGGAGCCCCCAAGAATCTGAGCATAGCAGTGACAAGGTCTAATGCAACATTTAAGAGAATCACTCAGACCACTGTGCTGAAAATAGTACCCAGGGAAGAAGCCAGGAGACCAGCTAGGATTCTGTTTGATAACGAAATAAGGGCTGTTCCTGGTCTAGGCCCATCTCATGGCAGGGTGGATAAGGAGATGGCAAAGGCTATTCTTTCTATCTGTATTTTGAAGGTGCAGTCTGCAGATTTGCTGTTGGAATGGATATGGGGTAGGAGACAAAAAGAAGGGTCAAGAATGACACCAATTGTTCCACTGGTGTTCCAGTCTGGGTGATGCAGCAAGATCCCATCTCAAAAAAACAAAAAAACAAAAAAACAAAAAAAAAAACACAAGATTTTTAGCTGGAAAAAACCAGAAGGACAGAGAGCTGCTGTTAACAGAGATAAAAGAAAAAAAAAAACTCTAGGAGGAGTGGGTTCTGGGTCCAAGATGGGGCAGGGGCTTCCTAGGTTGTCTGCCTTGGAGGATACAGGAGGTCAGGGAAGTGAGGTATTTGGGGTTCCAACATCGCAGGCAGCCGGTGAGGTGGCCTGCAGGTGGTGAGTCTGTCAGGGCCAGCAGCCTGCTTTTCCTCCCCAAAGCACCACCCCAAACATCTGACCTCCCCGTCTCCCTGGTGACTCCCAAAGCTGGGCCTTCAACCTACAGCTGCGTAGCGGGGAACCAGGGAGCTGAGGGTAAAACAACATATATAAAAAGCATCCCCAGATAGTCTGAAAATACAGAGGTGTAAAGCACAGCATCCCAAATAAGCCTCCTGCTAGAGGGACTATTTTTAAAAAGACTTTTAAGAGGTGTGAAAGTGACGCTGTCTATTATGCGACTCCAGCAAGGCACCAAATCTTAGGTTTTCGAACAACACATCCAGAACGGCCACTTCTGACCCACCGGTGGGCATGAGGCCCTGCCATGGCCCCAAGCCAAACATGCCCCTGGGGGGACATGATGGCACTTGGTGCATTAGGCTGTCCCCCAAAAACCAAAGGAAAATTGAACTCCCCTAAACACTGCTGGTTCATAGACTCTGAATGACACTTGAACTTTGCTGATGTCTCTGAGATTTTGCTTTTGCTAAACACCATTTAAATCTACATTATTAACCTCCTTCTTTGGGGCAATATCAGCTGCTGCCATATTTAGAGCTTTTATGTACAGCAAATTGCCCAAAACACCCAAATAAATAACAGGGAACCCATTCTTCCCATCTGCCTAAGGGTCAGTTGAAAGCCAATGGAAATAACTAACTCTCTCTCTTGCATCAGCAGGAGAAATGGACGTTTCAAGCCGGGAAGTTGATGGTGAGCTAGTTTTGATTACTAAAGGTTTCCATTTAAGTGCAGAAGCCAGAAACTTATTTTTAATCTTCTGTTTTGAGGAGTGCGGATATGAATTGAAGGGCACTGCACGCTGTCTGGGGGACCATTTCAAACTGTTTTCGTTTAAAATACAAATTAATCAAGGAAAGAAGCCTGAAGAGGAGAGGGTTTGAAAGAGAGAGAAAGACCTAGAAGCACAGGTGGTTTCAGATGACGCTGTGAGGTTCCCGGCCTCTAAGCAGCTGCAGAGCTGAATCCCAGTGGGCTATGTCCTGATGCTGGCCCCAGGGCCCCACGGCATCCACCCAGCCTGTGGGACACCGGCTCCCACCCGGCTGCTCCTCACCCAGCTTATGTCTGTTGTAACTTTACATGTTCTCAGGTTTAAAACAAAAACATAGTTACTTTATCACACTGAATTATGGCTGGCAGTTTTAAAGATATTGTTTTTAGGTCTGGCGCTTGGAGGCCACCCTGCATAGCTTTCAAAGAAAATGGAGCTCTCTTGGGCTCAGATTTCATCTAATATGGACTGTTTGATGAGTCTGGAGAGAAAAAAAGGATGCTTGATTTCAGCCTCTGAGTCCCCCCACTGAGAAGAGCTGGGCTTTGTACACCCAGCTTGCAGCATGGAGAGGCCACACCCCCTTTCTAAAACTCTGGAATGAAAATTCTGGCACGATATGTGAGAAGGAAGGTCAGTTACTTCCAGAAAGACCTTCGAAGCATCTGTAATGATCTATGAGAGACACCTCTGCTGCTCTTAAAAGGGGAAAAAAAGTCTAATAATACCTAACTGCTTCATTCCTGGTGAAAATTTTGTTTTTTAATCTAGTATCTCAAAACTACTAAACATAGCCACCTGCCCCTTCCCTGCCAAGCAAGTATGTTAGATGCTGTTCTTCAAATCTGACTAAAAATACTTCCTAAAGACAAACGTGATATTCTAAATGTCACCGCAGAAGACTATCAGAGCAGTTATTTTCTATTTATCACAAATATTGTCTGATGCTCTGTATCTAAAGAATACTCTTGATTAGAAGCCCCTTCCTTTTGTTCAGCACTTCTAAAAATATAAAGACTATTATAAAAAATAAAATGGAATCCTAGTACAGGTGACACAAATCTTTTCCATCAGACTTTTCAATTTTTTTTTTTTTGCCAGAATTGGGGTAGCACATTATTATGAGGATTCAAAAAGAATAATTAAAGTTCTGCATGGACACAGATCTGCCGGAGGGAGGACCTTTTATGTTGTTTTGCATTTCGTGTGTCATTCAAAAGGTTTGCAACTGGGAAATGATGTTGAACTAAAATAAGACAGGAACACGTTGACTGAAATTATACCCTGTCCAATGAGTTGACACCCCTTTAGACAGCTCACCCCGATGTCTCCAGAGCCACCACTGCAACACATGGGGATGACATTTAGACTCTGCACAGTGGCCCAGGAGAGAGGCCGTCTCAGAGGAGGGAGGGTGCCCACAGACCCCTGGATGGCAGGAGGAAAAGCCAGGAATCACCGGAACCTGCAGGACTTCCATTCCCCATCTGGGTGAATGTCACCACCAGGCAGTTCCACTGTCCCTTCCAGGACCCAGCTTGCTTTATTTGATCTTGACCCAAAGAAGGTTAGTTTTTTTGTCATTGTTTTGTATTTGTGTGTGTGTGTGTGTGTGTGTGTTTTAAAAATGTTTGAGTGAACGTTTAGCAGTAATGATGTTTCACATGAAGACCCAGAACCTTTATTTTAAAAACAGGTTGCTGTGGCAACACCGGCCCAGCTTTCCCTTATGGCAGCACCACAGGAAGAGAGCAGAGGCTGCCCCTTGAGGCCAGGCATTTGCTCTCCAGTTTTCCACAGTCCCCACCACTCCCTATTGTACCTTAAGAGTCTGGCTGAGTGTCAGCCAGCATGTATTCTTGCACTAAACGTGTTCTTGTTATTATGGTAAAGGAACCCTTTTGTGTACCTAAATTATCACTACAAAAAAAAAAAAAAGCATAGAGGAAGAAAAAAAGAAAAGGGAGATGGTGGGGCAGCATGCTTTAAGTAAGATACAACAAAATACTCTTGCTCGTGAAAGCAGAATAGCCCAATAAACAGATATGTATGTAAATATCAAGTCCACATCACTCTTTCATGTCACTTGCCTGGCACCTATTGGCTTCCGTTCATTCAAAAAATATTTACTGAACACCTTCTATGGGCAAAGCACTGATCTAGGTACTAATTAGCAAAGCAAACAAAAATTTCTGTCCCCCACAGAGCTTGCTTTCCTGCAAGGAAGAGCAGGGAATTAATAAATATAGACAGACATGAGAAATAAGTGGATCACATGTGTGTGAAAAATACTACAGGGAAAAGCAGAATGGAATGTGGAATACTGGGGGTGTGCATGTGAGTCGGTGAGCTCTGGGCTTTGCTATTCCTGCCTTTGTGGCCCCTGCAGGATCTCCTGTCCTGAAAAAGTCTCCTCTTTCTACTTCATCCCTCATTGCTCTCTCCCTTCTCTGGGGACAACACTGGCTGAAGGCCACACACTGTGGTTCTAATGAAGAACATATATTGAGCTGCTTTGAGGACCTTGGTCTGCTGCTTGGCACCATGGAGGAGACAGAATTCCTGACCTCACAGAGCTGAATCTCATTTTGGATCCAGACATGTACCTAAGTTACTCTCAAATTAGGTAGCAAATGCTAAGCATCACAAAAGAGGCAAGAAAAAATTAGTATCTGAAGTTCATAGGAGAAGGCATTGCCCATCAAACCAATCAAACAAAATAAAGTTTTAAAAACATCCAAAACTAAAATGGATGACAGAAAAAAAAAGATAAGCAAGACAAACAGAATTCAACATGCACATAACTAGTGCACCCGAAAAAAAAGAGTATTTGAAAAGTCACACAAAAAATGGGGGGTTAGGGATGAGAAATTACGTGGTGGGTACAATGTACATTATTTCAGCAATGATTACACTAAAAACTCAAACTTCACCACTACATAGCATATTCATGTAATAAAACTGCACTTGTAAATGTATACATCCTTAAACTTATACAAATACAAAAAGAATTTATACAAAACTGCACTTTTAAACTTGTACCAAAAAAGTAACAAAACCCCAAAGATGTAATAAAAGAAAACTATCCTCAAATAAAGGAATGCAGACTTTGGGTTGAAAAACAGAGTCTTAGAAAATCCTGGAGCATTTTAGATTTCAAGGAAAAAAAAAGAATCCTATGGATTCCATATTAAAACAAGGAACAAATAAAATAAACAAAAAGTAATAAATCAACAAAAAGATTTGAGAGTATTATGAAAATATACAAAGGTAACTATTAGAATATTTAAAATGCAACAACTTTTCTATACTATTAATGGAGAAATACAAGTACATACACAATAAAACAAAGAAAGCTCAGATAACATAAGACAAAAACAAAAGAAAGACAAAAGAAAGATTTAATGTAAAATCACAGAACTAGAACCAAATACATTTTTTGCATCAATAAGTATAAGTAAGCCAATCTTATCTATTAATAAAAATATGCTTTTCTTTGGATGTATGTATAGTGAAACGGATATATCCATTTCATTGGATGATGAAAGGAAAACAAAATATTATGCTGTCTATTTAACTCATCTAAGGTAAAGTGAATCAGAAAGATTAGAATTGTAATGATTGGCAAAGACAGAACACAAACACATACTAAGAAAAAAGGAAAGATTTTGATAATTTTATCAGTTAAGTTTAAATTTAAGGCAGGTGTTTAACTAGACTAAGAGACACTTCATAACAATCAATTGAACAAGACCCAATTACCTAAGTGGGGCATTATACACTAAAGAAATTCACAAAGAACAATATGAAGCAAAACAAAAACAAATACAAAAAGTAAGAAATTAAAAAGCAGAAATCACCAAAACAAAATAGTGAGACTTTAACTCATCGCTAATCAAGTACTTAAAAACTAGGAAGCATATGAAGAAATAAACAGCACAATGTATACAGTAAAGCCAATAGAGATGCACAAAATTCCATTCGCTTAAAATAGAAAACAAACACTCTTTTTGTTGTCCGTGGAATAAAACGCAATAGACCACATTTTGCTCACATGGAATTCTAGTACAGAACCATGCTTAAGACAGATAGGCCAACAGTCTCTGTGTAGGATGTATATGGATTTAGATATTAATTCTTAAAATAGAAGACAAAACAAAACAAAAAACATTTAAAAACTTTTTAAAGATAGAAATTACTCAGGATAAAGTGGAAATGAAAGGGAAATTGCAGAATCTCTGGTTAAAAAAATTGTGTGGCATAGGGGTTAAAGATATAACAGGAGGGAGAATATAATCCTTAAAATGTAAGCTATTCAGGCCAGGTGTGGTGGCTCATGCCTGTAATCCCAGCACTTTGGGAGGCCACAGTGGGCAGATCACGAGGTCAGGAGATCGAGACCATCCTGACTAACACAGTGAAACCCAGTCTCTACTAAAAATACAAAAAATTAGCCAGGCGTGGTGGCAGGCGCCTGTCGTCCCAGTTACTTGGGAGGCTGAGGCAGGAGAATGGTGTGAACCCGGCAGGTGGAGCTTGCAGTGAGCCGAGATTGCACCACTGCACTCCAGCCTGGGTGACAGAGTCAGACTCCATCTCATAAAAAAAAAAAAAAAAAAAAAAAAAAAAAAAAAGTAAGCTATTCAGATATGGTGGACTCTGGGGACTGTGGGGAAAGGGTGGGAGGGGAGTGAGGGATGAAAGACAACACATTGGGTTTAGTGTACACTGCTTGGGACATGGGTGCACCAAAATCTCACAAATCACCACTAAAGAACTTACCCATGTAACCAAATACCACCTGTTCCCCAAAAACCCATGGAAATAAAAAAAAAATAAAAATAAAAAAGGAGGCTATTCAATAAGAAAGCAAGAAAATAGGTGAAATGAACATTCAGTTCACAATATAGAAAACGAGGAACCAAGTATCTTCAATTTGTGAAGCCCAAATTCACGAAATCAGAAACAGTAACATGGATACAACTATAAACACTAAATAATATATATAAAATAACACAATATTTAATTTTGTGCAAGTAGCTTTAAATAGATTAAGTTAATGCCTTTTTGTGAAAAGGGTAGTTACCGAAATTGACCACAGAGGAGAGAGAAAAAATTTAAACAGGGCAAGGACCATGAAAAAAATAATTGAAAGAGTTCTCAGGGAGCTGCCTCAAAAATGCACCAGGCCCTGGTGTTTTCACAGGTTAATTTTATCAGTCTTTCTCAAGACAGATGACACCCATGCTATTTTAACTCTCTAAGAGCTAAAAGAGAGAAGAAAAATTTCCAAATTCTTTTTTTGAAGGTGATATAATATGGTTATCAAACCTGACGAAAATATTAAAAATCAATCAATCATGCTTTGTAACAGCAATGCAAATAACAAATTCTAAATAACATTTTTAAGGAGATTGCAGCAGTAGTACATTAAAAAGAATAACAGGCCTTGATCAAATAGGGTTATTTCCTTAAATAAAAAGAGGTTTTAATATAAGGCAATCTATTAATATGATTCACTATTTTAATATTATGTCAGAGAAAAATATTTGATCATCTCCACAAATTCCATAAGAGGCATTTATAAATTTAAACACAAATCCCTGATTAAAACAAATAAACAATCAACCAAATAGTCATAGAAGGATATTTCTGTAACATGCATACAACCAGATGCTCGATGCTGAAATGCTGAAATCATGCACGCTGAAGTCAGGGACAGGATGTCCACTTCCACCACTCTTACTGCGCATTTCTCTCAAATATATTAGTCATTGCAATGGAAAAGGAGCAAGAAGCATGAATTCTAAAATTGTTTAAAAAAAGAGCAGGTTATGATTATTTGCAAAAAGATATGACTCCATACCAGAATACTTATGAGAACCTGCTGAAAAAAGATGTTAAAAACAATAGGAAAATTTAACAAGGTGGCTGGTTATAAAATGAATATACAAGAATCAGTGGTTTAAGTTAACCCAGACAATAACCAATTAGAAAAACATGATCGAGAAAAAGATTTGATTTACAATGGGATACAATGAGAGAGACAGACAGAGAGATAGAGAGGCAGAGAGAGAGGGACAGAGAGGAGAAAAGAGAGAGAAGAGAATATACCCAGAAATAAACCTCAATATGAATTTAGGGGCTAAATAAGGAACAATTATTTAGAATGACTGGGCAACATAAATAGGAAGCCCTATTTTGCTCTTAGACGTAAGACTCCAAGTCATAACAATATTAATTCTTCCTATAAATCTATAAACTTAATGTAGCTTTTTACCTTCTCCTCCCCCTGCCACCCCCGAAAAATTCTACGGAGCATTTTCTGGGGAATATAATTTTAAAATAAGATTAAATATCACATAAAATAAATACAAAACTAGATAGTAAAATTCTGAAAAAAAAAAGAATAAGCCTGACCAGATACTACACTGAATTGCAAAATCATTGATATGGTTTGAAACAGGTGCAGAAAAAGCAGACATGTCAATTGAGTAAAATAGAGCATACTGAACTAGGGTAAACTCACATGAGAATTTAATAAATAATAAAGGTGGCTTTTAAATGAGTGGGATAAAGAAGAATTATTTAATAAATGGTGTTTGGTTCAATTGGCTAGCCATTGGGTTGGAGAAAGGACACAAAGAATAAAACTGGAACCCTAATTCACTTTTTACATCAAAATAAAAGGAAGATGGTTAAGGATCTAAAAGCAAAAATTGAGGCCGGGCGCGGTGGCTCACGCCTGTAATCCCAGCACTTTGGGAGGCCGAGACGGGCGGATCACGAGGTCAGGAGATCGAGACCATCCTGGCTAACACGGTGAAACCCCGTCTCTACTAAAAATACAAAAATTAGCCGGGCATGGTGGCGCGCACCTGTAGTCCCAGCTACACGGGAGGCTGAGGCAGGAGAATGGCGTGAACCCGGGAGGCGGAGCTTGCAGTGAGTCGAGATCGCGCCACTGCACTCCAGCCTGGGCGACAGAGCGAAACTCCGCCTCAAAAAAAAAAAAAAAAAAAAAATTGAAAAGGGGGAGAATAAAAGAAAACATGGGGTTAATATAAAATCAAGGAGCAAGCACGTCATAGATGCCATAACGTGACTGATAAATCTAAGCATAAAAATCCTAAAACCTCACTATGATAAAAAAATAAACAAAATCAAAAGGCATATGGCAAACCGGGAAAAATATTTACAACATAAATGACAGAAATGGGCTAATTTCCTTAATATATAATAAGCTCTTGCAAATTGGTGAGAAAGATACAAATCATTCAATAGGAAAAAAATGGGCAAATGAGATGAAAAGTCAATTCACAGAGAAAGAAATAGAAATGATTTTTAAACATATGGAAAGATGTTCAATGTCACTCATAATTAAAGATATGCAAATAAAAACAATCAGAAACCTATCAGATGGGCAAAGGTTTCCATCTTTGGGAAGTCCTGCTTCTTGGAATTTGTTCTACAGAAACCTACTTTCTCTCTCTCTCTCTCTCCCCCGCCCCCGCCCAGTCCCCACTGCCCTTCCTTTAAAGGTGGCCAGTTATGAAAGAGAGAATATATATATATATAGTTATGTATAATCAAATTGTTCATCAACAGGGTAATGGTTAAGTAAATTATAGTAGATCTCTAAAAAGAGTAGAACTCTACAAAGGAACTAGGAAATCTCCACAATTATTATTAATTTTGCCATTAAAAGCAATGGCAAAAACCGCAATTATTTTTGCAACAACCTAATAACAAAAATATGGAAGAGGTGGAAAAATATGCACAATATACAGATGAAAAACCAACAGGGCCACGTGCAGTGGCTCACGTCTGTAATCCCAGCACTTTGGGAGGCCAAGGCGGGCAGATTACTGGAGGTCAGGAGTTCGAGACTAGCCTGGCCAATATGGCAAAACCCCGTCTCTACTAAAAATACAAAAATTAGCTGGGCATGGTGGCACGCACCTGTAGTCCCAGCTACTCGGGAGGCTGAGACAGAAGAATCGCTTTAACGCAGGAGGCGGAGGTTGCAGTGAGCCAAGATCGTACCACTGCGCTCCAGCCCGGACAACAGAGTGATACACTGTCTCAGAAAAATAAATAAATAAATAAAAGAACCAAACAAAGTCTAGAACTGCAAATATGATGTGTTTCAATCTGTGCTTAAAAATTAATGCATATATTTGTATTAAAATGTATTAAAATATACTCATTATCTATGGTCGCTCAATTTGGTTAGGCTGAGTTTGGAGTAAGAGAAAGACTCAATTCTTCTTATACAAGTGTACCTTTTGGTACAGTTTTAGTTATGTGCTTGTGTAAAAACAAAACAAAACAAAAAACACTTCCTGAGTGCTTAAAAATGATGGAGGCATACCAAATTTGAAGAAGATGCTCCCAATTGCCAAATCTGAGACAATTTGAGCAACAAAATATTGACAGTCATGGATTTATAACCCATCAAATAAAATAAATATCAGTGCATCTACACTGATTTTTCAAAATGAATAACCAATAGGAGAGAAAGAACAGCTTTTCTTTACAGAAGAATTTGAATTTAAGACATGTAGGATTGAGGGAAATAGAAAAATCACAGTTGGACTATCATCATAATAATTGTTACAGGCAAGATCGCCCAACGGATATAAACGTTAGTGAGCAGAAGTATGAAAAGAAAAAGGACCCGTGTTGTCTCAGAGTATCTGCCCACACGATGCTTTTTCATCATAAAGGGAAAAATAAACATAAAAAAATTGACAGCTGAGAAACCTGGAGGACACTATCTTAACCGAGTGACCCAAAGTTAACATCACCAGTAAGGAAAGATCACCTCAAGTTCCTCCTGACCGGATGCACTGAGGACGTGACATCAGTCCCATGGCATCTTTGGTACAATTGATAGCTTCAATCTAATCATAAGAAAATAGCAGGCAAATATCCAAACTGAGCGTTTTTCTCCAAAGTAACTGACTGTTACTCTTCAAAAATGTCAAGGTCATGAAAGACAGAGACGAAGAAACCGCCCCACGTTGGAGGAGGCTAAGGAGCTATGACAATTAAATTCAACATGAAGTCCTGGATTGGACCCTGGCCCAGAGAAAGGACATTAGTGGGCCACTGGTGAAATTTTAACAAGGTCTATAGATTAATTCGTAATACTGCATCAAAGTTAATTTCCCAGTTTTGATCATTGAACTAAGGGAAGGTAAGACGTTAGCATTTAGGGAACCTAGGCAAAGGGGATGAGGTAACTCCTCATACTATCTTTTTAAACTCTTTTAGAAAATCTGATATTTTGAAATAAAAAGTTGAAAAGGTACATTTTAAAAAATGTTCCTGGAAGTCCCACTGGGAGAAATCATAAAAGATACAAGGTAGTTAACAGATCTACAAGTCATTACATCAAAATGGAAAATCCCAACGACATGGATCTTTTCCCTGGGACTGGTTCAGCCTCATTTTAAGATGGGAAGCCGTGTTTTCCTCTCTCCATGGTATCTCCATATCCAGAGACCTCAGTGAGAATCAAGTGGGCACCCCGTTTCCTCTGGTTGGTAAAGAGGTGATGGTCCCGCAAAGTCAGGCAAGTCACTTGGGGATAGAAATGTTGGGTATGGAGTCCCAAGAGTGCTTGAGAGCTTGCCTGAAATCTAATTACTTATATCCAAGAGTCTCAACACCCTACTGGATTTGGGGGGACAGGGGAGATCCTACCACCATCTCCTCTCCACTTAATTGATCTTGGATAGCGAATCACCCATTCACAATTTCCCATTTCTAAATCTGTAAAATGTAGAGCATAAAACTCAATAAAAGAGTGAAACGATGTTTCTTTCGGGAGCACCAAATCCTTAAGCTGGGCTGCTCATTTCATAATCTCAAATCCCTTTAGAAAGATACAGAAATCACAGAGGACACAAGACCCATCCTCACTTCAGTGTGCAAACCCAGGAAGCTGCCATGAGAATTCCAAAATGCCCACGACCAAACAGCAAAAGATCCGTGCACAGGAGCCTTGACTCCTAACTCCCAGGGCTGCCACTGATCCACGCTTAAGAGATGAAAATTATTTTGAAAACCAAGTCCAAAGGGCACAGGCATATATTTGCAGCAGATATTGACACGAGTGTTCCATGGACCTAGCCAATCAGAAAGTAATTTTATAAACACTGTTATTAAACAGAAGGGCAATTACTTTAAGTACTGGAAAAATGTCAGGGTCATACATGAATTTTGTGGGTATCACATTTTGTTTGACACTCAGTGGATCAATGACTCCAAGGAAATTTATGCAGAAATAGTACGCGCCATGTCACCAACCCTAAAGCTAAACCTTCCCTACCCAGATTGCCCAAATTTAGAGAGAGGAATGACTTCTGGTTTACCCAGTTTACTACATATTCAGAAATGCAGTCAAAGCTCTTTATACATAAAAGTATGGAAGTAATTAAGGATTATGTGGTAAGTGAACAAATATGGTTCATATGACTGCATATTAGGAAGAACACCTTTTATTTCTGTCTTTATCAATGGAACAGAGCAGGGGGTTTTAATGCAATATAATAAGGAGTATAAGAGGGGTCCAAGGGCAGCTTTTCTGGGATGCCTGTTTGCAAACTGAGTGGCTTTGAGGTCCCCCACTTCAGGGCTCCCCCTCACTTGAGATTTCAGCTGTGGCCACATATGTTGCCACTGCCTTAATGACAGTGGCATGGGTGTACAGGGATGGGAAGAGAGGAGACTCCTTCCTGCTTCCCATCATCTTGGAGGATAGATGCCCTGCAATGTCAAATGAACAGGTCACTTATTCTACCCCCAGAGGGTTTGGAAGGACTCCCAATGGCTCCGGGTTCTTCTGGTCTCCCCCTCTCCTAACCCTATCCTAACAACGACCTTCCTATTTTCCACAAGTTGTCTACACACAAAATGGCAGGGAAGCCCAGACTTGGAAGCACATGGTAAGCCCTCAACAAAAATGCCACAACTGAGCGAATGATTGCCTCCAAGCTCTTCGAGTTTGGCAGGTACTGTGAAGGTAAATAACAGAGCTTCTTCAAGAAACAATGCTCCATTTGGTAGAGGCTACATTTTGATAAATTTCTGAAGAATGCATGAACATGGGCATGCTATTCCTTCTCATGGCTAGAAGCAGCTCTCTCTGGGTGTGGCCTTGCATGTCTGAGTCCTCATCCCCCCCACCCGCCTCCACACACACACTCTGCAGCAATGACAGTCGGGTGACAGGGCTGTCCTTGGTTCAGAGGGAAACATTTAAAAGAAAACAAAATGGGTGGCCAGTGGAGAAGGTATGTTCTAGGAATGTAAGCCTAGAAACTGAGTTTGTCTTAAAAGTTTGAGATGACATGAAGATCCATTTCTTCCTCTTTTGACGGCTAAGCTTCCACTCTGTTTCTGATTCAAACAGAAATTGAATGGGAATACCTCACCCCAGGATCAGCCCAATGGGGAGTCCTAAAATAGCACCTGCTGATGGAGCAGCCATCCACAGACTTAGCCTCCCCCACCCAGAGGGGGAGACCCCCACAAGGACTGGCCACCAAGGGGGATCTGAAGTAATCCCCAAATGTGCCAGCCCAGCCTGCCATGTGAAGAAGTATCAGCTCTCCCAGCCTCTTGGAACTGCCCTGCCAGATGGAAATATGGTTGCCGTCACACCCTATCCTGTCCCAACACCACACAAAAGGCATTTATCATTTAGGTCCATGTTTTAGATCTAAGGAAACTAGAAACATTTTTATCATTAAAAAATGAGAAAATGTGTTGTAAGGCATTGTAACATCCACTATCCTTGCTTGTTACTTCCACTAGAAAGAAGTTTCTGAGGGCTGGGGATGTGCTTTTGTCTTTCCACAGTGCCTAGCATGTAGTAGATTCTCAATAAATATCTGTGACATGGATGGATGAGTGGATGGATGGCTGAATGCATGGATGGATGGATGGATGAATGGATAGATGGGTGGGTGGATGGTTGAATGAATGGATGGATAAGTGGATGGATGGATGGATGCATGGATGGATGGATGGATGGATGGATGGATGGATGGATGGATGGATAAATGGGTGGATGGATGGATGGATAAATGGGTGGATGGATGGACGGATGGGTGGATGGATGGATACATGGGTGGATGGGTAGGTAAATGGATGGATGGATGGATGGATGGATGGATGGATGGGTAGATGGGTGGATGGATAGGTGGATGGGTGGATGGATGGGTGGATGGATGGATGGATGAATAAATGAATAAACAAATGTCTTGAAGCACGGAGTTGTTTGATAGTGTACATTTGAACAACACTGATGGCCAACCTAACTATACAAGCTTCATTACAGGCCACTGCCATTAACCTCTTAATTATTTCAAAACTTTACAGCTAAGAAAACACTTTTCTTTACCACATCTTCTTGGGCCCTCACAATAGCTATGTCAGAGCCATGGCAAAAATTATTTCATTTGCCAGCTGCAAAAACAGAACTTCAAAGATGTTAAGGCCAGTCATTCAGTGCTTGAGAAGCAGAGTCAGGGGTAGAATTTAGCTCTACAAAAATACATTTGAAGTTCCTTATAACTAACCTCAAAAAAGTAATTAGAAATTGTATAGAAAGTGTCCAGAGGTGATTCTAGACAAGAGCTATTTTGTGGGTTTCCCTGAATCATATATTTGACCCTGTTTCCATTTTTCTATTGACTGATAGAAGGCTCAGATTCCAAAATGTAATCTTCCTCCTGGGGTTCAAACAAGTCTTCTTTTAATATTTGTGAGCATTCTTAATTCTCTCTAGAAGCTGAGATGGGGCAAGGGATTGCACTATGTACATGGAGAGCAATTGAATAGAAAAGTAGAAAATGCAATGATAGTCTAGAAGCAATCACTTTGCTAGCTGTTCCTATCCATCGAATTCAGCAAGCAGTTACCATGTTGTAGTGAACAAGCCAAGATGAGAGAGACACGTATGGGCCCTTTTGTCACCTGGACTTCTCCACTTCCGTGGCTGACTCCTGGCTTCGAGATGAGAGTCAACACATCTCCCAAGGGACTGCACTAGAGTTTTAATCTGGTCCAAGCTCCAAGGCAACATTCTGATTCCCATGCCCACTCCTTAGGCACCAAGGAAGCTGGTCACAATGTTCAGAGGGAGAGTGAAAGTCCTATATCTTCCTTAGCAAGAATCACAGGAGATTTCCACAACATAAGTTCACCCTGATGATCAGTGCTGGGCCCCTTGGAAACACACAACAAGAACTATGTGATCGAGACTCTAGATCTCCAAGCTGCTGGGGCCCAGTTCCTTAGAGCCAGGAACCTCACCCAGCCTGACTGTGCACTACACCAGTGTCTTCTATAGCCATCAACCAATATGGCTCATTCTAGGTCCCAGACTGGAATCAGGTAGCCTACAGCTGGGTAAAGAGCTGGCACCTCATAAAACCTTCAGGTAGGATTAGCCCTGGCCAGTCCAGGCTAAAGTTCTGGTGGATTCGTGTCCAGAAAGCTCTCATTTTGGTATGCATCATATCACCCTACACAAGTCTCCCGGGTCTCACATCTGCAGATGCCCATGAAAAACATTCACCTGCTTATTATCCCAAGAAGTGTTTACCTGCAAAAAAAAATGACCCTAGGTAAATACTTCCTGTGATGAGGTGAATAGGGACAAAGGACCACGATGCAGAGTAGAAATCCATTTCTTCTGCCCACAGTGATCTCCTGAAGGTTTCAAGATTCATTCTGGTCTGATACTTGAAAAAGTTTACTTCTGTGCTTGTCATACCATTTAGAATTTTGTAAATCTTGTTCCAAACAAATCCATTCAAAAAATCAATTGCAATTTCTCTTCAATGAATTTATTGTATAAATACAATTGCACAAATACGCAAAAGATATTTGGTGAAGTTTTGCATGAAATAACAAAATCTCACAACAATATCATATCCTGTATGGGTAAGCATCAATACCAGGTAGGTTAAATAATTTATTGTACATGGTCTAATAGAATACTATGCACCTGGTAACAATATAACTGGAGACTAAAGTCAATACTTCTACATCTGCCTCATTCTGTTTAAGTGAAAAAAAGCAAAGTGCAGAAAATACCTATTGTATGATCATTATATGATCACATTTTCAAAAATAATAGGACTATAAAGTAATGCATATACATATATATTTC
This sequence comes from Homo sapiens, assembly GCF_000001405.40. NCBI lineage: Eukaryota > Metazoa > Chordata > Mammalia > Primates > Hominidae > Homo > Homo sapiens. The sequence goes on along the minus strand of NC_000019.10, from coordinate 30,607,776 downwards.
TAATATGTTACACACATATGCATAGGGACTTTTTTCTGAAAGTATGTTACTTTTTTTTTTTTTTTTGAGACATGTCACCCAGGCTGGAGTGCAGTGGCATGATCTCAGCTCACTGCAGCCTCTGCCTCCCAGGTTCAAGTGATTCTCCTGCCTCAGCCTCCCGAGTAGCTGTGATTACAGGTGTGCACCACCACGTCCAGCTAATTTTTCTGTATTTTTAGTAGAGACAGGGTTTCACCATGTTGGCCAGGTTGGTTTCAAACTCCTGACCTCAGGTGATCTGCCCACCTGAGCCTCCCAAAGTGCTGGAATTATAGGCATGAGACACTGTGCCCGGCTACTTTTTAAAATATAATGAATTAAGGAGGGGACATGAAAGAAAGCTATTGATGAACAAAGAAGAGCGTAATTAAAATTAACAATGAGAATAATAATAAAAATATCCCCATCACAAAATGTCAATAGAAAGCCTCATTTTACACCAGTAAAAAACTCTAAAACAAAAAAAAGTTTCACATGAATTTTTAAAAAAACATTTGAAAGCAAGTTACAGCCACACTCAGCCATAAACAAGGTGTAGAAAGTATGATGGTATTGTGTAGGATCTTTTGTAAATAAGTTTGACAAAAATCTACGTCGAAGAGGTTTAGGGAGGTGAGGGGATCATTTGATCCAAGCTGCTCAGTTTGCAGATAAAGAACACAGTTTAGCCAGGGGCTGTCTGCATTGTGCAGAGATAGCCAGGTTGGTACAATGGCATGGCCTGGGGTCGTGAGAGCCAGCCTTCACACACATTCTGACATCCTCCCTTTCCCCTCCCTTCTCCACTCCACCTTTCTCCTGCTGGGGCCTCCACCAATAGCTGCCCCCAGTGTTCCATGATTCGAGGATTGACAAGAACCCTCTTCCTATGCAGCCACTTCTTTGATGGAGGTCATGATGTAGCCCTCTTTACGTACAGGAGGAAGCTGAGCTGCAACGTTCTCAGGATCACAGCTGGACAGGGCCCCTGCTGGATTGAAATCCACAGGATGGGTCTGCAGAGCCCAGACTCTAGCCACCCTCCCGTTTGTGCCTGGGAGTCAACTCAATTCACACTCAGGACCATTCTTCTCTGTTTCCTTCACAAAGTGTTACCTACCAATTCATGATGGAACTGTGGTCACCTAAGAAAGGGGACAACCAAACACCTTCAGGGTCTTGACTAAAGACTGGTGAAGTGGCCTCCCAACGGTGGAATAAACATGCCCTGCTTACTTCAGGTGGCTCAGCACCAACCCACGCCCTCAGAACTAAATCTGCACTCCATCTGGGAAACCCCCAACTCACTGCATCCCACCATGAAGACCAGAGGTTATGGGTTGCCCGTGACAGCTGAAAGCATGTAGCATCTAAAAATAGGAGGAGGTCCCTTTCAAAGCCTTAAGAGGTGTGTGTGTCCTTGCAGGCACTTTTATTTTTATTTTATTTTATTTTATTTTATTTATTTTATTTTATTTTATTTTATTTTATTTTATTTTATTTATTTTATTTTATTTTATTTTATTATTTTATTTTATATTTTATTTTATTTTATTTTATTATTTTATTTTATTTTATTTTATTTATTTTATTTTATTTTTAGAGATGAGGTCTCACTTTGTCACCCAGCCTGGAGTGCAGTGGCACAATCATGGCTCAGTGCAGCCTTGAACTCCTAGGCTCAAGCAGTTTTCCAGGAACATCTGCTCTTTCAATTTGCTGGTGACCTGGACATGGCCTCAGCTCAGTATCTCACAGAAGACTGGCTACCTGGATTCTTGGCCTCCCACCTCTAACTCCAGGCTTTTCAAATGGCCAAAGTCTTTCTGTCCTAAGTAGCAATTTGACTCCCTCAAAACCTGAAGCAGCACGGCTCCTATCTGAAGCCAGGGTCATAGAAGGAAGATGGGAATCTGTGTGATGGAAGTACATGGACTGTGAGCTGGTGATAGTCCCTGCCTGTCTGCAAGATACAGTGATGTCAAAAAACATCCTGCAGCTTCCTTAAAGAACTAAAAGGAGATCCACCATTCGATCCAGGAATCCCACTCCTGGGTATCTACCCAGAGGAAAAAAAGTCATTATATGAAAGACACCCACACACATGTGGGCTTATTGAAGCACAATTCAAAGTTGCAAAGATATGGAACCAACCTAAGTGCCCATCAACCAATGAGTGGATAACGAAAATACAGTATATATGTGCCATGGAATACTACTCTGCTATGAAAAGGAATGAAACAATGTGTTTTGCAGCAATTTGGATGGAGCTAGAGGCCATCATTTCAAGTGAAGTCACTCAGGAATGGAAAACCAAATACTGTATGTTCTCAGTTAGAAGTGGGAGCTAAGTAATGAGGATGCAAAGGCATAAGAGTGATATAATGAATGTTGGGGACTTGGCGGTGGGGGAGGTTTGGAGGGGGTCAGGGGTAAAAGACTACACATTGGGTATGGGGTACTCTGCTTGGGTGATGGGTGCACTAGAATCTCAGAAATCACCACTAAAGAACTTATCCCTGTAACCAAAAACCATCTGCACCCCCCAAAACTATGGAAATTTAAAACAAAAGAAAACAAACAAAAAAAGCATTTCGCACCATCCACTATTACCTTCCTACAGCATCAATGGCAGGAACATGTAGAATGAGTTCCTCCAGCGGAGACTGAGTTTTCCCATCTGTAAAATGGGGATAATGAGACCCCTTACCCAACAGAGAGACTGTGAGGATTAAATAAGGTAATGAATACAAGGTTCCAGCAGTGTGATCTGCTTTGTAGTGCAAGCTACGTGGACTTGTGCCTGCAAAACCTGCTGTCGCTGGAAGGACTCTGGCTGCCTTCCTGCTGTCCCTTCTCCAGAAGCCCCATCATGCAGAGTCATTCATGCACGAAGATTTCAGGGCCAGGGCTTCCTGACTCTGCCCCGAGCTTGCTGTGCAACCTCAGGCCAGTCACTCGCCCTCTCTGAATGTCCGTTCTTCATGTGAAAAATAAGAGTGTTGGCTTAATTACTTTAGTGGCTGGCTGCTTTTAAATCATTTCCCAAGACCCACAAACTCAATTTGTTGACAAGTTTTATTGACCAAGAAAAAGCATCTATTAGGTAATAACTGATTACTTTTCTCATGCTAACTCATCAAAGGCCTTTGTGGTGACCAGTTAGTGCCTCTGATCATAAAGAAAAAAACCAGTTATCCTGTGAAGCTAATAGCACTCCACAAAAACTCCTGACATAAAGCTCAACAGCTTTCTTGTTAAGGCTACACTGTGATTTTATTTTATATTTTCCAAAATGAAAACATATTATAAACATAATAAACACTCATTATAAAAGTATAAAATAATATGCAAATATATAGATAGACTTGGAATATAGACTTCAAAATGTTTCCATGAATAAATAAATCTTATAAATGTGAATATTTTTACAAAAATAAATTTTACTATATTTATATTTTCTGTAACTTAAAAAAAAGCTTAATAACATATTACTGGCAGCCATCCATGTGTATTCACAGAAATGTATTTTATTGTTTTAGCATCTTACCAGTCATTCAGTACATCACTATCCCTGTCCAGGCTGTTTCCAGTCTTCTACTATTGCATACCACACTGTGATGAGCATCCTTGTGGTTTACCCTGTGCACACTTTTTTTTTAAATTAAGATGGAGTCTTGCTCTGCCTCCCAGGCTGGAGTGCAATGGTGCAATCTCGGCTCACTGCAGCCTCGGCCTCCCAGGTTCAAGCGATTCTCCTGCCTCAGTCTTCAGAGTAGCTGGGATTATAAATGTGTGCCACCACGCCTGGCTAATTTTTGTATTTTTAGTAGAGACTGGGTTTCACCATGTTGGCCAGGCTGGTCTCGAACTCCTGATCTCAGGTGATCCACCCCCCTAGGCCTCCCAAAGTGCTGGGATTACAGGCATGAGCCACCGTGCCTGGCCTGTGCACATATTTAATTATTTGCTTAGTATTAATTTCTAGAAACAAAGTTGATGCTTCAAATCACATGTGCTTTTTTTAAAGAGACTTTACTGTGTACCACATTGTTTTATGAAATCACCCTTTGCAAATAACTTACTCATTTTTATTCCCATCACAGTATGCAAGATTGGTGCCCCCTCCTTGTTTTCCTTTCTAAAATTAATTTTTAAATTATATGTTTAATCATATGCACAATAATATCCATAGTGTTCAATAAGATAATAGTAGCAATAAAATGAATACCAAGATTCCCTTCACCTAGTTTGAAACAGAAACAGACTCCACACTATTTTTTACAGGTAAACAAGTGGCTTCTATTTGTTCGTTTAAAGAGATTTGAAAAGTTGTGAGACATCTGTGCTATCTCCATCGGATCTATGGCTTGGAAAATATAAGCCAGGTACCAGAAGTTTTGATAATCCTTATAATCACAAAATACTGCTATTTGTCCATCCATCCATCCATCCATCCATTCTTTCTTTCCTTTGTTTTCCTCACCATGTGTCTCTTAAGGCCTCTACTCTGTTTCAGGCACTGTGCCAGACCTGGGGGATTCGGGGATGACCAAAGCAGATACAGTTCTTATACTCCTGAGGCCTCCAGTCTAGAGTACTTGGCAGACGTTGAATATATGTATTAGCCCCAGATGCCTGTGTGATTATGATTCTGCCTTCCTGTGCTGCAAAGCACAAGGTAGAACGTCACACGGGCTGGAGGAGGAGGACCCACCTGGACACACCTCACAGACTGATGCCACTGATGGGCAACTAATACCTTCTCTCACTCTGGCGTCTAATCTCTCCTTGTTTGTCTGGGGGATGGGTACCGAAGTCTAGCTTGTTCCATCCACTGTAAAGATTTATTTAGTAGTATTATTTTTAAGCAGCTTTTCAAAGGCAGGATTAAGGTCTCTCAAGAGTACCCAGCCAGCCGCTTGCTCCCTGAATCCCAGGTCACAGCAGCCAGATTCCATGCAGAAAACACCTCTCCGCCTTTGCACAGAATTGACAGGATACTGGCACCTGGGATCCTCCCAATCTGAGACTGAGCTAGCACAAACCCTGCATCTGTTGCTCCTTGAACCCTGGAACTTCTCGGAATCGGTAGCCTGGATCTGGCCCCAAAATTCCAGCAAGATGAAAATATGCACACGTGGTCTTAGCAGGACCAGGCCATGGGACCTGAGCTTTCGGCATCACTGACTTCTTTACACAAGCAGGCTAACCTCTTGGAGAGAATAACAATATTACCCATCCAGTTATGACTTTTGGGTATCCATTGGGAAGCTGTTTGTCAAGGCCTCCAAATGTAGCTCAAAATAAAAATAAATGTATTGGGGTTGTATCCACGCAGCACAGAGCCCACAAGAATGGGAGCTGCACAAAAGTAGCAACTTCATCTGCCTTTTTTCCCATATAATCTCCACCAGCTTCACCAGAGGCTGGCGTAGAGCAGATACTCCATAAAGCCTTGTTGAAAGAAGAAAGAAGGAATCCAGACATCCAATGAGGATGTGGATACTCACCTGGATGTGAATCCAGGCAGCCAATGAGCAGATGTTCCATCACATGAGCAGATGTGAATATCCACCTGCCTTCCTATTCCTCATCATTGCATCAAAGTGAGAACCCAATACTTCATTGTGCACCCTAATTCGTTTTTTGATACCACTGCAGATAACGCTAATGGGTGGACTGAAGCTTTTCAGCAGAAGTTTGCAGTGTGCACAGCTTGAATCTCCTGCCTGGAGGCAAGTTGGGAATGAGTGGACCTTGCTTCCCAATGACTGTGGGGAGAGGACGTTTTCAATGCCCTTGAGCCACATGGCAAAGGCATGAAACACAGTTCTCACCCTGGCTAGCAAGTTCTAGAATGGGGTTTCTGAGTGTCTCAGGGTCCTGCTAATACCCCATCCTAGCCACGGTGCCACCACACCCTTCAGCATCACACAAGCAAACTGCAGGGCTTGGGAGAGCCACGTTGCCTTCAGCAGGACATACCCGTCCCAGACCCTTGCCCAGGAAACTGTCTTGACAGCAGGCTTCTCGGCTGGTTCCCCATAATTATGCCTCTTGCTGCTAGGTCTGAGAACGAGCTGCCCACCTTGCTTTGTGTTTCTCAGAGATGGGCCCCAGGAAGTGTTTCTAAGCACCTGTGGGAGTCAGGGGCCCATCTGAGGAGCTGATGGCATCTATAGGTTCCTTCTGATGGCAGAGATGCCCATATTCAAGTGTTACATGCAATTTAGGGGTTTCCTGCAGTCCCTGAAGCCATATGTGGGCCCTCCTAGCGTAGCCCAGAGACCTCAGACAGGCTCCCCCATCAGGGGCTGTGTCCCACAGGCTAAGAATGAGGGTCCTAATCCTGCCATGAATCTGCTGCCCACGTGACTCACGAACACGGACTTTCTAGAATGTGACCCCGATGCAGGCTCCCAGAGAGCCGTGGTTTTGTATGTTCACTGCTGGAGTCCCAGCACCCAGATTGCTGCCTGGGACTTGTAGAAATGTGGGGAAAAATCTGCTGGGATAATGGAGAATATGGTCATAGGTAAATCACTTTAGCTGTCTAGTCCTCAGTTTCCCCATATGTCAAATAAAAGTTTCCTTTTAAGTGAACTCTCTGGTATCTTCCGGCTCCCAGAGTTCACAATTTAGATTTCAGCGTCCTCACTGTGGGAACACAGGGAATATGGGGAGGAGCCCACTTCTGGCTTAGCACTAACCTCAATCTGGCCTGGAAGTGAGAGTTTAGACCTTTTACCCAAAGTCTTTCTCTAACCAACTCCATCAGTAAAAATCAGAAAGTAGTTGCTCAATTAACAACAAAAACAACGAATAAAACAAGCGTTCACTTTTCCAGGAATCAACGGAACAAAAGAACTCTTCTCAAGAGGCCCACACTCGATGCTTGGCAGAAATGCTTAAAGCCAAAGCCCCTGATGCCTGAGCTTTCTGAGGAGGTCTCTGCAAAGGGCTGATGCTATGCTCCAGTCTGTTACCAGCTACTTGCATACACATCACAGAATGGGGCACACACGCCTGAACGTTTGCACCACTGTTGGAAGGGACCCACTGCCTCAGCTCACCAGGGGTGCTGGCCAGGCTATGTCCTCCTCCGGGGCGCCAGTTTGCTGACCTACAATATGCCCCATGCTCTTCCTCCCTCAAATGCATGGCAGGTGTGTGTTCAATACATGAGGGAGGACACACTAGGACGTGGATGTGAGGAAGTGCCTGGAACCCTGGAACCATATAGATACATTCATGAAACGGTCAGCCTGTGGGGGCCCTGTCTCCTTAGCTCTGGCCTTGAGTAGCACCTAAGATCATGTTTTGGTTGTAGCTTTTAAAAATTAAGATTAATAAACAGCCGGCCAGGTGCGGTGGCTCACGCCTGTAATCTCAGCACTTTGGGAGCCCCAGGTGCATGGATTGCTTGAGGTCAGAAGTTCCAAGACCAGCCTGGCCAACATGGTGAAACCCCGTCTCTACTAAAAATACAAAAAATAGCCAAGCATGGTGGGGCATGCCTGTAATCTCAGCTACTAGGGAGGCTAAGGCAGAAGGATCGCTTACACTTGGAAGGTGGAGATTGCAATGAGCTGAAATCAAGCCAATGCAGTCCAGCCTGGGCAACAGACGAGAGAAACTCTGTCTCCAAGAATAAAAAAGTAAAAACAAAAACAAAAACAAAAAACAACAACAACAACAAAAAAAAAAAAACAGCTAGGAGCATTTGAGAGTAGAATATAGACCCAGAATCACCACTTTTTCCCCCAGTGACACTCCGTGGAAATTGTTGTATCATAAACACGACACACCCAATCTACAGCCAAGAATCAAACTCAGATTGGAGATTTGTCACTTAATTTTGGAGGGGACTCTACAGCTTTTCAGAAAATCAAAAGATGAAAATCCTGTGAGGCCACAAGACGGTCCATGAATAGGGCAAGATGCCTCAAGGTTGCCAGGGAAAACCTAGACAAATGTGCTTTGTGAAATGTACAGAACCTCATCAGGTCCTCGACTGTCTGCCATTGTTTTCCGCATTCATTGCTGCACTTGTAACTCTCACTTTTTATACGGTTAGAAAAGTATCTGCAGTCTCTGCCTTGTCTTGTAAAGGGAGGCCAGTGACACAAGTCTGAGCTGGGTCAGCCCATTTCAAGGTCACACAGGCCAGGCTCAATGGAGAAGGTTTGCTGAGTGGATATGCGAATGAATAGACAAGGGCTGGGGGAGGGAAGGAAGGTAGAAAGGAAGGAGGGAAGGAAGGAAGGAGGGAAGGAAGGAAGGAGGGAGGGAGGGAGGGAAGGAAGGAGGGAGGGGGAAGGGAGGGACGGGGGAGGAAAAGAGGAAGAAGGAAGGGAGGAAAGGAGGGACAAAAGATGGGAGGAGGAAGGGAGGGAAGGAGGGATCAGGGAGGGAGGAAGGAAAGAAGGAAAGGAGGAAGGAAAAAGAAATGAAGGGAGGTAGGAAAGGAGAGAGACAAGGATGGGGGAAAGGGAGGAAAGGAGATGGGGGAGGGGTGGAGGGAGGGGGAGGGAGGAAGAAGGGAGGGAGGAAGGGAGAGAGGAAACGAGACAGAGAGGAGGGAAAGAGGGAAGGGTGAGGGAGGGAGGAGAGAGAGAAGAGGAAGGGAGAGAGGGAGGGAGGGAGGAAAGGAGAGAGAGAGGAGGGAAAGAGGAAACAGGGAGGGAGGGAGGAGAGATGGGGAAAGAGGGAAGGAAGGGAGGGAGGGAGGGAGGAAGGAAGAGGGAAGGAGGAAGGGAGGAAGGAAGGGAGGGAGGGAAGGAGGGAAGGAGGAAGGAAGGAAGAAAGGGAGGGAGGGAGGGAGAAAGGGAAGAAGGAGTGAGAGAGGCAGGCACACAAGGGAAGGAGGAAAAAATAGTGAGGAAGAAGGGAAGGAAGAAAAGAAAAGAGAGAAGAAATTTTTCCCAAGAAATTGACTAGTAAACTAAGGAAACAAACCACTGCTATCCCCAAATTTAAATATAAACTATAGTATTTTTTTAGTTAGAACTTCAGATTAGAGCCTGTTGGTTTTTCACAATGAATCATAGAAAATAATGTTCCATGGGGTAAAATCACCATGTTTATCCAGATCAAAACATGGTAGAGTGAACAATTTTTCTGTGGATAGGAGTTGTCTAGATAGATGGAGTGGATAATTATGCTTCATTCTCCCTCCCCCACACCTCGCCATTTGTTTTGCTTTAATTTTGTCTTAATTACACAGAAAATTAAGAAGAAAGTGGAGTCCCTAGGTTTTTGAATAATCTAGACAATGATATATATTTGGTGTGGCTTTATAGAGGCGCTTTCAAAATTATTTATGTGGCTCAGAGTGGAGGGGATTTCGTGGGCACCCAGGTCTCTGCAGAGACTCTCCCTAGATGCAGACTTGGTACCAAGCCTTCCTTCTGTAAAGGTAAGTTAGGGAAGACAAGGGCATGTTACAGCAAAACTGCAGCTTCTGTAGCTAAGTTGGGTTGCCTGGGGAGGCTACTCTCACAGATGATAGAGCTGGAAGGTGCTTTGAAGTTTCTCCTGCTCTATTGCTGAGTTGCTGGAAGATAGGACAACCAGAAGCAAGACCAGGAGGACACGGCTCAGGGCCCTCCTTTATTCTTCAAGTCAAGAAGCTGGCGGGATATTTCAGCAGCTGGATTCACGATGCATGCCTACTCTGTGTCTGTTGCTCTAAGTACTGTGTACATGTGCATACAACAACACCATCAACAACAATGTATATACAACAACAACACACATAGCAATAATAACAACATGCATGCAACAATAACATGCATACAACAATAACTATATGCATACAACAATAACTATATGCATACAACAACAATGTCAAAATAATGTATACACAACAACAATACACATATCAATAACAACATGCATACGACAATAATAACAAATGCATGCAACAATAGTAACAACTATATGCATACAACAACAAAAATATGCATACAATATGCATAAAACAACAACAAAACTATGCATACCACAATAGCAACCATATACATACAATAATACTGACAGTAGCTATATTACTGAGCGCTTACTGTGTATTTTACATAGAGGTTGCTTTGCACTCATGAGTAACTATTATCCCTAATTTAGAAACCAAGACAGCAAGCAAATTGCTGGAGATCACACAGCTACAAAGCAGAAGAGCCAGGTTTCAGATTGTGCTCTTAATTATAACCCTACTATGCCTTCGTGTGTAGCCAAAGGCACAGTAGACTGAGATTTACAGAGCATCACCTATAGGCTGACTTCTGTGATGTCCTGCACTCCCATCAGCCCATAGAAGCCCATTCACTTCTCGGGCTAACCCTGCCAGGTGGGTGCTATTGGCCGTGTTTTCTAGAGGGGGATGCCCATGATGGCCCGGGTCAGGCCATCTGTCTGTTTGCCAAGCACGTGGCATTCTATTGCACAAGTAGACAAATGCCCTGTGTGTCCTGTTGTAAACTTGAGGAGAGTAGACCTATATATATATATTTAGACTAGACCTAAATAGCAGCGACTCAGTCAGGGTCCTAGGGGGACCATCCCACAGAAGTTGGGGGAACCTGAGAACTGGGCATGCATGCTTGCGCACTGGTGCAGGGATCTTTCCCAGGGACAGAGATCTTTCAAGACTAAATGCCTAGACTGGTCAGCCTAGCACATTTAAGGGATTAAGTAACAATTGAAAGGTTCCCTCCTCTTTTACTTAACATCACAGGAAGCCAGAAAGCCTCAGAACCTGGGAATTCGCTATTAGCATTGCAAAAGAAAACAGCCCCAGAAAGCGATGGGCTCCCCGAAAAGGTCAGATCAGGTGGAGAGAGAAGCTAGTCCAGTAATAAGAGAGCCTCCTTTCGCAGGAAGGACTTTTTTTTTTTTTAGCTAAAAAAAGAGATTGCAGCAGATGAAATCTGCCTCATCTCACAGCCTCATCTAACCTATGTGGTCATCAGAACCCCCCTCCCACACACACACACACTCGCAAAAAAAGTTTCCTTAAATATTGCACGGCCGACTACTTTGCAAAGATTCTTTATCCCCATGGAACATTACTACTTTTTTTTTTCCCTTTTTGCAGCTTTAGAAAAATAGATAATTACTTCAGTTAATTTCAGCAAAACAGTTCAAACTCATCAGGGCTGAACAAGTATAATTTACTGCTCCTTCTGACTTATTGTTGTGACTAGATGTGGATTGATGATTAAAGTGGTAAACAGTAACATTTCTGTAAAATGGCTGACTCCGCTGCTGGCGTGTCAGGGGAGACACCTGCCCCAATGGCTGTGCCGCGATTGTCACTGTGCTCAAGGCTGTCAACAAAGAATATAAGTATTTGACAAGGTGTTATCTAATTGTGTTTTTAAAAGCCACGATACATACATCTTTTAATGTGTCACTTTAAGCAGCCAGAGACGTTCTTTTATTAAAAAATACAAAGGAAAAATGAATGCCTTGCATTTTCTTTTTTTTTCCCCTCTCCCTCTCTCTCTGTATTTTTTTTTCTCCTTTCCCTTTCCAAGCTCTGCCCTTTTGCTGTCATTCAGTGGAATATATTTTGCTTTTTAGTCAAATTGGCTTTTATTTAATTGTTGCCCAAAATAGCTCTGCCACATTAGGTCTATAAGAAGAAAGAACAGTATGTCCCGCAGACGATCTTTGCTTTGGCCCTGGTGGGAATTAGCCCATGGTCACAGAAAGCAAAGAACAAACCCTTTTGGATGCTCTTGGAGCCTTAAAGTGAGGGGTCCATGGGGGCTTCTCTGGGTCCTATAGAAGTGGGGCTGCCCTGTCTTCACCCTGCTCCCCACTGCACCCCCTCTCCTTTCCCAGGAGTTGTCCCTCTTCCTCCCCTGGGACTCTCATGCTTGCTTTCCCCTTTCCCTGCCTCTTATGTCCTGACACTAGAAAGGCTTGTTTCAGAGACTTCAACTCTTGAGGCAGACAGGTCTCCACACTCCAGGAAGTCAGGGAAAGGCCCTGGGCCCACCCAACTAGAACTATGCAAGTCAATGGTCCCCTACAGAGTTGGGGTCTTGAAAGAGCCAGAGAGAAGATTCTATCCACAAAAACTGCTTGGAGAAAGCAGGTGGTGGTTTGGGTGGGAGAGCAGTTCGAGGTACAAATAACCACAGTTCAAGAACATTGAGTTCTGGCCAGGCATGGTGGCTCACCACTGTAATCCCAGTGCTTTGGGAGGCCAAGGTGGGAGGATTGCTTAAGGCCAGGAGTTTGAGACCAGCCTGGGCAACATAGAGAGACCCCATATCTACAAAAAAATTAAAAAATAGCCAGGCATGGGGTCATAAGCCTGTAATGCCAGCTACTCGGGAGGCTGAGGCCAGAAGACAGCTTGAACTGAGGAGATCAAGGCTGCAGTGAACTATGATGTCAACACTGTACTCCAGTCTGGGCAAGAGAGAGAGACTCTATCTCTTAAAAAATAATTAAAAAAAAGAACCGTGATTTTCACCACTGTTGCCAGCTCCCAAGTGATGGAGGGAGGGTAATAAGGCAATGGCCAACCCCTGAGCTCCACATGGGGAAACGAAGGTCTCCAATCACAGTGAAAGCAGAGGGCCAGGCCTGGAATTCAGACTAGCTGAACTACTCTGGCCTGGCTGGCCCAACTTCATTGTGCCTCTCCTGGCTCTGGCTTCCTTGGCCACACTTTGAGACCTACCTCTGTGCGGTGCCCACTGCAGCCACCTGCACCTTGGGTCCCTCCTGCCCAAGCAGGATGCAGAAGAGCCTCCTCCTGGAAGAACTCAGTGCTGCCAGGGCAGCACTGAGCACACAGGCATGGCTCCCCTGGGTTGGCCTTCGGGGCAGCTGGGGGACAGAGGTTTCCAGGAGAGGGGGTGCCTCGAATCCCACACCTTACATCCACACCCGGTCCTCCTGCACTGCTCCTCTGTGCCAGCGTGGCTCAGACGTTGGCCTCGGCTGTCACTAAATGGAATGCAGGATCCAAGCAGCGGCTTCTCGCAGGGGAAACAGGAGAAGAGTGGGGAGGGAGGAGGCAGCACAGGCCGGCTAGCTGCAGCCAGGGAGGGGAGCAGGACCCCTCACCCAGGGGGTGCCCTGGTGTGCCCCCTGCCTCTCTCCAGCAGGCTCCACGGGGGTGTCCTGCAGACGAGCGCCTAATGATCTGGTCAAGGCAGCTATTTAATCCATCATAGTCAATGTCATGTGGTGAGTCAAGCAATTTGTTACCAGTTATGCAAAAAAGGCAGCAGCTAGTGCTGGAGGGAGGTAGGGAGAAAGGCGGCAGGCAGGTCACCACTTTCACACGGGGAGCAGGGGGAGACTGAGGAGGGAAAGAAGAGGGGAGGACCTGTGGCCTGACTCCCAGGGTCCCCAGCCTAGAAAGCAGCCCTGGAAACCAGCCTGGGACAGGCCCTGTGGCCTGGCCCCTGCCTTTCTGCACATGCCCTCAGAAAGTACACAGAGGTGCACAAGGAGAACCTGGCTGCTGGCCGTGTATGGACAGATGCTGGGTCAAATAGGCATTTCCTGTTCCTGGGCATGGTGACAGCTATACGTAAGATGAGGTCCAGGGCAAGTGACTCTGCGCACTCCAGGATTGAACGCCTATTGATTGTGCTTCTGGGGAATGCAGAGAAAGGTCCCTGGATCACTCATTGAACTTTGGTGTTTGATATTATATATGCAGTGCAGCTCTTGGTAGCCCCATGGAAGACATTCCACGTGGCATAGAGAGGATGAGACTAAGAAAAGGGGACATGGGACAGACTCTGAGGCTGGCTTGTCTCCAAGGACAATCAATGAGATCTTTAAGTCTAGACTCTTTTTTCCTCTTCTTCTCAGTGTCTACAAGGCTCTACTTTGAAAAGTCCACTCCATCTAGCAATCTAGCCATCTCATCCTCTCCAAAGTGCCTGAAGACCAGCCAGGCTGGCAGACCCCAGCTCTCAAGGCCAAGGAGATAGCCTTGATACCTTGGAGGTCTCTGTCAGTTGGGTGAATGACCAGCCCTTGTCCTGATAGCTTTTCTCTGTTCTTAGAGTCCTAAATTTCCAAGGGGGTGGGTGAGGGGCAGGGAGGAGAGGGAGAAACAAAGACAGCAAAACTCTGTTGCCCGCGGACTCTTGCCAGGTGGGGTCAGAGCCAAGGCTGCCTCGCCAAAGACTAGAAGAGTTTTGCTTTGCCAAAGAGTCACAGCCGGGTGTGCTGGGCCTGCCTACCTTTTTAGGAAATGCTCCATTTCAGAAAGTAGAAGTCATTCATAAGAGCCAGGCCTGAGGGCTGCTGGCTGGGTGTGGCCTGTCTGCTGCTGAATTCACAAGAGCTAGCCAGAAGGTTTGGAGAACCTGCCCCAAATCTCTTCCTCTCTGAAAAATCGGGCAATTTATCCCCAGCACAGTGGATGGCCTCTTAGTGAAGACCCTGAAGTCAGCCTCATGAGGTTCCTCCCTCACTGCTCAGAGACCCACTGCCCACAAAGGGTTTTGGTCACAGCGCAAGGAAGCTGGGGTTGGCCTGAAATTGCATCTGATACTGACAAGCAGAAAACCAGGAGGAGCTGCGAGATGGAAGAGAGCAGCGAGAAAGAGGCCGGAGCGAGGTAGGCCTCCAGTTGTGGGTATTTCTGACCAGTTTGATGGTTTTCACACAGCCTCTCCTCTCTGATCTGCCACACTTTCATTATAAATACCTGACAGCGTTTGCACGAAAGGATCTTTTTACAACAGGTCTAATGAAGGGTTCGGCTCCAGGTATATGGGAGAAGATGCTGGACTTGATGATGGCTTCTAAATGGTATGAATGTGAAAAACCTCAGAAAATAATAAACACATTTCAAGCGTTATACCTGTTTATTTCACACTTTCTTTAATATACCAATTATTCATGTAACACCTAAGTGAGAAATGCGCTATATCTAGCAATCACTTACAAGAATTTGCTAAACAGTAGCACAGCGGATATGTCCATCACCCGATCATTTATCTTCCTTCTATAACCGTGAACTTGCTGGCAAATGGGGGGTAAAGTTGATTTAATCTTTGGGCTTAGAAAAAAAAAAAAACCCAGAAGATATTTGTGATTATGAGACATTTGCTTTTCATTTCCACAGCCAGTTAGGATTCACAAACATGAAAATCCATTATGGAATGGTGTATAAACTGTGACCACGTCTTGTTCAGTCAATTAGTGAGCTGAGCCCGGGTGTGCTGCTTATCTGATAATCTGCATCTTTAGCTTGACAAAAATAAAGAAAATATTCAGAGATGGGGTTTAGAGCAAAGGAGGCCTTGGTTCATCCAGCCACACTTTGTATCCAGACACCCACATGCCTGACCCATTTTCTTTCCACATCCTAAAAATGGGTCTAACAAAAGAAGGTGATCAAATAAGTTGCCGGAAGGGGAAAAATGGAAAAAAAATCCCACTGCATTCCTGGGGTGTTGGGTACCCCTTAATTTAAACAGTCTCTCCATATCCTACTACTTGAAACCCTTTGTGCTGCCTCGATACCTTTATACAACACCAATGGATAATTTATCCCAAAATGGATGCTATTTTTGCTTTGCAAGAATTTGATGCATAGTGACTTGTGCATGGAAATTACTCTGCACATCTGTATTCTGATTATGATATTTAGTGCAAGGGTCATGAATAATAATATTGCTAAATATGCTTGTTGCCATCTATAAATAAAGGTTATCACACTAGAGAAGGTTTTGTTTTGGAGTGGCAGAACAAGGCAGGTTAGTTGCAAGACAATAGACCTTTAATTTTAATATGAAAATAAATACTTAAATTTATAAATATTCAAAAGATTTCCAAAGTGCAGGAGAAACATATCCATACCTAGTCAGTATGTGAGTACTAAGCTTTCCAAACTGCACTGAGAAAGTTTTCCAAGGCCACCTTCGTAGAGTTGAAAAGGAATTCTGAAGGGTGGTGCCCCTCTCCAAGGGATGTGTTTCTCTTGTCCTTCAATAAAATTATAGTTGGCAATTGAAAGTCCAACACAAACTATTTTCTTTCCTCAAACTGCTCCAGCAACCCATCAAAGCTGGCTGTGACTCAGAGAGAAAGGACACTGTGAAACAGTGGAATGGGGTGGCCAAGGAACAGTGATAGGATTTGGCTGTGTCCCCACCCAAATCTCACCTTGAATTGTAATAATCCCCTCATGTCAAGAGCAGGGCCAGGTGGAGATAATTGAATCGTGGGGGCAATTTCCCCCATACTGTTCTCATGGTAGTGAATAAATCTCACAAGATCTGATGATTTTATGAACAGGAGTTCCCCTGCACAAGCTCTCTCACCTGCCGCCATGGAAGACATGCCTTTGCTTCTCCTTTGCCTTCTGCCATGATTGTGAGGCCTCCCCAGCCATGTAGAACTGTGAGTCCATTAAACCTCTTGCCTTTATAAATTACCCAGTCTTGGGTATGTCTTTATTAGCAGCATGAGAACAGACTAATACAAACAGCCTGGGAGAGAAGGCAGTGGCAGTCCTGCACAAGTGTGAACAGTAAGGACACCCTCGGATCCCTGCCCTGACATCTCAAACATAACCATTGCTATATAAGAAAAATGGCCACTTTTCCTCTGCTAGTATCTACTTCTGGTCTGAATTCTCTTCCACCAAATGAGTGGGTGGCATTTGTCTTCATCATCCCTTTGAATTATCAGTTGTCTGTTGACATTGATCCAACAGTCTGGGAAGCAGGCCAGCTGTGCTGGGCTCTCCCAACCATACACATCTGGGCCATGCACAGGCCAGTGTGATTCAGGCCACACCAGAAGTCCTTGGTCTTCTCCTTTCTGCAGGTGCCCTTTGCCCCTTGCCAGTTTCTTGCCACCTGGGAAGGTTAGCAACCATCCTTCCCAAGGACTGGCCTTCCCTTCAACAGCTGGACATCTAAGAGGCTTTGTTTTATAAATGGGAACCACAGAAAACAAACACCAGAACTGGAAGCATCCTCTGAAGCAATCAAGTCCAAGCCTCTCACTCTGCAGCTGGAGGAACTGGCCCCAGAGACTGAAAGGGGCTCTGTGAGGTCACAGTACAGTGAGACCTGGACTCCAGTCTTCTGCCCCACATCTCCACTCCTCCTGGAACTGAAACAATGGGTGCTTACTTCCAGCTCTGCAAGTGGGCTGCAGGCTGTGATGCAAGCTCATAGCACACACAGAGAAAAAAGAGGTTAAAATCCATAGGACCTTTTTACAGAGACAGGGTGAAACACAAAGAAAGAAGCTCTTGCTTTCCCCAAACAAAGGAAAGACAAAGGCTTTGAAGGCCAAGAAAGCCTTGCTGAAAGGCATTGGAAGCCACAGAAAATGTGCATGTCACCCACTCTCCTTTGCCCAAGACACCAGGGCCCAAGTGCCCTAGGAAGAGAGGCCCCAGGAGGAACAAGCTTGACCATAAGGCAGCTGCCAAGCTACCCCTCACCACAAGTCAGCCAGAATGTGAGGACAACAGCACTTGGGTGTTTATTCTTCAATTCCATGTCCAACATTGATGGATGCCAGAAGGACGCCCACCAAGTATCCCTCCACTGAGGGGGTCAAGGCTCACACTCACCAGATCAGAGCCCATGAAGAACCTCCATGGGTTGACATGGCCAACATCAACACCGCCCAGGCCTGCTGGAGAGAAGGAGGCACAGGCCCAGCTCTCTCCAGCCATCACACTTTGTGAGTCACCAGAACAAAAGAGGATCATCTGGATGGAGCCCAGTGGGCTGGTTCTAAATATAATCAACATTTTACTATCTTTAAAGATGATCCTCTGGGGATAGATGCTAGAAGTGTCATGCTCATATCCCCCTCCACATGGCACCCCTAGACACCAAAGTCTGCATAGAGGGAACCCCTGGGAATTTCTGTCTGCAGACATTTTTCTAGTGATGAAAATACACTCAGGCTGCACACAGGGCAGGCTGGAAGTGCCAGAGGGTTAATTCCACTACAAGCAACCCTCCATCAATGATGGATACAGAGTTGAAGAATGAACACCCCAGCTTCCTTGCTGCTCCACTGGGTGGACTCTAAGCCCAGCTCTACCTTGTCCCCCAGTGCTGCTCACTATGGTGACCAGCTTGGTAACACACCCTTCTTTTTGCTTTGCTTTTTGTCCTTGCTTCATTTCTTTATCCCCTACCTGTGCTTCCTGAGATCACCCCCAAATAAACAGTTTGCACTCCATTCTCAAACATCCATAACCTGAGGGCTGCCAGTAGAAGGAGGTAATCGGTTTCAACAGCAACAACAGTTCAAGAAAAACATGGTTGTGGGTGGACTCCTCAACTTCAAAAGAAAATAATCAAAAGAAAAGAAAACCCTCTTCTCATTGTTCAAGCAACCTCTTAAACCAAAGTGTGGCTCTATTGTTGCTATCTCCAGCAGGAAGAGTCAACATCGCTGCCTTTCATGGCCTGTAAGAGCCAACAGAGGGTCTAGGGCACAGAATCCTGGAATCAGAGGGACCTCGGGCAATGCAGAGCCTTTCTTCCATGGAAACCATGCAGATGGTTGCAACCAACACAAAGAGCAGATGCAAATACAGATGGTGGTAACCGATGCAAAGAGCCCTCCCAAGCATGGCCCTAGGGTTGGAAGGTGATAATTAATAGGAGGTTCCTTCCTATTGAGAACCAAAATCTAATGTCCTCTAACTTTCTCTAAATCCCTCTTCTCAGGTCTCTTGGGGATTCTCCAGCACATTCAGAAACACCCCAGCTCCCTTTCACCAAGTCTGAATAGCTCTATTCTTTTGGCCACACCTCACATCCCAATGTTTCCAAAACATGCTTGTCTTTAGAATGCTTCTATGACGCTTGCCATATTCGCATGTCACCTGTACTATTATTTCCTTACTTAAAAAAATAACTAATTCTTTTTTATTTTTTAAGAAAATTTATTCCAAAAGGAAGCTCTATAACTGAACCATAAACGGAAGCCCAGGAGTACTCAACATAATTAGAAAATATTCACACAAATAAAACAATGAAAACATGAGAGTGTTATTAAACACCAGCTAGAAGCAATTGCCTGAAAAGGTTCTGGGCCTAAGACCTTCTCTCTCTGGGTTAAAAACTGTGATGAGCAAATGTTGGAGAGGTGTTAAAGGCAGAGCAGCACCAAACTGATACTTTCTTCTTGGTTTGGATCAGAAAAATTAGAAAAAAAATGGAAACAGGAATGCATTTCCCATGATGTTTGTGTGCAACTCCCTGTGTGAGTGGTCCCCTCACACAGGGAAACTGCCACCTCATGTGCTTCAGGACCTCCCATCCTCTTGCTTCTCCCCATTGGCTGGCCTTAGTCTGCCAATCTCCTCCTCAAAGGGGTCAACTGGGGCCAAACAGGTAGGACCTTGTCCCCCTCACTGACCATGGTGATCAGGACCCTCAATTCCTACTAATGCAGTCATGACCACATATGTATCTAAAGAGACTCTGGGCTCAGGGCTGTACCTGGCATGCCACTGCCGTGGTGATGCTCAACAGTTAGGTGACAGAACACTCTGCTTTTTCTGCTAGGGTGCTGTCTGCCAAAATGACCCCAGACCACCATATGAGCCAGTAAAGATCAGCGCCTAACAATGTGACCTCCAGCCCAGCAGGTGCATCTGTGATTCAAAGCACAGCTGCCGCCTGAGGGAGCTCACTGGGAAGCCACGTGTTGCTCTGGGATGAAGACTGAGTGCACTTTGCAGCTGGGGCCTATGAGATCTAGAGGGACTCCCACAAGAGGAAGAAGAGTGCCACAAGTGGCAAGGCCATGCATGCACCAACTGATTGCAAGACGTTAGTAAACAGAAGTGCCTTTTTAATGCACCAATTACAGAAGCAACTTCAACTTAACCTTCTGGACCTCAGACTGAGCACTGCTACAGGCTGCAAATTTAATGGGGAATAAGCAGGTCAGAAAGGGTTTGCATGCATGCAGGCTCCGGGCTTCTCCCTCGTCTCTCATAAAGCATGCCTCGACTCGTTTAGCTCTGCAAGCACCACTCCCATGGCCAGTCTTCCAGGGATGGAGCTTTTCCCCAGAAGTCTGCCACCTAAAACATGTCCTTGTTAATCCTTTCAGGGAATGAAGTCTCCAGTTTAGGAGGCTGAAGATCAATAGTTCGACTGACAATGAAGGGTATGAGTGATGGCATGCTGGAGCAGGCTGCCCAGGACAGTCTAACCAGGCCCTTCAGTATTGCCTGGATCCTGCCATGTCTGCTAGGCCAGGAAGCAAAACCAGGCACCCCCGGGGGATGAGCACTTCAAGGGCTTCACCATGGGTGATGGAGACCATGCTTGCCATAATTAAGTGGCTCGGAGAATGGGAGAGTAATACCAACTGATCTTGATTTAGTTGGGAAAATGCATTCTATCATTTGTTGTTAACTATTAAAGCCATTTAAACCCTTCTGAGAATAGATCTAACATTGGACTGCTTTGAAGGTTTGATATGTCTTGTAATCCATAGATTATTGAAGTTAATTTCTCTGCTGAGATCCTGCTATCAGTGAAATTGCATGCACACTCAAAAGTTAAAAAAATAAAAAGAAAAATCTTTGCAATTGGATTTCTGCTATGTCTCTCAGTCCAGAAAAGTAGCAATGATGGGAAAGGCTGGTTGAGGATCTAGAAGGAAAAAGGTATCATAGCTCCTCTTAAATCTTCAAGATATGTGTGGACAGAGTCATGTTATTTGTCCTTTACACATTTAGAAATCTTTTTAGTTGTTCTTAGAGAGTCCCTTATAGAATAAGCTAAAGTAAGCAATAAGTACTGATTTATATCACTGCAAATCATTTTTCCATACTTTCAATTAATTTTAATTGAATCTCTTCCTCATGATTTTCATATACTTTTAAATGAGTTTCAGTTGTAGAGTTAGAATGCAACTGATTCTTGAAGTTGACAAGTTTTAGTTTTTGATCATAGATTATTACATAATGTTGACAAGTGTTTCTTGGACTACAAGACTGCATATTAAATACTATGCAATACTCATGGTACTCTCCATCCACACACTATTTTACAGGTGGGCAAAAAGCAGGCTGTGTTGAACCTGTAATTAATTTCCAGAAGGTACAGTTGCTTCATTGCTTACCAGCTTATGACCATCCTCTAGAAGTTGGCTGGCCAGGAGAGCCTTTTTAAAAATGATAGTCAATAGTGGAAATTATATCAAGTACCAGAAGGGGAAAGGAAGGCAGAAAAAGAAGGAAGGAAGGAAACTCCATGGCTTTTTGAGTTGATTTTCAAAAGGTGCTCTTATGTCAGTTACTCCTTCAGTTACATGCATTTGTCCACCTGATTCTGAATTCATTTGTCTTCCTCTCCAGAAGGTTGACCTTAGGACTTACGTGACTAACATGCAATAGAACATGGTGGCCGCACATTCTCACTAACCAGCGCATGCTGGGACCCATTTATGGGATTTCCACTCCCCTTTTTGCCTCTATAGAACAATGAAGCAACCTAGTTGTCCATCAAAATTTCTTCCATCCAGCGACGGAACCAGGATAAGCAGAGGGTATTCACATTAACGAGACTTGGGCAACCTGTTTCAGAGAAGTTGTTGTCAGCTAGATGTTACGGATGATAAAACTCAGTCTTAGAAATAGCTTGTAACTTGCCCAAATATACATAGCTATTAAGTGGCAGAGGTGGGATCCAAACAGACTAAGTGTAAGCTCCAGGAGGGCAGGGGTGATTGGGGGATTAGAGGAAGTATATAGAGGATCTTGTCTGATTGACTGATACGTATGAGCTCAGTGTATGTTTCTGGGATAAAAGAAAATATTAGCTCAAACACCTTTCCACTGCAGTGTGACAAATACTGATATTTCAGACATCAAGTTATGTGGTACAGACAATGAAAGTTCCTTGGACATCAAGTGGGAGAAGACTTGTATTACCTAGTGTCAACAGGAAAGGCTTGTTGGGGGACGTGAGGCTTGACACAGCCCTGAAATGACGGGTAGGAGGGCAGGAGGGAAGGTCATCAGGGGAGATGGGAAGATGCAGAGTTGGAGATGAGAAAGATAGCAGGGATGAGACTGGGCTGCTTGAGACAGAAGGCTTATGGTTGGCTGGGGCTGGCTGTTGATTCTAGATGCATAAAAGGCTTGGTAACCCCAAGCAGTGGCATCCCACCCTGAGCCAATGGGCAGCTTCCCTGGATGAGAGAACCACTTTCTCAGTGCCCAGCTAATACTCCCAAGATCTATTAACCCTTTCTGACCACCAGGGCCACAGTCATGGCTCTAGGGTCTCCATCAATAGCCGAGCTTGTCAAGCTTGAAGAGTTGTTTACTTCATTCATTTGTTCATCTGTTCATCCATCCATTCATCCATCCATCTACTATTCATCCCTTCATTCAGTATTCTACAATATTTTGAGAATCTACTCTGTGCCAGGCACTGTGCCAGGACCTAGAAATACATTGGTTGCTGCCCTCATGAGGATTACAGTCCCTTTAAGTGTCCATGTACAGAAAGCACTTTCTGTTCCTACCAACGTCAAGATTGCTGAAAAGCTGAAAATGAATCAACTTAGCCTATTTCTTGGGCCTTCTCAAAATGCTTAAGACTGTATCTTCTTTTCTTCTTTTTCTTTTTCTTTTTTTTTTTGAGTGGCAAGTTCTGTTGCCCAGGCTGGAGTGCAGTGGCACAATCATGGCCACTGAATTCCAGCCAGGGCAACAGAGTGAGACACTTGCCTGCTGGGCTCAAGCAATCCTCCCACCTCAGCCTCCCAAGTAGCTGGGACTAGAGGCACATACCAACATGCCCAGCTAATTTTTAAGTATTTTTGTAGAGAGGGGGTCTGGCTATGTTTCCTAGGCTGGTCTTGAACTCCTGGCCTCAAGCAATTCTCCTGCCTCGGCCTCCCAAAGTGCAGGGATTGCAGGCGTGAGCCACCACACCCAACCAAGACTGTCTCTAAAGTAGTTTTGATCTGAGAGAAAAGACAATTTCCTAAGCTGCAGAAGGCTAAATTAGAACATACAAACAAAGAGGAAAGTTCTGCAAGGTGCAGACTTGAGAAATGATGATGAATCAGGGAGGAGGGAGACCTGTGTTGCTCTGGAAGGCTTTATTAAAGAACAGAAAAAGAGAGCTAATCCCGAAGGCTGGACATGGATTGGCAGAGAGAAGCTGGAGGGCATTTTGGGCTGTGTCTCCAGGGTCTTCACACATTCTCTGAACTGTACTTTGCATAGATATATATCCATGTGGAGAGAGAGTCACACACTTTTATTTAATCAGGAGTGCTGTAGCACCGCAGGGAAAGAAAGCGTAACCGCAGGGCCATCGGGGGAGCCACACTTTCCACTACACCCAGACTAAACACACAGCACCTTCACTAACAGCTTTCTTACCACTGATCCCTTATCCTCCCGCTGCTGGGGGATTTGAAAGTGTAAATAACACGACAGCTAAGAGGCGTTATCTGCCTGAGTCCCACAAGGAGCAGGGGAGAGGAGGTCCTTCCAGCTGCTGCTCACCACTTGCAGCAGGATACAGGAGGTGGAGCCCAGACTTGCTGGGGGATGTGAGGCTTAACATGGGCCTGGAATGATGGATAGGAGGGCAGGAGGGAAGGACATCAGGGGAGATAGGAAGATGCAGCGTTGGAGATGAGAAAAGTAGCAGGGATGAGACTGGGTTGCTTGGAACACACAGGGATTGTGGTTGGCCAGGGCTGACTGTTGATTCTAGATGCATAAAAGGCTTGGTAACCCCAAGCAGTAGCATCCCACCCTGAGCCAATGGGCAGTTTCCCTGAGTGAGAGAACCACTTTCTCAGTGTCCAGCTAATACTCCCAAGATCTATTAACCCTTTCTGACCACCAGGGCCAGAATCACGGCTCTCGGGTCTCCATCAATAGCCGAGCTCGTCAAGCTTGAAGAGTTGTTTACTTCATTCATTTGTTCATCCATTCATCCATCTGTCTGTTATTTCATCCCTTCATTCACTATTCTACAATATCTTGAGGACCTACTCTGTGCTAGTCACTGTGCCAGTAGCTAGGAATGCATTGATTGCTGCCCTCATGAGGACTACAGCCCCTTCAAGGGTCCATGTACAGAAAGCACTGCTTTCTGTTCCTACTGACACTCAGGGGCTAGGGGTCAGCCCCATCCGGAGCCTTGATTCTGGAAGGAAGTGTTCAAGTGTGGGGCACTTCTTAAGCATCTGGGTGGAGCTGCAGGCCAGGACCCATACATACACACACACCAAAAGCACACCCATTCCAGCTGCCGAGGAAGCCCTTCTCCCAATAAAGTGTAGTGCCTGCTAGTCACCCTGGCTTGCCAATGGCCTCTCTGCCTCTCAGAACAGTTGCTCCCTGCACTGCAGCCAGACAGAAAGATCTCTGTTGGAGCCACCCGGGGCATCTCCCCACCAGCCTGGAGAAAGGCCAAAGGGGCTGAGGGTCCTTTCAACAGCATCACACAGCATGGCCCTGTTCTGCTCAGGGACTGTCCTCCTGTGACTCCCACACTTTTCTTAGAAATACCACTCAGAGACCAGGAACTCCTTCCAACAGGTCTCATGACTGTCAGTGTTGATAAGGCCCATGGGGACTACCTAGTGCTACCCCTCATGGCACAGATGAGGAACCTTAGGCCTACAGAGGTCTGGGGCTTACTTAAAGTCAATCAAGGAGCTAGTGAGAGGCCAGACAGGTGTCTCATGCTTGTAATCCCAGGACTTTGGGAGGCTGAGTTAGGAGGATCCCTAAGGCCAGGGGTTCAGGACCAGTCTGAGTAACATAGTGAGACCACATCTGATATGGTTTGGCTGTGTCCCCATCCAAATCTCATCTTGAATTGTAGCTCCCATAATTCCCACGTGTTGTGGGAGGGACCCAGTGGGAGATCATTGAATCATGGGGATGGTTTCCCCCACACTGTTTTCATGGTAGCAAATAAGTCCCACGACATCTGATGGTTCTATGAGGGGTTTCCCTTTCCACTTGGCTGTCATTCCCTCTCTTGTCTGCTGCCATGTAAGACGTGCCTTTCACCTTCCACCAGCCATGATTGTGAGGCCTCCCCAGTCACAAAGAACTGTGAGTCCATTAAACCTCTTTTTCTTTATAAATAACCTAGTCTTGGGTATGTCTTTATCAGCAGTGTGAGAACAGACTAATACATCGTCTCTATAAAAAATAAAAAAATTAGCCTGGCATAATGGCATGCACCTGTAGTCCCAGGTACTCAGGAGGCTGAGGCAGGAGGATCACTTGAGCCCAGGAGTTTGAGGCTGCAGTGAGCTATGAGCTATGATCACACCACTGGTCATTTGCACCTGGGTGAGAGAATTAGACCCTGTCTGAAAAAAAAAAAAAAAAAAAAAAAAGAGAAACTAGGAAGAGAAGCCAGGACATCAGCTGTGTAGAGAATTGGAAGCTGCAGCATGTAGAGAATTGTTTTCAACTGTGTGAGCAGTAGAATCACACCCACAGGCTCCCTTGGCAGTAGGCACCCTATAGAGCTTCGGCCTCCTCCCTTTGGTGCACGTCTGCCCATTGTGTGTCACTGCCTCGGTCTCCCTGAACTTCCAGATTACATTGTTTTCCCAGCTGCCAGCCAAAGCTTCCAGAGCTGAAAGTGAGTCTTTGCTACCAACAACATGGCCAAAAGCTGCCTCACCTCTGGGGAAGCAGGACCGCGGACCCTCACCTCTCTTTTTTCCCTCAGAGGATTCCACTGGGAATCCTGCGACATTCAGTGTCTTCCTGACTCTTGGACATAACTCCTTCTTTTTTGTTTTGTTTTGTTTTTGTTTTGTTTTACACAGAGGAGTCTCGCTCTGGCTCTGTCACCAGGCTGGAGTGCAGTGGCACGATCTCAGCTTACTGCAACCTCTGCCTCCTGGGTTCAAGCAATTCTCCTGCCTCAGCTTCCCGAGTAGCTGGGATAATAGGTGCACCACCATGCCCGGCTAATTTTAGTATTTTTAGTAGAGATGGGGTTTCACCATGTTGGCCAGGCTGGTCTTGAACTCCTGACCTCGTGATCCGCCCACCTCGGCCTCCCAAAGTGCTGAGATTACAGGGGTGAGCCATTGCGCTGGCCCACTCCTTTTCTTTACTGTCCTGCTTCCAGCCACAGACATCCAGAAAGTCCTCCCAAGAAAGGACACAGCCATCAGCTGATCTCGGCCTCTCTCTGTCCCCTGCAAGAGCTGTTTCCAGTCCTCAAAGCCAAATCTTCAACCACCACAAGCAACTGTAACTTTTTTTTTCTTTTCTTTTTGAGATGGACCCTGGCTCTGTTGCCTAGGCTGGAATGCAGTGGCACAATCTCAGCTCACTGCAACCTCGACCTCCCGGGTTCAAGTGATTCTTGTGCCTCAGCCACCTGAGTAGCTGGGACTACAGGCGCCCACCACCATGCCCAGCTAATTTTTGTATTTTTAGTAGAGAAAGAGTTTCACTGTGTTGGCCAGACTGGTCTCAAACTCCTGACCTCAAGTGATTCTCCCGCCTTGCCTCTCAAAGTGCTGGGATTACAGGCGGGAGCCACTGTCTCCAGCAACTCTAACTTTCCATCATAAATTTAGAGGCAGGAGAAGTAGTTGAACTTATTAGTTGACTATTATTTCTTTTTCTAAATAAGTAGTTTTACTTACATAGTGAATTTGATCAGGTCTGCTTTTCTAAATTCAGATGGAATATCAGATTTTGGAGTTTCTAAAGCAAGCTTTTCCTGCTCATAATTCCAGAAGCTAATACCCAATTCTTCTAGGAAAATCACTTCCAGATCGAATGAGGACCGATGGGCTCCTACAGGTCTTGGAAAATGCTGGGGCCACCTGCAGTCACAGCTGTCCACTTCCTGTGGACACAGTCTCTGCTGCCCCCATCTGATCCATGGAGGATGTCAGTGGGGTCACCAGCAGGGAGAGTTCCAAGCAGCCAGGAGCTGGAGTTGCTCTGACCACTGTGGAGACCCTGGTGAGAAACGGGCCCAAAGGGGAGGAAGAAAAGAGTAGGATGAGCTGGAATTTCCTCGAGACCCTATTGTTTCTGCAGCTCCACACAGGATCATAGGAGCCTGAACCCAGAGGGCTTAGATGACGTCTGGGCCAGAGCATCCATTGGCTGAGACACAGCAGCTCCTCAGCCTCCTTTGGAAGAGGGGCTGGGAGAGTCTTGCTCCCAGCACCACTACAGCATACCCTCCCTGGCATGCCCGCAGAAACACACAGGTACCCCACTCCACAGACAGAGCCCCTGCTTTTGCATGTGGAGGTGTGCCTCACTAATCTTGGCTTCTCGGGCACCTGACCACAGTTGTGCTGAGTACACCCACACCTACTAGGGTCAGACTCTGGATGCCAGTGCCTTGAAAGACACCATTTCCCATCCATCAAGGGCAGGAGGAGCATTTGAGAAACTCGCTGCAAGACCATAGGTCTCTTCAGCATGGGCCCTTCCCTGTAGCACAAACCAGAAAGCATAAGGGGGACCTAGAACTCCGAGTAGGGTACAGCAGGGAAGGGGTCCCCAGCCCGGGGCTCTCTGTGGCCTGGACCCAATGTTGGCCATTGGGGCAGCTCAGGTGCATTGCCAATACCAGAACCACTGGGTGAACATGGATCCCCTGAGGGCAAGAGAGCAGGAGAGGACCTTGAAGATGAGGGAGGGAGCCAGCAAGGGGTGACAGGGAGAGGGAGGCCAGGGGCTTTCAGACTCAGCAACTGCGTCTGCTCAATCCCAGCCATGGGCCTTTGGAACTAGGACATTGTGAAGAAGCCATACAATCTTTCAAGACAGCTTTCTTAAAAAGAGTCTACCAGCAGAAAGAAGAAAGGAAGTTTTCCTTGTGGGAAGAATGGGTTCAGTGGTGGTAAAGCAGGTGGTTGTAGGAAAGACCTCAGAGCATACCAGAAAAACATAATGGAACATCTCACCAGAGTGCTGTCCTGAGACTGAAGGAATTAAAACATCTTCTAAAGTATTAGATTCACCCTGCCACACCACTGTCCATATAACTCAATGTGCCCCTTGGGGATGTGGGGACAGAAAGAGATTGATTGCATTAGTACCTACAAGGCTCATGCCTCCTTCATCCATGCCCTCTGCTAGGTTCCTCCCACACTGACTCTGGGTGTGGCCATGTGACTGTGGCCGGTGGGATGATTGATGGTAACTTTGCAAGCAGAATTGGGCAGAAGTGCCTCTGCGTTTCCATTTGCTCTCTTGGAAGAGCCTCCATCATGAGAACGAGCCCAGGCTAACCTGCTGGAGATGAGAGACCACACAGAACAGAACTAAGGAACCCCAGTCAAAGCCATCCTAGACCAGCCATCCTCCAGCTGACCTAGCCACCTACTGAATCATGAGGAAGTCCAGTGAAGATCAGTTGAGCCTAGCCAGGATCAGCAGGATCACCCAGCTGACCCAAAGACCTGTGAGAAAACATAAATTGCTGTTGTTTTACCCACTAAGTTTGTAACACGGCAGTAGCTAACTGCTATAGCTGTCATGGAAAACCCATTAGTCATTCGATCAGGTGCAAGCCATTTTCTTCTTCTTGTTTTACCTCTCTAAACTCTCTTACACTCCAAAGATAGAACACAGATAGTGATTTTCTAGCTATAAGTAAAAGAACAACTAGCCTGTAACTCACAGTTAATGATCAATAACTAAGTCTTAGAAACAGGGTTAAAGACTTTACATGTGTAATCTTATATAGTTATGTCAGGTAGATACTATTATTATTTCTATGAGGAATCTGGAGCCCAGAAAAGCTAAGCAGCCTGACCAAGGTCACAGCCTCCAGCAGTAGAACTGGGCCACAAACTCAATTCCAGCGGATGCCAAAGCTTGTACTCTGAAATGGTCCCCTAAGGTACAAATGAGCCTGCCCAGAACCTGGATAACTCTCTTTTGACTAAATCCCAATGCCTGATAAATGGCCCATGAGAGCCCTATGGCCTGGTAAGTGGAGCTGGGTGTCAAGCCTACGGTGAGCAGTGTCGGGCCTCAAGTTGTCCTTCCTGCTCTGCAAAGTGAACAACTTTCCAACCTAGATGTTTCTTGAAGAGGCCAGTATTTCAAGAGCTCAAAAGATGCACGTGAGTATTCTGCAAAAAACTAGACCTAAACAATTCCATTGCATGAGCAGTGCCCAATATGGGAAGAGCTCATTCCTCATGTCGTATAACCCAAGGACCAGCCAGAAAAACTTACATAGAGACCAGGCCAGAGATTCCGTGCTCAGATGCAGCCAAGAAAAAGCCAAGATGTCCAGCATGACAACCGAAAAAGAACTGGAACAGGAAGACCTGTGGATGTTTGCTTTGCCAAGGCAGGCATTATGCCTGGGCTCAGAATTCCAGGGTCCCTACTGTGGCCCATCCCCAGTGGGTGACTGAGCTGGCTCTTAGTTAAAACACTGCGCTTCGCGGGCCAACCTTCCCCAGGAACTAGGAAACCCTCTCTAGTGACCAGGTTTCTATAATATCAGGTCTCTGAGTCAGAGGAACATTTTTTTCTTTAATCTGAAATTGCCGGGCTGACTTTACAGCATCTCTCCAGAAACCCCTTCAGATTCCACCTCTGAACTTTAAAACAACAATTTTATTTAGAGAGCTGATTTATTTGCAAGTAAATAGGATACAGGGTGGGTGAAGTAAAAAGAACCAGGAGGCAGTTATTGGATTTATCAGCACAAAAGCCGCACTGTTGCCGGCAACAGAGGCTCTCCCATCCCTGTACCTTTCAAAACTAATATGTAACCATATCTGTTTTAAAAGAGTGATTCATTTTCCTCCCATTGCCTGCGAAACTCTCTTCATCCCCACCACAGGAAACTTGAGTCTGATTTTAATGAGCTTCAATTGGAATGTGGCCTTTGAAAAGTAGTGCATTTGAAAAGATGGAACATTAAATTTTGTAATGATGTAAAACATCTTCAATTTTTGACAGGACAATGGTGCTTATTGTACTTTATGAGTCCACTGGCGATTCAAAGGTCACTTTGTATATGACTCCACAGACAGGGGCAGCACTGAATGAAAATTAGGTTACATGTGATCAGCTTTATTATTAATCAGACGAAAATGGATTTTTAACATTTTTCTAATGAGCAACAGAGAAAGAAGAAAATACCACGAATAAAACTACAGAAGAACTAGAATGACCCAGGCTAAAAATGTACCATGGCCATATCTAAAAACGCGCTTTAAATCTGCAATACTTAAATACTATCTCAAGGAATAAAATGCAGCTGCATATCTTGGTGTCGTAAATACACAGAAAACTGCTGAAATACCTACTCTAATTTACTATCTCTGTCCTTTGTTTATAACTAACTAATGAACTGACTTCTCTGCACAGTATATTACCCCAACCCCCAAGAACACCAGGCTGGCTGAAGTTGTGTCACTATTTCCATGATAAATCCTGTTTTTCGGGGGTTTATAACTCAGCTGTAAATATGTAATTCAGACTAAAACTTGGCATACAAGGCCTTAACCATGAAGCAAATTTACACCACAACTGCCACTCCACCCCCATCTAATTTTTTAAAGCTTTCTTCTATGTGTGATATTTTGGTATTAAAGAGCCGGGGTATTAAAATGAAGGAGAAAAAAACATGCACAATAAATAATCGTTGAAGAGTTGGTGGCTTTTGCTTTCATTTCTTATTCAAATCAAAAAGCTACTTTTCAAGATGCTGTTTGCAAAACCTATCAAGGTGTTTAAGAAACAAAACAACAACAACAACAAAAAACAGACTTCAAATCCCAAACAAATAAAACCAGGCAAAAGAGTATTTAAAGTACAACTGTGAGGAGCATGTGAACCAGGGAAACTGAGGCAGGGATGTGCCGGCTTGCAGAGTGCCTCCCTAAAGAGACATGCAACTCCAGGAAAGGCCGGATCCTCTTGTCTGACTGTTCCCCTTGGAAGACGGCTGAGTTGCTGAAAGCATTGCCCAGGACAAGAAAGCCTCCAGTCCCCACGTGGACCAGGTGGATTTGCAGGAAGAAAACTCCACAAGCCTCACTGTGAGCACCCAGTCCCCTGGGACTGGACACTGTGGGCTGCAGAGGAAAGTGAGGCAGGGGGTATGGATGGTGCATGGCAGTGGGTCCCCATGACCAGGAACAGAACCTGGCTGTCCAGCCCACAGTATCAGACATGAGCGCCACTAGCGTAGAAGAGCACAGCCTATCTGCAGCTTCTGGACAGCTGTCAATTCCCCAGGAGGTCAGAAAGAAGTCAATAAAGAAGACAGAGGGAAAAGATTGAAGTTCAACCATGAAACTGGGGCTCCCAAGATGTCAAGGACAGGGGTGGGGCTCTGGAGAAGGAGGACCCAGGTGGGGCTTGAGATAGCAGTGGAGATGGAGGAACGATGGGGGAAGGAGACAGAGCGGGAGACGCAGGCTTGGAACAGAGTGTCCTATCTGCATCGTCACTGACACCGGAACAAGGACCTCCATCCTGGGCTCAGTCACCACAACAGCCTCCTTCCCGGCCTCCTACCTTCCCACCCATGGGTCCCCCACGCCCAGCAGCCTGCTCTCTCCAAATCGTCTCATGCTCTGCAGAGGCTTTCCTTCCTGCCTGGTGGAAAAGCCAGGGTCAGAGGCACTATGGCATCTGTGGGACCCACTGCAAAAGAGAAATGCAGGACCCTTGGCTCAAACATCATTAAGAATTCCAATGTGGGCACACTTGACCCTTATACCATGAGCCGAGCCCTTCTCAGTGTAGGCCTTAAGGGACTGCATGGGGCGCACACCCCATGAAGCTGGCCTCTGCCGGAGTCGCTCTTGTGGCCACAAGGCCTAGGCCATTTCTGTGACCCGTCCCTCCCCCTCTTCTACATATTCTCTCTCCAAAGTTCTCTGAACTGTACATGCTGCTGTCCTCAGGGCCTCACCCAAGTGTGCGCCCCACATCCTCCGAGGAACGCACTGGCTTCCTTCAAATCCCTGGGTGTCACTGCACAGGCCTTGTCTCTGTCCACCTCTGGAAAGTAGCAGCACCCCCGGCACTCCCTAACTCCTGGTTTGCCTTATTTCTCTCCATAGCCTTCTCACCATCTAACCTACCCGTTATTCCATTTGCCCACTGCCCTCTAGACTGTGAGCTGCCTGAAGGCAGGGAGGAGTTTTTGCCTCCTTTCTGGACCGCTGGGTCTCTGATACCTAGGAAAGGATCTGGTGCACAGGAACCATCAGGAAATATTTGCTGGATGACTGAGCAAGACAGATGTCGCTACTCCCTCAGTCTCGCTCCTCTTGCTGCAATAGATGGTGGTGGCCACCTGGGCGGGCAGGATCATCTTCAGGAGGCCAACAGAGCAAGGCTCTGGATGGGAGGGGTGGTGTCCAGCCACCACTGACTGAGAGGTCCTGGGAGTAGGGGACCATACCATGCCAACAAAGTCCTATCCCATGGAGGGGCTGTCCATGGAGGGAAGTGCCCGGCGGGGCATAGCAAAGGAGAAACAGGTTCACAGGTCTAGGGCTTCTGGCTGTTTTTGTGCATTTCCATGCCCTAATGTTGAGAAGAGTGCCTGGCATAGGAGAGATGTTCCATCAATGCTTGCTTGCTGAATGAATGAATGAATGAATGAATGAATGGATAAATTCTGCTGCAGAGTACCTCCTGACCATGTTTCCTGACAACTCAGTAATCCCCTGCACAGACAACAAGGAGTGGAGGTAAGGACTACATGAGCAGAGACAGGCTGTGTAGACCTGTCCCAGTGTAGACTGACAAACCCAGATGACGAACTACAGCCCACAGCCTTCCTGCCATCACTTTCCGATGCATGGCTGCACTAGACTAAATTCAAGCCACGCTAGACCTTAGCCTCTCACCTTTAAAAAAAAATCGAATAGGATTTAGCAGAAGTCAGGAGGGAAAAACTCATTGATTAAAAAATGTATTTTTAGTTTTATTTTATAACAAATACATAGATATTATAGTATACAAACAGATAGATCTATACACTTGATCATGATGAAGTGCATACCTTCAGTTTTGTTGCTGTGACATGGCCTGGCCTGGCATGAGCTCTTCACAGCATGGGATTACATGGGCTTCAAGCTAAGTGAGCATGCAAGCTCCCCTGTAAGAAGAATGCTGGATTGACCGGAAGCCAGAAAGGCCTTAAGGCAACGCCTGTCTCTGCTGAATCCTGCCCTTGCTATTCAAGCCCAATGTCTTTGGCTGGACCTTGGGCATCAGTGAGGGAAAGAGGTCATTGCTATTGTGACCAACCGTTAGCATCAGTTGAGCACCTAATGGGGGCCACCCACAAGCCAACTTCCCCAAGGCAAGGTATAGCTCAGCAGCAGGAGGCAGTGGGCTTGGGAGTTGCACCTCTGGGCCTTTCTTTGCAGAGGAACCCACCTGGGATCCTGGCTTCTTTTCTTGAAGGGTCTCTTCCCCCAGTCTTTCATGCTTACCCTGGTTCTCTGATCCCATTGCAAATTCACCCCCATGCATGGAGAACATCACAAATAGTTTTAGGGTACAAAAGAAGCCTTTCTACATGTCTTCTCAAGTTGAGAGCAGATAAAGTATTTTAAGGCTGCTATAGTTCCTAATTTGACCTTTTAATTTTGGGAAATAGATACTATTGCAGCTAGTATGAAAGGTGGGCTACCTTTTGCCTCCCAGAATGGTATGCAATGCAAACAATATAACAGCCAGCTGGGAGAAGAAATACTAAAAAGAATCATCCAGAAACAGCTATTTATTTGAAAGCAGTTTTCCCTGACAAAAACTGGGATTTTGGAAAGACAGCTGCCCGTCCTGGCAATAGCTCCTCTGCACCTTGGGTGGCACCACCACTGTCATGGCCATCATGTTGGAAGGTGTCCAGGAGGGGCTGAACCCCTGCTGGTCACGGTCAGCATGGAGTGAAACTTCATGGTGCAGGCAGGTCTGAGCAACCATCTGCCTCTCTCCAAGGTGGCTTAACTCAGATGTCCAAGGATTGGCCCACGTTTTCCAGGTGAATTTGTTGTGTATGGCCATCAAAAGTCCTGACGAGCTCCTGCTCTCTATCCATGTGATACCTAAAAGGAAACCGGGTGGGTGTAGTTCAATCCATGGACTCTGTCATGGACAGTCTTGGTCCGTGAGGACAAAAGACCTTCATCTTGGGGGAGTTGGAGGATGGCTGTGTTTCTCATAGTATCATGTTTCCAAAGTCTATGACCAATCTTCTAAGTTTCAACCTTTCTTTTCACCAGGAATGGGGGGAATGTGCAAAGAATGAGTTATGATGCCTCCCCTAGGCCCAGTAGTCCTACCGTACAACTGGTCAGCCTCAAAAGACACATCAGAGTCCCAGGAACAGGCAGAAGTATTCCAGGGTAGCAGAATGAGCCTGGTATTGGGAGTCAGGAGACCTGGGGCCCTAGCCCTGCCTTTCACTACCACAAACTATTACTAATGCAAGTCATTATTTTCTCTTTGAACATCAGCTTCCCCATCTATAAAAATGGGAAAAACAGCCCCAAGTCCCAGCTCTGTTGACCACACAGGGCCCTCGAGAAGCTTGGATGAAATATCAACATCTGGAAAAACCTTGGAAATCCTGTTCACTTACACAGGGATCTCTGGGTCCTGAGGTCTAAAAGCCCTCCAAAACTCTGTTCCTCTCTCATCTGAGGGTCTTTGTCTTTCCTGTACCCTCTCCTTAGAATATGTGCCCCCCTCAGATTTCTGCACACTGGTGCGTCTGGTGCAGGTGGGTCTGAGCAACCATCTGCCTCTCTCCAAGGTGGCTTAACTCACATGTCTAAGGGTTGGGCCACGTTTTCCAGGTGAATTTGTTGTATATGGCCATTAAAAGTCCTGATGAGCTCTAGCTCTCTATCCATGTGATACATGTGATACTGTCTCTAGTCTCTCTCCAATGTCCCCCTTCAACAAAGAGGCCTTCCCTGCCCTCTGGGGTATAGAATCCTGACCTTCTCATGTGAAGGTCCAGCTCTTCCTCCTGCCTCAGCATCTTCATATCACTCATCCTATGCCGAACTTATTTGTTTGTTTGTTTGTCAGTGTCCCCATAGAAGGTAAGCCCCACGAGAGATGTCATCTTGATTACTCTGTTGGCGACCATCTGCCAACGCTGTGCAAGAATGCCACATGTGCTAAAGTACATGGACAAGTAACCATGCACCTTCCCCATGATGGAATCATCTCCTTTCTGACAAATTTGGAGAGAATGCTGTTTCCTCGTTCCCCAGGACAAGGCTGCTGGATGGCAGGTGAGGTTAGGGAGTGGAGGGTAGAGGGGTCACAGTGTTTCCAGAATGGCCGTCCACACAGCACAAGATCTGCCCCCACCTCTCCTCTCTCCATATCCCACAGCTGCCCCCCTTGGGTGCCCCCACTTCACATTCTGCTCTTAGGACGGGGGCCTGGGACCTTAGTGTGATGAACACCCCTCTCCCATGAATGTGCGAGGGATAAGCCTGCCTTCCCGTGAGACGCAGCACACAGACACCAGCCTCAGGAAGCAGTAGGGAGAGTTCCTTTTCCAGAGAAGGGCTCTTTCAGTACTTTTTCTGCAAGTAGTACCTGGTCCTAGCTAGAGATAACTACACAAATCCAAAGGCATGGGCTACCATGACAGTTAGGGCCGCATTAAACCAAGATGCCCACCTCTTACCCATGTTTCCAAGTGGCCAGTCCTTCTGCAGGAAAAGATGCCCCAAAGCTGCAGGGACAAGCCACACAAACACCTTCCTTGCTTGGATGTACAGTGACAGCACTCAGAGGGATCAATTTGGATGCGTGAAAACAAGACCACCCCTTGTCTCTGCTTCTACAACCAAGGGCAAGTCCTCTCTCCAACCTCCCTATCAAATGTGACCTCTAAGATGACTTCTATCTCTGATAGCCTAAGATTCTTTCATTTCATCATGGAGGGCCCAATGTAGGCCTCAATGAGCCCTAAAAATAAAGCAGGCTGTCTAACAAGGCACCAGAGATGCTGTGGGGGAGACTCATGCCTGTGGTGAGAGGGGCCTGAGACCGTGGGAGGAAGCCGGATGTTGGGATCACACTGGCCAAAGGTCACAGAGAAGCAGGAGCAGGAAGTGGGCCTGGAAGAAATGAGAAACATGTAGGGCCAGCACCAAGAAGGGGGCATGGACTGCAAAGAGTCGTTCTATCCCTCTGAGTCTTCCAAGTTACTTTCTCTGCTTTGCTGCCATGGCATGAAAGCAGATAAAGCTTCCCAGGTTGCCTTTTACATCTTTGTTCAATGAAGGGGGCATGATTGCTCATGATCCTCACTGAAGAGGGCTTTGGGCATCTTGACCCCTACTTAGCCTGTGTGTCAGACACACTTGCCTTGGAGTTCTTTGGGAGATTCCCAACTTTATATTTCACTGAAGTCCCGAGCAGACCTGCAAAAGCCATCCTCTGCCTTTTGGCCCCTCTCAAGCCTCAAAGACCCCCAGTAGAATGGCCTCACCTCTACTGGGGACACAGCTTGAACTAGACTTTTGAGCGAACCAGCCCACTGAAGCCGACCACCTCTCCCAGGAATGACCCTTTTGTCAGAAGAGTACCCACAGTGCTTCTTAAAGAGGAAAATGTGCTAAGATATGAAAAACTAGAATCAAAAAAAAAGGGGATAAAATGTAACTGTAAAGAGACTGACTGCAAACAAGCCTGCCTGTGTCGATGTGGGGCCAGTTAGACACTCCACAGGCCCTGCGTGAGGCCCACTTATCTTCCTTTGAGGAGCTGGGGGGCAGCTGACCACCTGTCCAGAGGATGTGTTTTGATAACTCCCAGAAATAAGAGGGTGTTTTATTGGGGAGTAATTGGGCATATTCCCTCCATGACTTGAAGTCAACAGGCAGCCCCTACAGCTGGCCCTTCTAGGTGCTATCAGCAGCGAACGCTATTTTCATGGCCAATTTATTAGAGACTCCATGTTTTTTGAGGAGACTTCACCAACACAAAAAGGGGTATATTTATTGATATGCTTAAAATATAGGTTTTTAACTCAATTCCTTCACCCTTAAAAACAAAGTAAAGAGATAGACAGATACAATTATGTTCTGACTGTTTTCCGCCAGCCTGTCCAATGGGAACGTTTGTATATAGTTCTCAGTGGCGCTGAAATCTGCTTAGGAAAGCAACAAGTCCTTTGTTCTGTTGACAACGGTTATTACAATTAATTCATTTTGTGATTGGTACTTATGCTGAGTGACAAGGTGTTATTTTACCTCCGTAAAAGTTAAAGTGGTAATATCTACGTGCACAATAACAACGTGGGCTTGCTATCACTCACAGGGAGAAGAAAAGGCTGGCTCCCGGCTGCCTCTGCACCTGCCACCCTCTCCGTACCCCACGTGCCAGTTTGAGTTGGGAGGAACGTGCCGGGTTACTCCACTTGAAGTTCCTGCCTTCCAGCCCACCCGGCTTCTTACAAAGTTTTTCATCAACGCCTGAGGTCTGAAGGTGACAGGATGTGGAGGGAGGGTGTCCAGGGGGCACGCCAAATGCCGTGGTGTGAGCTGCATGGCAGGGCACGCCACTTGCCTTGTCACCATGAGTCCAACTCGGAGTTTCACTGAGAGGCCTGGTTCTCCCCTCTGTGCACCAAGGTATCTCAACCTTGGCACTATTGCTACTGATATCTGGGGATAGATAATTGTGGTAGGGGCTGTCCTGTGCATTGTAGGCATTTAGCAGCATCTCTGGCCCCTGGATGCCAGAAGCACTCCCCTCCCCAATATCTCCAGACATTGCTAAGTGTCCCCCAGGGGAGAACATTGCCCCTAGCTGAGAACCACTGCTATCCACAGCCCCCGGGGCTATTTGCTGTGTTGTGGACAGAGGGTTCAAGAATGCTTCTCTGGGCCGGGTACAGTGGCTCTGTAATCCCAGCTCTTTAGGAGGCCGAGGTGGGTAGATCACTTGAGGCCAGGCATTGGAGACCAGCCTGGCCAACATGGTGAAACCCCGTCTCTACTAGAAAATACAAAAATTAGCCAGGCGTGGTGGTGCATGCCTGCAATCCCAGCTACTGCAGAGGCGGAGGCAAGAGAATCACTTGAACCCAGGAGGCAGAAGTTGCAGTGAGTGGAGATCATGCCACTGCACTCCAGACTGGGTGACAGAGCAAACTCTGTCTCAAAAAAAAAAAAAAAAAAAAAAAAAAAAAAGAACGTTTATCTGGCTTCGATTCCATCTCAAGCTCCCTGAGGAGGTTGGCTTCCTCACCTAACCCAGAGACTGAGTGGCAAGGTAGGTCCCATCATAGCCCCCACAGGAAAGGGCACAGGAGGATGACAGACCTCTTGTACCATCAAGAAGGTGTGGCAAAGGAGAATGGAGGAAGAGAGAAACCAAACACCTCCCCCAAGAACACGGCTGCAGAGCCCATTTCAAAGAATGGATGCATCTCCAGGGTAGCCCAGACTTTCCTCTAGCTAGGATGATCAAAAAATGGCTATGGGGTCTTCTAACCTCACCAGGGTATCATAAAATTTATTACGTGATATATACCTCAACACAAAAAAAAAGTTGAACAAAATTCATCTCTACTCATTATTAGGGATTTCAACAATTGCACACTAGGCTTAGAAAAATTCTGGTTATCTGAGCACTCCAGGGGCTTTGCTTCTGGATATGTGGTGTGTCCTCTCTGCTCATTGATTCCTATGGATTCATCATTTAGTTCTCCATTTAACTTCCTTATGCAGCTACCAGCTCATCGCATTAAGGAAAAGATGCAGGATGAGGCAAGACCATCCTGGTTCTAGGTGGATTGTCTCAGAGAGGGCCCAACTTATTTTCAGGAGGAGCAGTAAAAGCAGGGGCCCTGAGAGGCAGGGCTGGTGAAGACCATGGTCCTGTGACCTGCTGCCCATCCCTTCCCCTTCAGAGCAGCCCAGTTGCTTTTCTGCACCAGACATGCACTGACAAAGCCCTAAATCTTTGCCCCCATCACCGGGGTCCCACTGTGCCAGAACTAAGGGCCTGTCATCTCGGCTGCCCCAGAGCATGGCTGGGCATTGCCAGTGTCCCCAGCCAGGCTGACGTCCCTTTCCAATGAAAAGCTCAGCAGATTGGACCTGCCCTGTATGTCTGCCTTGGAAAACCATTGACAGGGAGTCATAGAAATCCTCCTGAGTTTTTTTTTTATTAGCAGTATTTATCACCTTCTCAAAATCAATTGCATATTTTAAATTAAAACAAATGACTATTTCTAGACTAATCAATACTTGCACCTTTGCCTTTTAAAAAGTAAAAAGTTTAATGTAAAGAAATCCTCATCTTTGCTCCCATCAATTCAATTTTAACATAATTCAATATTTAATAAATATACTCCTCTTTGTGCAGAACAATGTCATAGAAAATGCAAAAGATTTCATGGTATCCAAGGTCTCGTGAGGTGGAAAATGATGCCTCTTCCCCCGGAAACTCCCAACCTCTGGGTACTTTCCTCACCTTCTTCACATATCAGGAGCTGTTTATTCCTAAAAAGTCTAAAAACCAAATTGGGTTTATGTATTTAATGATTCTAAAACCAAAATGCTACCTACTGTCTGCACAATTGCCATTTTTATCTCTTTAAACTTCTCCAGCTTGACGTTTCTAAAAGGGCAAAAGCAGAAAACCCTTATATAATACCTAATTTGTACATCTGCGGTTTCCTTCAGACTGGTACAGGCACCATATGTTTTTAATTATCATAATAGCCCTAAAGAACCTGTTCTGTGGGAAACACATATGATCCTTTTATTACTGGTTTGTAATTTAAACAGTTTTAACAGAAAAGGTCTGGCTATCGGGGAGTGACAGCCTCAAAGGCCTAAGATCCCAGCCATCGACCTCTGGAAGCTCAAGTTCAGATCCCACCCACCGAGGGAGACCTCCTTCCCCCTGCCTGACAGAGGTAATTGGGCACATGTGAAGCGGCTCTGTGGGACCTTAAAAGACATAATCTGGGATCTCCAGTGACGCCGGGTTTTGGTCAGAGTCCGGCACAATGAGAATAAGGTTGATAAATATTATCCTGGTCTGACCTCCGCTGCTGTCGCGGTTGGGGGCAGGGAGGGGCAGCTGGAGCCCTGGGCCACCCACTCTCTATGCTCCCTCAGACCTGGACCTCAGGGAACAATTGCAAGGTGGGGGTCAGGTTTCCTCGGGGCCCTCTCGCTGCGGGGGAAGGAGGGAGATGACAGATTTTTGCTTTTTTTCCCTGAGGCTGGAAAATGACTGAATAAATATAGCCCTAAAAAGAACTGATTCACAGACTGTGACATGGAAGGACTCAGGGTTATCACTGCGACTTTGTCATTTATGGAGAGGTGAGGACACTGAGGGGATAGGAGGAGAGCTCCTCAGGGTCACGTGGCAGGTTCAAAGCCACTCTGGTCACAACCCAAACACCTGGTCCCTACCCAGTGCCCCGCCCACGCGCTCCAAGACGGTGCTCCCCAGGCCCTGTCTCAGGTTAGGATCGCCAAATCGCAGAATCGTGGCTCAGAAATGCCCCATTCTCTCCTGACATGAGCCTGGCGGGCTGGCAGGAACTGGCTGTTGTTATGTACTTTTGGTTGGTTTCTTTATTTTTGACGCATCTCAAATGTGTATTAAAGGCACAGAAAAGCACCCGCAAGGTGAGGCAGCTGAGTGGCCACTCCCAGGGACCTCCACTGCCCAGAGAAGCCACTCCCAGGAACCGCCACTACCCGGAGAGGCCACACGCGGGGACCGCCACTACCCAGAGAGGCCACACACAGGGACCTCCACTGCATGGAAAGGCCACAGGCAGGGATCCCTCCACTGCCCAGAGAGGCCACATGCGGGGACCCTCACTACCTGGACAAGCCACTCCCGGGGACTTCCACTACCCAAAGAGGCCACATGCAGGGACCCCCACTACCCGGAGAGGCCACATGTGGGGACCTCCACTGTCCGGAGAGGCCACAGGCAGGGATCCCTCCACTGCCCGGAGAGGCCACTCCCAGGAACCTCCACTGTCCGGAAAGGCCACACACAGGGACCTCCACTGTCCAGAGGGGCCACATACAGGGACTTCCACTGTCCGGAGAGGCCACAGGCAGGGATCCCCCCACTGCCCGGAGAGGCCACTCCCAGGGACCTCCACTGTCCAGCTCTGAATCTCAGCCCCGTTGTTTACATGCGAGTGATCTTAGGTGTGACAAGATGCTGCTCGGTGCCTCAGTTTCCCCATACTTAAAATGAGAATAATAAATACTCCATCCACATCCTTGGGTTTTCATGAGGATGAAATGTAAGAAGCTAATTTGTACTCTCATCTGTACAGAGCTTAGAACAGGACTTGCCACAGAGGAAGTCTTTATTATTTACAACTTTGCTTGGAAGGTTAGTGGGTGAGTTCGGAGGACCAGATCCTGCTGCTGGGATAAAGGGAGCTGTTCCTTGGGCATGGAGATATTTTGGGGAAACAGTCATCTGCCCCAGACCCAGGATGCCCCCACACGGCTGGTTTTTGAACGGAACAAAACGTCCCGGTGGTAACTGATTTCTGGGTGACCCCTCATAGACACTCAGGGTGTGGGGCAGGGTTAGGAGCCGTGGCTGACTGAGTTCTCCTCTAGGCTGCCCAAAGGCCACGACTGATTTTACATAGTTGCCCTGAAAGTGACTTTCTTTATTCCACGACTGCTTGATTTTAGCATCCAAGCGTGACCTGGGATATTTTATTACTTTGTTTTTTTCTGTTTGTTGGTGGTCACAGCCTGACGTTATAAATGCTGTGTCTTGGAGGACTGGTGTGATGCGGTTGATGACACTGATTGCTGTCATCTGTGAGATGGGCTATCAGGTTCGGTGCTTGGCATTGGAGGTGTGTGTCTCAGGGAATTCCCCTCCCTGACTCTGCAACAGCTATCCTCACTCCTGGTGTTCAGCTGGCCAAGCTGAGGCTCAGAGGGGCCCCCTGGAGTGGGAAGGTCATAACCTGAGGCGCTGGAAGAGTAGAAAATGACAGCAAGAGCAGACAGCAGGCATTGGAGATGACAGAAGGTGGGGATGTGGGAGGGGGTGAGGGTTTAAAAATCACCTGTTGTGTACAGCGTTCACTATTCAGGTGACGGGTACACTAAAAGTCCAAACTTCACCACATGCAATGATATAAAAACAAAAATTTAAAAAGAAAAAGAAAAAAGACTGTGGGCAAGCCATCTAGCATCTCTTGGCCTCAGTTTCCTCATTCATAAAATGGGTTCTGATAATGACAGAGGGTTTCTGGTTACGCAGAAGTGGCTGGGGTCCAGAAGTGCTGAAGGCCTGGCAGACCTGCGGGCTTCACAGGAGGGTGGGCCCCCACCGGGGCAAGGCTCGGAACAAGTCCGGTAGCAGGCCAAGTCTCCCCAGATCACCCCATCTTTCCTCCTCTGCAACATGCTCTCTCCCCGGGTAAGTAGATGGAGCCGTCATTCACTCAGCTGACCTTACCCTTGAAGAAGCAGGGCAGGCAGTCACAAGCCCAGATTTGGCTTCCTAACTGACTCCAGAAGACCAAGAAGAAGCTCTCTGATAAGTTAAAAAAAAAAAAAAAAGGAAAGGGGTCTACACATTCCCCACCCCAGAGGGGTTGAGCTTTCCTTTTGGCAAAAAGAGGAGCAGATGGTCACCCTCGTTTGAGATGTCAACGGTGACCTCTCAACGCAACAAACAGAAGTGCATCTTAATCAGAGTTCTTCCCGGACAAGGCGATGGCACGGACCCGCCCCTCTAGGAAATAAGACCTTCTTAATCACAGCCCTGCAGCCACAGTGGCTGTTCTCCACCCCTGCCTACCAGGTGCCAGCCCAGCTCTGTGGCCCCGCCGAGCCCAGGCAGGAGTGGAGCATCTCCCCGTTTCCAATCCTTGGAGTCATAACTCACATTACTTCCATCCCATCTGCACCCAGTGAAGGCAGAGCAGGGAAAAGAGCATAAAACACAAAGTTCCCACAGACAACATCTGTCTCAGTGCAAACAATGGACCATTATCTTGTAAATAATTCTGATTAAGCTGCAGCATTTCCTCCTGAAACTGGCGGTGGGAGTGGAGCAAGCGGGAGGAGGCACTGCTGGAGCTCCAGCCCGAGCGCCAGGGGCTGCGCTTGGGGGTCTCCCTGACCCTCGAAGCCTCCCCAACATCCCTACCCACAGCCACTGAGCACCCTTCTCCCCAGCCTGACCACCAGGACCACCAGCAGTGGGATGGCCCATCCCATCAGCCTGGGCACCTACAGCCCCAGGAGGCTTCGGAAAAGGTTCCCTGCCAGGATCCTTTCATTTCTGCTGGCCTTCTCTCTCTCTCTCCTCTTTACCCATTTCTTCCACTCTTTCCTCTCCTCCAGATGCAACCTCCACCATTTCTCTTCTACTCTCTTCTTACTTGTTTTCTCTCTTACCTTCTCCTTTCCTTTTTTCTTTTTTTTAGATCTTGCTCTGTTGCCCAGTCTGGCCTCCACCTCCTGGGCTCAAGTGATCCTCCTGCCTCAGCCTCCTGAGTAGCTGGGAGCACAGGCATGTGCCAACACACCCGACTCTTTCATTTAATTTTATCTTCCCAGGTCTCCAGGTTCTCTTTAATCCTCCTCCTTCTTCTCTTTGAACTGCATTTGCACTTCTCTCCCTCTATCTTCATGCATTTCTCTTCCTTTCAGCCATTCACCCCCTCTTGTTTTCTGGTCCCCTTAGCCCTTGGGTCCTCTGTGGCACTCTCCCTCTCCCTTGGTCCCCCCATCCCAGGCCCCTGGGGCTAGGCCTCCCTGCTGTCCCATCCCAGAGACACCTTGACATAGTGGGAATTGTGTGTGTCCATCTGGAGGTTCCAGGCCTGTGTGCCCCAGCCTGTCCTTGGGCTCATCCGCAGGGGTTGTCAGGCTGGGCAAGGGGCCCTTAGGAATCCCTCTTCCCACCACTAGAGCATCCGTCACGCCCAGCACCTCTCCCTCCTGTGTCTTCTGGGATGTGAGGTCAGCCTGCCTGGCAAACCCCAGTCCCATCACCCACCTCACACAACAGCTCCTGTTGCAAAACCCACTGTCACGAAAGAAAACTGGGAACTTCACAAAACCACCCCAACATGACATCCAGGTGTTTAACCTGTGCAAATTAGAGGTGATCATTCACTTTGCAGCGGCATTTACCTCAAAGGCTTCAAGAACATTCCCTTTGTGATTTAAAATTAAATTACTGGGTATCATTTAGAAAGGACAGTTGTAGAGCCCAAAGTCTTAATGAAACCCAAAAACCACTGATACAAGAATCTGGGCCACCGATTGGCCACGAGAGATGATTTTTAAAAATTTCCTAATGGTAAATACTTTTTACCACTAGAAAACAGTGAAAACAGCTCAGTTGGAGCCAATGGGGGTGTGTCTGTCCATCGCAAGAATGGGCTTGTTGAATTATCATATAGGTTCCCCA
This sequence comes from Homo sapiens, assembly GCF_000001405.40. NCBI lineage: Eukaryota > Metazoa > Chordata > Mammalia > Primates > Hominidae > Homo > Homo sapiens. The sequence continues at coordinate 30,563,303 of NC_000019.10, read as the reverse complement.
ACAGACCTCCAGATGTGTTCACCCCAGGGATGGGAAGAATCCCAGATGGGCCATCCAGAAAGAGACCTTCCAGCGGTGAGTACAAATTGGCAAGGATGAGGGTGGGGCACCATGATTTATAATAACCTGCCCAGATTCTCCAGCCACTCAGCGGGGTTTTAGCGGGTTCTCGGTCTTCATCGAAGCTCTGCCTGGAGCCTACATGGCTGCAGAAAGCCTAAAATAATTGAAATGAGGGTGACTCGACAACCTCCAAGTTCTTCATATTCACTTTATTCTCTTAAGGGATACACGAGTGCCTCATTTGATGGGTGATAACACTGAGGCAATTGGATTAAGAAATGCCTATGACAAGATATCCAATTGAAAGCAAAAAGCTTTCCCATGTAGAGACAGAGCATACTGTTCCAAACTACCCCGGGCTTGCAAGCTCAGAGTGATTTTGAGTGACCAAGGGAATTCTCAGGATGGAAAAGTGGGATGGTCACAGGCACAGAAGGAAGTGAATGTGAACTGCTTCCGTGCCCCGTGAGTGCAAGATGAGAGCCTGAGCCCGTATCTCTCGGTGCCTGGGTTCCCACCCTCTAAGTGTGATGGATACATGTATTGAAAGAAAGCAGGAGGCACTTTTATCCAAAAGGGAACTCCTGGATTCACACACTGGTATCTGTAAAGCACTCAAAGATAACCTGATCATCATAAAAAATACAGTCTTCTCAAGCTCAACTGTGAGCTCGACAGGTTGAAAAATAAAAGAGAAAAAAGTCAGATAATCAGGTTTTTCTTGCATTTCCATGAGCTGAAAATCCAGTTTCATTGATCTCCTTTCTTTTCTTTTCTTTTGCTATTTTAACAGACTTCCACAATTAAAAGAAAATCCTCAATGGTCTTCTTCTAATTTAACAGAAATATCTTCAGGATAAGGCAAGTTTCATATGCCCGTGCACTGGAATGGCAGATGGCCTTGCCCAAATAGAAAGCCTGCATGCTCTTATGCTTGTGGGAAACCAGAACATATCCCAGGGGCCCTACTGGTATGGGGACTCCAGGACTGACAGGGTCCGGAGGAGTCATCTGAAAAGTGAGGACTGGAAAAGGGTGGTGGAGACTATAGAGTTTAAGACCTAAGAGGGTCCGGAGCAGACATCTGGAATGCTCCCTCCTTTGGCTGAGAGGAAAATGGTGCCCAAAGAGGACACGTGAGTTATCTAAGCTCCTTGGAACATGATTGCTTCAAGGTCTCCCCCAGACCAGCCCGCCAGTCTTTCCTCCAGTAACCTGGCCCCTAAGCTGAGAGGCCATGCACTTCCCTCTCCACAGGAGCCATGACCTGCACATCTGTTCTCATCTGTGGCTCTGGTAGGTCTGCGACTTTCTACTGGGTACCCAAGAGGGTGTTCTCACTTGAAGCAGATACTGTTGGTTCCTCATTCCTTCCCTTCTGATTATCTGATTATCTGGCAATACCAATGGCCTCTTGCTTCATTCTGCCTGAGGGCTTTCTCTCACTATGGGAAGAATGGTTGGCCATCAGGTGGGCTGGAGGGACCCTCAGCTGCTGGGAGAGGAAAAGCTGGTGTGTAAATACCCCGGCTCCTTCAATCCTTGAAGAGACTGTTCCAAGAGGAGCTCCACGTAGTACCTTAGAGGACCCCCAAAGGGGCTGAGCCCCCATGGTCCTGCAGTACTGACCCTCTCATGAGTGCACCTGTGCTTGTTGATTTACCTGCCTTCTCTGTCTCCCTTCCCTGCTCCCTCACTCATGCTTCCTGGGTCACCTCCCATATCTACTGCCTGCATCCAGGTCCTTACCTCAGGATCTGCTCTAGGGAGACCCAACTAGGTCACCAAGGAAGTCTTAGGGGATTGAGAGGACTAACGACCCCTCTACTTGACAAGAAAGAGCTAATCCTAGTGTGAGTCCCTAATTATCCACTGGGGCCACTGTGCACCTCAGCAAAACCACCTTCAGCCCTTCCCCAGGTGCAGGGCACACCTTGGAGTGGCCTGTCCTCGTGGTCAACCCCAGCTCTCTTCCCAGTAGAGACAAATCCCAACTCAAGAAAAAAGCAACTTGTCCATCATATAAAAAGAGCAATAATTTGGTAAATTAATTGCAAATTTGCTTTCCCCGCTTGGTTGCCTTTCTCCTTTTATGTGGATAATTGAGAGCATATTATGTTAATTTGACAACAACAGAAGTTCAAAAAGAAAACTTAACCTTGTGAGCAGTGAGTTACCATTAGATGGGTGTGTCTGGACAACTCCACAAAGAACATGAAAGACAAACCCCTCGTGAAGCCAGCCAATGTCTGGATGCACAAATGGCTATTTTTGCTAATGAAATAGCTGTGCAGAGTTCCCCAACTTTAACCTTGAAAATGCGCATCCCTTGCTCCAGAGGCAGAATCTGCTTACGCAGAGACAATATTGCCAATGCACTGCTGCCGATTTGGGGATGTAATTTAATCATCGCGAAGTTTCTTTGAGAAAAAGTGACTATACTTATGGAATAATCATCTCCCAACATTTAGATTCTTTTTCTCCAACCAGAATATCTACAATCTCATCAAAGCAAACACACTTCCGAACATGTGTAAATAGAAAAGTGGATCTGAAGACTCTCTTACTGCAAGGCACTCTGCCCTTCCTTGGCCTCTCTCATCTTAAGTCACAGATGTCTCCTTGGAACTCTGCTCCATATACAATGGGGCGGGGGGGTGGTCTCTTATCCAGACCAGGGTGTTCGTGTTAGGAAGGGTCCAGGTCTCAGGCTGAGGGTAGATCCAATGGATGATGTTTACATTTGCTTCAGGTCTGAATTCAAACAGGTGGGGTTTGTTATAATCCCACATGTGGATGGGTGGTGGCTTGGGGGAAGGTGGGCTTGTTATATTTCCACATGGGGATGGATGGTGGTTTACAGGGGAGGTGGGCTTGTTATATATCCACGTAGGGATGGATGATGGTTTATGGGGGAGGTGGGCTTGTTATATTCCCATGTGGGGATGGATGGTGGTATATGGGGATGGTGGGCTTGTTATAATCCCACTTGGGGATGGAAGGTGGCTTAGGGGGAAGGAACACACAGGAAACAGAATTCCTGACCCCCTTGCAGAGCTGTAAAATGAAGTTGGCTCATTCCACAGAACTGAATCCACCCAGCTCCCCGGCAGGCAGAAGACGGGATATTCCCAAGAACACGCAACTGTTGAGAAGGAAGTTGTTAACCAGGGATGGGGATGATGAGGAGGAGGTGGATGGGAAGCAGGGGGAGTGTACGGCGTGAGTGCCCTGAAATGAGAAGATGGGGAGCAGGACGGAGCTGGCTTCATAAAAGCAGGAGAATGAGAATCCACAAAGGCCCCCTCTAAGCTTGAGAAGTTTCCACCGGGGAGCAACTCAGGAAATACCCCCTGCTTTAGAAACGGAAATGCTTCCGAGTCTTCCAGCTTGGAGATCCCGTTAGGGGGATTGGGCCCCCATGGAAAGGAAGAGAGAACAGCAGACGCCTGAATACACGGCTCCAGGGAGCCTTCCAGGCTGTCAATGCAAAGGGCTGGGAAGATCCGTTCCCTTCAGCAGCCTCTCCCTCACTGGCTTTGCACTCCCTCTGCCTCCAAAGCCCAGCCCCCCACATGCCATCTATACCCCTCTGGGCCCCATCCCAGGAGGACTGGCAAAACCCACAGGTGCTATGGTGCCCCAGGTTTGCAGGAAGTGGGCAGCGGGGTGTACATGACCGGCAACGCCAGGAACAGTGTGCTCAGCCCTGGACAGAGGCCCCGAGAAAAAGGCTTGGAGGAATTTTTCCCTCGATGTGCACCCCATTCCCCTTGGGGCAGGTCCTTAGACTCAGGGGACATTGCAAATAAAGAAAAACCTCTCCTGGGGCCCTACTTCTTGTACAGGCTTGGCCTATATACACTGGCAGTGGAAACTGGCCCTGCCTAAATGTGGCCACACAGACCTGGGGCCTGGAGGTTAGGGTCATTCACTTTACCTTTGCTAGGCATTTAGGGATCCATCACAGTTTCCAAAGGAACCCATGGTATGTGCTCCCAGCTTCATATGAAGGGAATCAGGCAACAGTCGTGGGCACTGACCACCAGGAAATCTGACAACCTTCTTCACAATCGACATTTTCTCTTTGAAGCTTTTATCGTGTCTTCTCAGACTCCGAATCTCTCACTTTTTACCTCTTTCCCAAAATAAAAGACAACCTAATGCCATACTGTGGTCTTTGGAGTCAGAGTCACTTGAAAAGGTTTTATGAGAAATACCGGAAGAAATGTTTCAACCAGCTAGGGTGATGCAATTGTCCTGTTGCGGAGGCCAGGGTTGTTCAATGAGCATTTCTGGGTTTCCATTCCCTTGTTACACAGAGGACACTTTATTTATTTGGGGTTGTGAAGAACGGACTTGGAGCTTGAGATTGTGTCCTATGAGATTGTGTCCTACCCCCAGTCCCCCAAAAGGACCAGTTAGACAAGGGCTCAGGGATGGTCATTGAATTTAGAAATTTACAAAACACATCCAAGCAAAGAAGCTTGGAAACACCGTTGAAATGGCAGGACCCTCAAGTCCAGCTCACGGACCACAAAACCAAGCAACACAAGCAAAAAGCAAAATCGGTTCTTCCCACACCTCTCTCCCCACCAGGAGGCAAAGTGGAACAACAGGCAAAAGCCTGTTACAGCAAACACAAGTACAGTCCGAAAAGGTCAGCAGAACATAAAGATTCCCACCTCCGCGAATCCTGAGTCTCTTCATTACAAACTACCCCTTCGCAGGATGAAAAGAACATGTTCAGATTTGCTGAAGGGAGGCTGGGTGTCAGCGTTTCCACATCTGGGATGGGGCATGATGGCCGGCATACTCCGTGCCCAAGTACCCTCCACCCCCACCACCCCAGCCACAGTTCCTCTGGGCGGTTGTGGGGTCTAGACACCTAAAAGTCACTTGTACAGAGAAACGGGCCCGTGTCGCCTGGCTCTCCCCCACCCCCCACAGTCATCCACCCAAATTGGAAGGTCCTTTTCCACTTGCATGTTTATGAATTGTTACTCACAGGGCCCACCTAAGAGTGGATAGAAAAATGCAATGATCTGCCCCGGCAAACAGCCCAAGAAGCAGGGTCAATGGCATTCCCTGAATGTCCTGTTGAGGCTTCCAACAGTGAGAAGAATGTCGGGGTGAGGGGGATGTTGCGGAATGAATTAACATAATGACTCCAAACTGCACTAATGTTTCACAGCTTTTTTTTTTTATTAGCAATACCAAGATAAGTTATTGAAGCATTTTTAGTATTATTTTACATTCCATTCATAAATGACCTAACTTGTAACTCAGCATACAGCACACTTAAAGATATAGTTTGACACTTATTCAGAAAGCTACAATTATTATAACTTACATGCCTTCATTACCAGGAACACCTTAATATATCTTCTAATTACTTCAACAATACTCTGTTCCAAAGCACACGATCACCCCGTACAAGTTTACATATTTTGCTTCAATCACCATTTTTAAGTTGTAGATGTCAAGGTGCTATTCACTGAAATTTTACTGTCATCTGCTCCTGGTTAATAGGACGACCTGACACAATATTAAACTAGCAATATTTCTGCTTAAATACTATGGAGAAAGAGAATTACTGCACTTTTCTGTATTCTTCTAAAGTGTTACAAAATACAGGACAATCAGACACAAGCAGTAATACCCACGAGACCACTGCAGGACCCACCTCTACATGCTCAGGTGAGCTGGTGGAACAGCCCCCCACCCCCAGCCAGGTTGTCCACAGGTGAAGGGATCTGTCATCCAGCAGCAGTTGTCACTCAGGATTTATGACTTTGAGGGAGTTTTCTCTCCTGCTCAAGTTACTAAGCCTTTGCAATCCATGACTAATACTGGAACATATGGGGTAATATTTTTAGCCTCTGATTCTCTGCTATATATACTGTAGATTGGTGCACCGTGTGTATACACATACCTATGCCAATAGTAATTATTCAACACACATATGTGTATACATTCTTCTCTTGACTTTACACGATTAACAAGCTGCAGATAACCACCGAGGACCACGAACAGACAAGGGCAAGTCCAGATAGACCGACTAGGACAGGGAGTGTCACTTACCTGCAAGAAAATGTGCAGATTTATTAAATAATCCAGAAACCATCAGGGCTAGAGGCATTTGAAAGCAAGGGCAGGGCCACATCCCCTAATCGTTTAATGGAATAATGACAATAAAGTGTTATTTATAAAATTTGGTCCTTCTGTCTCTGGCTAAAGCAAGAATAGTCAACATGATTAGGGCAGGTTGGCAATTAGACGTAGAGGTGCTGTTGATCAGCACTAAGTAATAGGAGATAATTACTGCTTATTTGAACCCTGGGCTTTGCACACAACATCCGAAACCAAAGAGGTTGATTGCCCTCTCCTCTCACCTAGACTTGGTCCTGAGCAGTAGGATTCATGCAGTCTGAAGAGAATATGGACATAGCAACTAAAATTAATGCTACCAGACTTCTCTCCTGATTCAGAGGCCCTGTTGATTCAGCCAGTAGCTTTTGGAGCCAAAAATATGCAGCAAAAGGAAAGGAACATAAACAAGGCTAAATGTCACCAGTGTTTGCCGACTTACAGACACCATCCATTTGTTTGTTCTGAAATGACGAGTGGACCATTTGGCAAATACAATGGTATTCACACAACAGTTCTGTCATCCTGCAGTGCAAACGACATCACGTCAGTGGCATTCCCATTTAATTTAAAAAGAGGGAAGGAGAACAGGAGAAGAATGCCTTTGGAATATGGAGAGAGCTGCCATCCAGAGAGGCTGCCTCTCCATCAGACACAGTGCACACAGCAGGGCTCAGGATGAGGGCTGGGGAGAGCCCACTCCAGGTGCTGATTTCTGCAAGAGATCCTAGGGGACATCGCCTGTGTTTGTCCCTCCAGAGTCAAACAGAAAAGCTCTGCAGCAGGTTGTGAGGCAGCCAGCAGGGGCAGAACAGGGCGGTGATTTGCATTAACTCACAAGGTTCTGCCCTTGGACTTCAAGGCAGGCCAAATGGTCCTCCCTCCTGGGGTCTAATGTCAGGCCCCGGACACACAGTACAAATGAGAGCAGGCCAGACCATAGAGGTCAATAGCTAATCTGTAAATTATCCAATTGGGCAAAGGAGGTGAATGCAAAGGTGTGCTTTATCCATAGTCTCTGAGGCCAATCCATGTGAGAATCAGCTCACAAAAAAGAGAAGGAAGAGGTATGAGAGCACATTTGTCTTTGAATAAAGTAAGGCAGCAACAGAGACAAAAAGATCTTGCAGTGGAGATGCCCCAGGTCTCCCACACCCTCAAGCCAATTGCCTTCTTGTGCTGGCTGGGTACAGCCTGCACTCCCACACACTCGGCAGATTGGGATTTTGTGGTTGTCTTCCTATGCCATTTTCCTACCTTCACCTCCCTTCTTCATTAGAACCTGCTGGCTTCTGGGCCACACTGTAGACTCTTGCACAAGATGAAAAATGTACCAATGGCCATAGCCTGTGTATCACAGCCTATACTCAGGGTGTCTGCACATATGCGGCCCTCACTGTGTATTTCATACCCCAGCCATGGCTTCCTTCCAAGTCTCTAATTGACTGCAGACCTTTGCCGTTTCTTGGTCAAAGACTGAGGCAGGGCAGGACTCATTTCCTACCCCCAAGCACTTGCCTGGTATCAGGAAGAGAATGGAGTGGACACAGAAATAGTGTAACCATTGGGATGGGAGGTCATCACAAAATTGCCAGAATCATCTTCAAAGCAAACTTCTCCACATACCAAGAAAGAGCTATCAACCATGCATCACGGCAGAAGTGAGGAAATGAAACGTGCCTCTCTAACACTGATGGAGGTAAGGTTGATGCCTGCCGTGCTTAAGGGACGATTGTGACCCGAAGATGTTTGCACACTGACATCATTTCCTTGCAACAGTTTCACGTGGATGCTGAGCTCCACGACGTCATGCAAACTCAACTGAGAAGCACTGATCCAAGCTCTTTTATCTCTATCATCTATTTCATCCCTACGCTTCCTTCCATCAGTGAGGAAACAGGCTTTCACAGAGCAAGCTTGCATCAGAGACAACACACAGCCACTGCCCGCTTCCTCTTCTGTGTGTGCTGGCTATGAGGGGGCAGCTCTGGGTTGCACTGTGCTGGGGTGTTCTCCTGGAAGTCTTTAATGCATAGACAGAGGTGTGGCTTCCCAGAAACAAGGCATCGGCCCATCTGGGTCAACAAGTCCTCTACCACTGTAAAGTCTCTCTCACATCTCTGGCTTTGGCATTACCAGACAATGGATGGGGCCCTGCCACTGATGATGAGGGGTCTCCCATCACCATCTCACTGTCCAGCAGAATAACAGAGGACCAGTGTTTGCACCACTCATTCCCTAGGGATGACCACGGGAACACATCCCTCTTTACACCAGAGCAGGGGTTGACCAAATAAGACCCTGTGGGCCAATTCCAGTGCATCGCCTGTCAGTACCTAAAGTTGTAATAGAACGCAACCACAGCCATCATTTTCCTATTGTCTATGGTAGCTGTGGTGCTACTTCCAAAGCGGAGTTGGGTGGTCGCCACAGACACCCCATGGCCTGTGAGCCAACACTTTTATTCTCTGGCCCTTTAAGAAAATATTTGCTGCCTGTTGCTTTAGACTGAGTAGCTCGTAAAAGGGTAGGTATTGGCCAGGCGCGGTGGCTCATGCCTATAATCCCAGCACTTTGGGAGGCTGAGGTGGGCGGATCACCTGAGGTCAGAAGTTCAAGACCAGCCTGACCAACATGATGAAACCCTGTCTCTACTAAAAATACAAAATTAGCCAGGTGTGGTGGCGTGCACCTGTAATCCCAGCTACTTGGGAGACAGGCAGGAGAATCGCTTGAACCCAGGAGACGGAAGTTGCCGTGAGCCGAGATCGCACACTGCACTCCAGCCCAGGCAACAGAGCAAAACTCCATCTCCAAAAAAAAAAAAAAAAAAAAAAAAGTAGGTATTCTCCGACTGCCTATGCCAAGAAATCTATAAGGCTTAGGGAAAAGATAAGTCACATTTTAAGAGAGTTCAGCTTTGGTTGTCCTGGTTCATCTCATCACACATAAAAATATGTAATTTGAATAGGTTTCAATGGACCCGAATTCTTGGGAGGGGGGGGGGTCCCAATTATTTCACTAATGTGGAAGCCCAGAAGACCTTTATTCCATAGTCTCAGGTATAATTTGGGTTGGGGAAGCCAGTTGCCCAATAACCTGAGGATGATAAGCTGGGGATGTTAGGATGACTGCTGTTAATGGGCTTGCATTCTCCCTCACTTCCTCCCAGGCCCACTGGGTCACTAGGTCTGGTAGCCACTGCACATAGGGCCTCGTGCCCACAATCAACTTGCTGATATTTATTTCATGTTTATTTTACAGAAGGGGTTTCACTCTGTCACCCAGGCTCGAGTGCAATGTCATGATCCTAGCTCACAGTGGCCTTGAACTCCTGGGCTTATGCAACGCCCCTGCCTCAGCCTCCCAGAGTGCTGGGATTACAGGTGTGAGCCGCAGTGCCTGCCCTCAGCCTGCTTACAGATGCTACCAGTTCAGCCAGCCTTCCCTGAGTGGCAGTCACTACAGAGCAGAGCTCCTTGGGGCAAAGGGGAGTGTGCTCTTTTCCCTGCTTTCCCGTTCATCTGTCATTCATTCTTCTCTGTCCTGCCTACCCCTGGGTCCACCAAAGGACACAGTGCAAAGCCTGACTGGGAGACCTGGCACACAACAACTCCACACCCTGGCCATCTCTCTTAGGTTTGAAAGGCAAGGAGTAAGGGTGATCTGGTTGCTGTCCAAATCCACAAACTCCCAGATGAAACACACTTTTTAACCGTTCCATGCAGTGGGCCCCATGGGTGCTGTGCAGACCAGCCTTGGTGCTGTGTGCACAGGGAAGCCTGCCCCTTCCCAGCCAAGTGCCGACCCAACAGTGCATTAGCATTTCTCAGACTAGACTGGGCTTATCTGCCTTGCTTTGTCCATGGATGCAAACACTGCTCTGGTCTTCCCCTCTCCACCTTTAAATACTCATGTGGAGTCTATCCCATTACAAAACCAAGGTCAAACATTCCAATAAAACCAAGGGCATATCCAAATTCTCCGATGGCACTGGAGTACCCTTGTACATTATGCTCTTTGACAGAATAAAGACATGTGACCCATGCCTGGAGACTGGAAGTCACCTCAAGAAACTAAGGATTTGATTGGAGTGGGATTTCCTATAATGAGATCAGACCCCTAGTGGGATCTGACCCACTGTGGAAGCAAAGATGCCTGTCCTCTGGCTTAATCCAAGATGGCTTAACCTCTTCCTTGGGATTATTGTAATATGTCTCTGACAGGCCGTGTGCTGTCCTCTGTGGAAAGAGCTTTAGAAAATTCCCACTGAAGCTCTCGACACTGTCATATGCAACAGGCGTCTCCCCACCCAACTGGCTGGGTCGGCTTCTCCCCTCGGTGGCTCTCCTTCTGCACCAGAGTTAGGAATCCATTGGCTGTTAGGATGGGCAGGGCACACTGGCCAGGACCCTGGCTCTATGGCACCAAGGAATTTAGGACCAGAGTTTTAAAAGTTAGGAAGAAGGCATGCAGAAATGATGGAAGATCCTGAAAGTACAGCCTGCAATATGAGTATCACCCACAGAATAGGGTGAGATGCCACCTTCTCCAAATCAACAGCAAGGGTTGGAGGAGCTGCTGAGATCTGTGGGGAGTTTATATGATTTGAACTAGGTATTTCTGATGCTTGTTCAAACACTTTTACACCCCTTGAGAACAGAGCCCTTCCTTAAGAAACATGGGAACATTAGCTCCTCCTATAAGCCTGTTTCTATAATCATGAAAGTGGGGATTTAGGTCTACTAACCAGACAAAACCAGCCCTCAACTTTATCCATCTGAGATGAGAAATCTAGGAATGATGCTTTGGTCTGACAAAGCCCAGATTCTTAAGGAGAAATAGTGATCAGCCTGGTAGGCGGATTTAGAAACCCATACCTACTTTGAGTGAAGAAGAGAAGGAGGAATAAACATTAGAAATATTTTATTCATTGTGCTAATATCACTTCTACCCTTGCAAAGGGAAGCTAGTGGGGGTTTGAAGCTTACAAATGTCACTTGTGCTTCTTGCCATGCTAAAAAGAGAGTGAATTACACTATTTAAGAAAAAAAAAACAGCCCATTTGGATTTGTGTTCCTCCTAGGTTGTAACTTTTAGAAAGGATGAATATGTCTGGACCTTCTGGGATATCACAGTAGCCCGCAAGAAAATAAGAAGAGGACTGCAATTATGGTGGGCCAGATATGGGGGGAGTGGGATGAGAACTGGCAGAGTCAGGCCCATCCTAGAGGCAAGAGGGCAGTGGCCCCACCCCCAAGCAAATGCAAGAGCCAGGGAGGGTCTTTTCCTGCCTACTTCCAAACTAAAGCAAGAGGACACAGAAGAAATGGGGCCAAATGGAATGCAGAACTCACACTCTCTAAAAATAGGCAGCTCGTGGCCAGAGTCAATTTCAGCATCTTCCCAGGAGTGGAAGGCGGAACAAGGGGCCTGAACCCTCTGCTGCAGAAGCAACCAGGAAGCCTTCAAGCTTGGCTGACATGAGGGTCCCCAAGCCCCATGAAAGAGGCGAGGGGTGGGGGGCACAACTTACATCCCAGGATCTGCTGCCCAAAGGCTGAAGGGTGGACTGGGCAACACGGTTTGCACATAGCGGGGAAATGTCAGGGACGTGTCGTGTGCTGCTGTTTTGGGAAAAGGTGAGAAGTTCCTAGGAGCTTGCAGCCCAGAGATAAAAGGCTCTCAAGACCCGGCAGGCTCCCTGACGTTGGCTTCCCATTCAACCTCGCCTGGTGCGAAAGGATACCACTGGGCAAACTTCCTCGAGCCAGGCAGCCTTCCTTCATTACTGATAGGAAGATGGGAAAATTAATAGGGGTAATATGAGCTCATTTCAATAATAATGAGCTCATGAACATGCCAGGTTTTGATCTTTTCTGATGCATGGATTCCTGGCAGGGACTATGGTCCTACGTAGGTAGTTGAAAGAACTGAAAATAGACTTAAAAAAAAAAAAGACTCTAAACAACAATAAAAAAGAAACCACCCCGATCACAAACCTAAAACAACAATGAAAAAAAGAAAAAAAAGCCTTCAACATTGCTCCCCCAGTTTAAAAAAAAAAGGGGAAAAAATTTGGACTAACATAAAACGCTTTTTTCCCTTCTTTTAAATATTGTTTTTAACAGCTTCAAAAGTAATGAATTGTATGTGGCTAAAAATAGATCTGGGGGTAGTGGTTAATGGGGCCTTGTGAATCATTCAGCATAAGGAACTGTCAATATTTTTTTGAGCTGTCAGAAATCCATTTAGTGATTTTCGACAATTCAAAAAAATATTTCTGACCGCTTGATTCAGTTCCTAGTGAATTAGGGAAGAAGAGGAATAAAAGAAATATATCAATCTAAATTATGAACCCAGAGTCTAGCTTCCTGAATTCTTCTCTGTGCTTAAACGAACAACAGGATGTTGAGGTTCAAAAATACTCTCTTCTATTTCCCCCCCTTCCTTCCCTTTTCTTTCCTTCCCTTCCCTTCCTTCCTTCCTTCTTTCCATCCTGCCCTCCTCCCTTCCTGCCTTCCTGCCTTCCTGCCTTCCTTCCACAGGTGAAGTAAAATTACAGAAATCCATTCATAAATTACAGTTGGAAATGTATCATGGTCATTTGTCTCTGGTGAGGATATTTGGAGCTGGTTTCAAAGGGAAGAATGCATGGAGCTTCTTTTCGGAGAAAGGCTTCCAAATACAGATATCAGGGTGCCAAGACAATGACTTTGATTCCCCCTGCCCACCCAAACATTCATTTGATCCAAACCTAGTCCTTAAACTTACAATGATGTTCGGAAATCTGGAATTCCTTTGGGGTACCCATATGCTTTAAGGAGATAAAGAAGTGTCAGTTTGCTACAGGATCAGACAAGCATGAATCCAAGATGCACAGGGTCACACCACTACTGTTCAGGGACTTCACAATGTACATGTCTTGTTAGAGCAACAGACAGACAGGTGAACAGACAGACAAACAGAAGGCAAGCGCAGAAGGCCAAAGTCACAGTAACTGCCATTTGGTTTGTCTAAAAATGAGTCACAAACACCCAGAAACCATCTCCCTCTTTGGAGAGAAGGTCGCTTTATTTCCATACTGTTGTTAGTGTGATATGATTTTAGTATCCTCTAAGTCAATAAAAGAAAAGTTTAAGAAAGCAGATTTGGCTTAGCAAAGCAGTAAGGAATTGTCTTTAGGCATCTTTTGCATAAATTGAAAATACTGAAGAATTTGCAAGTTACCATGTCTCTTTTCATTTTTGTTTTGTAAGTCGATTTTCCCCCCTTCAAGTTCTAGATGGCAAACAGGAGTAGTTCACATGGTGAGCGACCACCCCCTTTTCCATGCCTTCTGTACAGGCATTTTAGTACATTATAATGCAAATTAGAACACAAAAGTATGAGTTCTAAAACTTCTAAACAAAATGGACTTTTATGATTGTCTACATTGCAGATACAGCATTGAGGGTTTTTTCAAATATTTCATTCAAAAGTTGCTCATGGATAAGTCTACCTCATTTTTTTAAATGCACAATTCAGCACTGATGTTTTGGGAAATGAACTATAGGAAGAGGATTCTAAAACTTACCACACAAGTCTGGCCTCTTGATACATCCAGAATTTGCTGTGCTACTTGCAAGTCCGTTAAAGGCTGCTAAGCCATCAGAACTGTAGGCCCTGAGGACCGACAGCATGTTCATCGGCTTGTCCAGGCTCTGGGGCCCCCGCTCCGGCTTTGGCAGGCCCGCCAAGGGGTCCTGGGCTTGGAGAAGACCCTGGCTGTGCCACTGCTTCTCCGGTGCTTGGGATAAAGGTGAGACCAGTCCCTGGACGGGCTGGGAGGTGCCTGTGGGCTGCAGGCTGTCCCCGCCATCGCTGCTGCTGTCTTTGCTGAGGGCAGACAGTGGCTTGGTCATCATTTCCGGTTCGGTTTCAACATCCTCTTCATCGTTGTTCTCCCCCTTGGAGGAGTCCATGTCCTCTGAGGAGGCAATGTCAGAGAGGTCATCAGTAGTGTTCTTACTCGTGGTTTCGGGGATCAGGATGGGGACATCCTCTTCAGAGTGGGCCTTTCCATCAGGCTCCTTGTTGGGGCAGGAACTGGAGGCCCCTGAGCCAACCATGCCTGGGTAAACACCAAACTGCTTGTAGAAGTCTGATGGGAAGTTACAAAATGCAGGGTCCACGTGGCCGGTCCATGCACCGCTCTTCTGCTCTCCCAGAGTCTCCTTGAGCTGACCTTGGGCCATCTTCTCAGAAGCAGAGTCTAGAGAGCTGATCATATTGGAGAGGCCCAGGTCTTTGTTTGATTGTAACGAGGGCAGCAGGGCCATCTTACTCGCCTCCCGGGCTTGGTCTTTGCAGTTGACTGTGACCCCGATGGTGTTATCTTTGCGTTTCGCTTTGCCCAGGTGGTTGGCCTGGAGATGAAGGGCCATGAGCTCCATGGAGGACGTTGTGAAAGCACAAAACAAGCAGCCGTGCCATGCAATGCTGTCCTGCACAGTTACCGAGGAGCCCGGGAGGGAGGCGGCATCTGGCCGCACAGACAAGTCCAGGGGTTCATACTGAGATTTCTCGGACTTCCTCTGGGAGGACTTGCCACTGGGTTTCTCCTCACCACCATCCACTCCGTGGACTTTCATGGAAGGGGGGTCAGCCAGGGCTTTGTCCTTCATGTCCTTCTCCTTCTTCAAGGAACTGAGGACAAAACTGTCCATGAAAGCTTGCAAGGACCCTTGGAAATTCACACCGTTGCTCACAATGCTTTGATAAGCTCTTCCGATCTCAGAGAAGTGGGTGCTTTTGGAAGGAAGGTCAGTGCCTTTCAGAGCATCTGAGGGGACCTCCGAAGACATGCCCGTGGCCTGCCCCGAGTGATCTCCAGAGGAGAGAACCCCTGATGTCCACTGCTGAGATGCAGGGCCTCCTCTGAAGTCGATTCCAGGGAGACCCTTGAAGGCCCCCCTCAGGATGTCTGGCCTGATGAACAGAGAAGCTTTGCTTGACATCTCATCCTTGTGGTCTTGATTTGGGGGTTGCCCAGACAGCGGCCCAGCCCCGTTCTGCCGCTCCCGATGGTGTCGCTCTAAGTGGTATTTTAAGGATGCTGACTGCGTGCCGGCATAGTCACAGTGCGGACACTTGTAGGGTTTCTCACCTGCAAGATTTTGATATAAGAAAAAAAAGAGGCGTTTATCTCATTTTGGTGTGCTGAACGAGGCTGGAAGGATCAACATTTGTTCTTTGAAACAAAGCAGCTCAAACTAATAATTAGAGAACAACTGTTTTTTAATAGAAGAATAATTCGTACTCTTAAGCTTTTTTAATGATTTTGTACCATTTGGGACTATTCAGGAATGACATACTATCTACACACAATTAGCTATCTTTTTCTTTATCTAACATGTGAAAACGGCTGTAGATTTAAAAGCTATGATTATGAAAATTAAGCATAATAATTTCAGCCACAGTGATCATTAAAAGTAGAAGTTTAAAAAGAGAAAGTATGTAACAAATGGGTGGTTGCAATATTTTGTGTATACAATAGATCTAAAATTTGTTTAAATTATACACATGGAAACCATTTTTAAACCTAAAAATTTTATGGCACTGTTACGCAAGACTGAAATGAATG
The DNA here is from genome assembly GCF_000001405.40 of Homo sapiens. Lineage (NCBI taxonomy): Eukaryota > Metazoa > Chordata > Mammalia > Primates > Hominidae > Homo > Homo sapiens. The sequence goes on along the minus strand of NC_000019.10, from coordinate 30,547,465 downwards.
ATTTAAGTCTTGCTCTGCAGTAAATCATGGATATAATTAGCAAATGGCATACTGCACAAGTAATTTATCATTATTTGGAGGGCACCATTCCAGACGGGCTCAGATATCTGCAGACCTACTGCACTGTTTCTAAATAAAGAACTATAAATACATATTCTATAAAATATTAATACCATTACAGTGCATTATGATTGCAGCATGTAAAGACATATAGTTAAGATAAAAAGCAGTCAATAAAACTTAAAAGAAAATGAGTAATAAAAAGGCACAAAATATATTTAGTTTCTGTATTTGAAATTAACATTATCTACTGGTCTTTGTAGTGCCTTAAATTTGTACTAATGGCAAACCTAATGCTCCGGTAGTAAAATGTGTAATTTACCTATAATAAGCGCTTTCTAGAGAATAAAAATAGCTTTAAAGAGTGTTTTAAAACATATAAGATAATTTTCATGAATTAAATATTTATTTAAATTCAACACCCCCAACTTCTATTGTTCTTTCCACGGTGGAAAAAGATACCAGAAGAGACAACTTACATTTGCTGGCATTGTGGGATAGAGAAGGGGAAGAAGGTAAACGACTGCAGATTTAAATATATTCCAAGAATTTGTTAGCAATCCCAGGTCTTTTCCAGACTTTGCAATCAAAAGGCTCTCTGGAAGGAATGGGGACTGTGACAGTCCCCGCTCTCTTATTCACAATGGTGCCCTGTCAATATCCACAATTATTTCTTCCAGGAACCTCAACTATTCCCCCTCCCCTTCCTCTGTTCTATTGTAAAATAGACTGATCTAAAAAGTAACAACAAATCGTCAGTGAATGGTGTCTTCTGAAGACATTTCACTGTGTCTAGTCTCAGCGGAAGGCATGAGTCCCAGTTCTCCAGGCACAGGGCATTTGGGGGCGTGGACTTTGTGAGCAAGAGGGCCACCAGCCTGGTTCTGAGCAGGAGATGCCATGTCATCTCCAGATCACGTGCCAGAACCGTGGTTACCCTGCCTGCCTTATCAGAACAAGGGTGCCAGTTGCTATGAGCAGCTGAGATCTCTCCTGGACACTTTTTCAGAGGTGGCCCTTAGGTCTAGGAAGGGAACCCAGCAGGGAATCTGTTTCTCTAAACGTAAAGGTCACAGTCATCTCTAGCTAGACCAATGACAGGAATCTAGGAGGAAGTCTCTATCCCCTTTGGGGTAAAGGCACAGAGAATTTCAGGCAGTAATTTCCCCCTTCTTGGAGTCAGTCCCAGGTTAGACTCAGACTCATTGAGCTACTGCTATGTAGACATCCCATCGCAGGCCAGGCTGGGATGGGGCACTTCTGGGCAGCAGGATGTCATGGCTGATTCAGCTTATCTGGAAGCCCAGTGATCAGGTGTAACAGAGGCAGTCCCCGAAACTTAGAGGGGTTGTGATGGGGCCCACAGCAGGCAAGCCTACCTAGAAACTCAAGATCCTGCCCTACGAGTGAGAGCAAGCCCTGCGGGAGGGCCAGGCGATGAAAGCCTGCAGAGGTGAGGCCCGCAGGTGCCTGGTGGGACTCAGGCTGTGTTTTAGAAATGCACCTGGAAATGATTATGTGCATCTGGCAGGCAAAGGGGCCATAGAGAAAGCACGGGCATTCATTAGCGGAGCTAAAGAGGGGGAAGGTGGACTTTCCTCTCAAGCCTGGGAATGTGGAGGGCTGCCTTTCTGGGTGGGGACTGTGGGGATGCACAGAGGATGTGTGTGTCTATTTCCAATGGATACATGTTTGAAAGGCACACAGGAGGCCAAGCGCAGTGGCTCACACCTGTAATCCCAGTACTTTGGGAGGCCGAGGCAAGAGGATCACAAGGTCAGGAGATCGAGACCATCCTGGCTAACATGATGAAACCCCGTCTCTACTAAAAATACAAACAATTAGCCGGGCGTGGTGGTGGGTGCCTGTAGTCCCAGCTACTTGGGAGGCTGAGGCAGGAGAATGGCGTAAACCCGGGAGGCGGAGCTTGCAGTGAGCCGAGATGGCGCCACTGCACTCCAGCCTGGGCGACAGAGCAAGACTCCATCTCAAAAAAAAAAAAAAAAAAAAAAAAAAAAAAGACATATGGGAGCGGGTAGTACTTAAACTGTATTGTGCATTAGAACCACCAGGGGAGTGTGGTAAGACACCAGTTCTGGCCCTAAGGCACAGCAGTTCTGATTCCCTGGGTCTGGGGTCGGCGCAGAAGTTGGCCTTGTAAGCGTCCCTATGATTCTGGTGCAGACATGTAAAGACAATCCCTTGAAAAACCATCCTGGAATTGCCTTGGGGGCTTGATGAAGTGCTGATACCTGGTCCCACCTCCCCACATTCTGAGTTAATTGGCCAAAGATGCAAACTTGGTTTCGGGATCTTTCGGGACTTTCCCAGGTGGCCCTCTGTGGATCCTGAGTGGGGAACCATTGTAGGCAGCCTTCCTTGGAAGTGCCTTTGAAGTGGGAACCATGAATGGTTTAGCAGGGAAGACAGTCTAGACCTCAGGAGGTATTTGAGAATCTGGACTAGGGACTGGACACCCACGCTACTCTGAATTCCACTGGACACAGAATCCTGGTCTTGGGACTTTTTCTTCCTCAACCTGTAATAAGACATGTTGAAGCACATGTTCTGTGGGGTCTCACGCCAATCCTAAGCTCGTTTAGGAGTAAACTAAGTCTCCTGAATAGAGCCAGTGCTACTTGTGCACATACTTGTCACCCACTGACTCAGAAACCTTCAGTTTGATTCACACACATTTTTTTGATGGAGTGAACCAATGGATGAATGAATAAACACCTGAAACCTCCCTTCTTGACCCTGGAAACTGAGTAAAGACCAAAGAGGTAGGTTCTCTGCTCTCATGGCTTTTGGAGGAGACATATCATATAGCAGGCTAGCAGAGTTCACGCACACGCACTCTCACACTCACACACAGCATGCGAGTGCACAGGAAGATAGCATCCCTTCACTCCACCCACTGTCTTTAGAGTTCAAAATAGGCCTTGGCCCTCACTGCTCCAGAGAATAAAAGCCAGAGCTGAGAAACAAGAAAGGCTAATTCCTAGCATTGGAGTCTCCACGGGCCCAGGCCTGGTGAATTAGGGGCTGCTTCATGAGCTTTCAAGGGTTTTCTGAATGCACGTGCTATGCAAGGTTCTAGAAAGTTCTCCACCCATGCTTCCTCTGCCTTCTGCACTGGGATGAAAGGGCTGCATTGCTCTTTCTGTCCATTTCTCTATACAGTTCCACCTCCTGCCGGGTCGCTAAAGGGCTTGGTTTGGGTGGTTTCTTCCGATCATCCCAGTTCCTCAGTTAAGTGCTCCAGGTGGGCACGCTGTTCCAGGGGATAAACCCTTCCCCTTTGGACTTATGTTCACAAAGAAACAAGCTCAATTTTAATTTCCTCGTAATCGCTAAATGATTGGAAGAACCACCCCTGCCCTCTATCTCAAAGCCCTCGCTTCCCTTTCCGGGCTTCCTATCCAACAAGGGGCACAGGGGAAGGCTTTGGAGATGAAAGTGAGCCCCGGCCAGGGCATGTTTCTAGCCAGGCACACCCAGAGGTTGAGCTGTGAACCTCCTTAGAGCCCCAGCAGCCCCAGGGTCTTGTGCTCCACTGGAAACATCCCAGCTGTTTCCCAGGCATTCTTTCCTCAGAGGGCCCATTTCAGAGTGCTCAGGAGGCAAACTACTTACAACGTTGGCCTAGACGGGGTGGGGCAGCAACCACAAGGAGAGGCCTAACAGCACATTTCACAGGCTCCGGGGTGCGGTCTACATCTGCTCTTTCATTTGGCCGGCACAGGCAGATGCTGAGTCTACCTGAGCTGAGAACCGCTTCCCAGCCAAGGCCTCTGCATCTGGATGTGCTCTTCTACCCAAGCGCTCTGGGCTAACTCTAGCAAATCCCAGGCCTCCGGACATGGCCAGATCCATGCCAAAAGAGCCAGGCATTGGGCCTGCCTAGCCCTGCCCAACCAAGGCTGGACTCTGCCTGAGACTCAGGTCTGCATTGCCTGGGCAGCCCCATGGTACAGGCAGCCCCAGACCCTGCCAGCAGCTCTGTCTAGTTGAGTGATTGGCCACTTAGGCCATAAATGAGTCCCATCTACTGAGGGGACCACTCAGGCTGCCTCCCAAGGTTTCCAGGGGGTCAAGAGTCCTATGGTGACCTCCATGATGTTTGTGGTTCATTGCTTTGTGTTTATCTGTTATATGTGCCACACACTTGCATGCAGGCAGAACCACACAGATCAGATGAGTATGCAAAACAGCCGTTCTCTCCTGGAGCACAGTGTCACTCAACTCTAACCAACTGTGGGCACTAGAACCTTTGATTTTCCAAGAAAAGTCTCGGCCAGGCATGGTGGCTCAGGCCTGTAACCCTAGCACTTTGGGAGGCCAGGCAGGAAGATCACTTGGGCCCAGGAGTTTAAGACCAGCATGGGCAACACAGGGAGACCTCGTTTCTACAAAAAATTTAAAAATTAAGCAGGTGTGGTGTCACACACCTGTGGTCTAAGCTACTTGGGAGGCTGAGGCAGGAGGATCGCTTGAGTCCAGGAGTTGGAGGCTGCAATGAGCTATGATTGCACCACTGCACACCAACCTGGGGGATAGAGTGAGACCCTGTCTCTAGAAAAAAGAAAAGTGTCATATCTATGAGGTTTCTGTGTGCAGTATCTTAATTTTTAAATATTAGTACCTATCTCAAAACTTTTCAAACACTGAAGGGTCACAGTGCTCTATTTTACAGATGGGGTCTGGAGCAGGCAGTCATTGTGAAATGTGCAGAATGGGGCTCTTTGCCCACTAAAGGAAGCAGCTACGAACACTGGTAGCCTTCTGCGGGGAAACCTCTCACTATATTTTAAGGAGTAAGATGTGGGCCCAAACAATGAATTTCTAGAAAGAAGAGTTTTGCTAGAAAAGGCATAATGAAATTAAAAGGCCGCAGTTCATCATTCCAATTGATTAATGAAATTATTGGCACTGTCGTACAGTAAGCCAGCTTCCCACTGACACATGGCATAAGATATAGATTTAGCTTTAGAATATCATTGATAACCTCTCCCAAGTCACTGTATCATCAATTTCTAGAAATATACGACCAGGTGGTTTAATTAGTTCACGGTACCTATTTTTACATGCTCATATCTTTTATAATTCTGAGCCTCTACTTTGCTGTTGATATGTCAAAGGAACCCTCACTGTTCCAGGGAGTTATTCTAGAGCTATTTAGAGCAAGTTCCCACCAGCACCTCTCCAAAAATAACAGGTGGATTCATATTCTCTTTGGAAACCATTTTAAGGTTTAAGATGTGATTCATGCTTCTCGTTTTTTTATTTTGTTTTTGTTTTTTTTGCTAAATCTCCAAAAGTGTTTCACTTTTAAGTTGAGCAACTGAATATTTTCCTGTATTTGCATCCTCAATTTGATATTTATTTAGTCCTTCTCCATCTCTTCACTTAGTTAACACCAGGAGAGATAAATATGGTGGTGTCTTTGCAGCAAAGCTTCAGTACATTAATATAAATTGTACACTAATTCCCCCAAAGCATATATATGTTGTAAACCTGAAGACTTTTCACACAGCTGCTTATTGCTAAACAGTGCCTTGTCCAGAAGGGGACAATCTGTGTCTCTAATTGCTGTCACTGAAGCCCAGATTCATTATGTGACTTTCCCATTAAAATGTGAGCATTAATTTGTATAATGAAATATCACCCACTGCAGTGTTCATTAGCCATGCCCTACTGTATACAGCACATTGTTAGCTACCTAGAAACTGTAGTTAATTTCACTAATGGATATTTCCCTACTTAGTGTTTGGTAGGAAATTTATACTGTAACATTACCTCTTCAACTTTTAAGGAAATTTAAATTCAATCAATTATTTTCAACAAAAGTTTAGGATGTCATTAAGGCAGGAAAAGCAAGGATAGGGAACAGAGGAGGAATAAACCGGGCTTTTAGTTCCTCTCAGATATAGAAAAATGATGGAATTTTAATTCAAAACAAAAAGAAAAAAAGACTTATCTCCTTTTGGAGATTTTTTTTTTTTTTTCATCATTACTCAGGTGGTTGGTCCCCCACTAACGGCAAAAATGCATGCTCTCTTTTTGGAAAAGGAAATGAGAAGAACACCCATTTTAACTGATTCCTTTTTGAAAATGTATGCAAAGTGCTTTTATATTTACTCAGTGTGTGAAAACAGCCTAGATACCTTACATAGAAGCATCAAATGTAAGAGACGTAGACACCAGCCATAAGGCACCTGGATGGGGCCGGCTGGAAGTTTCATTTCCACCCATGTTTATGTACCAGCCACTGCTCGGGAAGCACTTTGAAGATGAAAGGTGGTTTCCACCATAGCATGAGTTTATCAGCTCTGTGATGCTGGAAGTGATTCCACTCCCACTCACCCCCACCCCGTTTCCATCCCAGGAGGTCAGAGCGCCTCCACATGCCACAGTGGCCATGCCTCACCCCTAACCTCGCTGTGCTAGTGGGGAAACCCAAGCACGTGGGGCCAAGGAAGCCTGGCCTGGGGCCAGTCTGAGGGAGGGGTCAAGGAGGAGCTGGGGTGCACAGTACTTCCCTTTTAAATTCCCTGGAGGCTGCGCCAACACCACTTGTGAGTACAAGTCACTTCTTTCCTTCCTGTTGGGTATGGTGTGGACACACACTGTCAAAGAAATGTTGCATTAATTCCCTAAAACAAGCCAGAAATTCACTCAGAAAAGTAAAAAGTAGCAATACAATGCAGCGGTGAAGAGAATGAGATTCTGAATTAGGCAGATCTGATTATAACCTTTAATCCAAGCCTGGACAACTCCGGGATGGGATAACTTCACCTCTCTGTCTCTGAGGCTCAGCGCCCTCCCCTGAAGCGGGGCAGGGGATGGAGCCTTGGTGACTGAGGTGCTGTAGGGATGAAGGAGCGAGTTAATGCAAAGTGTCTAGCACAGAGCCTGCATATGGGCGTGGATAGAACGTGGGAACTACCATCACTGTTATTGTGCCGTTACTCCATCCCTGCGGGCTGAGTTCTGTGTTCAGCCAGTTGCTGTCAGGCTTTGTAGTCACAAGGCAAGATAATGTCCAGGTCTCCCTCCCTACACCCGACTGGGTGTGCAGCCCTTTGGGGGCTGCAAGGGAGAACGCCCTCCCTTCCACAATCCTCCTTGGTCCTATAGGAAAGGGACAAGAATACAGGTGAGAGCCCAGCCAGCATCCAGGAGCTGTGCCGTGAAGACAGCAGCCAGGAGTTGGGGGGTGCCGGGCGTACCCTTCAGCCCAATGCTGAACCCCTCGTGACCACAGCTGAAATCCCTGGGAAACCACCACTGACTTCCCTGTGCGGATCCATTCCCACAAAGAGGTTCCCGACTCGGGGCTGGAACATGCGGCACATCAAAACCAGATTAATAAACCACTCACAGAACTCGAGAGGGAGAAGAAACTAATGAGATTTATTTTTAATTAGTCCCTGAACTTTCATGCCTCCAAGTTTTCACGAGTGAAGTTGCTTATTACATTTCTCTACAATGGTCATTCCTTGAGACAACAACCCCATCCCGAAAAACCCACACATGGGAGAGCCTCGGTAGGGAACCCAGCCAGGAGTCCCGCAGCCACGCATGAGGTGCTCACCCACCAGGGGGTCACGCCTCCCCCAGGCTTTCAGGGACCTGTCAGCATCTGCCTGCTTCCTGTACACACAAAACAGATACATCAGACCTTCCAGAGTACCCCCAGGCACCTGGCTTCCCAAGGTAGTGCACAGGGAGGGGACATGGAGGAAAAGAATGGCATGGGTGCATGGAGACCAATCCTGAAATGATTTGCCAACCTCTCAGGAGACTCTGGGGACATGCGCCCTCCCCATTGCATGTTACAACTAGATGTTTGCTGATGTATTTCTGTGATGGTTAATTTTTGTGTGTCAATTTGACTGGGCCACAGGGTGCCCAGATATTTGGTTAAGGATTCTTCTGGGTGTGTCCATGGGGGTGTTTCTGGATGAGATGAACGTTTGAATGGGTGGGCTGAGTAAAGAAGGTGGCCCTCTCCAATGTGGGTGCACCTTGTCCAATCCGTTGAAGGCATGAATAGAACAAAAGGCTGAGCAAGGGGGAGTGCACTCGCTTTGCCTGGCTGTCTTTCAGCTGGGACATTGATCTGCATTCTGGCTCAGACTTGAACTGGAATTTACACCATCAGCTCTCCTGAGTCTCCAGCTCACCAATTACAGATCTTGGATCTTAGGACTTCTCAGCCTCCATAATCACTTGAGCCAATTTCTTATAAATCTCCTGTGTGCGTGTGTGTGTGTGGGGGGGGTGCATATCTCCTTTTCTTTTCTTTTTCTTTTCTTTTCTTTCTTTCCTTTTCTTTTCTTTCCTTTCTTTCCTTTTATAGAGATGGGGTCTCACTATGTGGCCCAGGCTGGTCTTGAACTCCTGGGCTCAAACAATCCTCCCGCCTCGGCCTCCCAAAGTGCTGGGATTACAGGTATGAGCCACTGTGCCTGGCCATATATACATTTCCTATCGGTGCTGTTTCTCTGGAGAACCCTGACTGATGCAATCTCCTTTCTGAGCCTGCAATAATGGGCTCTGAATTTGAATCACAGACACTGTGCTGTAGAATAAAAATTGTCCATATCCAGTTATTGGACCCTAGTCTGCCCAGGGTAATGTCTCCATGAGGAGAGAAGTTCAGCCACCTCTGGGTCAAGCAGCCATCAACGTCTGCCCTGCCTGGAGCCAGAGTGAGGCAGCCTCCAGGATCTGATGGCCTTAGGGACTCCCGAGATCCTGCAGCAGCCTCCCCTTGGTCCCCTGAGGACCTGGCTGAAGCTTAGGGTGCATCAGAAACATCCTAGTGACCCATAGGCTCTCTCGGGCTCCCAGATGTTCAGAACAACCTGACTGGTGCATCTAGTCAGCACCTCTCCAACAAACAGGTGTTAGGAGAAGAGAAACAGTAATTGAGTTAATGCAGTGGGGAGAAAAAGGAGAGAGGTTTTATCCATTGATGTTACATGATCGAGACTTCCAATAAAGATGCAGTCGGACAGAAAAAATACAGAGAAGGTGCCATCTGATATCCCAATTAAAAATATATTTATATTACACGTTGGGTTTTTAAATGTGCTCATATGGGTCCATGGTTTAAAAACTTCAAAAAGATGGCATTTTGGAGTACATGTATTTTTGTTTTGTAATAAGACTGCTGTCCTCTGGCCATGTCATTTAGAAATACAAAAACTGTATGGTATTTGGAGCAAGGAGAGACACCAGGGCCAAAAGAGAGGCAGTCAGGGCCTCTCACCAACTTGAGTCCCACATGAAATCACTTATTAACAAATACGTTGATTGTGATTTTTAATTACTTGTGTAATCTACACTTTTACATTGTCATAATAGATGTTTATTTGGGTGATTTATAACATGTAACACTTTCTGTTCTATTCAAATGCACAAGTGTAAGCATTTTCCAGCTTCTTTGTTCTTAGATAAAAAGGTAATTGATCTTTATCTGGTTACCATTCTGCCTTTTACATACGGCGAATGCTGCTTCCGAGGGGTGGTGGAGGTGGTGTGATGTTTCCATGGCTTCTTTCATTTTCTCTCTGATTCTAGGAAGTTTCCAGAATGCCTCTGTCCATGGCCCTATGTTGTCTCTCTCAATGTCTCCGAAGAGTATTCCAAGGTTTGTGAAGCAGAAGTTCAGAAACATTAGTCTTTCTCAAGCTTGAAAACTGCGAAGAGCAATAACCATTTGCTCTCTCCCAGGTTATCCAGAACTTCTGTCAGCTTTGGTCCTAAGTTGCCTGGAAATATTCTGTGGAGTGTCTTCTCTTACCCCCCGGGAAGCTGACTGGTCTTGGGCCGACAGGGTTAGTGGAGCCCCTCGTTGAGAGGCACCGCCTTTCCTCACTGACTCTTACACCCTGCAAGGCTGACGTTACCCATGGAGAGTTACCACCTGGCTGGGAAATGTGGTCCAGGGTTCTGTGTCGACATGAAATACACAAGACAAGACATGCCTAGCCTGGTTTCCACACTCCTGCAGGCAGCTCAAGCATGGGTGCCCTGTGGACCACCTCCCGTATCCTGGCAGTCTGCGGGTCCCCACCCTGCCCAACCACCACCACAACCCTGGCTCCAATCTGGGGAGGAAAATGGACATTGGCATCATCTGAGAAAACCAGATGTCTGGGCTGACTGCCTTCGAGCCTGGTCACTTTCACGAATTGACGCAGGAATGCCTGGGTCAGCAAATACTTTCTGAGTGCCTACCTGGGCCAGGCTCTGTTCTAGGCTGGGGACACAGCTGGACAAACAGACACAGCCTTTGCTCTCAAGGAGTTCACAGTCTAGTGCATGGAGAGAAACAACAACGAAATACAAATGCATGGTGTGTCAGATGCTGTGAGCACTATGGAGAGAAGTGACACAGGGAAGGAAAGCGGTCTAGAAAGTCCTGGTGGGGCGGGGGGTCCACTGCCATGTGGGTGGGCCTCACAGAGAAGGGGGCATCAGAGCCAGACTCTGAAGGGGAAGCAGCAAGCCATGCAACTATCTGGCAGAGAAGTTCAAAGGGCAAAGACCCTGAGTTCAGAATGCAAGGCCCCCTCCCTGAACTCCCGGGGAAGAGGATCTTCCACTTTGTCTATGCCCAAGCAACCAGCACTTGCAGCCTGACTGTCAGGCTGTGGTTTCTGATAGGTTCCTGTGTTCCCTGGGGAAGGGGCCACTTTCCCTACAGCCCTTGACTCCTCTGCGCCACCTTGAACAATGCAGGGAAGACAGGAGGAGTCACTCACTTATTTGAGCATTTCTTCTGTCATTCAACCTTTCAGATAAATTCATCTGCCCCTACTGGGTGTAAAGTGCCCTTGCAGACCCTGGGGTTATAGAAATGACAGCAATTCAAAAGATAGACAATATTGCCACCTGTGCAAATCTTAGACTCTGTTTGGTGGGAGACAAATAAGCGATGGAGCCCAACAGGGTCATTTCTGAAATTGTTAAGTTTATAAAGAAGATAATTGCAGGGGATGTGAGGGCTGTTTTAGGTGGGATAGTCAGGGGCAGCCTCTCCGAATAGATCCCAGTAAAGCTAAGTCCCCAGGGACCACCTGGAGGAAGATTCCAGGTGGAGGGAGGGGCAGGAACACAGGTCCTGCAGCTGGAACAGGCATTCTGCATTGGAAGAACAGGGAGAATGCAGGTGGTGTTTCAGAAAGGTGCCAAGGATGAAGAAGGGGGCAGGATGGGGCCGGGGCAAGGCATGGGCAGGTCGCATGAGGCCTTTTGGGAGAGTGGTGGGACCTGGAGGACCATTTTAAAAGACACCTCTTTGGCCTGAGATGACTCCAAGAGAGGCATGCAGGATGAACAGGGCTGGTGACTCGGCCCATGGCCTCCTGTGCCCATCTGTCCTCAGGCTTCCCTCGGTGTCAGGGAGATTTGTGGGGACCAGGTGAGGCACCAGGTGAGGGGTTTCTTGTCTCCCCCCACGCGATGCCCATGCAGCCCGCGTGCACTCAATATTCCTGTGCAACCCAGAGCCTTATTGATTCCTTGGGAAATAAACCACAATTATTTTTGAAAATAGATGGCATATTTGTCTAGCCTCTGAAGCAGCTCATACTCCAATAGATAAAGTGTCAGGAGGAAAATCAAAGAAAATGGAAGTGTCCATATCTCCGATAGATTTTTTTTTTTATATTGGCAATGTGCAAGCAACAAGCAGAAAGCTAAAAAGGACGGTGACTGAGGGACACACAGAACTCCCTGTTGCCAGCCAGTCCTCGTCCAGTATGACGCCAAAACATGAGAAATGGCCAGAGGGGTGCAGCAGCCACTTGCCCCCCTTTGCCTAAGAGCATCTCAATTTCTTCTTTGAGGAGATACAGGGAAGAGTCACTTTTCCACCACGCCACATGGAGTGACGAGGATGGACTCCAGCTGCCCTGTCCCAGGTCTGGGCATGTAACACAGGCTGGGCTAAAGCCTATTCTACCTGGATGCTTGGGGAAGTGGCTTCATTCCCTTCTGCACTTAGGAAGGTTTGAGCTGAGACCCCATCACTGACACCTGGGAGACTCCTGGTTCATACAGGCGCCTGGGGAGGGACTCCTTCAATACAGCAGAAGGAAACCATTAGCAAAACGCCCTAGAGGCTCAGACGCGACCCAGTTATCCCAGGCCAGGACCATCCAAGTCTACATTTACGAGTCCCTGAGTCATTTGCGAGGTGAATGTTAGTTAAGTGACGAATCAGGAAATGAGGGCCGCTTCTGAGCCATACAATGGTGGCTAGACAGGCCCAGGGAGAACCTTCCAGAGTTAGTGACCCACACAGCTGTGGACCTGGGCCAGAAAGCAGGCAGGACGGGGACCTCCTCCTTCTCTGGGCTGTGCCCCTGGATGCACTCAGACTTCTCACCTGTGTGTATCCTCAGGTGCACCTTAAGGTGATGGGATGTCCGGAAAGTTTTCCCACAGTACGGGCAGTCCTTCATGGCCGAGCCCAGGCTTCTGTCGCGAAGCAGCGCTGGTTGCTGGACGCCGGCAGATCTCCCAGCCTCCTCGCCAATGTCTGCAGCGAAGGAGAAACGTTCTCACATCACTTCAGCACATGTCAGGAGTTGTTCGCACCAAAACTGCTAACACCACACAAAGTTAAACATGTCAATACTACACCTGTCTATTTCATTCTTTAAATCTGACAGAATGCTGACAATTCATGTATTTTCTTGTTATTCTCTTAAATTATTTCATCTTTCCTATCACCATTTTAAGCAGCATATGGTACCTTTATATTGAACTGAATTAAACAAGAAAAGAAACAGCTGTGTCAGCAGCTGGTTTGATTTCTTCTTTTGCTTAGTTCCTATTAAATATTTTTTTCAAAAGTTTAAAAATGTTGGTGTTTGTTGAATCTGATTAATTTATAATATGGACTCACTGTAGAGTTCACTATGGGACTGAAATCATATTTGCATTATAGCAAGCAACAAATTAAAAAAAATGTGTGTCAGCTGAGTCCCTAAGACATGCAGACATATGGCTATTTTGGGACAGGAAAGAAAATTATCCAAAACTGATCATTTCTTCCTTGTAGAGTCTTGTATCCATCACTGGCTGGTGTAATCTCATGAAAGGGAGAAGAAAAAGTATGGAAATGTGATTCCACAATTAGCCCATGATAAACATATAGTGACATATTCAAAGTCATATGCAGAGACTCAGCTGCAAAACTCCCATAAACTTACAGCACTGCAGACACATCTTTTTGCAGTGACTTGAGAACTTCCTCTGTCAAGTATCGATACAAATTTTCCTTCCTGCTGTTATTTGTTATGTAACCCAAACCATTAGAAAACGGAATAAAATTTACATATGGCTGCCTTCTGCAAAGAAATTGTGGGACATAATAGTAAATAAAACTGGAAAAATGTCTAGTGGTTGGAGGATATGTTATTGCAGCCCCCGAGGCCTGACATCACACTGCCAAAGAGGTCACAATTGGGGAATCGAGGAGGAGAAGCAAGAGAACCTTCTCTGGGCTCACTTTTCTTCCAGAATCATGGACATCCCCACAGAGCAGGAGCCTGAAGGCCTGGCACAGAATCTAAGCTCCTGAGGATAGCGGGGTGATCCTCACCGTAGCTTCCAGCCCACCCTCTAGGCCTCATGGTAAATCCCACTAGGAGAACAAGGGAACCTTCTGGGATAATGAGATCTGCGGGTTCTGCAGAGATCACAATAAATAAGATCTGTGCCTTCCAAGCAATGGAAAATGCAAACTGCTTTTATTCCTCAACGTCTGTTCCTGGTGTTCTCTGCTAACAGCCAAAAGCGGCAGACTTGTAGACCATGAGAAAGATGAAGGACAACACATTTAATTCTTTTTTTTTTTTTTTGAGACAGCGTCTCATTTTGTCACCCAAGCTAGAGTGCAGTGGCACAATCACAGCTTGTTGCAACTTCAAACTCCTGGGCACAAGGGATCCTCCTGCCTTAGCTTCCCAAGTAGCTGGGATTACAGGTGCAGGCCACCATGCCTTGCTAAGTTTCTATTTTTTGCACAGACAGGGTCTTGCTATCTTGCCCAGGCTGGTCTTGAACTCCTGGCCTCAAGCAATCTTTCCGCCTCAGCCTCCCAAAGAGCTAGGATTATAGGCATAAGCCACTACACTGGGTCCGAGACATTTAATTCTTATTTGAGTATTCGCTCTAAGCAACTGTGGAAACTCTTGGCTTGGAGCATTCTCTCTGCAGTTGGACTGTGTACGACCATATCATCACCCTGGCACAGTTATTTATATTTGAAATCTCACTTTAATCCTATTCTCCCCAACTCTTCTAACCATCATTGGAGAGCTATTCAAAGGGTATAATTACCTAGCTTTTTTTTCCTATAATTTTGCACAAGTAGGAAGTTAGGCTCATCCACATCTAGAACTCAAAGTCACTCCACCAAGCCCTAGATTGTGGTTGCCCAAATGAATGTGGAAAGGCCCCCAAAGATGGCTTATTGATCAGGGCAAATGGACACAAGAGAGTGTTGCAAAGTCACCATCAGACAAATGCTCTACATATGGTCACAGTGGCTCTATGTCCTGCAGGTTGAATCTACAAGGAGCTGCTGCCAGAAGGAGTGATGGCTAGATGTCATTTCCAGCCAACCACATACCCTAGCTTTAGACAGTGGCAAGGCCATCTCCTTCTACCCTTCTCCCACTCCCACCCACCCCAACCCTGAGCATGCTGCATTTGCCCTCCCGGCCTCCCTCAGCTTCCCTTTTGCTGGAATCATGAAGGTCAGCTTCAAATAATGATGAGCCTGATTAAAATTCTGCCCAAGTGCTCCTGGCAACATAGTCGAGATACCTAATTTAAGTTAGGAGGCCAATCACTGTTGATTTGAATTATAAGCAGGACTAAGGTGTCCTGGATGTTGGCTTCAGGATGAAGGTAGGCAGGGGCAGGTTTCAGAAGTGTAATTATTGGGCCGGGCATGGTGGCTTATGTCTGTAATCCCAACACTTTGGGAGGCTGAGGCGGGTGGATCATTTGAGGTCAGGAGCTCAAGACTAGCCTGGCCAACAGGGTGAAACCCCATCCCTACTAAAAATACAAAAACTAGCCAGGTGGTAGTGATGTGTGCTTGTAATCCCAGCTACTCGGGAGGCTGAAGCAGGAGAATCGCTTGAGCCTGGGAGGTGGAGGTTGCGGTGAGCTGAGATCGCACCACCATACTCCAGCCTGGGCAACAGAGTGAGACTCTGTCTCAAAATATGAAAAATAAAAAAAAAAAGAAGGGTAATTCCTGCGGGGCCTCCTGTGGCATGCTCTGGACCTTCCCATAAAGCTTCTTCCAGAGGAGCCCGCCAGAGAGCAGTAGCAAGGAGCCACTGTGGAATAAAGCTGCAGGAGAATGTCCTCATGTTCTCTTATAAGGGGGAACTAAGCATTGGGTACCATGGACACAGAGGTGGGGACAATAGACACTGGAGGCCAGGTGTGGTGGTGCACACCTGTAATCCTGGCACTTTGGGACACCGAGGTGGGTAGATCACTTGAGGTCAGGAGTTCCAGACCAGCCTGGGCAACATGGCAAAACCATGGCAAAACTAAAAATACAAAAATTAGCTGGGTGTGGTGGGGCATGCCTGTAGTCCCAGCTACCGGGGAGGCTGAGGCACAAGAATTGCTTGAACTCGAGAGGTCGAGGCTGCAATGAGCCGGGATCACGCCACTGCACTCCAGCCTGGGTAACACAGCAAGACCCTGTCTCAAAAAAATATATATGGACACTGGGGATTCCAAGGGCAGGGGAGGTAGGGAGGGGAGCAAGGTTGAAAAATTACCTATCGACCGCTATGCTCACTACTTAGACAGCAAGATCATTAGAAGTTCAAACCTCAGCATCACGCAATATACTCATGCCACACACCTGCACATGTACCCCCTGAATCTTCAAAAAAAAAAAAATCACAAAAAAGAAGACACTGCAGGAGAAATGAGAGAGGGCATATTTCTCCTGGAGCTTTTGGGAAGGACTTGCCCAGGCCACATTACAGATAAAAATAGCGATACGGCCGCCCTGCACTGTGGAACATTTTGCAGAACTTGAGGATGAGCCCTGCCTCACTATACATCACTCTAAGTGATGGCCTGTATCTGTTTTCCTTTTATCTTTCTATCTTGGATATGTGTGGCCCAATAAAAAGAATAAATTTGTAAGATAAACAGTTTTCTTTGCAGATTTAAGAGTCTAATTATTACTTCACAAAGAAAAGGGATTTTTTTTGGAGGGCCAGAAGGCCTATGGCATTTATGGTTAGACTAATCCTACTGGAAAATCATGCTGAGAGAAGATGAAGGGCTATCGTGGGTGGTCCCAGGAAGTGTCCAGAGAGGCTGAAAGCCAAGCACAGTGAAGGCTGGGGGAGCAAGTGCTGGCAGGACACCCGCAGGGCACTGTGCGTGAGCCCCAGCCTGTGCCAGGATGGGTGCTGGTGAGGATGTGTGTGCTGAACTTGGCCCAACCCCAGCAAGAACCTGAGAGTGTCATTCAGAGGGGAACGTGCATCTGCTCTTGGATTCCTTCTCTACCCCGAGTATAAAAGCACTGGCGTCTGCCCCTCTGCAAACTGCAGGAGGGAGTCCCATCACTTCTCCTGGCACCCCATAACATCAGGTGGAGAAAGCAGTCACTGGTTTATGTTGCAGACAGACCAGCCCTTTCCTAGCCACTCCAGGAAGCAGGCAGTAGAAAGACAGAGGTATTGGCTGGGCATGGTGGCTCACACCTGTAATCCCAGAACTTTGGGAGGCCGAGGCCAGCAGATCATCTGAGGTCAGGAGTTTGAGACGAGCCTGGCCAACATGGTAAAACGCCATTTCTACTAAAAATACAAAAATTAGCCAGGCATGATGGTGCGTGCCTGTAATCCCAGCTACTTGGGAGACTGAGGCAGGAGAATTGCTTGAACCTGGGAGGCAGAGGTTGAAGTGAGCTGAGATCATACTGCTGCACTCCAGCCTGGGCAACAAGAGCGAAACTCCATCTCAAAAACAACAACAACAACAACAACAACAACAAAAAGACAGAGAGAGAGGTATTACAAAAATTGCATCTGTGATCCTTTGTTAAACCTTTCGTGCATTGGTTTGAGATTTATTTAATTTTTTAATTTTCTTTTCCTCTAACCAGTGGTATTCCTTCCCTCCTATGTGACACTTTCTCTAATGTGCTGGGTAGACTGAAGGCAGACATGTGGACAGAGGTCAGCCTCAACGCTGCCATCTGTTCCTCCCTGCTCATCTGTGAAATGACAGACCCCTGCCAGCTCCTAGAGACTGAGATGTCCCTGGAGGGGACCTTTGGCTGCAGGCGGGGAGGCCCTCTCTTGCCTAATGCACCCTCAGCCTGGGTGTGCTCTGGGCTCCCACTTGATGGAGAAACAGCTGAGAAACAGCTCCTGTGGCCCTTGTTTCTTTTCTTGACTCCACTGAATAATATGGGATTATTTCTTCAGATGTGGGTGCCTTGCATGGGTACAACGAATAATATTCCAGGCAGACACAGGCCATATTTGCAACCCTCCTAGACTGTAGCCAAGAGCAAATGTGTTGAAGTAGGCATCAAAAGCTCTGCCAGCTTTCTCCTCTGCCCGTGCCTACAAGCTGAAAGTGACTTGCTAAAGAAAAAGGAGGTGGATCCAAGTTTTTTAAAGGTCTGTTACCAGGAACAAGGAGACATCAGGCAACAGACCTTCCTAATTTTGTCTTCTCAAGGTCAGCAATGTTGTCTACATGCCCATTCGCTTGTTCTTATCCTCCGAGTCTATAGCAAGGTTGGCCTCGATCAAGGTGACATGAAGGTGCATGCTTTCCCCAAGTATTCAGAGGAGGGGATGTGGGCTGAAGGAGTTGGGGGGATTAAAATGGCTACGGATCATTTTAGAATCCTCATCATCCACTGGACCACAAAGCGGCAGTACCAGTTAGACAAAGAAACGGATGCTCAGAAAGACAAACAACTTCTCAAAAGTTAAAGCCCCGATACTTAGAAAACACTGTCACCAGCTGTCTGAAACCACCCCTGAGGTTGGCTATCTTGCTGTATACAAACATGATTTGAATGGATGGGTGCCTCAACACACACTTAACCTTATTTATATATAATATGTTTGGGATATTAAAACTTTGTTTATAAAATGATTTTGTACTTGAAGGGTAGATTTCCCCCTAGATTCTCTCTAAACACTGAACTTCTTTGTATAATAAAATAGCGTTGTTTTCCAAAAATGCTGACTCAGGCGTTAGGAGGCAGAATCTTTTCCTCCCGGGTCCCTAATATCCAACTATCCCAAGCAAGTCCCTTCACCCCTCCCCTCGCCCTTGGTTCCCATCTGACCCACGAGGACTAGACCTCCGGGTCCCGCCATGCTGAAAGAGCTCCAAGCCTATCCCAGGCTGTCTCTGCCCGCTGCTTTTTTTTTTTTTTGGCCTCTCATTCTCCCCGCTGACCCCACCCTACAGCCAAAGAAGATACTGATGTTGGGTCTTAAAGAGGCGAGAAGAAATGACTGTAAAAAGGACGGCAAATGGTTGCTAACTAGTCCCTGGACCCCTACGTATCCCAACTTCTCTTGCACTAAGCTGAGGACAGGTGGTCAGTTTTGGCCAACAGATGAAGGAAATGAAGACAGAGTGTGCCTGCACCTCCTCCGCCCTCTCCTCCTGGGCCACAGTGACCTTGCAACGCAAAGGTTGAGACAACAGAATCACAAAATAGAGGGCACCTGGGTCACTGAGTCACCAGATGGATGACAGCTGACCCACATCACACTTTGCATGAATGAGAAACAAATCCTGGTTATATTAAGCCATAGAGATGTTGGGGGTAGCCATTGTGGGAAAAGGTCAGAAATTGACTAAGAAGAGTCAATCCTCTACTGGTGAAGTCTTCTGGGTTTATATCCAATCTTCCAGGGAGTCCAATTAACTCACAGAATGAAAGGGAGAAGCCAGAGATAGAAACCAAAAGAGGCAGAGTGAGAGGACAAAGAGAAAGGAAAGAATGACTTCTTCTTATATTGCATGTGGATTCTTGGTTCTCGCTTCATCCCAACTCGCTGGCAGCCTTACCCTTCAGATGCCCAGAAGTACATTTTGGAAAGACTTCCATTAAAAAAAATTATAATGATGATGCTGTTGGCAATGATGATGGTGACTGGAGAGTTACCCCAGCAAGCACGCATGGGTAAGGTGACTAACTCTGTGAACACCCTGGCGCTTACTACGTTTATGGCATCAAATGCCATGATATTTTAATTTCTATGGAGCTTCTAGTATAACAGTAAATACATTTTCCCAGATGAGTTGTCAGTTAATTCTGCAAGTATGCTTTGTGCAAAGAACGTCTCAAAATCACAGCTCTCACTTCATTAATGAAGAAAAAAAACTATTTGTGGAGTCTAAGGGGTGAAGAAGCAGTTCAGTGGCACAACAACAACAAAAAAATCACATCTTTCTTAATGTCCTTGCCCACGTATGCCAGGGCTTGAAGATCTTTTCAGGAGCAAGATAATACCGACACCTTGGGGAAAGTCCAAAGGAATGTATAGCTACTGTTAAAAGCTTAACACTTCCCTTATTTTGAAAGCTTTAATAGACTCAAATAAAGCAATCACAACTGGCCCTTTTATTTTTTTTAATTATTTAAAATTAATGGTATGCATGAAAATTATAACATTACTGTAAACAATTCTACCTAACTCTTAGAAGACATAACTCATGCCTCGGGTCAGTATCAACTTGGTGTCTCTGTGGTTGCATCAGAGTGCTCAATTTTATGGTGGCCATATATAGTCATGTTAAACAGTTAAGTATTCTTATGGATTGGTGAAAGTATTTGTTTAAATAAAGAGCTATTTTAGAAAACGATGTCCACTTGTGAGGAGGCAACAGGCAGCTTGCTCGTGGGTTATTACCAACGGGGTCGGGATTGGACCTCACTGGTGAGCCCTGGGACACGTGAGATAGAGAGGTGGCATGTTTTCCATGTTGCCATGTCTCACCCTCTACCCAAACTCAAAACTGGGCAGAGTTCCATTTGCTGGTGGCAAGAGACGATTTCTGGAATTGGGGAAGTAGGTCATCAAAAGGCTAATTTCTTAAAAAAAAAAAAAAAAAAAAAAAAAAAAAAAGGAGGCTGGGTGTGGTGGATCACACCTGTAATCCCAGCACTTTGGGAGGCTGAGGTGGGCAGACCACAAGGTCAGGAGTTCGAGACCAACCTGGCCAATATGGTGAAACCCCATCTCTACTAAGAATACAAAAATTAGCCAGGTGTGGTGGCAGGCACCTGTAGTCCCGGCTATTCGGGAGGCTGAGATAAGAGAATCGCTTGAACCCAGGAGGCGGAGGCTGCAGCGAGCCGAGTTCACACCACTGCACTCCAGCCTGGGTGACAGAGTGAAAATCCGTCTCAAAAAAAGAAAAAGGGAGAAATATAAGACACTAGGATTTCAAATACCTTCTCTAAAGCAACATTTTGATGAGTTAAGTGAAAATGAATCAGAAACACATGGATTACATTTTCCTTAAAATATACCAGGGCTTCAAGATCAAGAACTGTGGGCCAAATGTGTTTCTGGTTTTCCCAAGCCCTGAACCCGTTCTTTTTTTTTTTTTTTTTTTTTTGAGACGGAGTCTCGCTCTGTCGCCCAGGCTGGAGTGCAGTGGCGCAATCTCGGCTCACTGCAAGCTCCGCCTCCCGGGTTCACGCCATTCTCCTGCCTCAGCCTCCCAAGTAGCTGGGACTACAGGCGCCCGCCACTACGCCCGGCTAATTTTTTGTATTTTTAGTAGAGACGGGGTTTCACCGTTTTAGCCGGGATGGTCTCGATCTCCTGACCTCGTGATCCGCCCGCCTCGGCCTCCCAAAGTGCTGGGATTACAGGCGTGAGCCACCGCGCCCGGCCCCTGAACCTGTTCTTAATTGTTGGTGGAGTCTGTGAAACTCCCTGCTGGGGATTAGGCCACCCATGGGGTCTCTGCCCTCTGGCACCATGTGATGCTGCTGTGACAACATCCCCTGTCATCCGCAGACCGCCACATCTTGCCAAGGCCCCAAGGGGTGGCTATGGGCTGGCTGTGGGCAGGTACTCTCAGTCCCCAGGCTAGAGACTGCAACCCTGGATGCAGCGGGCAAGGTTTGGGATTCACAGAATTGACCTGGGACAAGACATCAGGTGTGACATGTCTCTTTGGGCTCTGCACACCTGTCTCTTCTCTGTGGGACAGGGACTGTGGGCTGGAGCCCACCCCAGAGACCATTCGTGTCGCTGAGCAGGGTCACCTAAGAACCTGGCCTTGGTGAGAAGACCCAGGCAGGAGAATGAGTCTGAGAGATTCAGCCCAGGCCGCTGCCATCTCCTGGGAACAGCCTCTGGTTGGGGGCAGGGCAGGGACCAGCTACTCATTTCATTGCTTTTTAGAATAACCTCCAGCTGTGTCTCAATATGTCCAGGTGGCCTCCCTACTGCTCTGACTTCATCCCAACTCCCCACCTGCACTCCAACCCTCACCTTTCTGTTCTCCTCTGAGGCTGGTTCCCAACTTTCTGTTCTCCTCTGAGGCTACGTCCCTTCTCCAGTAAGGCTTTGGTCCTGCTTCCCCTCCTCCTGGAATTCTCTTTCCCCTAGAATGCTCTTCTAACTTTCGTGTAAAAGTCACCTCTCTGAGAGAGATTGTCTCTGATCGCACTGTTGGA
This sequence comes from Homo sapiens, assembly GCF_000001405.40. Classification (NCBI taxonomy): domain Eukaryota; kingdom Metazoa; phylum Chordata; class Mammalia; order Primates; family Hominidae; genus Homo; species Homo sapiens. Next base: position 30,525,651 of record NC_000019.10, on the reverse strand, counting down.
AGGAAATCTCCCAACCCCCAGCTCTCAGCCCATGTCACCTTCCACATCGCCCTTCACAGATGGTCAGCTGATCTGTGTATTAAACTGCTCACTGCCTGTCCCCTTCCTAGAATGTCAGCTCCAGGAGAACAGGGGCCAGGCACTATGGCCTGCCGTGACATTTCTAGCATGCGAGACGTCCTCAGCTCATAGCAGGTGCTTTATAAATACTTTTTCAACAAATAAAAGCATCAGGGAAGGCAAGCAAGTTGGAATTCAGATATTAAGACCAGTTCCTGACTATGAGAGGGAAGCTACTTTGAGCAGCTGGTGGGGAGAAATAGTCCAGGGCACCGTCAAAACATCGGAAGTGCTCCAGAGTGTTCAGCGCATGCAGGTGCTGGAGTTGGATGATTGCAGGGTGAGGAGGCCTGGGGATGTCCAGGGAGGCTTCCTGGAGGAAGGGGCCTCAGGGTGTCACCCAGTTCTCCCTCCATCCAGGTGGAAGGAACCACAAACACACAATTATAATCAGCAAGGCCACAAGAGAGCTCCTTAGAAGACTAAAGTGTGAGGCCCCTTTCCCCATTTCATTTACTCAATTCCTTCCTGGTTAAAAACGAAGATCTGACTATCATAAGGAGAAACGACTTCACATAAGCATAAAGAGATACTCACCCATAGAAGAGCATAGTGAAACAGATATTTTTAATGTAATCTATGATCCAATTACTATAATAATTATAATAAAATATTTGTTATGCCTTTGCTTCTTCATAATTTAAATTAAGTACTCCTTTCTTTAAACAAAAAATGAAAATTATAGTATAAGCCTCTACTTTCACTAAAGCATAAATTCCCAAAAGATGTCTACGTAATTTATTTTACTAAGAAAGAAAAAAAGAACACTATAGCTTTTAAGATCCTCTTAAGATAATTTACAGCCCCTCCTGTTTGGGTGGGGGTGGAGGAGGGGAGAAGATGGAAGATCTGACTCCAGGAATTCTTACCTAAATGACACCAGGAACAAACTGGACCAATCTTTTTTAAAATGTATTTGGTCAGTCACTATAACTTGCGGAGTTGAGTTTTCTCCTGGGAATTGAGCACACTGAAAGGAGAAGGGATGATTTGGAGATAACGCCTCCCCTAGAGATGTGTCTTGCCATATTCTTTTTTAAACAAAGAAGACATCTTGAGCACCTTGCACTATCTTTCATTTAATAGTTGGCAGAAGGCAAGTCCCTGATGAACGCTGGCCTGTGTCTTTCTCTTTAACCAGCCGAGTGATCCCAGCTTTTAATATAGCCGTTCCAATTATTGTAAAAGTCATCTAGTACCTTATAACCACAAATATTGACAGTTTATTGCAAAACACATTCCTGACATTTGAAGGTCACACCATACATAATACATACTCTTTTATAAAAGTGTCTGCAACAAAGAGATACATGATAAACAATTACCTCTCCCAGGCTGTACGCATGTACAGTTTGGGGCTGACTTGAGGTTGCATGAGAGACACACACACCATTTTAAATAATCTATTAGGGCGGCATGGAGGCATTCGTGATGGATAATTATGAAATGGCTTGTGAGCCTGCCGCCGTCGGATTGGCTGGCCTGGGCACGGGGTGGGGGCAATGCCCCTCCGTGGAGTGCAGGTCACAATGCCTCTGTGCCATGGAGAACCCAGCTTCACTTCACAATCGGATTTTGCCCCAAAGCCACTAAGCATAACAGACTCACAAATACGTTCTTGTTTCTCACATTGAAAGAAACTAAAAATCCACCAGGCCCGGCTGGGATGCCTCCTTAGCCTACAGTGGTGCCTCAGAGAGGCATTGACCACACTTGTGGTCACACAGCCATACCACCTCTCCCTGGGGCTGTGGCATCCAGAGACCCTTGGCACTCCAGCCCTGACTTCAGCCCAGCACAGGGGAAGGGTGCCTGACTGCCAGGTGCAGGCATTAAAAAAAAAAATCAGAGTATGAAAAGAGTTCCACAAATCTCTGCTGAAACTGAGAGTACCCAGGAATCTCTGGAGGAAGCATTCTGAGAGGGAAGCCACTGTCACTGTCCCTATCTCCAAAGGCTTCTCCATCTTGTCGCCACTTGTCCTTCCAGAGCTAAATCTGACAGACAGGTTCAGAAGACAGAATAAGCGGAGAGGTTTGCAGTCCAAAAGCCCCAGGTCAAAACCAAGTTCCCCAGGTCTTAGGCGTGTAATCCTGGGCAAATTACATAACCTCTCTGAGGCTTGGTTTCCTTATCTGCAAAACGGGAATAGTCACAAGAATTCATGTCTCAAAGGATTGTAGAGTCTAAGGTATATAAATCACTTAGCATGGTGCCTGATGGAGGTTATGCTCCAATTAATAGTGGCTTTCAACATGAATATTGCCAAAGCAACGCGTCATATGTAAAGATGGCATGGGGAGGGGGCAGATCTGTGGTTTTAGCTCCAGGACTAGCCTCCTGAGTAGCAGCTTTCAGTGTTCGTGTCCCTGGCAGTGCCCCCGCGCCAACCCCAAGCCAGCTCCAAGCTATGGAATCAGACACATACAAAGTGCCAGCATGAGGGGACATGATCCTTCCCTGAAAAGTCCAGTTGGGGCAGCTCCTCCAAAGCTCTAAAACCCCAGGCAATCCTCCCAAGTTAACAGTAAAAAACAATTCAGGCTGCCACTGAGCTTCGCATAGATGACAATCTTTAATCACAGATGAAGCGGCAGGTCGTTAGAATCTGCACCAAACTCCCTTCCAGATGATACTAACGGTTGCTGTTTAAAATATATATACCTATGTGCATGTATAAACACAAATATATATATTTAGAACCATATTAAAATAAATAATCAACAAATCCTTAAGATAATTGAAAGCCCCTCCAAGAGTAATTTTATTTGGATTTCCAGAATGAACATCTTAAAATTTAAGACAGGGGACCAAAATGATTTCTACAAGGATGACATGTTTATTAGCACTAAATCCCAGGAAAGAGGGCTTCCTTATAAAGAACACGTTTTTGCATCTGAAAAGCATGCCTATTAGGATGTGTGTGTTCCTTTAAGAAGCTATTCTGTTTTAGAGGGTCGCATGTAGGATAGGGCTCCACGTGATCAGGAGGTTGCTATGGTAAATATGCATTTTTTATTGAAGAGTAAACAGTGGCAGAAAACAAGTGTCAATTGCCAGCTCTGAAGTTACTGCCATTTTTGAGCTGCACTGACTTATCTAGCCCTTTTCATTTGAGAACATATCAGATGAACGCAATCCTTGGATCAGCTTAAAAAATTTTTTTGAATAAATGCTGAACCCTTCAATATCTTGTAGTAATAAATACTTCAGTTGACATTAAAATTAGCAAAAAATTATATATATATTATATATATGTATATATATATGTATATATATCCAGCTCTGCCAATCAGGCACAGGCACATGGATCTTTCTGGAGACCTGTTCCCAGCTGGTGGACTTCCAAAGGACAAAACCTTCAGGTCTGGCTCAGGCCACAGAGCAGAGGAGCCAAGGAGACAGCTGAGGCCACTCCACTGTCCATTGTCTTGGTACCTGCAGACCAACAGAAGCCCTGGGTGGTGCCCTGCGAATGGCCCTCCCGGTCCAGTGTTCGTGTCCCTGGCAGTGTGATGTCCCATGCTGCTTGAAGGGCAGTGTAGTTTACACAATACAACTGTGACACTTTTAGCTAAGTTTTCACTGTGTTTCCCCTTGTAGAGACTGAGAGGAGTGTAAATTTATTCCTGGTAGTTCCTGAGAGGCAACTTTGTTTTCTTCTGATATATCCACATGGGTGACCTTTCTTGATTATAAGTCAGGCCACGTCACTCCCAGTTATCACCGCGGTTAGCACCTGGTCCCATCCCAAGTGGCCCCCAGCTGGCTTCTCTGGCTAGATACAGGGCTTGAATTTTGTTCTTCTTTGACACCAGCTTTCCTTCTAGCCTGTAAAGTGCAAAGGACAAGGGCTGAGGTTCCTCCTCCTCCATACTTTGCACGTGGCCGGTGTCCAGCCAATATTCACCCCAAATGGGGTGAATAAATGAATGCTTTAATAAATGAACTGACCTAGCTCCAGGACTAGCCTCCTGGGTAGCAGCTTCCAGGAGGAAGGTCAAGTTTGCTTGTTTTTCTTGTGATCACAGATGAAAATAACAAGTCTGGCAAATTCTCAATGGGAACTTCCCAAAGTCTGGGAATCCCATAGACTGGTCCAAAGAAATTCAGACCAGAGACAAGGATCCCAAGATGAGTGTGTCCTCCAACAAGCCCCCCAGAAGAAGCAGGCAAGAATAGCAGCCCTTGCTTTTCAGGGAAGGGGAGCAGCAGGTAGCTGAGCAAAGTGTCCCCACAGCCCCCAGACATGCACAGAGATGGCCCAATCCTCCTCAACACAGGGAGACACACGGGCCACTTTTAATGCTGCCTGAACAGGCTTGCCTGGGCATTCGAGCACCTCAAAACACCAAGGGACTCCGGGAGCCAAGTCTGAATCTAAACTCTGCTAGCACTGGCTCTGTGGTCCTGAGCAAAGCGCCAAAGCTTCATGAGCCTTCATTTCCTTGTTGGTAAAGTTGGATCACTGGAGAATGGTGCCAGTCACAGAGGGTCTGAGTGCTTCATGAGGCAATGGGCTTGCAAAGCTGCATGCACTTTAAACCCTGCGTGGCAGAGTGGGGAAGCCACTGACCAGGCAATGGCCGGCTCTGGGCTCCGTCTGGTGAGGCCACTTCCGAGCTGTGTGTTTGTAAATGCCTCCTACCTTCGCCCAGCCTCCAAACACTGCCTATGACATGGGAATAAGGCCTCCTACTGTGGACAAAAGGTCATCCAGCAGAGTCCCAATTGGTAGCCTCCCAACCCCACCATCTACAAGGTCTAAAGTATGAAAAAGGTAAACCAGCATAAAACAGCAAACCAGCAGGTGGTGATCCATGTCATGGAGTCACCATAGGATCCTCCAAAATGGTCAGCCCCTCCCCCTGCATGATCAACAAGGTTTCCTAATGCCAAGCACCACCGAGCCCTGAGTAGGAACTCCATGTAGACATAACACATCTTCACTCTCTCCCACATTGTCTAACCCAGAAATTAGAGCTTACTTGGTATTATCCTCCAAACACCCCTTTGAGGGGAGTAGGTGAAGGAGTTGGGGGTATGAGGACCTGGGGGGATGTGGGCACTGGGATGACAGGGAGAAAGAAGCAGACAGCAGGTAGAAGCTCAGGCCTCAGCATCCCATTGGTCTCTCAACATCTCCAAAGAGCTCCCCATTCATCCACAACTACACAGGTCCCAGGGCCCTTCAGTCCTACACGCTGGGGGCTTGCACCCGGGAAGCCCCCTGGCTGGCTCATCCCCTACCCCGAGAACACATGCCCTGATATTGAAAAAGAATTTAAGAGCTTCAGGAACTTGGGACTGCAATGAGATCTAAGAAATGTTTCCTCTCATCCTGAAATGCCTTAAAAATCCCAGAGCTGGCCCTACTGGCCCACCGGGCCAGAAATTTCTCTCTCTGTTGGACCTCAGAATCTCAACACATACTGTTCCCTCTTCCTGAAATGCAAACCCCAAACACCAGCCCCAGGCCCACCACCTGCATCTTGCCTGGTTAATCCCACTCATGTTTGAGGGTTCAGCTCCAATGTCATTTGCTCTCATCTTCCAGACTAAGTCAGGTCTGCCCAATCATCCCAGAATTTAACCTTCAGGACATTTCTCAGAGTTTGCACTGAGCGTATATGTGTGATTAATATCTGTCTCTGCCACCAAACTGCCACCTCTTTGAAGGCTGGGATGGGGTCTGTTTTTCTCACTCTTGTGTCCCTTAGAGCCTCCTGGCACAGTGTGTTCAATAAATACTGGTGACCAGCCGAATGAATGAATGAATGAATGAATGGTGTTGGGGAGGGCTGGCCACCCTTCCATGATCATGCAATCTAAGAAGTCTGCCTTTTCCTTTTAAGTACATAACTAGCCACCTCTGACCTGCCCTTCCAGGGTGTGGGGCCTGGCAGTGGGTCCAGGTGGCCTGTGTCTGTGAGTGGACAGGCTGCCACAGGCTCTCTCCAGGAAGGAAAGCTGGACGTGGGGAATCTGGTGTCTGGTATCCCAGGGCTCCATTCCCTTGTGGTCCATCAGTCCAGCCCCCTCCTCTTGCAGCTGCAGACTGCAGCTCCTCCAGGCTCTCCTTGAGAGAGTGCAGGGCTCCCACTGCCAGAGCACAACCCCGTGGAGGGCAAGGAGAAGTCAGCTTGGTCTTCCCAGCCTCACCTGCCCCAAGGTGCTGTGCAAAGCTTCCAGTCCCTCCTGCCACAGGGCCCTTCCCTGTCCACACCTGCCCCAGCCAGGGCTCGACATCCACACAGAAATTCAATCCTATTTTGCAGCAAGGCTGGTGGCTCTTGGGAGCCCCACCCCAGAGCTGGGCTGGGGGAGGCAGGTGGCTTGATTTGGGCCAACAGAACCTTGGGACGCGATAGGCTGCGCAGGTGTTGGCCTTGAACCGTTGCTGGTGGAGACTGCAGAGTCCAGGCCCTGGGGCAGCACCTCAGGCCGTTCGTTCTGCCTGGGTACTTCTGCTGAGTCTCTGGGCCTGAGGAGAAAGTCCGCCCAGATGTATGTTCTTGGGGGCATCCCGCCACACGGATGCTCTGCACGCACCACCAGAACAAGGAAGCAAACTTGGCTTTCCCATCTGCGTGCTGCTCCCGGGATGTTTCTTTCCCTCAGCCTGCAATCCAGGCTCTCCCATAGCTCCCCCATCCCTGCACCCCCATCCCTCTGCCCTGGTTCACTCCTTTTTGGGCATCACCCAACACTGACTGCTAAGGCTCACTTCCATGGCAAACCTGTGGTCTGTCTGGTTTACGGTGGCACCCCCAACCTTTAGCTAGGTGCCCAGCACATAGTAGGCACTTACTGAATAAAAGGCAACATCACATTGCTCGATTCGATACCAGTGACTTTTTCTTTCATATGGAAAATCATTTTCTCCATTCCCTCAGATGTCCTTCTGCACTAATATTCAAAGCGGTGCTGCGTACACACGCACATCATCCTGGGATGCTAATTTCTATCCTATAATTGAGAGAGACAACTAAATGTTGCAAGGTTATTCAAAACTCCTGCCCCTTATCCTCTGACTTCTCCTTCGGGGAAAATTGCACAGGAATACATTTCCTCATCTATGTGTTAGAGCACGGTTATAATCCACTATCATGATTGCAATTTTGGGAATCAAAACGGAGATCCAACACAGCAGTGTGATCTACATTTTAGCCACATATATTATAATAAATTAAGTCAAAGAAGGAGTTTTGCATTAACTCTCGCTGTATTCCTTTAATACCCTGTAAGAACACTGAAGCTACCCTTCGTAAGTGCTTGGCCCTTCCTGCCAGCTGCCCAGGGCTGCCAGGTTGCTGCTGCCCCTTCGCCTGCAACAGGAGGTGACAGGGCCAGCTGCGAGGTGATGGCTGGACCGTGCTTGGAGCATTGACTGGATCAGGCTTCTGCACCCTGGGTTCAAAGCCACAGAGAGGCTGATCTGGTCACTGGCATGCAGAAGTTTCTGGAAAGAAGGAGACAGTTCAAGCAGCAGGCTAATGGGAGGGTGCTAGACTGACCTCTGTAGATAACTCTGCGGACCTGGCAAAGGAGGGGGTAGGTACACGCTGTGCCCACCACGTTAATGACCTCGCCCAAGTCCTTTCCTATTTCGGGGCTTCTGTTTGCACCCCCAAATCATGGAATGGGGGCAGAGGACTCTAATTGAGATGCAAAGGTTTAATCACACAGGGTTTTCATGTGTTAAATTTGTTTTTTTGTTTGTATGTATGTATGTATTTATTATTTTTTTGAGACAGGATCTTGCTCTGTTGCCCAGGCTGGAATGCAGTGGTGTGATCATGGCTCACTGCAGCCTCGACCTCCTGGGCTCCAACAATCCTCCCGTGTCAGCCTCCCAAGTAGCTGGGGCGTATGCACCGCCACACCCAGCTAATTTTGTAAATTTTTTGTAGAGACAGGATTTCACTATGTCACGCAGGCTATAAGTTTGTTTTTAACATATACAAATTTGGGACATTTCACTCACACATGGTCAGCATTTCCAGCTTCTCCTGAGAAACTGTGTTATCTCCCAATGCTGAGCCCATGGGCCCAAAGAGCAAGGGTTGATGGGCTGGGCAGTGGATGCGTCCTCCCCACCGGGCCCCTTCCCCACCCTCACTACCTGGCTGGCCCCCACCCTGCAGGCATCTCTCTGAATTTGCCATCTCAGCCGAGATGATCCTGGGAGCCCTTTCCACCTCTAAAAACGGCCTTAATAATCTCAGTTAGGCAAATAAGGCAGAAGCCTCCAGACTAATTCTCGTAATTATGATGGGTCTGTTATTTCAAAGCCAGTGATGATTGTGGGGTCAGGTACTCAGAGGAAGAGGGAGAGAAACAGACTTTCAAGTGATAGCAAATACCCTTTGATTCTTCGCTATGATACCAAATTGCATCCAGAAATGCTGAAACGTGTGCTCAGAACCTGAGTCAGATTTCAAAAAGGCCCCAGGAGGAAGGGCAGTGATCAGAGGGAAAGATGGATCAACCAGAGAACCAGGCGATGTAAAGATCACGTCCCAGGACTCGGTGGCTGGGCCTGAGCCAAGGGGACAGTGACACATTTCTTCACTGCTGCACTGGCCTTGGGATCTGTCACCACACCTGGCCTTCCCCTATCTTCTCCAAGTTTAGAAGGCCCGACCTTCTCCTCCCTGCCTTTCAAGCGTTTCTCATCACCACTTCACGAAGCCTCGCCACGAAGCCTCGCACTTCCACTGCCGCCACGAAGCCTCGCCTGGCCTCCCGGCACACTCCGTCTCTAAACCTTTTCTGAACATTTCTATACAATGACATGCTGCTTTGGAATGCTCACTAATTTTTCTCATGTGTTTTGATTCCAGCCTACTTACCAAGAGTACCCCGTGGGTTTGCCTGTCTCGTAATCATCAACAGAGCCGAGCGAAGGGCTGGCCCACAGAGTCACTCAATGAACACATGTGGGTTGACCTTTCCGTGGTGAAAGGCGCCATTATCATCTCCTCCAGGGCTTTCTTCATAGGGCTTCTTCAAGGAGAAAGAAAGATCTGACCAAGTGACAGAAAACACTTTAGACTTTCTGGCCTCATTGTCTCACTTAAGTTTATGTCCCTAGTGTTGGCTTGAACGTTGTCCTTTTCCTGTTGCCCCTGAGTTCATTCATTCAGCCAGCAAATATTCATGGAGAGCCTGCCCTGCACAGGTTCAGTGCCGTGGAGACACACACCAGGCCGGCTGGTCCGTGCAGGGAGAAGCTGCCCAGGAGGACGGAGGACGGCAAAGGAGGCACCTGGGTCCTTCCTGGCTGATGTTTGCATCTTGTGGTGAGGTACCTAGTTCTCTCTATGGTCCTCATTCATCTTAGAGCAATTAGACCACAGCAAACATGTCCACCCAATTTTCCCTTCTGCCCTTGTCTCTCTGTGGATAAATCTCTGGGCCTATGTAGGATTCTCAACTGAGCACTGGGCATTCTTTTTTCTTTTCTTTCTTTATTGCTTTTTTTTCTTTTTTTTTTTTTTTTGAGATGGAGTCTCACTCTGTCACCCAGGCTGGAGTGCAGTGGCATGAACTCGGCTCACTACAACCTCCGCCTCCTGGGTTCAAACGATTCTCCTGCCTCAGCCCCACGAGTAGCTGGGAATACAGGCACCTCCCACCACGCCCTGCTAATTTTTGCATTTTTTAGTAGAGATAGGGTTTCACCATGTTGGCCAGGCTGGTCTCGAACTCCTGACCTCGGGTGATCTGTGCACCTTGGCCTCCCAAAGTTCTGGGATTATAGATTATAGGGGTGAGCCACCACGCCTGGCCTAGAGCAATGGGCATTCTTATTTTACTTCTGGGAGATTCCATTAAGAAGAGGAAGGCCAGGAACAATTTTGTATCTGCTTCTATATTGTCCACTGTGGATTTCTGGCTAAGGTATAAGACCGAGAAAGCCCCTGTGTTTTACCAATGGCTTCCTGAGGTGCCTTCCTGCTGCTGTGATCATAGAGCGCTGTCTGAGATCCTACTCTGTCCTAACAGCACGGGACACTTCCCATGAGGATGATTCAGGTTTTTATCCTGAAGGCGCTTCACATGCACCAGGGAGAGCAAAATAAATATACTAAAAGTAATGGTGATAATAATAATAAAATCTGAACTCTTATCATAAACGATAACTACTTCAATAGCAGTTAACATTAATCGAGCACATTCTATGTGCTTTCAAAGCATTGTCTAAATCCATCCTCACAACAGCCCTTTGGGGCAGAAGTTGTTGTTATATTTTGGGTTATTTTTTGAGACAGGGTCTCACTCTGGTGCCCAGGCTGGAGTGCAGTGGTACGATCATAACTCACTCTAACCTTGAACTCCTGGGCTCAAGTGATCCTCCCATCTCAGGCTCCCAAGTAGCAGGGACTACAGGTGTGAGTCACCACACCCAACTAATTTTTAGTTTTTTCTGGTGTTTTTTGTAGAGATGGGGTCTTGCCATGTTGCCCGTGCTGGTCTCAAACGCCTGGGCTCATCAAATGATCCTCCCATCTCGGCCTCCCAAAGTGCTGGGATTACAGGTGTGAGCCACCACGCTGGGCCACAGAGTTTTATTATCTCCAATGTACAGATGAGAAAACTGAGGCTTACAGAGGTTGAATTACAAATCCAGGCTCACACAGCTAGTAAGGACAGAGCAGACTGGAGTCAAGGTCACTGGATTCCTGATACTGAGCTCTGCAAGCTACCCAGAGCCGGAGTCAACAATGAGGGGTCCTCACGTTGCAAGTACAATATGGAGATGAAGGGATGAGAAGAGTTTCTGGATGTGGAGGCCAAGACAGGTGCTTTGTGCATGCAGCATGGAAGCACAGCCTGGAGGGGCAGGTATGGTGGGGTAGGGGTGGTGCCCTCTGGAATCAAGCAGAAGAAGCTGGTCTTGATGCCCCAAGAAAAGCCACCAGAAGAGCTGCATAAAGTCCTGGAAAAGAGAGGTAAGGTCCTCCTGCAGGTTGGGACACTGGGTCTTCCCGTCTACTGGTCACTCTTCTACTTGGTCATCTTTCTTTGCTCCAACACAGTCACACCATTTCTCATCTCCCTGTGAGTCTCTTTGACCCCCCTGCAGGACCCAGGGGTTCTGGCTTCCAGACACCACCATTGTAAAATAATTACCAGAAAACCAATCAGAAAGAGAGCATGCGAAACCCAGCATGCCACCCCTGCCACATCAACGAGATTAAGGGGAGGCTCAGGGTGAAAACAGACTTTTTGATTTTTTTGAGGGTGGGAGTAAATTGAATAACCTCTCCCTAACCACCCAGTTGGATGTGGACAAACTGCTTCAATTGAATAATCTATGGAGGCTAGTAGAAGGGGTGTGTCTGAGGTCTGTGCTCCTCTCCTTAGGGGAATCACTTTGAAAACATACGCCATTTGGCACAATCTGCTCAGCTTCAAAAGCAAAGCAAAGCCTGCCACGGGTCAAGGACCACTCTGAGGCAGGTAGAAACAGGACCTGGCTCGCCAGGTCTCACTGAGCTGGTGCATTGCTCCCCCACACAGAAAGCCAATGGGCTCTCGTGTGTCCCACACAGCACCCAACGTGCCCCTCACCAGTCAGTGCACACAGATGCTGATAAACTGCTCAGCCCTGAGTTTGAGGGTCTCAGAATCCTTCAAAATCCCCCCATCTGCAGGGGAGAAAGAAACAGCTTGGTGGAGAATGTTCTAGCATTCACACATCCCAAGCACCTGGTCTTCCACCAATCTTCCCACCAGGACCTTGCTCCACCTCCAAAACAAGTTGGTTGTGACCACCGGGAGCTGTGTTTCTGGAGTCCCACATTTGGGGTAAATCCTCCATCCACCCTTCAACTCTAGTCTAGAGTGGAGGACCTGGTAGACACACCTCCCTGTCTGTCCCTGTTGTAGCCTGGTTCATTTCTTCTGATATTAGATGCCTTGTTTTCCTCTCTTCATCATAGACCAGATTCTTGTGTTACAAGACATTTAATAAATGTTATTTTTAACTTGGAACTATTACAGACTGCTGATTGAATGACACCAATGTCACAGGAGTCACCGGGGTTGGGGGCACAGAGAAGATCAACATAATTCATGCACTTAATCCAATATGTCCATCCCAAATACAAATCCCACCAGAAAAAGGTGCCTGCTGTCCTGCAGGGTCGTTGCACCTGGGATGTAGGACTCCTAAGCGCAACTCCAAGAACCTAGGCGCTGATTTCACTTGCAAATGGCTCTTATATTTTATTTTCTTGCGCACACAAGATGTAGGAAGGAAACAGCAAACCCTCATCTAGCCACACCCTGCTTCCATTAATTGCTAGAGAGCAGCAGCTTGCTGGTAATGGCGCCCTTTCAATAATACTTTCCAGCTAAATTGTTTTGTGGTTTTGATTCTATGATATAAAAAAAATGCTTTCCATTATTCTAATGTGTCACGTGTCTTGTGAACTGGTGACCTAAGTGTGTGTACATATAAAGAAAATATGAAAGAAAAGAAAAAAAAATAAAATATGATGACATCATTTCAAAGGCATAAGCTTTTAAAAATGCACCCAGAGGGGATTTATTTCCTTACTCCAGAGCAACATAACACCATCCGGCTGATGCGCTGTTCTCTTTTTTATTTGGAATAGTGCCATCTTTGTGAACGCCTGGTTCATGCAAGTTAATCAATTTGAGGTTTAGTTACACTGCTGAGGCTTGCATTCTATAGATTGCTAGAAAGTAATTCGAACTTGCAGAATTTATTAACCAAACACCAATTATCATTAAACAGCACTGCATTATCCAGCTTTACTACCTGACAAGAACTACTTAATGAAATTTTAGATTAAAGTTATTCAGTGGTTGATTTATTGTACAAAACTCTAATGTAGCCAATGTACAGATGCTGGGAGCAGCACTTTTTTTTTTTTTCAAAATGGTTTACTCAAGGGACCTCTAACCCACACTCGTATCACAGCAACGAATGTGACCCAAAGAAAATATTTGATTTTTTTTAAATATAATGCATTATGCTTGGACAGGGGTCTGTTTTGACCTGCATGGCAAAAACTGTTTACTGCACAATGTTTGCAAGATGAAACAGCCACAAAATGTGTTACATATAAGGCTTCAGAGTAAACAGGAGCACCAGATGTTCTTTGATGTTAATAATGGCATTTATTATTAATATTAATTAGACTGCATTCAGCAATACATTTGGGCCATTTCCAAGTCAATTAAGGAAAACGACATTCGGGAGATGTTCTGAACGACATTTTAAGGCAGGTGTTCCGCAGTCCCCTAATAAAACAATTTTGCAGGCATTGGAAAAACAACCATTTTAAATTCTGTGTTTTGCAGTATATTTTATGGTTCTAATTCTCTGAATTTTAAAAATGTGATCAACAATTTCTCCAGTCACCAGTAAGAGGATCCTGAAGCTCAGAAACTTTTCATCATTTTAAGTTTAAAATAAAAGTCTGTATATCCATAAAAGCTTTGCCATATGCTTTGCAGACAAAAGTTTGCACGTAGATGATACATCGAATTATACTTAATGTAAATGTATGGATTATCCTCCAAGGACCCTTTATGGACTCTGCCTCATTTCTAATTTCCTTTATAAATCTATGTTATGAAAATTAGGGAGGGGAAGGATAAATAGCACCAGAAACCCTCTAAAAGCTTTGTTTAATTCTTCGTGATTGTCTCAACTAGACACAAGTTAACTTGTCATTAACGTGCATACGGTCTCCTTGCATTTTACCCCACCCATGTAAGCTCTGAGCCACCCCAAGCATCCGACTTAAATAATAATGTGACAACTGCAAGGTCCTATCTGCTAAATTAATTATATTTAAAATTTTACATGTGTATGTTAATTTGTAACACTTTAATGTCTGCTGTGGGGGTGAGTTACGTGTCTGTTTACCACCAAGCAGTACAACAAATTTCAGCTCATACCCGAAAATGCTTTCAAACCCTGCCATGGCCGCAGACACAATGAAGGCTGAGACAACTGCTTGAATTCGTTCCATTCCTTCCCCTCTTTTACTAGCACCCCAGACAGACCCACAAACTAGATATTCTTAGTGGAAAACATAAACTGTAAACATATCAAAATATACTGTTAGTCTCTGCCTCATCAGGAATTCATGAACCTGAAGGCTTTTTTATGGTTTGTGTATAAATTAAAATTTCACGTCATAGCTGCATTAGCTTTTAATGTAAACAAAATATATTGGGGGTCTGTGACATTCTATCAGACAAGGGAAGGAGTCAGGAGCCCCAAGCTGCGAGAGATGAACCAGAGAAAAGAGTTCTTGAGCAGGAGCTGAGAGCTGGGCAAGGTGTCTGGTGGGGGAAGGAAGGAAAAAGCCTCGCCAAGCCACATCACCTTCCGGATGCTCTGCCAGGAGCAGCCCATCTTACCCACGGCTCCCCTCCATTCAGGCTCTGAAAACTGAAGATGCTTGAAACGATCTCAAGTGGTGATGGTCATCCTTGTACTCCACCCACACTTCAGAGTGTTATTTCCTTTGTTCTCCAGCCAGGGCTCAGCCTCTGAGGAGGCCAAATGGGAGATATGATATCCATCCCCACTCTACGCCTGACCCGGGCAACAGACTCATGGCAGCAGACACAGGTCCTGCCAAGGATGCAAAGCTACAATGCTGATCAGCATCTCAGGTCGGGGACAAGAAGATGTCACTCTTCTGATGTGACGGCATTCAAAGAGGGAAGGCAGGACATGTCTCCCAGTCCAAGGCGATGAGGATAACTACAGTGGGAACATATCCTTCTCCTTGGAGAGAGGTGAGGATGCATCTGGGCTGAGAGCCACCTACTTCTAGCTTTCCAGGAAGCTCTGATGTCTGCTTCCTTGCAACCATAGAGGAGAGGTCAATGGCCAACACTCTACATCGAGGAGCACTGACCCATCATGAAGGAGGGAAGCAGCGATCCCCGCGTCTCTGTAGAATGCCTCTGCGGGCAACTCATTGCCACCTGCCTTCCTCCCTAAAGCTATCACTGCCCAATCTGCCACAATAAAGAGAAAACAGGGCAAGTTGAAGCCTCCCAAAGAGGGGCTGTGCAAACTCCTCCCAAAGACAGGAGCACAGACTGTCAGAGGCTGGCTAGGTGGTTGCTGGAACGCCAGGTCTGAAAGTGCCAGCCCCATCACCTGGGTACCTGTCTGCCTTGTGCTGGATGCCTAATACCCCTCTCTGGCACATTAACAATCTGCGTATTCATTTATCAGCAGTACATTTTGAATTGTATATTTATGGCACAGTGCACTTTTCATAGCTGAAAATTAATGAACATGCCTTTCTCATAACAAACAAGCACCTGGCTGCATAGTTAGTAATCGGAAACAGATTTATTTTTATTAGTGTATATGTGGGCAAAATTTCTATCTTTAAAAAAAAAGCTATGCTGAAGTTTCGGTGATATGAATGCAGGCTGCCCCCGGACACTTCCATTTTATAAACTTCCACTTCTAATTTCCCCCCACAATATTTTCATGTCAGATGCAGTGATAATGCCTTTCAACAGAATGAAATCATTTGTTTGTGAGGCCCACTCATCTTGATAAAACAAGATCTCGGCTCCTGCCATGCACTACCCACCACAGGAACATGGAATTTCACCAGCTATAAAACGAAGAAAGAAATTCACGATTCAACAGTTTCCACCAACTTCTGCTTCTTCCCCTGATGAAGTAGTTAATAGCCATTGTACTTCGGATCAGATATGTAGGGTGAACAAGTCTAGAAGTCAAATGTGCAACATGAGAACTGTAGGTAAGAAAAGTGTACTGATTGTGGGATTCATGCTAAATGAATTTTAGATTTTAGATTTTAGCTGCTCTTGCCACAAAAAAAGGATAACTATTTGAGATGATGGATATAATAATTTGCTTCACTACAGTAACCTTTTTACTATCTATATATGTCCCATAATGTCATGTTGTGTGCCTTAAATATACACAGTAAAATTATATATAAATATATGTTACTATATATAAATTATGCACAAATAATATATATTATATAGCTATATATTATACATAAATTATACAGATATTATATATAAATTATATACTATGCATACATTATATATTATAATATGTTATACATATAATTATGTATGTATAAGATATAATATATATCATATATGTATGTGTAATACATATGTAATTATAATCATATCTTATACATACGTAGTTATATATGTATGTATAATATATGTTACATATTGTATATTATACATAATATATACATTACATATTATATATATTATACATATTGTATACATTATATAACTCGATTTGCAAGTTTTGTCCCTCTGGCCTTCTTGGTTCAGTTACTTTTGGAAAAAATCTCAATCCCACCATTTAAAATCACAGTTGAGGCCAGGCATGGTGGCTCATGCCTGTAATCCCAGCATTTTGGGAAGTCAAGGCAGGATGATCACTCAAGCCCGGGAGCCCCAGACCAGCATGGGCAACACAATGAGACCCCATCTCAACAAGAAATTTTTTAAAAATTAGTCACCTGTGTTGCCTGGCACACAACTGTGCTCCCAGATACTTGGGAGGTTAAGGTGGGAGGATTGCTTGAGCCCAGGAGGTCAAGGCTGCAGTGAGCCATGATCATGCCACTGTACTCCAGCCTGGGTGACAGAGCAAGACCCTGACGCAAAAAAAAAAAAAAAAAAAAAAAAAGAAAGAAAGAAAGAAAAGAGAAAAGAACCACGGTGCCCACACCCACAAATGTAGTCACTAAGGAAGGGCACCATGGTTGTTTAATTTCCTGGTTGGTGTGGTGAGGTAGGGCAGATAGGACTTGAATTTTGAAGGTACCCTCACTGCTGTCAGTGAACGCATTTTCTAGGGCACCTAGGTGCTCTGTTGTAGGCCTCTTAGAAATTAAACCAGGGCTCCCTGCTCCACCTGGCCCCCCTCTGCTGCCTTCCAGCCTTCTCTGTGGGCCGCAAAGACTCACAGTCTCATGGCCCGGATCATTAAATCAAACCTGCCTCACATCTGTCATTCACCATGTGGCAGCTCAGTTTCCTTTTCAGCAGAATGGGGTCCTTTTCTGACCTGGTCCCAGTCATACCCCAGGCAGTGGGACTGAAGAATGAAGGAGAGTGACCAGAAGAAAGGTCCTCCCCATCCTCTACAGCCATAGCCCTTGTTTCCCTTCCAGAATGTCTTCCAAAGCCACTCAGGCAGGGGTCTGCAATGGCAGCCCAAGGGTGTCCCCATGCCTAGATGGTGGCTTTCTACCTCTCATAGCCCTTTTTCCCATAAGCCCCTGCAAGCCTGGGGTCATAATTCAGCTTCCATGGGCAATCGGTGAATGGTAAAAGGCTCTAGTGGTTGGTGAGGCAGGGGGAGCCGACAGCCCCATCCCCTTTGCTGAGCAATTCCCTTTCCAGACTGCTGGGGCACAGTGCCACAGGCCCTGTTCCATGGAAAACGAGTTCTGGGAGAGGCCTCACTCATTCTTCCATTTAATGAACATATATTTACCATTCATCACTCCTAAGTTAAACAGGCAAGGATCCTGCCCTCACAGATCTTGAAGTCTCGTGGGGAAGAAAGCCATTAATCAAATAATTACTCAGATAACTAAATGTGATAATACCTGAGAAAGAAAAAAGCATGGGCAATTCTGGGTTCATCACGTATGCGCATGAAACACTTGAACAACCTGCCTGATTGTCTCTTATTTGTGCCTACTGGGTTAAAATAGTCATAATATTTTGGCTTTAGATACTTATATTTGGTATAATTTTAGCTTCCTCCAACTTAAGGTGTCTTGATTGTTTCTCCTTTGACTTGCCTTATCTTCTAGTAATCTCTTAACCTTCTTTTATAATGTTTCATTTCCCTTTTTAAATACCTTTTAGATATGTTTTTGGAACCCTTTTTCTCTATTCTTTACACCTTAAAACTAGAACACTGTCAAGTTTTAATCTTTTTCAAACTCTAAGTTTCTGTCTCTCCCTATTTTAAGTTGCTTTTTTGTTTGCTTTTAAAAAGGTTTATTGTATTTCATTGTCTTACTATCCCTAACAGTTTATTTTAAAGTGCATTCTTTTTAATCTTATTTTTCTCAACTTTCTCTACATAAACTTCTAGCTCAAGTTTCCCAGTTTTTTGTTTTTTGTTTTTTGGTTTTTTTTTGAGATGGAGTCTCGCTCTGTCACCCAGGCTGGAGTGCAGTGGTGGGATCTCGGCTCACTGCAACCTCTGCCATCCGGGTTCAGGCCTCAGCCTCCCAAGTAACTGGGATTACAGGCATGCATCACCACAACCAGAGAATTTTTGTATTTTTAGTAGAGACGGGGTTTTGCCATATTGGCCAGGCTGGTCTCAAACTCCTGACATCAGGTGATCCACCCGCCTCCACCTCCTGAAGTGCTGGGATTATAGGCGTGAGCCACCACGCCCAGCCAGGTCTGTATTTTTGACATGCAAAATATTCACTAACAGGGTATTAAGTGGCAAAAGCAGATCACAAGACCAATTTGTATACTACGATCCCCCTTTTTGTGAAAATGAAAAGATATTTAGATAAGTAGTTTTTTCATAGAAAAGCCTGAAGGGATATAAAGCAAAATGTTAAGAATGATTATCTCAGGGCAAAAGAGTTAAGACTGATATTTTCCTTCCTTACATGGATCTTTGGCTTATACCCTTCTGCAATGATCACACATTAGTTTTATAATCAGGTTAAACCAAGCCCAAACAAGGAAGCTATTTTTGTTGTGGGGAAAGGGATCAAAATAAAACCTAGTTGTGGATTACTCGAGGCCCAATCAGCTCGGCAGACCGTCCTTGGAAAGAAAGGTTTCTCCTCTGCAGGATGGTTTATGGGTCCAGCGCACATGCACCCCACACCCCCACAACCTGCCCGCTTTGTGCAAGATCTGCCAATGTCCACAGTGTGGGGGCATTCCCAGGCAGGTCTTTCCCCAGGGCAGAACCTCCCCTCGCCTCAGCACAAAGGGGGCCCTAGAAGTCTCTGTTAAGGGACCTAAAAGAAATATGAAACTGGGGAACAGCATCATTCAAACAGCGCAGCTGAGTGGAGATGGGCTTGTTACTACCACACCAAGAAGGACTTCTTGCCTGTGGCTTCTCCTAGTCAACTAGCTTAGATTTTGTTGTTTGTTTGTTTCTTCAAGAATCATTGTCAAAGGAGATGAACATCCTCTGAAAGAAACTAGAGGGGCAACTTTAGGGACATAGAGAAAAGTCATCAACCACCCAATCTCATCAGGAGGGGAAGGGCAATGCCCTCCAGAGCTTTTATGCCAGGTTTCCTGTCTGCTTATGAAACAAACAAGGAAAATACATCATGAAATATAAATAGGAATATTTATATTCCATAATTCCATATTCATTTTCCATAAATGAAATCATACTCTACCTGCTGCTGTAAATAGGAATATTTGTATTTCATTATATAAATAATATTTATATTATTTATAAAGATAAAGTAACAAAATTAAAGAAAATTTTCTAAAAAAAATCAACAGATGAAGAGATTAAAAATTGGGAATCTTGGCTGAGCATGGTGGCTCACACCTGTACTCCCAGCACTTTGGGAGGTTGAGGAGGGCAGATCACCTCAGGTCAAGGGTTTGAGACCAGCCTGACCAACGTGGCAAAACCCCATCTCTACTAAAAATACAAAAATTAGCCGGGTGCGTTGGCGCATGTCTGTAATCCCAGCTAGTCGGGAGGCTGAGGCAGGAGAATCACTTGAACCAGGGAGGCAGAGGTTGCAGTGAGCCGAGATCATGCCACTGCACTCCAGCATGAGTGACAAAGTAAGACTCTATGTCAAAAACATACAGACTTATGCTATCGTTTTCAAAAACTACAGACTTCCACAGTAAAGGAGTCATAGTTTCCTCAACAGATTCTTTTCTGAAGTACATTTAAATTGTTTCCAAATGTTTTCTTTATAAACTGAGTCTCAGTGAATATCCTTGGTCAAACATCTTTGGCTATCTAATATACATTAGATATATTATATATAGATTAATAATATAGATTATTGATGATACATCTTATTATATAAGGTATGAGATAATATAACTATATAAGATATTTCATATCTTAATATATCTTATACCATATATATAGTATACATTCATATATCATTATAATATATATTTATTATCATAAAATATATATTATAATAATATTCATTAAAATTTATAACATATATTTATAGAATATTTATTAGTATATAATATGTAATGTATTATATATTAATAAATATATTAAATATTAACATATCTCATAATAATATAATATATAGAGAGAATAATTTCATAAAAAGGGAATTGCTGAAACAATGGGCAGACACTTATTTGGGGGGCTTTTGACATGTTTCCCAAATTACTCTTCAACTTTGTATAAATATAAACAGCTACTGGGCGGACTAAGAGTGTCTGGTTTCTCCCAACCTTATATACAATACTCATTGTTATCAATCTCATAAGTTGTTGGGTTGGAGGAGCAAATCAATCTATCAGTAAACCAAAACAACTTTTGAATTTTTTCTTTGATTACTAGTCAGGTTAAAATATTTTCATCTGCATATGGGCCATTTGTTTTTCTTTCTCTGGAAACTGTGTGTTCTTATTTTGCGGATCATATAACATCCTCATCGGAAATGGCGCCCCAGGTCACAGCTTCTTTAGGTCTCAGGCTTCCTTGCTGTAAAATGGGGAGAGTAGGCATGCAAACCCCATGAGGGCAGCAGCCTGAATCCGAGGAGCCCAGAACATACCTGACAAGAAGCAGATGCTCAGTGGGTGGGTACTCATGGGAGGAAGAATGGAAAGAAGGGAGACAGGGCAGGAGAGTGAGAGGGCCAGAGAGAGGGTGGGAGGGAGGAAGGGTGGGAGAGAGGAAGAGTTGGAGAGAGGGAAGGAGGAAGGGTGGGAGAGAGGGAAGGAGGAAGGGTGGGAGGATGAGTGGGTCAGAGGGGGGCAGGAGGAGGGAGGAAGGGAGGGAAGGTGGGAGGGAGGAAGGGAGAGAGGATGGGAGGGAGGAAGGGAGAAAGGAAGGGAGGAAGGAAGGAAGGAAGGAAGGAAAGAGGGAGGAGAGAAGGAGGGAGAGAGGAAGGAGGAGAGGAAAGGAGAGAGGGAATGGGAGAAGGAAGTAGGAAGGAAGGAAGGAAAATAGGGAAGGAGGCTGGTGGGAGGGAGGAAGGAAGGAAGGAGGGAGGGAGGGATAGAGGGAGGGAGGGAGGAAAGGCAGGCAGGCAAGAAGGAAGGAAGGAAGGGAAAGAAGAAGGGAAGGAAGGGAGGGAAGAATAGTATCTACCTCTTAAAGCTGTTGAAGAGAGAATGTGTGTACAAAGTTTTGTAGTTCTCCACACTTAGTAAACACTCACTAAATAAGAGCTCCTAAGTGGCCATATTTTTCCTTTTGCTTGTGGTATTATTTTCTTTATTGATTTGTTAAAATTCTCTATGCTAAGGATATTAACTCCTTATCAGTTACACTTCCCAACTGGAGTTTCTTTTATCTTTAAAAATAAAAATATAGACTTTTTCCAAATTTAAAAATAACGCGTTCATTAAAAAAAAAGAGAGAGAAGAAAGAAAGAAAGAAAGACAAACCCCAAACCATACAGAAATATATTTCTAAATGAATAAAAATTACCCAAAATCCCACTACCCAGGTGGCCTGCAAAGAGGGGAAAAAGGAATCAGAAAAATAGAGGGAGGCAAAGAGTTTTGAGATGCTCTGGCGCCAGGGAGATAGGGGATGGAGAAATGGCTGCCTGGCTGCCCAGGGACTCCCACGAGGGCTTGACCCCAGCCCACCCAAGGGTGATGCCACATGTCTGCTGACTTTGCAAGGGGATGATGAGGCACTCTTATCTTCCTCAAATTCTCTTTTTTGCTTAAGCAACTTTGAGAATGTTTCTATTTTTGCACAAAAGATGTAGACTAAGATACTCTCACATAATTTTCCGTAAATGAAATCATACTCTACCTGCTGTTTTGTAGCCCACTTCTTTCATTCAACAATATGTCATGGGCATTTTTCCAAGTCAGTAAATACAGGTCAGTCTCACACATTTAATGGCTGCAAAGATTTCCATTACTGTTCTTTGATTATTGACCATTTGTATTTCTTCTTCTCTGAATCGCCTGCTCATGTCCTTTGACCATTTTTCTATTGGAGGATTTGTCTTTTTCTTATTGATTTGTAAAGGCTTTGTTTTTCTTTGCACCAGGAATATTAACCCTTCATCTATCATGTATTTAGCAAACATTTGTTGTCATACTGTATTTTGCATGTTATGGTTAGGTTTGGGAGTGTGTGTGTGTGTGTGTGTGTGTGCATACACACATGCTGCTTAGAAATATTTAATTTTTATGCAGTCAAATTCATTCAACAAATATTTATTGAGTAGCATAATTTGCCAGTACTGTGTTAAATGAAGAAGTAAAATGAATAAAGGTAAAACCTGTCAACCTTTACTCTTAGAATTTCTGGCTCAGATGTTATGGTTGGAGAGGGTATCCCTTCCCCATAATTATAAAAATACTTCTATTTTCTTTTAGGTCTCCCTGTGTTTCTGTTTATTTTGTGTTTTGCATTTAACTCCTTGCCACATCTGGGGTTTATTTTGGCCTCAAGAGTGAGGTAGAAATCCAACTTTAAATGGGACAGGGGGCAGCAGTGTCCCCAAGCTCTTTCCCGTGGCTCAGGGACATCTCACTGGTGTCCCCTACTCCCTTGCTGTGTGACACCCTTCAACACAGAACTCTGCGGACAGCTTATGCTCTTTTAGTTTGCTGGAGGGGCAATAGAGGCATCTCAGGACTTTTGTCCTTTTTCTTAAGAAAATAAAATATCTTGAGAAGATGTGGGTCCCTGATGGCTACTTTGCTTAAATGTCCAGGTTGATGAGACGATGATAAGTCCCCTACTTAGGGTAACGCCCTCCCATTAGCCCCCTGGCTGCTCCCCAGAGTCTCCAGCCACAGCTGCCCTCTCTCTCCCCTCAGTGGACTTGTCCTGGACATACACAGTTCGATCTTTCCGATCACTCACCATTTCCAGGGCCTCTTCCCCTGGTCACCTCAATCCCACCCCAAGTTTAAAAATATCTACTCCACTGCCCCTGGTGCTAGCTAGCTAAAAAAAACCATTCCCACCCACACTGCCAGCCAGCCCTACCCTTGTTCCAGAGTTTGCAGATGCATGTTACAATGTAGTCCAGAAAAGCTAGGTCTAATAGACTCAAGACAGGCAATTCAACATGCAGTTCCATTCCCATTTAATCTGTAAGTGCCCATGTAAAGAGGCTCTGTTCTCCCTGGAGTAGACATAACACCTAGGACTGATGTTCCTTCCCTGGCATTTGACCAGATGGGTCGTTCAGGCAAAGATATGGGTATGTCAACTTCGTCCATGGGCTGAAATATCATAGTCTACATTACTTACTGAGTAAATTCAACCCTTTTAGAATTTGCTTTCCCTCACCTTGTTTCCCTGCCAGAATACTCAGTATCCCAAAGTGTCTCCCCTGGAGCTATATCCCTGGGGATCCCAGCACTTGAGCTACCTCCCTTAGCCCATTTATGCCTAGTGTTCCATTATTGGAATGCTAAGCATGTGGGAGTTATTTGTATCCTACTGCTCAAGGTCATCGCCAAGGTCTGATTGCAAAAATTCAAAAAATTGCAACCTCAGGCATGAATGGGTTAAGGACCTGAGATCAAATAGGATGTGCCTCATGCCCTGCCATTGTGTGGTCCTCATGAGCTCTGTGCAAGATAAATAATTATTGCAATCCAAATTCTATTTCCCCACTGACCTACGTGAACATTTCAGAGGTGTGTGAGTCTCAGTATGGACTGGTCTTTATGAAGCAAGATCTGCGAACACTTTACTTTCACCAGATGAGCTCCTGACTGCTCAGCCAATGAAGGAAACAGGGTCTAGGCCCATGAAAGGAGGTCAAATTTATGCTGGGAGACCAGCATAAAAACAAGTGAAATGCAACCCACCATGCCAGAAAAGCTAGGAAACCAGGTTCCCAACACATAGGGACTTAACAGCCAACATTTTCCATTCTGTACAGCTTGTGTAGTGGTTCAGAGCATGAGCTATGATGTCAGACAATGCTGGGTTGAATCCAGTATCCACCACTGCAAGCAAGTGACCTGAAGTTTTAACTTCTCCAAACCTTGGCTTCCTTTTCCATGAACCAGGAATGAGAAGTCATGCTTGAAACTGAGGGATGTTCTCATGGAGGGCATGAGACAAGACAAGAACAGAACTTAGCATGATGATATTGAGCTTTTAGTAAATATGGGCAGTGGTGGTCCTTCTTATTTAGTATTCAATGGTTAATCCCATTAGTAGGGTGTGGGGGTAGATGGGAGCCTTTTCATAAAGTAATCAGCCCCTGATACCCACTTTGTAGGTTTGAGACTCTGTACCCAGGGTAAGAAAGCTGAAACTCTACATGACAGGTCAAACCTTCTCGCTCCAATCCTGAACAATGCCCAAACAGCACCAGAAGGAGCCTCAACAAAGCTCTGAGCTGACAGGGAGCCTGGAAGAGAGCTTGGTACACTCCTATTGTACTGACGAAGAAAGCATGGGTCTGAATGAGAAAGCCAGGAGGTAGCACTGCTGGGATAAGAACTCGTGGCCCTTGCCTCTGACACCAATCCCACTGTATTTCACTGAGATTTAAAGACCAAGAGAAGCCTTGGCTTGCAAGACTCATGTCCATCCCACATCATCCTGCTGAGATTCTAGAACCAGGAGCAAGCCTGGGGTTGTGAGACCCACATTCATCCCACAGCCTCCTGCTGAGATTCTAGAACCAGGAGCAAGCCTGGGGTTGTGTGAGACCCACATTCATCCCACAGCATGCTGCTGAGAGTCTAGAACCAGGAGCAAGCCTGGGGTTGTGTGAGACCCACATTCATCCCACAGCATGCTGCTGAGAGTCTAGAACCAGGAGTGAGCCTGGGGTTATGCAACTCAAGTCCATCCACTGCATCTTGCTGAGATTCTAGACCCAGGAATGAGCCCGGGGTTGTGAGACCCACACCCATCCCACTGCATCCTGCTGAGATTCTAGAACCAGGAGTGAGCCTGAAGTTATGCAACTCAAATCCATCCATTGCATCTTGCTGAGATTCTAGACACAGGAGTGAGCCCAGGGTTGTGAGACCCACATTCATCCCATGGCATCCTGCTGAGATTCTAGAACCAGGAGTGAGACTGGGATTGTGAGACCCAAGTCCATCCACTGCATCTTGGTGAAATTCTAGAATCTGGGGTACCCTGGGATTAGAAGCAGCTTCTCCTGAACCTTCTATGTCAGTTGGAACTCAAGCCCATCCCAAGAAAACACCTGTTCCCAGAAGAACGATTTAAAATAATCTAAGAAATTATTTAGAAAAAATTACCCTCTTTGGTAAAAAGAGCTGGCATAAAGGTGAGCTTGGGAGTACTTCTGGAGGGAATGCTATCTTGGCTTTGGATCCTAAAAGTCCCTGGTAGGTGGGGGAGTGGGGTGGGGCCACACACTTAGACTTGCACACATCTCCAAGGGGAGGAACACTTCATTTCGTCCTCATCTGCCACCATCCCTCCCTTGCCCCTGACCCATGCAGCCACCAGAACATGGACTTCCACCAAGCCCTTGCTGGATAAGAGTTAACCAAGGCTAAGAGGAATATGAGTCACCAAGACCTTTCTCCTCCTGGCCTTGAGGTTAAGGAGTGCTAACAACAGAGGACAGATGTCTGGAGAAGTCCAGACAACTGCTGTAGGAAAAGAAGGTAATCACACGAAACTTATTTTGAAACGTATTAAGACACTTCATGTGTAAATACGTTTGATGCAAAGTCTACAATTTGGATGTTTGAAGATAAAATATAAAGTCATATTATTTTAAAATTATGACATCCTAGGAGTCCACACACATATACATATAAATATAGATAGCTATATGGATACATAGACAGATACATAGGTAGATATACATATAGATACCTACATACACAGATACATAGATACAAACACAGAAGATACATACCGACATACGTTCACACAAACACAGATAGATACATACATACATACATAGACATATACATACATTCATACAAACACAGATACATAGATACATACATAGATACATATGTACATTCATACTTACACACATAGATACATAGATGCAAAGATAGATACATACATAAATAGATAAATACTTCTTTTATCTGAACAGATAGGCCCTCAAAAAAGAGCAGATACTGTATATAGAAACATAATGTTTTTCTATTGATTGTGATTATATTATTGGAAATGAGCTCTTCTG
This sequence comes from Homo sapiens, assembly GCF_000001405.40. Taxonomy (NCBI): domain Eukaryota; kingdom Metazoa; phylum Chordata; class Mammalia; order Primates; family Hominidae; genus Homo; species Homo sapiens. Next base: position 30,499,153 of record NC_000019.10, on the reverse strand, counting down.
GAAAAAGAGGTGGTCTTTAAATATATCAAGCAACTTGCAATAATGTAGCAATTTATTAAGATGACATATTTTAAGTAAAAATTAGAATTCTATTTCAATGGCATTTGAAAAAAAAAAAAAGAAGAAAAAGAAGTACCAAATAAGAGTGAAAATAGCCGGGCTTATTTTTATTCTTGGCACTGTCACCTAAAGGCTCAAATGGAAACAGCAGTGACGATTCAGCTGAACAGGATCGCACGGGCTGGAACGGCTCCTCGGCTCCTCGCTGCATGCTCGCTGCCTACTTGCGCCCCCGGTAGAGTGCCCGGAGGACTGCAGCCTCAGACCTAGGAGTGACTGACCCAAAAGCCCTGAGCTCCTGTCCCCCACTGTGAAATGGGTCCCCACGCAGTCACCTCACCCAGACAACAAGGACCAAGTGAGAGTCCCAGAGCCCTGGATGTGACAGCCACTCCGCCTCTTATTTAATGCATTCCTCTCTGTCTTCAGCAGTTATATTTTTTCTATTTTTTGACGTTTCTATGACTTTTATTTGAAACTTTTTTTTATTTTTAATTTTTAATTCTGGGGGTACATGTGCAGGATGTGCAGGTTTGTTACATAGGCAAACATGTGCCATGGTGGTTTGCTGCACCTGTTAACCCATCACCTAGGTATTAAGCCCAGTATTCATTAGCTATTTTTCCTAATGCTCTCCGTCCCCCCACCCCACTCCCTGACAGGCCCCAGTGTGTGTTGTTCCCCTCCCTGTGTCCATGTGTTCTCACTGTTCAGCTCCCACTTATAAGTGAGAACATGCGGTGTTTGGTTTTCTGTTCCTGCATTAGTTTGCTGAGGATAATGGCTTCCAGCTCCATCCATGTCCCTGCAAAGAACATAATCTCCTTCCTTTTTATGGCTGCATAGTATTCCATGCTGTATATGTGCCACATTTTCTTTATACAGTCTATCATTAACGGTCATTTGTGTTGATTCCATGTCTTTGCTATTGTGAATAGTAATGCAATGAACATACACATACATGTATCTTTATGATAGAATGATTTATATTCCTTTGGGTATATACCCAGTAAAGGGATTGCTGGGTCAAATGGTATTTCTGGTTCTAGATCTTTGAGGAATCACCACACTGTCTTAATAATTTTCTATAAGCTGAAGAGGACTGCGATTTCTCCAGTGATGCAAAATTCATGAGTAAATGAGCAAATGGAGGTACATGGCTAATTGATTACATATGGCTGATGGGGACAGGGCTGAAACTTCAGGAAGTGAGGCTTCTGAGGGTGTCTCTGGAATCTGGTCCTGCTTGGGTCTTACAGGCTGAATTTCTGCATGACAAGCGTGAGAATGTACACACACACACACCCCACGTTCACACACTCATGTTCCCACACCCAAACACACTCACACAGTCTTTCACACACACATGAAGGTGATCTCTTTTTGGAAAGTAATATCTTAAAGTACAACAGTTCCGAAGAATTCAGGATCCGGGGACTTCCCTGGGGCACCCCCTTGCTTTCTCCTTTTGGGCCACTCAGGTGGGTTTAGTTCCATACATGTGTGGGAGCAGCAATGAGTCCAATGCTTCATCTTTATGGCTCTGTTAACATGAGGGATGCATGTCACATTGGAGTGCCTTCACTTTTTAAAATAAAAATAAAAGGGAAGAAAACATGGGCTTAACTCAAAGGTCTCCTTTGGTGCTAAAGATTACCATGCAACAATAGAGTGAGATGTGTCAGAAGCTACCCCTTTCTCATCTACACTGGATGCGTCCCTGCATGCTGGGTTATTGTGCATGAGGAATGACCCAGCCAATGGGAAGCCTATAGGTGGCTTGTGCATGTTGTGATAAAATGTAAATGCACTAGAAAGGTCACCGGCAGAGTGATCATTACCATTGTGGAACTCTGACCAATTTGCCATTCAAGAGCATCATTGATGACTCAAGCCGCTCACGGGGCCCTTAAATACACACACCCAGGGGCACACCCACAGCCGATGGGCATTGTGGCCGCCAGTGTCTCTCGGTATGTGTGTCAGCACCTGCAGACGCTCCTCTGGCATTTAAGGAGAGCAAAGTAGAGGGGGAGGAGCACCTTGCTGTTTGGCCCATAATCATCTCTCTTGTAAAGAGCATCACACTGCTGAGCCAAGCTCCCCCAGAGGGCTCCCAGCCCCTTTCTCTGGAGCTGAGGCTGTGCATGGGGGCAGGACACTGTCACCTGTGCCCTATTACAGAAGGATGCCATGCCAGCACCACGTTACACAGAATAGTGGCACAGTGCCCCTCGCCCCTCGTAGCTGTGTGGACCTAGCTTATCATTAAAAAAAGCACCTACTCGACTAGCTCACCATAAAAAGCATCTACTCGAGGCCAACCCCGGACCATCACTCTCACCTGTATCCCTGGAGACCTTGAGCATCCAGTGCATTGAGAAGGCCCAGGTGCTGCCCAAACCCCCCCATCTCTACTACTGCTTTACCTCCGGAATGTCATTTCCTTCCCCCAACTGCCTCTGCTGCCTTTCCCCATATGTAATTCCGACAGCAATGCAATAAGACATTTGTTCCTTCAGTTAACAGACTTTCACTGCAGACCTACTTTGTGCAGTTCCCTCTGCTGATACTCATTAAATCTCAGCTCACTGCTCAGTGCTCTGGCATGGGACAGGACAAACAAGTAGAAGGATCATTAGATATGCCCTCCTTTGTCCCCAGGCAGGAGACACTAAGAGCCTTAAAACAACATTTCAAAGGACCATGGCATCCCCAGAAGTGACAATGTCTGCTTGTGGAGACTGATTCAATAAGGAAAGCTTCCTGGAAGAGCTGGCAATCCGGCTGAGTGTTAAGAGATGGGTGGAAGTTTGACAAGTCGAGAACTCAGAGGGTATTCCAGAGACAGAACAGAAAGTTTGTAGGGACTGAGCTACTTCCAGGATGGCCCAGGATCATTGCATGGTACAGGGTATGGGGACAGAGAGCCAGGAGCAGTGGAAAAGGCAACCCAAGTCTCAAGCCCTCCTTACACCTGGAGACCAGATTCCCCAGGAACGCCCGGAGAGTGGACATTCCTTCAAGACATTCATCCAACAAATATCTGTAAAGTACCTACTATGTGCCAGGCACTGAATACACCCTGGCATCATTATGGAGGCTGTTGCAGTACAAGCAAGAAACAAAATTATCATTGCAACTGAATCCTGATGCTTTTGACTACCCTGACAAAGATAAGATCCACTGCCCATTACTGAAACCATCCGCTACAAAGTCTGGACTCCCTCCCCGGCCTCTACTGGAGTCTCTTGCTGTGACTTTCCCTGCGTTGTGTCTTTCTTCTCTGAGTCACACCCTTCCTGCTTTGCCATGACCCCAACCACTGCCTGACACTGAATCCCAGCCTGACTGCACACTTGGGGCTAAAAGGATTTTCTTCAGATACCCCCATAAAGAACAGCTGGGCTGAGACTGAGTTGGTAAACTGGTCCCAAGTTCTGTCTTGGATGTGCAACCTTGGACAAATCCCTTCTGCCCTGTGGGCCTACGCTCCATGTGTATAAGAGGTTGTATTTGCCTGCTATCTCTCCATCAGATGATTCTATGATTCTGTAGACAACTTTCTCTCTGTTCGAAACACCAGCATGCCTCTGCTTGTTCAGAGGCTGACTTAGCCTCCTTCCAGGTCTCCTTCCCCATTTTCCTTTCCTAGAACAGCATAAGGATCCTACACTTGTCTGTTCATTCATTTATTCAACAAATATTTATTAACTGCTGACTTAGTACCAGATACTGCTGCAAGCTCAGAGACACCACAAGCACACAAGACTTCCTTTTCTTCCTGGACCTTAGCCTGTCCTTTGCTCTGGCACTGGAGTCTTCACTTGCAGGGTCTCACGCAGCTCAGCCTATACCTTATAGCCAACATCTCACTGCATTCTCACATCTTTCTATGAGGAGGCATCACAAATGGGTAAGGCCAGTTAAGTAATGTACTATGTGAAAGGTAGTGTTTACAAGGTTTACTTGGTGTCCCAATACCACAGCAATAGTGAAGCCAAGACCTGGGTCTGCTGACTCTTAGCCTAACTCACAGTTAGGCTTTTGGCCATAATGTGTAATCTTGGAAATATTCACAAAGACCAATCTGATGTGCTTCATAGAGAACAGCTGAGGGGGCTTTTTTTTTTTTTTTTTTCTTTTTTGAGACGGAGTCTCACTCTGTTGCCCAGGCTGGAGTGTAGTGGTATGATCTTGGCTCAATGCAACCTCCACCTCCCAGGTTCAGGCAATTCTCCTGCCTCAGCCTCCCAAGCAGCTGGGATTATAGGTGCACGCCACCACCCCCGGCTGATTTTTGTATTTTTAGTAGAGATGGGTTTTCACCATGTTGGCCAGGCTGTTCTTGAACTCCTGACCTTAAGTGATCTGCCCACCTTAGCCTCCCAAAGTGCTGAGATTACAGGGTCTTAAGTTCTGAAATACCCTCAAAAAGGCCCCGGACATTAATTTGGAGCAATGTCCTTGGGTCCTGTTCTTGAGCCATAGGTTAGATGGAAGGAAGGAGGGATGACAGGATGGGGCACCCATAGAGCTGACCCAGTACTAGAAACTGAGCCCAAAGTCCACGTGAGCTGGGTCAGAAGCATCGCCACTGCCTGCACATTGGAAGTCTGGTTAAGTCCATTGTCGCACCCTTCAGACAGCAGATTCATCCCAGCCTTACCAGGTGCCTTCAAAATGCAAGTTGTAAAAGGAATGGCGGAGTGAAGTCGAAGCAAGACGCCTGCAACTTTGCAAGGAGCCCAGTGCTTCTGGCAATAGCTGTTCCCGTAGTGCAAAGTGTCCACTTGTCGGGACACTGACCTTAGCTGTAACGAACCAGTCATAACTTCTCATCCCAGGGGCCTACGGTCCCCCTACCTTGTCTCTGTCTGCCTTGTCTGTCTGTGCAGATTTCCAAGTCAATTCTGTTCTGATCTCAGAATCAAGTATTCAGGTTTTTCTAAGCAATGTTTCTACATATAACTAATTATTCACATGTTCTGAACCTTTTTTTAAGGAAGTTTTATTATTATTTTAGTAAAATAGCTGAATGAGAGGGATGGGCAAACAGGGGCAGGGTTGAGAAGAAAGGTCAGGTTGCTATTAATATTTTAACTATTGTTGTTATTTTAGTAGCCACCCTGCTGCCTTGTATCTGTGCAGCCATTGCTCTCTGTGCTTCTCGGAAGAGTTGCAAACACTCCACGTATGAGGAGCACCCTAGAAAACTTGAGCTCAACCCATAACAGAGATGCTTTACACACCGTATCTCCCTGATGCTCACTAGCTAGAATTTTCTGGCCCCCGCAGGAACCTCTTATCCAGGACCTGGTGCTGAGGAACAGCCCCTAAGTGGAACGTGAGAGACCTCAACATCATGATACGATTTTTTTCCCCAAAGCACTCAAGACTTCTGTGACCAAACATGGCCAAACTTTTATCTACTTCTAAAGGACAGAGACAGTTCCAGAGAAATCTCAGGCCCACGACAAATGCCCCGAGTGATGGGGAAGACTGAATTTCTACTACCTGGATGCCCTAAACGGTTCCAAATTATGGATTTGTTTTTCTTCTTTCTCTTGGTCTATGTGTCTATGAAATGAGCCTTTTAATCCAGCAAAGCTTGTCACATTTTCAATTTCTGTGCTAAGTAAAACAACAAAAAGTAAATTAGTGTTGCATATGTAATGGACATTAGAAAAAAAGTCTGAAGGAAATTCTATTAAGCCTACTGCCTTGTTACCTCGTTCTCTGCATGGGCATGCCTGTTTCTAAAGCAAAGCCTTACATTTTCTCTAACAAAGGTTTGACGTTCCCTAAAATGTCAGCTAAAGTTGCCAATAAATATGGCTGGTGACTGGGCAGGGGAGGAAGGTTTCATTACACACGTTTTCATTAGCACAGTTACAGAAGAAAAAAAAATATTTTAGTACTTAAAAAAACTAAAGTCATGACAGCTGCCCAGAACTATGTGCACTGAGGGATGGGCAAAAAAAAAAAAAAAAAAAAAAAAAAAGTGAGTAATATTGCAAGAGAGATATTTAAGGAAAGCAATGATTGAACTTTAAAAAAATACTGCAGACTCAAAATGCTGGCGGCAGACTGACTGCTATTTTAACCAAAGCTGCTGATTTCCGAGAGGTCTTCGGCTTTTACATATTTGTGTCTTGCAAATGTTGGGCATTATGGCGTTGGCGATAGGTGTGGCTGACTTTGAAATTCAAGCTCAGGGCGTCTGTGGTCTGTGAACCTGGTCCTGATAGGGCTGGCTAGTCAGAAGCAAAACTGGCTAGTTATGAAACTACCATAGTATATGCTTTATCTCCACCGCATTTAAAGGATTTACCTATCTATCCCGCTGCAGACCCACTCATTGAGTAAGAGCCAACAGCATATGATTGTGTTAATTAATCTGCTATTGTGAGTACAGGAACAGCTGCAGTGGTCTCGTGGATACGTTGTCAAAAGAAAACAATGTAATGTTAAGCCTCTGACTGCATATTCTGTTACAAAGAAGGTTTATGAGAAGTTAAATTCATAAATCACAGATCATTTTTATAATAATAATAAATACTATCTGACCTTTCAAAGGAAGGTTTGAGTGTTCTTAATTTTGTCTTGAAATATGTTCTGATATATGATACCTCAGCTTTAACCCAATTCTTTGTTTTGAAAACAAACATTCCCCAGAAATGATGGGAAGGGGGAAGGAGCTATAGAAATGACCTCTGACTGTACGAGATACATGCCATTGTAGTGCTAACAAAGATCAGAGCCCAAAATATCAAGTTAAAAGAAAAACTTGTTGGCATGCATCCAATGTCTCATATAATAAAAACGCAATTTCTAATACTATGCAGAAATGGAGAGAAAGGGGACATTCATTATGGGAAACACACATATTATTTACATGGGCTTTATCTTTCTTTATGCAGATAAGGCACAGAGAGCACTTTCTGTCTAATTAATATTCTGTGTCCCTTCATGATCCGACCTGCCCACCCCCACCCTCACCCAAAATACAACCCACATTCTGTGCCCATCGCCTATGTACATATATCCAGTTAGTGAGCCAGGCAAAGGAAGATAGACTTAGACAAAGGAAAATAAAACTCTGTGTTCTGGTACTTAATCTAGAGCCATAAACTGTAGCAAAAGTCAGTGAGAAAACACAAGACTGATCAAGGAATATAAAGTTGAACTATGGCTAACGGGATTTTATCAGGAGTAACGTCTTGTATATCTTTGAGGAACACTTAAAAAAAAAAAAGAAAAGGAAAGGAAAAGAAATCATTGAGTTTCCCCCAAGGGACCCACAGAGGAGTCCCCACACATTTGACTTAAGTCCTGGCATCTGGTTCAACCCAAACTGGCTTGGGGGACACAGGAGGCTGAAATTGTGATTTCTAGCACCTATTATTTCAAAAGAATTTTTTGTTAGTGCACAGGTCTCCATGCTATTCAGGTTTCATTCTCCCCCATTTTTAAATGAAAAATCCATTTGAGGGAAAAGACAAACTGTTTGCCTTAGGACTGCCGGGAGGGGAGGGCAGGGGACACAGATGAAGTGGGTCTGATCCCTTTGTTCTGGGAGATCGCAACAAAAGGAAGCTATTTTTAGCCATGGATTGGCATTGTATTACCAGGTACATGTATCGACCTGATAACTGGAGAGGGACTCTGGAACTCCCCACAACACACACTGTGGTGTCATTGGCTGCAGAGGCTCACGCACTCCAGGAAGACAAACTTGGAAGAACAATCTTAACCCAGAAAAATTTACTGAACAGGAGACAGAAGGCCTTCTGTCTTATTTTGTTCACCTTGTGCTGTGAAAGGAACAATGTCCCCAGAATTCTTTTCTTTCTGAAAGTCGCTTCTCTTAGATGCCATTTTAAAGGAGTTTATGGGGAGTAAAATTGTAATTATCCAAAACACCCTGCTCCTTGAGTCAGGATAGGACTTGCCGTTTGTTTTCATGAAGATAGGCAACATTGTCTCTAGCGACATCAACCAAGGTCCTTGGACAGGCCTTGGTAGACACTGGAGCCATAGTTAAATACTTTCTCATTGGAGTTGCACATTCACCCCACCTTCCCCCGCCTCCTAACCTGGGTCCCGGGTCCTCAGTGCCTGCCCACTCCTGTTCATTGCTAACACCCTCAACGCCCCTAAAGACAGCTTTCTCCAACAAGCAGCCAGCCATTAGTCACCGGGCTGGGGCGCCTGGCAAACAAAGTCCTCATTATAACCAACTTTTACATTTTCCCTTCCAAACCCAAAGTTTTCACTTTAAGTTTTAAAAGCCCATCTTTTCTTATACCAAAATAAACTCTTTCGTGGGCAATCCCGAATACTTGACATTTCCTGGTAGTGGACCCTAGCAAACAACATCATCATCTTGGGGTGCCCTAGGACATACTTAGGAGAGAGTGCCCTTTGGATAACAATAGGGCCTTATTTCTGCTTACAGGAAGAGTGAGTGGGAGAAGGAAGAAAATGCCCACTGCTGGCCAGCATGGAAGTTTCTTTATCTAAGTGGTGAACGCTGTTATCTCTGTGGCAAGGGGGAGCCTACAGTGACCCTAAAAACTCAGTGGTTCACATTCTGTATCCACTGCCAGTTCAGCAAGGGATGTGAGCTGGCCCCTTTCCTCCTCAGACCCCTGTGTTCTCATCTGTAAAATGAAGATCTAAACAAGGATACACAACCCCCTCCTGGAGATGAAAGGGTCTATATATTCTAAAATGTTCATTTTGAATATGTATGACTCTTTCATCCTGATTGAAGAAAACTTGCCTAATAGGATCTTCTATTGCTAGCCACAGGGAGTCATCTCACCATTCTAGGGCTTATCAAGAAGAGATGAACGAAGAGATTATGTTTATTCAACAACAAAACTGTTTTCTGGTCTAACAACTGGTCAACTTGGTTAAAAAAAAAAGTTAGCAATGGCTTTTATCCTCCAATCATGTGCACTTTTCTCTGCAGGTTCACATGAACTTGGACTAAGTCAGATCCTCCAAAACCAAACTCAATTGAAATATGCATTAGGTACATAGGAGGATCTCAATGGAAGCATGTAGGTTTGAAGCACATGCTTGGCCCTGGTAGGACTCAGACAAGAACAGAGTGTGCACCCTTTGAGAACTTGCAAATCAGGTCAGAGCAATCTATGACCAAGTACCATATTGGAAATTCAGAATTTGTTTTACTTCTTCAGCCTTTTCAGCAAACTTTCACATTCTATTCAGCAAAGTATTCCATGTTTGTATTTGCAGAAATCTGGAACATATGGAAAGGTATGAAAAGAAATGAAAATAACTTCAGATTCTACTACCTGACGACGACTGTCAGTATCACTTTTATAGACTTCTTTCTAATCATATTTATTTAAATCTGATTAAAGTATTATTCGAATATAAACAAAACAAGTTACATACAGTTTTATATTTTATTTTTTCTCAACATTATATTGTACGTTTTTATTATTTTATTTTCCTTATTTTTACTTTCATTTTTAGAGACCGAGTCTCACTCTGTTGCCCAGGCTGGAGTGCAGTGGCACAATCATAGCTCACTGCATTCTGGACCTCCCGGGCTCAAGCGATCCTCCCACCTCACCTTCCCTAGCAGCTGGTACTACATACATGCACCACCACACCTCGCTAATTTTTAAAAATTTTTTGTAGAGATGGGGTCTTGCTATGTTACCCAGGCTGGTATTGAACTCCTGGTCTCAAGGAATCCTCCCTCCTCGGCCTCCCAAAGTGTTGGGACTGCAAGCCTGAGCACCACACCTCAGCTTGTGAGTATGTTTTGAAACTGTTATTCTTCAATGCATGATTGTTAATGGCTACAATCAAATAAACAAGTCACAAATGGCTGGTTTCTGTCTTTTGTTTTCTGTTCCCTGTTGAATTGAGCTCCCCAGGAAAGATAAGCCTTGTCCCCTTTGGGTTTGGAAGACTTGCTGACACATTTCTTTAGAGCCCCAGGTATCAAAAGAGAGCTTGAGCTGTGGGTTCTCTGCCCCAGTGATTCCACAAGGGGGCTGGTCTTGCAGATACCTTGGGCAGGCCAGTATATAACGTCCTGATTTTCCATGATCTATTTGTCAAGAAACCTCAGTCAGCAGCCCTAGCACTTAAAGAGACTCTAATGCTTCGGGAACTGGAAGTCATGCACAAAATGAGGAACAATAATAATTCAACATAAGCTGAATTTAAGAATACTATAAAAGCCATAGGCCAATCTTCAACCAAAAGCAGACATCTTGCTAAAAACCACATTAGCATCAAACTGAAGCCTTGGCCACTTATCTCCTCCAAGGGGAGAAGAAAGGGGAGGGAGGCTGTGCATTTGCAACCCAGAACTCTCTTCGGCACAGATTCCTCCAGCTGACCCCTCAACCCGCCCTCTGCCCCTGGCTTGCTTTCCTTTTAGCGAATGGGGAAGAGTTAATGCCACATGAAAGTGTCTATGTGATTCGATGCTCAGAAGAGTCTGTTGAGACTCTCAGGGTTGTTTTTTTTTTTTAATTAAAAAAATAGCTAAATAATTTTCCTTTTTGAATTTTTAAAATTAATAATAAGACTTGCTCCTTGTGAGATGAAAGAAATCACATTTCAGACATTAAAGGACTAAAGGAGAAAAAGAAACCACAACTCCAGATTCCGGGAATGAGTCAGGAATTGATTCATGAAGAGTCCTCACAAAGTAGCAGGGTGCAACGGGCACTTCCCGAAGCCAGGCTTAGAGGAGATTCAGGCTGGAGGTTTCACATCCTGCAGAACACCTTAGAGGGCCACTGACATTGAAAAACCCAGGACTGAAAAAAAGGGAGACACTAAAAGTGCCTGCTAACTAGCATTAGAGAGATACATCTGGGTCCAAACTGGGTCTTTCTGTTAGAACACCAGGAAGGTCTAGGGATAGTCATCCCACACTGGGAGGGAAATCTGTAAGTAGATGTCAGATCCCATGAAGAAGAATTGAACAGGGCTCAGGAGCAGACAGATAAGTGGTACCACCTAGAAACCTGGGAACTGCTGTGGCGGCCGGCAGAAGCCCTAAATGAGCTGGGTAATATTTCTGGAGCAAGTTGCATCCTGATATTTTAAGCTGAGAGTTTTATTGCTGCTGAAACCATACAGTTGAAAAGGAAATTGAACAGCCTTCTCTCTAAATCATCTGATTTATAGAAATTGAAATTGATTCATATAATTGGAGACCACTAATTATAGGAGTTGAAGAAGAAAGATTGTATGCCAAAGTTCTAATTGCTGAACTATCAAAGTTAGTCAAGATTTGTTTCAGGGAATGGGGGAAATTGTCATTTTCTATAGAATGCCAGGGAATGTGATCATTATGCTAGTTTACTACTATCTCTTTGGTCCTCACTTCAGGACTTCAGGTTTTTGAAGAACAAAACAGTAAGTTTGACCTTCTTAACATGCACCAGGGGGTTGAGTTTTCTAATTTTCTTAAAAAATTTTATGGAAGTAATGTCATACATCATAAAACATATGGACAAAAGAAAAAGAAAGAGGGAGGAATGGAGGGAGAGAGAGAGAAAGAGAGAGAGACTGAGAAGGCATCAGTTCTATGCCTTAAAGCCCCTGCAGTAATTATTTTGGCATTTCTCCCTCCCATTGCTTTACTGTGCACAGCTTTTCACATGGCCCGGCCCCTGGTCCACATTCAGTTGTGTTTCCTTCTTTTGTTCTTGTGCACACTCCTGAAAACCATCATTGTAAATGGCTGCATCATGTCCATCAAGGAGCTCTGTCTCCATGGAATGCCCCAGTGCCATACATTTTAACACAATTCCTGTTTTAATTTTTGGCATTTTAAACGATGTTATAATGAACATTTCCACGCAGGTAACTTTTTTCATACTTTGGATAAATTTCTTAAAATAGATTCTCAGAAGCAGAATTACTGGGTCAACGAGTTTAACGTGTCATTACTCCTGATGGGTATTGACAAATTGTCTTCTACAGATCTTTCAACCACTTAGAAGGCTACCAGCATTGTTGGAAGTCCTGGCTCCCTGTATCCCTGGCAGGCAGGAGTTTCAGTTTTTAATATTTGTTATCATTCAATAGACCAAAATGGCCACTGGTTCTTTATTTAAGTTTGTAATTTTTAAATACTAGAGCAGATGAACTGTGTTCCTTCTACTTAGTAGTTTTATTCCCTCCTTAGGTGAATTATCAGCATTTGCCCTTTATCTGAGCCAAGGAAATGTTTGTGGAGTACTAGGACCAAGTCCAAGTAGGCCAAAAACAGATGAGATGAGTTATTATAGAAAATACATGTAAGAAGTTAAGAAACAACAGATGCTGTCAAGGCTGTGGAGAAATAGGAACGTTTTTACACCATTGGTGGGAATGTCAATTAGTCCACCCATTGAGGAAGTCAGTGTGGAGAATCCTCAAAGACCTAGAACCAGAAGTACCATTTGACCCAGCAATCTCATTACTAGGTATATACCCAAAGGAATATAAATCATTCTATTATAAAGATACATGCACATGTATGTTCACTGCAGCACTATTCACAATAGCAAAGACATGGAATCAACCTAAATGCCCATCAATGATAGACTGGATAAAGAAAATGTGGTACATGTATACCATGGAATACTATGCAGCCATAAAAAGGAATGAGGTCATGTTCTTTGCATGGACATGGATGGAGCTGGATGCCATTACCCTTAGCAAACTAATGCAGGAACAGAAAGCCAAACACTGCATGTTCTCACTTTTAAGTGGGAGCTGAACGATAAGAACACATGGACACAGGGAGGGGAACAACACACACTGGGGCTTGTCAGCGGGGAGGTTGGGAGGGAGAGCATCAGAATAAATAGCTAATGCATGCTGGGCTTAATACCTAGGTGATAGGTTGATAGGTGCAGCAAAGCACCATGGCACATGTTTACCTATGTAACAAACCTGCACATCCTGCACATGTATCCCGGAACTTAAACAAAATAAATTTTAAAAAGAAAAAAAAAGAAAGAAAATACATGTGTCACTGGCAGACTGAGCACCCTCTCCCTTTCCTGATGGATAATAGTGACGCCAACCCCCACCTAATGAAACACACCTTTACTGGTCTCGGAGCAACTTCCACAGCCTCTCTGAGCTCATCTTCCCTTGCTATGGGTTCTCCAGGTTGGAGATATGATAAAAGCAGGCTTAGAACATCTTTCTCTGAAATTTGATATTTTTTGCTAATGAGGTATCCCAAATTAAGAAAAAAACCTGAGAAAATGACATTAATTTGGAACAATTAGAAAATCAACAAAAGTTTGATTTTCTACTTTACAAAGCTTATAGCACTTTACAAACACAGTAATTAATCCTTATAACAAAGAAAAGATGTTTCCCCCCACCCCACCGCCTGCTTCCTGAGTTCAAGAAAAGTTAAGAGCCTTTACACGGAATTCCACAGTCTTTGCTAAAAGGCCAAGAAAAGACAAAAAAAAAAAGAAGAAAAAAAGATCCACTGCTTGCTCAAGGAAATGAAACAAGAAGCTCATGGGTCCTGCACAGAGATGAGCTTTAAGAACAGCAAGTAGACGTCCAGAATCAGTAAATCTATAGTGACAGGAAAGAGATGTGCGGTTGTCTTGGGCTGGGAGTTGCTAGCTAAAGGTTGCAGAGTATCTTTTCTGGGATGATAGAAATGTTCTAAAATTGATTGTGGTGATGGTTGCACAATTCTATGAATAGACTAAAAACCATTGAATTCTACACTTTGCATTAACTGTATGATATGTGAATTATATCTCAATAAAGCTGTTACCAAAAAAATAGCTAGAGGCTTGAAGGAAACCATGGGAAGAAGGAAACGTGCAGGGGTGGAACCTTAACAAGGTCTGATTTCCTTTTTTTATTTTATTTTATTTATGTATTTATGTATTTATTTATTTATTTATTTATGTTTTTGAGACAGAGTCTCACACTGTCGCCCAGGCTGGAGTGCAGTGGCGCGATCTCTGCTCACTGAAAGCTCTGCCTTCCGGGTTCACACCATTCTCCTGCCTCAGCCTCCCGAGTAGCTGGGACTACAGGTGCCTGCCACCACGCCCGACTAATTTTTTGTATTTTTTAGTAGAGACGGGGTTTCACCATGTTAGCCAGGATGGTCTTGATTTCCTGACCTGGTGATCCACCCTCCTCGGCCTCCCAAAGTGCTGGGATTACAGGCGTGAGCCACCGCGCCCGGCAACAAGGTTTGATTTTCTACTCTACAAAGCTTATAGCACTTTACAAAGTAATTAATCCTTATAACAAAGAAGAGATGTTGTCCCCCCACTTTCCTGAGTCCCAGAAAATTTAAGAGCTCTCACACGGAGTTCCACAGTCTTTCCAAAAAAGATCAAGAGAAGACAAAAAAAAAAAAAGAAGAAGAAGAAGAAGAAGAAAAAAGAAAGTGCGCTACTTGCTCAAAGAAACGAAACAAGAAGCTCATGGGTCCTGCACAGAGATGGGCTAAGAGCACAGAGAAAGAACAAGGATGGGGCGAAACACTTACTTGATATATTAAAGAATCAGGCTGCATGCGGTGGCTCACGCCTGTAATCCCAACACTTTGGGAGGCCAAGGTGGGCAGATCACGAGGTCAGGAGTTTGAGACCATCCTGGCCAACATGGTGAAACCCTGTCTCTACTAAAAATACAAAAAAAAAAAAAAAAAAAGCTGGGCATGACGGTGGGTGCCTGTAATCCCAGCTACTCGGGAGGCTGAGGCAGAAGAATCACTTGAACCTAGGAGGCAGAGGTTGCAGTGAGCTGAGATCACACCACTGAACTCCAGTCTGGTGACAGAGCTAGACTCCATCTCAAAAAAAAAAAAAAAAAAATCAAAATGAGAGAAAACACCCCACACTGATGAATTTGAATTTCTGGGACATACATTCATCCATTCAACAGAGTATATGGAGTGTGTCCAGGTGGTCAGGCGTAGGAGGGAGTGAGAGAGAGAACACCTGTGATTCGATGGGGCAGGGTGCACCAGCGGGGATGGGCTGGGTTTAACAGAGACTTGGGGTCAGGGGGATGACTTCCAAAGGAAGGCAGAAGTCAGCCTGGCAAAGAATTGGGATGGTGAGGTAGAGGGGGATTTCCAGTAGAGAGAGCTGAACACACAGAGACCCAGAGGAATGATGGAATACAGGGTGGGGAAACTTGCAGGAGTCAGACCCCCACCCCAGAACAAAGACTGTGGGGACCAAGAGGCACAGCTGCAGAGGTGGGCAAGGGCTGGACCCTGAAGGTTCTCATGAGACTGTGGCCTTTTTCTGAAGGCCCATGGGTTGCTTTAAACTGAGAAGTGACATGATCAGGTTGGCTTTTAGGTAGATCCTTCCAGAGATCTGGGGGAAAGGGTTTGGAGCAAGCTACCGGGAACGAACTAGACGGAAACTGTGTTTAAGAGGGAAACCCATGAAGACCTCAAATGTGGAGATTCAGATCTGTGACAGACAAGGGGACAAACGCAAGAATTGTTTAAGAAGCAGAAAGAGGGGTCTCCAAGGGGTGTGAGAAGGAACCGCCTGGACCATGCCCTGGGTGTTCTGGTTGTTGGATGGGTGGGGTGGGGTGGGGTGGGGTGGGGTCTGTTCACCCCGCCAGGCAGCATGGCAGGAGACACCCATTCGGAAGACTCGGCATTTGGGACCTGCTGAGTTTGAGGTGCCAATGGGACACCTGAAGGAAACTTGAGGCCTTGGAAAAGGTCCCAGCTGGGACTCTGATGCATTTCCCAGAAGGGGAGAGGACCATGTTTTCCGGGAGGCCAGCTGACCTGCCAAGGGGAGCCACCTTGCTCACTGACCTGGCACCCTAGGAACACAGTGTACAACAGGTACAACCCAGAGAGGAGAAGAGAGTGTGGGAGGAGCCTGGAGATGCACAGGAGAAAACAAATTGTCAAGGAGGTCACCAGTTCCAATGAGGTGGGCACTGGGCCAACACAGAACACTAAATAAACCTCACAGTGAGGGTGGGGCTGGAGCCTGGAGGATGGGAGTCAGAACATGGGGCACCCCTGTCCCCAGGACTTCTGGACCCCAAAGGCCAGACCTAACAGAAATGGTGAAGGAGTGGTGTCCCCAGGCTCCTGTCTGCCCAAAGCAAGAAGCATACAGCACCAAGCAAGGGGTGGACCCAGAGGAGGGCGCTATGGAGATGCTGATACTAGAAGCTTGCTGAAGCCCACCCAGACAGATGGGGAAATAGAGGGTCCCCTGCAAACACAAAACTCCCAATTCAACCAGCTGGGGGGCTGGACAAGGGACTGATAGAACATTTCACTCTGACCGTCCATTAGAACTTTGAGCTGGCTGGAAAGCGAGGCATCAGACCTAATGGGGAGGAAAATACATCATTACTGTTGTTTTCATTCATCTGACAAGACCTTGACCTATCTTGATGATAACTTCATTTTCCAGACCGTAGAGAATATAATGAAGGAATATTTTTAAAACTCTAGATTTAGTTCTAACTAATAGGGAGGAATTAGTTAAGGCAGAAAAAAAAAAGCAAGAATCTTGGACAACTACAATTATGTTTGTCTTAGAGTTCTCAAAATCCTAGGTGTGTGAGGCTAGGTAGGTTGGGGTCACAGTGATGGGACAATGGTTAGGAGCACAGAGAAGGAATAAAACAGACCGGCTCAAATCCAGACTCCAGCACTTCCTGTGTGACATTGGGGAAGTTACTTAACATTTCAGAACCTCAGATCCCCATTTTCTACTGCAGGATAAAATCAGTATCTACCTCAGAAAGCTGTTACCTGTTACGAGAACTAGTACAACCACTGTGGAAAACAGAAGATTCCTTAAAGAACTGAAAGTGGATCTACCATTCGACCTAGCAGTCCCAATACTGGATATCTACCCAAAGGAAAAGACGTCATTACATGAAAAAGACACACAATACACACACACACACACATTCACACACATTTATAGCAGCACAATTTGCAATTGCAAAGATATGGAATCAACCTAAGTACCCACTGATCAACGAAAGTATAAAGGTAATGTGGTACATATACACCATGGAATACTACTCAGTCATCAAAAGGAACAAATGTCTTTTGCAACAACTTGGATGAAGTTGGAGGCCATTATTCTATGGGAAGTAACTCAGGAATGGAAAACCAAATATCGTATATTGTCACTTATCAGTGGGAGCTAAGTTATGAGGAGGCAAAGGTGTAAGAATGATACGATGGACTTTGGGGAGGTGGTGAGGGCGGGAGGGGTGAGGGATAAAAGACTACATATTGGATACAGTGTACACTGCTGGGGTGATGGGTGCACCACAATTTCAGAAATCACCACTAAACAACTTACCCATGTTACCAAAAGCCACCCGTTCCCCAAAAACTATAGAAATAAAAAATGAAAATAAATCAATCAACAAAATTTTTAAAAAGAACTCAATTCTAAAAAGTTGTTACAAGGATTAAATCCATTTAATAAGTTAGCACACTGCCTGGCATTTTTTAAAAACTCAATAAATGTTTGTAATTCATCACGAACCAATGTGTATCCTAAATTTTAACATACCAGGGTTCAAAATACTTGCAGAAAAGAGAGGTAGGATTCCAGGACACGAGAGGCTGGTCAAGCAAATGACCCAGAAAAAGATGAGGATGCTCTCAAACGTGTCATAATGCCGACTGTGCAACCAGAGAGATCCCAGTGACAGGGAAGAAGCCTGGGTCCAGAAAAACCAGTGTGACTCCCCCAGAGAGATGAGATTTGAAAAGACGATAGTGGGCATCTAGCATACTCATGCGCATGTATGTACATACAAGTACATGTATACACACACATGCACATATGCATAGATGTGTTAAGTGAATAGATTAATTGATTGATGATTTGAATAAAACATGGAAACAAGAAGGAACATGTTCTTAGGGAACCTCAGACATAAGTGACTGGGACTTGAAATGATCTTATCTTTAATGAAAGCCAAGGAAAGAAAAAATATAGTATTAAGGGCAGCTAAAAAGCCCCCCAACCCACCCTTTTTTTTTTTTTTTTGAGACAGGGTCTAACTCTGTTGCCCAGGCTGGAGTCCAGTGACATGAACTCGGCTCACTGCAGCCTCCGCCTCCCGGGCGACTCTCCTGCCTCAGCCTCCCAAGTATCTGGAATTACAGCCGCATCCACCATGCCCAGCTAATTTTTGTAGTTTTGGTAGAGATGGTGTTTCGCCATGTTGGCCAGGCTGGTCTTGAACTTCTGACCTTAGGTGATCTGCCTGCCTCGGCCTCCCAAAGTGGTGGGATTACAGGCATGAGCCACTGTGCCCAGGCTAAAAAGCCATTTATTATTTATTTATTTATTTATTTTTATTTTACTTTAAGTTCTGGGATACATGTGCAGAACGTGCAGGTTTGTTACATAGGTATACATGTGCCATGGTGGTTTGCTGCACCTATCAATCCGTCATCTAGGTTTTAAGCCCTGCATGCATTAGGTATTTGTCCTAACGCTCTCCCTCCCCTTGCCCCCTACCCCACGACAGGCCCCGGTGTGTGATGTTCCCCTCCCTGTGTCCATGTGTTCTCATTGTTCAACTCCCACTTATGAGTGAGAACATCCGGTGTTTGGTTTTCTGTTCCTGTATTAGTTTGCTGAGAATGATGGTAAAAAACCCTTTTTAAAAGTTCAATTCAGAGCAAAACAAACAGACTGAGAAAGGAACTATAGTTTGGTGCAGGAAGCAATGACATCACGTTGGGGAAGGAGAAGAGGAGAAGGGATTGTTCTGTCTGCCCTGCAAGGAGAGGTCCCGGGGAAGGAAGAGAGACCTGTTGACCCACGGGAGCCTGAGATGGATGACAAAGACTGTCAGGAAGAACATGTCTGCTCCAGCAGAATCCTCATCTCCACACTCCCGTGAAATTGGCACCATGGAACCGGGAGAGCTTGGGAAAGCAGTGCTGAAACCTGCTGCTGTGATATCTGAGGAACTGTGGAGAAAGGGAAAGCTAATTGTCATGGACAATCGATCCTGAGACTGACTTCAGCATGGGTCTTACTTTTTCACAAAAGTTGAGGCAAGCCTAGAAGGGGGAACAGCAATCCCCAGAGCCCAGCGCGGGCTCCCTTGGAACCAGCCCTGAAGGCTGGGGACCGAGACCTGCATTAGACATCAGGTGTCTGCATCTCAGCAGGGCATTTTGATTTCCACGGAGATAAAAAAGAGAAATGTGAAACTGAAGCAAGGCAAAGAAGTGGATCAGTGGCTGGTTAACCAGCCATACCCAAAGGGTACAGAAACAAGTGCTGAGGTCACAAGGAAGGGAGGGACTCTCACCCTGGGATGTGGCAGGGCACATGTCCCGAGGCTGCCTCGTGGACTGCTTTTTATCAGTGACAGGGACAAAAACCCAACAGGCATGAATGGAACAAGCGCAGGTGGCCAGTGCTGGGGAAGTGGGGTGTGCGTGAGGGCCCCTGAATGAAGGAATCCCTCACAGCACCCTGACCCACCAGGCCAAGGGGAAAATGAGTGATGCAATTAAACAAACAGTTGTTGACCTTTTCCACATCTGGTCTGTAGTCGAAACAGCAGCCAACTAGCAATTCCTGTCTCCTTCCACGACCTAGGGTCGTTGCTGGAAGCAGTTTCCCAACCGCAGATATTTTCCAGGCTTATCTGATTTAGCTGGGGCCACGTGACTGACTTTCAGCCGGTGGAATTTGGACAAAATGAAGGCTGCTACTTCTTAGAAGAGTCTCTTGCTCCATTCTCATGGTGCTCTCTTTTCCTGACAGCTGGATCTCAATGTCCTGGGTGACCCAGGAAACTGTATACTGAAAATGATGAGGCTTCCACTGGCCTGGTCCCTAAATAAAAGCTGCTTGTGCCCAACACCGATTGAGCTCCGGATGAGAGAGAGAAAAGTAAACTGTGGTGTCTTGATACTGAGATGTTAGGGTGTATTTATAAGAGCGGTCAGTGTTGTCCTAACTGATATGGGATACACAATCCCAGAGTGGCAATGCAGGACTGGGGAGAGGGCAGGGCTTCACCAGGCCTCTGAGAAAGGACTTGAGGGATTGGACAGTGATGAGTAACTCAGTGGGAACCAGAGAATCCGTGGTCCCCAGACAGGCAAAAATGGCCTCGGAAGGATGAGTTTCCAAAAGGAGAGGGAGCCCCTCTGAGCCTACACAGATGATGCATCGTTGGTCAACCCAGCAGGTCCTGTGCACTAAGTGCATTGGTTCAGATGGGCACAGAATAAGAAAAGCAGACAAGGCTCAAGACTCGAAGCTATACCACATTTTGTCCCTTGGCCTTGGGAGAATCCAGTTCGACTTACAGGACCCCAAGGAATCCTGGGACCATGCACATTTCAGGGCAATATTAAAAAGAGAGAGAGCATTTACTGAGTGCCTGCTATGTGCTCTGCTGTTGTTTAGAAGGAAGATAATCATCATTTAATTCTCACAATAGTCATCTAAGGTAAGTACTATTATTCCCCGGTATACACATAAGGGATCAGACTTGGCTGGGGATCCAGCAGTTTATGTGTACAGAGCTGAGACTCAGACCATGCCTGACTGAGCCCAAAACCCATGAGCTTCACTAGGATCCCCCCATCTGAAAGGCTTTCTAAGATCAGAGCTCCTCAGGCTCTGAATGGGCCCCCTCAAGAGACAGCAGGAAGCCCCCTACCCCGGACTTATACAAATAGAAGCTGGCGGAGCCCCACAGCATTCCTCAACCCCGCGTGGGGCAGAGTTAGATCGTAAGACCCTCCCAACCTTGAAACCTCTGCCTAAGAGCATACAGGAAGTTTAGATTAAATCAGCCAAAATGACTTCATAGCATATATTTCTTAATATCTGGTTCTCAGGGTCAAACATAAAACTTTATCCTGGAAAAAAAAAAAAAAAAACACCAAGGATTATCCATGAACCATCTTTCTTAAATGTGAGCCATCAGCAGCCTGACCCACACATGCTGATCTCTGTTCCCGAGCTCCTTCAAGGACGCCGAGGTCTGCAGAGTGGTGGAGCTAAGGGGTTGGGCAATGGAGGATCCCACCCCGTCCTCAATCATCAGAAGCTGCAAGGTGCTTTTCTAAAAAGAAAAAGGAAAAAAGGACTATTTTTCTTCAGTGCTAGAGAAAGCAGACAGATTTTTATTTCTGTAGAGTAAGAAAACTCTCTTCCCTCACCGAGGTCACTTATAACAATAGAGGATCCCCTGAGATGAAGGAAAGAATCAGGTTTTCTTTTTATTCTAGAAGGTGATAACTACCAAGAAATCTCCACTTCACTTAAGTCCTTTTATTCTTCTGATAAGCTCAAGAGTTTGCCATCATTGTGCCCAGCCACTGCTGTCTTCAGCAAAGCACAGTGGAGGAGATTTCAGTTTCCAGAGGGGACAGACACAGCCCCTGTCAGTGAGAACCCCCTGACCCAACAACACTCCAAACAAATTACTGGGTTGTCTAAAAAGTAGAAGGAACCAACCACTGCTGGAATACTCTGCTTTCTTCACGCCACAAAGCAGAAATTTCTGCTTAAAGGGAGATTCATTTGAAAGAAACCTCAAGCATATTTTTTTCATGTCTTGGGAGGTTGCTGTTTCATAAAATGCATGCATGTCATACGACTCCGCAGAAATTCATTCAACACACTGGGTCCATCAGTACTTACTGCTGTGTATGAATATCATGAAGAATGTATATCATTCCTGTATCATGAGCTACTCTAGGCCCTGGGCTACCTAACTGGACAAAACAGACACCATTCCTGCCCTCATAGAACCTGCATTCTAGTGGGGAGATGGAGAACGTGTCAGTACAATGGAAATAAAAGAATACCAAATAGTTAAATACATAAGGGTGATGTCATGATTCGGGACAGACAGAATAAGGGCACAACCAAGATGAGCTTTGACATTGGATGGGTGGTCAGGGAAAAGTAAAGACAAGTGGACCTTAACAAAGAAAATATAGGCTAGTTACCATGGCTCATGCCTGTAATCCCAGTAGTTTGGGAGGCCAAGGCAGAAGGATCATTTGAGGCCAGGAGTTTCAGTACAGCCTGGACAACATAGCAAGACCCCATCTCTATTAAAAAAAAAAACCCAGCAAGTATAGGAAGTGCAAAGGCCCCAAGGCAGGACCACACTGGAGCATTCTGAGGAGTGACAGAAAGAGCAGGAGAGTAGTGGGTGCCACAGAGCCACAGGCCCTGGAGTCCAAGAGGCAGGCAGGCCCAGTGAGACCGGAGAAGTTCGCAAATCACATGGGGAGCCACTAGGGCCTCTAAGCATTCATCCCTCTGCTCTGGGAGGCGGGCTTGAGGAGCCACTAAAATGGACCTGTTTGAGAACAGAAGCCCAGCAGTCTATTTCCCAGCAGCTTCCCTGCCTCCAAGCCTAAGCGGCCGTGAGCCACAGAGGGAGTCCATCTCCCTATTTCCTTTTAAAGTCAGGCCAATAGAGGAAACTCAGAAAGGTATTTTATTCATTGTTAAGCAATATTCCTTCACGAACAATCAATGTTGAACAGTTTGACATTTATTGCTGCCCATCAGAGGCCGATTCTCATCGAATTATATGCAGTGTGTGTCCACAACCCAGTGACATTTCCCTCTTAGTAAATCCATGTGCGCCATTAACAGACAAATTAAATTACCTACAATTGTTTACCTACTTAAAAAAAGACTCCTAAAAGGAAGACCAGGATCCCCTAAATTTCACTTTTCTCATTCCAAATGCCAGGATGCTAATGGCCAGAGTCCACGGATTAACACCACGGCTGGCCAAAAGTCTTCATGTAGCTCAGTAAGAGCGAATTCAGGGGTCCCAGGTGCGCTGGGGAGTGGATGATGACTGGGGCCACAGAGGGAAGAAGGTGGGAGAAGCCCCAGTCCCCAGCCCTAACCCCAGGGAGGAAAAGGCTGAAGAATGTCAAGAACCACTCACTCTCTTACTAACACGTGGGAAAACCAACAGCCGCATTTGTTCTTCAGAAGACGAGCCCTTGGTAGTCATGTGTAATGACCCGGGGAGAGACAAATGAGTTCGACTCCGTTGCCGTCTTCATGGGGCTCAAAAATCATCAGAACAAAGCTACCAATGCATTTCACTCTACAGTGACAAGTTCCTGGGTGAGCTTCATAGGAGAAAGCAGGTAACCTTAAGTCCCTGGAGGAGCAGGCACCTCCCCATACCTTTAGATGTGGGCAGGAACTGAACATGGGGAGACAGGGGAGAAAGGGGGACCCCTCATCAAGCATTCCAGGAGCGGCTGGTCCTAAAGCACAGCAGAGCCAGTACACGGGGCCATGTCTGGGGCTCGTGTGGGGTTGGGTTTGGCTAGAGTCCAGGAAGGACATGGAGAAGGGGCTGGGGAGCCCAGTGGGCTGTGGCTGTACCCCCGTTTCTTCATGCCTACCCCAGAGACTGCTTTCCTGCCTGCTCCAAGACACAGACAAGATGCCTACTGTGGCACTGACTATGGCAGCAGTGGGAAGAAAGGGGAGGGAATAACTTAAATGCCCGCCAATTGGGGAATGGCTAAAAATACATACAAAATACCAGGCCATATCTATTTTATGGCCTGTTATACTTCTTCTTATATTTTTTAATTTTTTTGCTAGAGATAGGGTCTTACTATGTTGTCCAGGCTTGTTCTTGAACTCCTGGTCTCAAAGAATCCTCCCTCTCAGCTTTTCAAAGTGCTGGGATTATAGACGTGAGCCACCATGACCAGTGGCTATGTTACACGGACAGGAACAGGGCTAAGAGAAATCTGAGTCAAACCCTGTCTCTACTAAAACTACAAAAAATTATCCGGGCATGATGGTGCATGCCTGTAATCCCAGCTACTCGGGAGGCTGAGGCAGGAGAATCGCTTGAACCTGGGAGACGAAGGTTGCAGTGAGCTGAGATTGTGCCACTGCACTCCAGCCTGGGTGACAGAGCAAGACTTGATCTCAAAATAAAAAACCAAACAACAACAATAACGCAAAAATAAGGTTATCTTGAAGCCACATGGTTGAAAGAAAAAAGCAAACTGCAGAATTATAGGGTAGTGCTGTTTATAGTGAAGAAAAGGAAGAAAGGAGAGAGAGAGGAAGGGAAGGGACAGGTAGGAGAGAGGAAAGGGGGGATGTGGGGGGAGAATGCACAGCAGGAGGCTGAGACCATTGGGGGACAAGAGGGAAAACTAGGAAAGACAGAGGTCACAGAGAACATATACTCTCTAATGTAGTTTAATTTTATCATTTACTTGAGTTTTAAAACTCAGCCACTGTCCACTGTCTGAATATTTTGATAATGATGACTGATGATGAATCCAGAATAGTGATTAATAAAAAATGATCTGCTCCTGTACTCCCTCTGATTGTAAATATCAACCTTAATTAATAGTAATCAATGTTAGCAGTAAGAGAAAATCCAAACTGCTTTAATGTACCACTTCAGGGGCTTCGTGTAATATCCTCCCTTGACAACACATCAGTGCTTTCACCCCGACAGAGTGATGGGGAGGGGTTGGGGGAGTTCACACAGGACCCGGCCACACTGCTGTCTGGGACCCAGGAGGTCCACAAATGTCTGCTGGAGGAGGTGGGGAAAAGGGCGGGTGTCTGAGGGAGTGGAAAACGTGAGGAACAAGACCCAGATAACAATATGGAGCCCTACACAGTGCTCACAGGGTAGCCATGCTATAAACCCCCTAATCATTTCACACACACACACACAGAGAGAGAGAGAGAGAGAAAGAGGGTTTATGAGCCTCTAGCTGGTCCCAGCTTGCAGGATGTCATCCTTGCCTGGCGTCCAAGGCCTTCCACAGTCTGGCCCTAGTCTCCTTTTCCAGGGTTCCCAGCACATTCCCAACCACATGGCGTCAACATCCACTAAACACACCTAGCTCACCAATGTGCTTCACCTTTGTCTCTGCCATGCCTTCTTTCCCATATGCCTCCCTCTTCCTCTCCAGTCTAAAAATAGTCAGACATCACAAAAGTCTCACTTCCTTCATCCATGTCGGAACAAATATTCACTGAGCAGCTACTATGGGCCAGGCACATCATCTCATCCTAACAGCTTTACAAACTAGAAACTAGTGTTTTCCCATTGTACAGACAGCACATTTGAGGTTCAGAAAGTATCTTGCTGAAGGCCACACAAGCTGGTGCCTGGTGGAACTGAGATCTGGACCCTGGTCAGTTTGATTTCACGAACATTCATCCCTGGAGGAGAGACAGCTAAAACAGAAAGGTAAGCATCATCAAGGAAGGATGGGCCAGAAGGGCAGGGGGTTAATTTTCCAGACAGGATGGGCGGGACGTCTCCTCTGAGCAGGTGGCACTTGAGCTGTGACTCAAAGGACATTTAGTAGGTGAGTAATAACTTCAGGATACATTGTAGCGGCTCCAAGGATATGAGTGAACAAATTGCATGTGTAAAGGCCTGGAGGCATGTGTGAGGATGGGTGCCAGCCTGTCCAAGTTCAATGACACAGAATACATGCAACAGGTTATGTGAAGCAGATTTGTTACTTACAGATAGGCAGCAAGGTGGACAGAAGCCTAAGATTTATTGCAAGTGGGTCCCCTAAGGCTCAAGAAAGCTTCCTGGGGTGGATGTAGTCTTGTCTGTATAAGCCACTTGCACTACAACTGAGGGTCTTGGAAAAGCAGCCCCCAGGGTTGCATACTCTGGGGCCATGGGACACGCTGGGCTAAAACACCAAAGGATATCTAATTTCTAGGGGGAACTGTATCAGAGGCCAGGGTGTTTTGGCCAGCTCCCCCTAATCTCAAGATGTTATATCCCCAGAACATTCTACCATTATTATTATTATTATTACTATTATTATTATGAGATGGAGTCTCACTCTGTCACCCAGGCTGGAGTGCAGTGACATGATCTTGGCTCACTGCAACCTCCACCTCCTGGGTTCAAGCAGTTCTCCTGGCTTAGCCTCCCAAGTAGCAGGAACTATAGGTGTGTGCCACCACGCCCGGCTAATTTTTTTTTTTTTTTTTTTGTATTCTTAGTAGAGATCGGTTTACACCATGTTGGCCAGGCTGGTCTCGAACTCCTGACCTCAGGTGATCTGCCCACCTCAGCTTCCCAAGGTGCTGGGATTACAGGTGTGAGCCACCTCACCCGGCCTCTACCCTTATTCTTGAGAACTACAAGTGAGAAAGGGGGCAGAATCAGATCGGTCCAAGGCCACCTTGGAGCACTTCCTTGCAGCATTGGACAACATAGACCATTCCAGAAACTGCAGGTAACCCCATAGAGCTGACATGCCATCCTTTGAAGCAAGAGTTAAGATTCTGACAGGCCAAGAGCAGGAGAAAGATATATTCGTGATGATTTCATATTAGTCAAGTAGGGAGTGAAAGGTGTGGACTGCAATTGTCCATTTGATCACATCAGTAGAGAAAAGGATGAATTTCTTTAAGTCACCTGTGCCTCGAAGTGCGTTTATCCATCACTACACTGGGTGACTCAGTTTTCACACAAGGGACTCCTCCATCACGTGTAAACCAGCCATTTATTAATTTTTGCAACAAGTACTCAACTTCATTACTCACTTTTGAGATCACACATGTTTACATAATCTTTCTCTGGCTACGGGAGTCTCACGGCAATATCCCCAGGCAGCCGTCGCAGTGAGATACCGGGCATCGTTAGTGATGGCAATGTTACAAGCCTACAAAGCAATGTAATTACACAGATCCGACCTGCCGCCACTCTCTTCCGCAGGTACTCCTGGAATGCAATGTCAAAATTTGCATGCAAGATGCTGACCAATAATGTACATTTTAACTTACCAAGGCAAATAAAACTCCATGCCATATGGCTGATTAGAAATACTCTCTCCTTCTCTAAACAGCTGGGTGAATAATAGCAAGGAGAAGCCGGTTGGCAGCTGTACACTCTTCTCCCTACACTCTTCTCCCTGCTATCGTGAGGACTCTGCTTCCGCAGGTATGCACCTGAGACCAGGTAGCGCGATGCCCTCCTCTCCTAACAAGAAAGCTGTAGGGATGGGGGCGGTCAAGGCCAGGTGTCCCCCTCTAATGGAGCTCCTCGGTTTGCCCAGCATAAAGGCTCATGTAGCATTTGGTAAATAAGCTATTCTAAGGTGTTCCAGAAAAAAAAAATGCTGCTTTGAGCACTGAGAAAAAGAAGAAAATAATTTTAAAAAAACTTAAAAATAAAAGTAGCATTTAAAAAAAAATTACAGAGTTGCTGCTGTTTGTTACTAACCACTGGCTCCTGCACACACCCAACCATTCTCTCTCTATCCAGGCAGACCTCCGGTCAAGTTTTTCATGTTACCAGGCAGGTGCCTCAGCAGGGCCTCTGCAGACACCTGTGATGTTCATGACATCCTCTGCCCGTGATACTGTTTTGCCCACATGGCTATGGGTACCTAGGATCCTCCTCAGCCATCTGCCCCTTCCAACTGTCCAGGGATCAAGGACAGCTGGCACAGGCCTTCTCTCTCCATGCAGAAAGAGCTCTAGGGGCATCTGGGTGATCTGACAATTGCCCTGCAAACAAGACCAGTCTCATGGGACTGCGACCTGTGCACGTCACCCAGGAGCCCCTGCCTAAAAGCACCCTGAATTTGGTTTAATGTTCTATTTCTGCCTTGAAATTCTTTGTGACTGAACAGTGGGCCCCACATTTGCATTTTGCACTGAGCTCTATAAATTATTTAGCTTGTCCTGCCTGTTAATTATCTTTAAAACAGCTGTGGCTTTCCTGCGTAGAAACCTGACAGACACTACCTCAGCCAGGTGACCAAGATCAACATTATCAGTGATAAGCCAGATTAATAGGACACGATGTGATGAGAATGGTCCTTTATCTCCCTGGCCTTCCTCACAAACTTCCTCCCATAACTCCAGTCTAACCATGAGAAGAACATCTGATAAACGGTCTAAGCCAGGCCTGGTGGCGTACACCTGTAATCCCAGCACTTTGGGAGGACGAGGTGGGAGGATTGCTTGAGCCCAGGTGTTTGAGATAAGCCTGGGCAACATAGCGAGACCCAATCTCTAAAAAAAAAAAAAAAAGGCCGGGCGCAGTGGCTCATGCCTGTACTCCCAGCACTTTGGTAAGCTGAGGCAGGCAGATTGTCTGAGGTCAGGAGTTTGAGACCAGTTTGGACAACATGGTGAAACCCCATCTCTACTAAAAATACAAAAAGAGTAGCTGGACGTGGTGGCATGCACCTATAATCCCAGCTACTCAGGAGACTGAGGCAGGAGAATTGCTTGAACCAGGGAGGTGGAGGCTGCAGTGAGCCGAGACCACACCACTGCACTCCAGCCTGGGCGATAGAGCGAGACTCCATCTCAAAAAAAAAAAAAAAAAAGACAGTCTACAAAATACCCGTCCAGGACTCCTCAAAGACTGTCTTGAGGTCATCAAAAACAAGGAAAGTCTAAGAAACTATCACAGGTTGTCCATTAGTGGGGGAGGTGTGGGGTCGGAGGCATATGGCCACCCCTTGTACTTTCCACTCAATGTTTCTGTAAATCTGAAACTTCTCTTAAAAAACAAAGTTTATTAATTAAAAAAAAAAAAAAACTAAATGTAATGTGGTATTATGGATGAGATCCTAGACCAAAGGACATTAGGTAAAAACTAAGGAAATCTGAGTAAAGTATAAGCTTTGGTTAATGATAACATCAACATTGCTTCATGTGTTGTGATATTAGTACCACAGTGATATTAACAACAGGGGAAGCTGGGCATGGAGTATAAGAAGATTTGGACTCTTCTTGCAACTTTTCTGCAAATCTAACACTATTCAAAAATTAGAAATTTATTCTAAGCCTCCCTTCCTCAAAAAAGGGTGTAGCTAAAGAAACTAGTACCAACAAGCCAAAAATCATAGGGAAGATGGCAGACAGAAAGCCTCCTGCTCCCCCTGGAATCGCACAGCCTCCTCCCCAAACCCCTCCCTCAGGACTCACCTGGGAGGAGGCTGTCCACGGCAGCTTGAAGCAGCCACAGGCTCTGGAATTGACTCTAACTCGTACACTTTGTTTTTTGGTTACATCTCTCCCCCTGGAGACCACTGTTGCTGCTGATTTCTCTGGCTTCCTTGCCGTCAGCTAAATATTATGTTTCTAGCAGTGAATAGCATGTGGGGAAGATG
This sequence comes from Homo sapiens, assembly GCF_000001405.40. Classification (NCBI taxonomy): domain Eukaryota; kingdom Metazoa; phylum Chordata; class Mammalia; order Primates; family Hominidae; genus Homo; species Homo sapiens. The sequence goes on along the minus strand of NC_000019.10, from coordinate 30,469,896 downwards.
TGGGGGTGGGCTGGGGACAGTCTGGGTGAAGCTGACTTCACTCTATCCCCTCTACAACCTGCACCGAGATTCCAGGACAGGCACCATCCACCTCTGGCATCCCTGGCTGGCTCTGAGGTGCCCTCTCCTATCACACCCATGATGGACATAGGCAGGTGGGCGGTGGGAGCTGTAAGCCAGGCTGAGCGTCCCCAGAGGAGCAGGGTGCCCAGGTGTGGAATACCCAGGTGTGGAATGGGTACACCTGTGCATGGCTTCATTCCATTAATTGAGAACTACCAAATACCCTTTGGGGAATGTGCCTCTATCAGCCAAGGGTTGTTGGGCACCCCAGAAATAGAATAGGGATCCAGGTGTATTGGCTTGTAATGCTCTCCCTTTGAGGAGGAAGATTTTTCCTGGTAACTAATGGGCAAGCAGAGGTGTGATAAAGCCTGCAGCAGGCTGGGGACTCCTGCCATGTTCCTCTTCCTCTCTTTTTTTTTGAGATGGAGTCTCACTCTGTTGCCCAGGCTGGAGTGCAGTGGCACGATCTCGGCTCACTGCAAGCTCCGCCTTCTGGGTTCATGCCATCCTCCTGCCTCAGCCTCCTGAGTAACTGGGACTACAGGCCCACCACCACGCCCGGCTAATTTTTTGTGCTTTTAGTAGAGATGGGGTTTCACCATGTTAGCCAGGATGGTCTCGACCTCCTGACCTCGTGATCCACCTGCCTCGGCCTCCCAAAGTGCTGGGATTACAGGCGTGAGCTACCGTGCCCGGTCATTCCTTTCTTTTATGTCTATGTTTGGAGACTTGGCTTGGTCAACAGCACCATGTTGCAGGGGACATCCTGCTGCAGGGAGTGGGTCTGCAGCAGTCCCCCAGGGCCCTGGGTCATGGGTATCTGGGTCTTCCAGGTGCCAGGGAAGGGAGAAAGCCCCAGGAGGCCTGGAGGGGCCCCCCTTTATGGGGTGGGTGTGACAATCCTCATCGCCTCTGGACATTCTCAGGTGGGAATGGGATGAGCACACTCCTGCCTGGAATCCCTCTCTGCACCTGCACCCCCAAAGCCAAAGCTCCCCATGCCTCTTCTCCCTGTTGATCTCAGGGTCCACACCATCTCTGCCTAGGTGTCGATGGGCATCGGTGCCCAGGCCCTCCCAAGCGCTGCTCTACTCTGCACTCACGACATTTGCTGCTTCTGTCCAGCATACCAGCTTCCCCCAAGACCATATCTCCATCCCTCCATGCTGCTCCGTGCCTTCCCAGCTCTCCCAACCACCATCAAGAACCCCACAGCCCTCACGAACCCCTGCAGAGTCCATACCACCAAGTGACATCTGGACAAGTCGGGCCTTGAGGTTTGTGTTCCCAGCTCAATGCAGACCCCTCGCCCCAGGTCCCAGTTTATGAACTGCCAGAGTGGCGGGGGAGATCCACTTGGCCAGCACCTGCCCTGTGCCTGGCGTGGCACACAGGACCCCATGCAGGCAGCAGCTATGACACTTGGCCAGCCCACCAGGCCCACCGAAGCTTGGCGTTCGAGCTGGGGTCTTCCCCTTCCTCATTCCATCCTCACAACCTGCCCCTCCAAGACATCAAAGTGAATCACAGCATCTTCCCAGCCCCAAGCCTTATCGCCAAGTCCTCCTCTTTGCCCTGGTCTCAGCATTAACCTAGGCTGGGTTGGGGAGTGAGACAGAGATTCTGTTTCTAAAAGGCACAAGGCAAGCTTGAAGGGGAGGTCTGAACTTCCAGTAAAACACACTGGACCACAGGGGTTGTTTTCTGGAATTTCAGTTTCCTACAGAAACCACGCAGCGTATCTTGTCGTGGGCGGTGACACATTTTTCACGGGGCGCTGGTGCCTGTTTGTGCTCACTCACTCCCAGCATGAGCTCCAGGCACTGTGGGGTCACACCCTCCCCTTCCCTCACCTCCTTCCCGGATGGCAGAGCACTGGGCTCACACAGGCCGCTGTGCGGCCAGGGCTGTGGCACAGCTTGCCTTGCAGGGTTAGGAGAGGGAGCTATACCAGGGTGCCTCTGCTCCAGGTGCTGTGGAAAGGGCTGTGACCCCCTCAGGGTACACAGTAGCTACCCAGTGGCTTAAGGTCTGAGCAGAGGCCCATTCCTGACGCCAAAACCCTCCCTCAGAAATGCTCAGTATCTTGGCCAAGGTCCAGACCCCATAGCACAGCACATTACTGCAGAAAGAGGTCCCGCTGGCCTCTGGAGAGCCAGTAGCATAGGATACAATCCATGAATGAATGGCCTTCATGGGTTCAAAGCTGCCACTCCTGTCTTGTGCAGGGGAAGGGAGGCAGAGATCCACCCTCCTTGTCGTCATTCATTTATTCAAGTGTGTACTGAAACAGCCAAAAGGACACACCATCAGCAGATGAATTGGATAAAGAAAATTCGGGATATGCATACAATAGAATACTATACAGCCGTAAAAAGGAAGGAAATCTGTCACAGGCTGCAACATGAATGAATCTTGAGGAGGCCATGCTAAGCAAAATAAGCCAGACATGGAAGGACAATTACTGTGTGATTCTACTTATATGTGGTACTTAGAGTACTCAAATCCATACATGGAAAGTAGAAGGGTGGTTGCCAAGTGCTGGGGGGCGAGAGAAATGGGGAGTTGTGGTGAATGGGTACAGAGTGTCAGTTTTGCCAGAGGAGAAGGGTTCTATGGATGGGTGGTATTGATGATAACATAACCATGTGCATGTAGCTCATACCACAAATCGTGCTCTTAAAAATGGTTAAGGCTGGGTGCAGTGGCTCATGCCTGTAATCCCAGCACTTTGGGAGGCAGAGGCGGAGGATCACGAGGTCAGGAGTTCGAGACCAGCCTGGCCAACATGGTGAAACTCCATTTCTACTAAAAATACAAAAATTAGCCAGGTGTGGCGGTGGGCACCTGTAATCCCAGCTACTTGGGAGGCTGAGGCAAGAGAATCGCTTAAAACCAGAAGGCAGAGTTTGCAGTGAGCCGAGATCGTGCCACTGCACTCTAGCCTAGGCAACAAGAGCAAAACTCCACCTCAAAACAAAAAACAAAAAAAATGGTTAAAATGGTAAGTTTCCTTCCCTTCCTTCCTTCCTTCCTTCCTTCCTTCCTTCCTTCCTTCCTTCCTTCCTTCCTTCCCTCCTTTCTTCCTTCCCTCCCTCCCTCCTTCCTTCCTTCCTTCCTACCTTCCTTTCCTTCTTTTTCTTTCTTAGACTGGACAACAGAGCAAAACTCCATCTCAAAACAAAAAACAAAAAAAAAACAGTTAAAATGGTAAGTTCTCTTTTCTTTCTCTCTCTCTCTCTCTCTTTCTTTCTTTCTTTCTTTCTTTCTAACAGGGTTTCACTCTGTCACCAAAGCTGGAGTGCAATGGTATATCTCAGCTCACTGCAGCCTCAACCTCCTGGGCTCAAGCAATCCTCCTACCTCAGCCTCCTGAGTAGCTACAACTACAGGCATGCACCATCACACCCAGCTGATTTTTGTTTTGGTTTGGTTTGGGTTTTTTTTTTTTTGCAGCAATGGAGTTTCGCTTTGTTGCCCCAGCTGGTCTTGAACTCCTGGGATCAAGTGATCCTCCTGCTTCAGTCTCCCAGAGTGCTGGGATTACAGACGTGAGCCATGGTGTCCAGCCTAAAATGGTAAATTCTATGTTATATGTATTTTTTTTTTAGACAGGGTCTCATTGTGTCGCCCAGGCTGGAATGCAGTGGAACGATCATTGCTCACTGCAGTCTCTACCTCCTGGGCTCCAATGATCCTCCCACCTCAGCCTCCTCCCTTCTGAGTAGCTGAGACCATAGGTGCCCACCACCAGACCCAGCTAATTTTTTAAAAAATTCTTTGCCAGGCACGGTGGCTCATGCCTGTAATCCCAGCATTTTGGGAGGCCGAGGTGGTCGGATCACAAGGTCAGGAGATCGAGACCATCCTGGCTAATGCGGTGAAACCCCATCTCTAATAAAAATATAAAAAATTAGCTGGGTGTGGTGGCGGGTGCCTGTAGTCCCAGCTACTCGGGAGGCTGAGACAGGAGAATGGCATGAACCTGGGAGGTGGAGCTTGCAGTGAGCCGAGATCGCACCACTGCACTCCAGCCTGGGCAACAGAGCAAGACTCCATCTCAAAAATAAAATAAAATAATAAAATAAAATAAAATAATTTTTATAGACATGATATTTTGCCATGTTGGCCAGGCTGGTCTTAAAGTCCTGGGCTCAAGTGATCCTCCTGCCTTGGCCTCCCAAAGCACCAGGATTCCAGGCCTAAGCCACCACACCCAACCTGTTACGTGTATTTTACCACACATTTTAAAAAAGTGTTTACTGAGTCTGTATTATGTGCCAGGCACTGCCGTGGGTGCTGGCGATGTGATAAGGGACCAACCCTGCTCTCCTGGCGCTCACACCAGGGGCAAGTCAACAAATACACAAGAAAGAAAATGAATGAATGAGTGAAGAAGAAAACCAGGAAGAGTGAACAAGGTGCCCTCCAAACACCTCAGAGATGCAAATCCTACAGAGAAACATCTTCAGGGGGTGACTGGGGAGGGATAGTTCCTACTAAGGTCCCTGGAAAGGCCTCCCAGAGGAAGTGGCGTTGAGGTGAAGGTGAGATGAAGCCAGTAACAGGATGGTCTGCGGGGAGAGCAGGCCTGAGAGAGCAGCAGGCAATGCTGAGGCCACTACAGGGCTGGCTTCAGGGAATGAGAATAGAGGCAAGGTGGCAGGGCCTCAGCAGAGTGAGACCAGGGAGAGTGGGAGGTGATGGGGCCTTGTCCGCCACAGATTTAACTCCGTACTTCATGAATGGGAAGTCACTGGGGGATTCTAAGCGTGGAAACAATATGGTTCCAATGACCACTCTGTTGCCTGGGCTGACATCACTGCTCTCTCATCAACCCCGACGGCCCCAGTTCTCATCAGGCAGTCCCTGTTCTCCAGAGTGCTGCATCCCTTGGGGGTTCCAGCCACTTTCCATCCAAATTCCCCGAAGAGCCACAGCCATCAAAGGGGCCCTCTAGGCCTCCACAGAACCTTGTGCTTCCTGGTAAGGAACTCGGGCAGGAGGAGGAGCCCCACCCTGATGGACCCCGCTTTGCCCTCTCCCTCCTGGGCACTCATGTTCTGCCCTTTCTCCTGTGCTCAGGCTCTCTCTCCCCTGAATAGTCTCCTGGACCCATGTGCCATTCTTCCCATGGGACCTACTTCCTGGAGATGACAGCGTGTCATCAACCACTAACCAAAAAAGGACCATTGACCCCAATGCACCTGGCTGCACACATTTCCAAGCAGAAGCTGGCGGAGCTGCCACTTGGGGTCTTGGTGATTTCCAGGAAAATCATGATCCCATGATTTTCATCCAATTCATGACTCCCCTAACCCACTACCTTCTTATTCTTGAAATTTGTTCTTTCTGACCTTATGAAATGGCTGGGAGAAGATGTGTTGGAATTTCAGGAAAGGGAGATTCCTATGTTATGTGCATGCAGAGGTCAGGAAAAGCTGATTGACCTTTACCCCTCGAGGGCCCAGCGCCGTCTGGTCCCCAGGCTCTGGTCGACACCCCCAGCTGGCTGCAGAATGTGTGGGTGCCTTTCTGAAATCCCTGCCTTGTGGTAAACTCAGTCAGACTCACTTCCACCCCCATCGCCCCAGGCCTGCACCCCTAATCCTTCATCGTGTCCATAGAACTTGGTCAGCTAAACCCGTAAGCAGCGATGTGATCACTTTGCAGGTGCTGGCCACAGGGCTTAGGCCTTAAACACTCCGCAGACCTAAGAGGCAGTGACCGCAGTTGAAGGTTGTACCCCTGGCTTCCAACAGGCACAAGTGAATGAGGCAGCTACTCTGTTGGTGAACTTCAACAGGAGGGAGGCAAGAGAGAAAACAGCTACTCCTAGAGCCGCCTCTTAGGCTCGTGAAGGAGAATAATCATCCAGGGAGAAGTTGGACATGGAGCCAAGGTCACCACTGTCCCTGAGAGGGGGTCCCGAGGATGCTGACAGCAAACAGAACACATCACCATGAGGTTTCATCCCCGAGCCACACCACCATGCCTGCACCCCATCTCAAACCCCCACGCTCCCTCATGCACCTGGTAACCTGCCCAGCTCACAATAACCCCCACCAAAAGTCTACGGTGGCAGGCCCTGTGCTGTAAATTTAGGTTCTTACAGGAAGAGCGGTGGGAAGGACTAAATCCCAGTTGGCTGCTGGGCAAAGTGCCTTTTGTGCTGAGAGAAGGCATTTCATTTCATTCTGTATAAGTTGACCACATTCCCTGACATCTGCTGTGCTCTATGCCCCGTGCAGGGAAGCATGATGGAAAGACGGCTGAAGAAAACACAACCCCTGCCTCATGGAGCTCACGGACCTCCTCCGGGCACAAGGCTGGCTGAGCTCCAGAACAGAGGCTCCCTGAATGGGGACCCCAGAGCCTCAAGCCCCAGCTTCTTCCAGGAGGTGCTTGAGGCTGGAGAGGCCACAGCTGCATACTGGAAGGCAGGGCTTTCTGCATTTCCCAACTTGCACCCCAAAAGCCAGATCTTCCACCTGAGGCTGAGCCAGCATTAGGGAGGGAAGACCCCTCTAGTGATGAGCGAAGGTTTTGGAAAAAGGGGCAAGGACAGTCTCAGAACCCAGATACCTCTCCTCTAAGGAAAGTTGAAGGTCATAGTCCTTGGGGGAGGTCAAATCCACCCTATGTAATAATAAGCCATCATGATATGCAACACACATGCACCCCCAATCCATGCCAACACAGGCAAATGCATACAGATACACGCATCCCAACACACACATCCTTATCCACACAACACACACCCCATCCCATTCCAACACAGGCAAATGCGTACGGATACAGGCATCTCAACACACACATCCTTATCCACACAACACACACCCCATCCCATTCCAACACAGGCAAATGCATACGGATACGCCCATCCCAGCAAACACATCCTTATCCACACAACACACACCCATCCCATGCCAACACAGACAAATACATATGGATACACCCATCCCAACACACACATCCTTATCCACACAACACTCACACCATTCCATTCCAACACAGGCAAATGCATATGGATACATGCATCCCAACACACACATCCTTATCCACACAACACACACCCTATCCCATTCCAACACAGGCAAATGCATATGGATACACCCATCACAACACACACATCCTTATCCACACAACACACACCCCATCCCATGCCAACACAGCAACATAATTGCACACCCAAATGCCACATCCTAACACTTCCCAATAACCACAAAGATACTGACATTCACATCCCAAGTCACTGTCACCTGTGCACACATCAATACACATACTCAACACAGGCACATCCTCTCTCATACCAAGACAGCCATAGCCCAAGACACACACGCCAACACATACACACAGGCACAGAGGGATACATGCACCCGCAGCTACCTACACCTGAAAAATTAAGGTAACTTGCAGATATACATACAGCATCACCACCCCAAGACAGCACAAGCACACCCACCAATATATCCATATCCCCACATGCACAACACACATTCAACACACACACACACACACACACACTCACACACACAAAATCACAAGAAAAGAACCTGCTGGCCTCCTCCCATCCATCACAGCAGACTCAGCCCCTCTACTGAGTCCTGGGCCCTTTCTCCAAGAGCATCTTAGGTGGGGCCAGGGCCTCGTGCCAGCCCCAAGCTTCCTGCTGCATGTGTCCAGTGCAAAGTGGCTGCTTGCTCCAGCCCTCTGTGCCCACAACAACAAAACTCTCAGCCACCCCTCCTCTGGAGGCCCTCCCAGACAATCATCTAGCCCTCCTAATTTACAACCCCATGGACTGCCCTGACCAGGCCGGAGGATTAGAGATCTCCTTCTTCTCTTTCTCTTTGTCTACTGATGGGGGAGTCTCTCCTCTTCTGGAGAAGGGGTGGGGGTGGAGAGCTGACTTCCGGATGGTGTCTGCAAGCTCATGCACAAGGCAGCACCGGCGGTGCCAGCAACGTTCTTCTACCTGCAGGCCCCTTCTCCCACCAGCCACACATGCAGGCCATCTCCCCACACGGAGCTGCGGGCTAGAGCATGTAAAGGACACTCATGAAGCATCATAGTGTCAGAAGGGACTGGGGAACTGAGACGGGGGCAAGCTCACACAGGCGGAGAGCCGGGCAGCCCAAGTCAGGCTGTGCTGGCCTGTCTGCCAGCCCATGCTCCTGGGGCCTCAGAGGGCCTCTTCCCCTTTCCTCCTCCCTGTCTTAGACACTAGGGGAACAAGTGTGACCTTGAGCAGGGGCTCGGGGATATTCACAACCACAGCTCTGGGGGGTCACCTCAAGCCTAAGTGTGGGGCTCAGGGGGGTCCCATCAGACATCACCAAGGGAGTAAGTGCTGGGCTATCCTCCTTCCCTGCTCCTTTCTCTGAAGGGATGTCGGGATGACTCCTACTGAGAAGCAAAGAGAGGGAAGTGGTGACCTCTGACCTCCCTGCAGCCTGTCCTACCAGCAGCCGAGTTTGCTGGTGAGCTGCATTCTGCCTTCTGCTGCATTTACACAACTCCCAGCATGGCCCAAAGGTGGAGTTAAAAGGCGTGAGGTCACACAGAGGTGGGTTCAAATGCCAGCTCTGCCACTTCTAGCCTTACAACTCAATCCAACCTCTCCATGCCTCAGTTTACACAACCGCTGATACGCTGTCCCCTCCAGACCTCTGGGAATCTCTGGGAGGGCAGATTCCCAGTGATACCTTCTGTGGAACACTCCTGGGAAACAGGGAAATGGGAGCCCATGCCAGAGGCCTGGGCTCACCCTATGCCCAACCCCTCCGACGCGCCCACACGGCCTGACCCTGCAGTCTTATCTCCTTCTGTGTCCTTTCAGAGTGAGGACAAATGTAGGTTTGGGGGGCAGGCATCTTGTTTCTACCTGGGGAAGAGGCAGTGAAGGAGAAGGAGGTGCAAGGAAGATGACCAGGCTGTTCCCTTGTGCTTGAGAGGACATCCCAGGCCCTGCACCCTGAGTCGCAATCCCTGAGCTAACCACTGTTTTTCTGTGGCTTCCCAACTCTCTTTTATGTGTGGGCCATTCCCAAAGACAGGCCAGCTTCTCCTCAAGAGCAGGGAATCCCACCTTCCCTTCCTCTTGGGTGCCACCCCTTTCTCCACTAACATGATGAGGGACACAGTCCTGCACACACAGTGGCCACATGGAAGGATATGTCATTTGGCTTTGCTGGTGTCCATTGTCACTTCCTAGCTGAGATGAGACTCAGTATTACCAAAAAGAAGAGAACAGGCAGGAATGGACTCCTGGAGAAAGTGGCCAAAGAACTCGCTGACCCATGTAACACAGTCATATCTCTGTGATGGGAGAATGAGAGGACAGAACCTCGTCACCATGTGCAGACTCCAAACCACCTTGCTCAGGGAGGCCAGGACACCTCTTCAGGTATCCTGAGCAGGAGGGCCAGTGCCTCTGCTACTAGAAGAACCTCGGAGCGGTGACATTTTGGACACCATTTAGTTGCCCAAGCTCCATGCCTCCTCCTCCGTCTGAATCTCTGTGAGAAAGCTTCTCTCTGTCACATTCGGCCACGGGATGGATGAGCTGGCATTCTCTCTTTCCCACTCCTCCAAGGACTAACTTCCTTGCCATGAACCAAGTGGTACACCCCATTCCCCTGGCAGCAGTGACTGGTTCAGGAATGGGCATAATAGTACAAAAACACCTAGTAGGATGCAAGAAGATCATTGCTAGACCTCTAGAAAAAAGTGCTGCTCTGTTTGGTGGCATGGGGATGTGAGGTGTGAGCTATGGCAGCCATTTTGCTACTATGAGGTAAGTCCATGGGGTTGCCGTTTGAGCTGCTAACTCCACCTCAGTTAGAGTCCAGACCTTCCAGTTCCGTGAATCTCACTGCTCCTCTGTGGTTATAATTGTAGTTAAAGTCAGTTTGAATTGAGACTCACTGTGGCATGTTGGGCAGGAACTAAACCATCTTGAATTTGCTCCACACAGAGAAGGAAAGCTGCCTGCCTAGGACAGCATCAGTGACTGCTCGACAAGGGCACCCTAATCAACCTCCAGCGAAGAGAGCCTGATGCAAACAACTGGTCCCAACATCGCACTAGGGATATAGACAAATGGCTACCAGATTCAATGACACAAACCAGTGAGGCCGACCCCGTGAGCTGCACACCTCCCAACAGTCACTCTGCAGGCCAGGTACAGTGGCACAGGCCTGTAATCCCAGCACTTTGGGAGGCCAAGGCAGGTGGGTCACTTGAGGTCAGGAGTTCGAGACCAGCCTGGCCAATATGGTGAAACCCTGTCTCTACTAAAAATACAAAAATTAGCCAGGCTTGATGGGATGCACCTGGAGTCCCAGCTACTTGGGAGGCTGAAGTGGGAGAATCACTTGAACCGGGAAAGCAGAGGTTGCAGTGAGCCAAGACGGAGCCATGGCATTCCAGCCTGGGTGACAGGGAGAGACTCCATCAAAAAAAAAAAAAAAAGAGAGAAAGAAAGAAGGAAAGAAAGAAAGAAAGAAAAGGAAAGGAAAAGAAAGAAAGAAAGAAAAAGAAAGATGTACCCAAATGAAATAAACATTCAATGGGGTAAAAAAAAAAAAAATGAAAATGATAAAAATGAAAAACCAACCACTCCCCTGGCCAAGTTGCCCATTTTCACCTGTTTGTGTTTGTATTGTATAGCGTAGAAATAAACCTCATAACAGATGACGTCTATTGAGCACTGGAGTCTTCACTAAGGGCTTTATAAAGAGAGGCAAACACTACCATCGTCCTCATTTTTACATGGAGGAAACCAAGGCACAGAGAGGCTGAGGAGCCCTTGCTGGGCCACACAGCTCCTAAGGGCCAGCACCAGAGTCCTCGGCCACAGTTAACACACTCACAGACGTGCTGGGTAAAGCAGGGGCCCTGGCAGTGCCCCTCCAGCTGCAAGGCTCTGCCTCTATGGCATCCAGGAGAGATGGGAGGTGGAAGGGGGGCCCACGGGAAATGAGATAGAAGAGAGTCTCCCCAGCCCCTCACCAGGCACATGGGTCCCTCAGAGACGACACGATGAAGCTCAGATGCAAAAATCAGCAGGAAATCAGCCAGGCGTGGTGGCTCACGCCTGTAATCCCAGCACTTTGGGAGGCTGAGGTGGCCGGATCACCTGAGGTTGGAAGTTCGAGACCATCGTGACCAACATGGAGAAACCCTATCTTTACTAAAAATACAAAATTAGCCTGGTGTGGTGGCATATGCCTGTAATCCCAGCTACTCGGGAGGCTGAGGCAGGAAAATCTCTTGAACCTGGGAGGTGGAGGTTGCAGTGAACCGGAGATCACGCCACTGCACTCCAGCCCGGGCAACAAGAGTGAAACTCGGTCAAAAAAAAAAAAAAAAAAAAAAACAGCAGGAAATTGAGGAAATACTTGGACCCTAGGAACGTTAATTCTCTACTCAAGGAACAGCAGGTAAGACCCTTTAAAATCACCCCCAAGCCATGGAAACATTTAGGAAGGGAGAGGAGAGAAAGGTGGGGGAAACATTGAAAGATGAAGGAAAAATGGAAGCTGAGAGGCGTCTCCGAATCTTCTACACTTCCCCACCCAAATTCCCATGATGTGGAGGAAAAAGCCAAAGCCCAGAGAAGGAAAGCGAGCTGCCCAAATAGTCCAGCAGGATGACTAAACGCATGGCCCCGAAAATGTGTGTGGGGCCCGGCTCCAAAGTGAAGTGGGGACGTTCCGCCCTCAGCCTTTCCTTTAACGTGAGAAAATGTGTTTGTCTCTGGCTTAATATCTAAGTATATGACGTTTTGCTTCATCAGAAGATAAAGGGCAATTGACTAGAAGTCACTTCCACCCATTCTCATAGCAAGCCCTCGTTCAGTTCATGTCCCACCCACCACCCAAAAAGAAGAGGGGCCGTATCCACGAGTGCCTGCAATCCTCTGCTGCAGGCTGCAGATGGACGTTCTGACATACTGGGGGTGCAGCCCTCCCATGAGACACCCAGAGCCCCTGTGGGGCAGGTATGGACAGTTCCTAAGGCAGACAGGGAAATGGATAAAATGTGAGCCCTCCTTCCCAGTGTGGGGCCTCACAGGTTCTCTGCACGCTCCAGCTGCAGGGTCCCAGTAGGAGCCTCACACCCCTGACCACCTGATGTGTCTTCCTCCATTCATGAGCCACTGCCTCCAAGGACAGCATGGTCAGGGGGCCATGAGCTGGAGCCAGGAGCCTGCCTCTCACTTTCTGGTGTGGAGAACTGTCCTGCGTCCCCCAGAGTGCTCTCCCTCGGGGAGGCCCCCTATGTGGTGTGTAGGGTGCAACAAAGCTTTCACTGGGCCTCAGCAGCTCCCATCCTGCTCCGGCCCTCTCCCTCCCTTCCCAGCCTGGGATGCCTTCCTGGGAAGCACCCACTGGACTCTTCTCCCAGGGCCTCTTCTGTATGTGACAAGGCATTTACTTAGACTGTGGCTCCCAGCCAGGGAAAGAACAGCAGCCAGCCACAGTGGCTAAAAGAGACTTGTCTGCTTCCTCCAGGAAGTCACCAGGATTGGCCTAATTCTACAGAGGGAAAGAGTTACTCCTCCTTGCCAAAGAAGTCGCTGAGCTAATTGAAGTGGTTCCTTGCCCTTTCAGATCCTTTGAGAACAAACTGGGCACCAAGGTGCTCCCACAGGCCCCAGGGTAAACCCTCCCATGTGTCTGTCTCACTCTGTGAATTACCTGTCCAGCACCTAGAGGCTGTGGGCTTCCAGACACTGAGATGCATCTCTATTCATCTTTTTTTTTGTTTTTTTTTTTTTTTGAGATGAAGTCTTGCTCTGTTGCCTAGGCTGGAGCGCAGTGGTGTGATCACAGCTTACCACAACCTCTGCCTCCTGGATTCAAGCAATTCTCCTGCCTCAGTCTCCCTAGTAGCTGGGATTACAGGCGCCCACCACCACGCCCAGCTAATTTTTGTATTTTTAGTAGAGATGGGGTTTTGCCACGTTGGCCAGGCTGGTCTCGAACTCCTGACCTCAAGTGATCTGCCCACCTTGGCTTCCCAAAGTGCTGGGATTACAGGCATGAGCCACCGTGCCCGGCCTCTACTCATCTTTGCATCTCCAGCACCTGATGCCTTGCTCAGTGTTCAGAAGCCACTTAATAAGCATTTCATCATTCAGTGAATAAATAAGTGAATTAATGATTGAACAAACAAATGAGTGTATTTATGAATGAACAAATAAGTCACAGAGTGGCGTGGTGATAGGGAACTACCTAGCTTCAGGGAGACAGGCTTCAGTACAATCTTACGAGGGGATTTTCTCATGGTGCAAACACCAGCGTAAAACAAACAGTCTAGAGCCGCAGCACACAGTGGGTGGTTTAGCTCTGCCACCTCGGACTCACCAGCCTGTGACCAGAGAGTCTACTGCGAGGCAACACACCTAAGGAAATAATGGTGCAGAAGATCAGAATGATCGATGAGGTCACAAATGCTGCAGAAACGTACACCTCAGAGGTTGCATCTCAGGCAAAAAAAAAAAAAAAAAAAAGAAAAGAAACAAGTCCCGTGTTCACGAATCAGAGATTGGCTAAACCATTTTATAGATATAGAGTTTTTCTTGGATTCTCCATCTTTCTAGCATTTCCTCCATGTGCATATTACTTGTGTAAAGCTTGGGGAAAAAAAAGTATAACTATTACTATTAGGACAGGAATCTGCAAGCAACAGCCCAGGGTCCAAATCTGAACCATTGCCAATTTTTGCAATTTCAATAAAGTTTTATTGAAATACCATCACACTCTTATTTATGAAAGAATTGAGTGTTTACTACAGAAACCACATGGCCCCCAAAGCCGAAAATACTCATTAGCTGGTTCTTTACAGGAAAACTTTGCTGATCCTGGTGGGAAATGTTCAATGACAAGAAAAAATATGACATACATTTCAGTAAGAACTTACACAGAAGTATGTACTTTTTGGCTAACTACATTTTTAGTTGCATAAAAAGGACTGGAAAAGTATGAATTAAAAATGTTCACCTCGAGTTTGATAGATCAGTAGGGTGACGAGAGTTAACAATAATCTATTGTACATTTCAAAATAGCCAAAAGAGAATAATTCAAATGTTTCTAGAATAGAGAAAAGATAATACTTTTTGAGACAGGGTCTTGCTCTGTTGCCCAGGCTGGAGTGCAGTGACACAATCTCATCTCACTGCAACCTCTGCCTCTTGGGCGTAAGCGATCTTCTCACCTCACCCTCCCAAGTAGCTGGGACTACAGGCATATGCCACCGCTCTGGCTAATTTTTGTATTTTTTGTAGAGACAGGGTTTCGCTATATTGCCCAGGCTGGTCTCAAACTGCTGGGTTCAAGTGATCTGCCCACCTCGGCCTCCCAAAGTGTTGGAATACAGGCATGAGCCACTGGATCCAGCCAAGATAAATATTTAAGGTGATGAAGGTCCCAATTACCCTGATTCGATCTTTACACATTATATGAATGTATCAAATTAGCACAGGTACCCTAAAATCTATACATAAACTATGCATCGATAACAAAATATTTACTAGTTTAGTGAAAAAAAAAGTGTTCACAGTGATTATTCCTGAGTGGTGGTAGGCATACACATTTAATTTTTTTTATTTTTTATTTATCTGTATCTCTTAAATGTCCAAGATGAACAAGAATTACTTTATAGTAAGAAAAAAAGAATAGTGAAGTCATTGAACAACAACAGCATCATAAAGTCAGTGAACGGGACTCGTGGACGAGACCAAGTAGAAACTTTGTTTGTTTGTTTGTTTGTTTGTTTGTTTGTTTTTGAGATGGAGTTTTGCTCTTGTTGCCCAGGCTGGAGTGCAATGGCTTGATCTCGGCTCACCGCAACCTCCTCCTCCCGGATTCAAGCGATTCTCCTGCCTCAGCCTCCCGAGTAGCTGGGATTACAGGCGCCCACAACCAAGCCCGGTTAATTTTTGCATTTTTAGTAGAGACAAGGTTTTGCCATGTTGGCCAGGCTGGTCTCGAACTCCTGACCTCATGTGATCCACCTGCCTCGGCCTCCCAAAGTGCTGGGATTACAGGAGTGAGCCACCACACCCGGTCCCAAGTGGAAAGGTTTTGAAGGTCACTAAAAAGGACATTTCCGAGGGGTCTGGCCCCAGCCAGAGACGGACATGAACACTGCCAAGCCTTCTCTCTCAACAGGGATTATGATGCCACATAGCAGCTTTGCTGCAGGATCACTCCAATTTTTCAGGGCAAACTACTGAGTTTTTAAAAAATGAAATGAAACGAAAATAAAAACACATATTTTAGCAACAAATTTAAAAATATACATATTTAGCAATAAAGAGAAGCATGTATCTGTCTTGATCTTCAAGAAAACCACCACTGCATACACTTCATGTTGAACTCAACGTTAACATGTTGAACATGTTCCAGAATGCCTCTCAAGATGATTGAGGACAACTGAGAGTGTCCAAAAGCCACGATGACCACCACTGTGCTAAGAGTTTCTGGACATTACTTTAATGAAGAGAAGAGAGCACTGTGGCGCGATCCTGTTTCATCGTGCATCAAATGGTTTTGGAACTGAGGTCAGACAAAAGAAAAGAAACTAGCGTTGGCCAAAAGTCTAGTCCTACAAGTTGCCTCTGTAAAGGAAAGGACTGATTTCTCCGTGAAATGCCCTGGGCCCCATGGCACAGAGTAAAACTGAAAGGTTCCTAAAGGTAGACACTGCTTGCAAGAAAAGCTGGAAAATGACCCTGTCCTTTGGAAGCAAGTGAGGAGGTGTTAAAGCCAAGCCCGTCCTCATGCCCACATTGGAGGCAGCCTCCTGGCTGGGCACCGTTAAGGGGAGGGCCGGCCTCCCATGTGGTGTGGTGGGCAGCCAAGCCAAGGAGTCAGCTTGTGCTGTGCCTCTCGCTTCTCCCAGACACATGCCACATGTCACACAAAAACCCCAAGGCTCACAGCAACAAAGAGATGGGTCCCACAAGAAGCTAAGCCCTGGACAACTTTCTCTTGGGGGTGGTGGAAACAGGAGGCAAATGAATTCTGCCTGGACTGCTGCCCTTGCTTTCGGCATGGCCCCCGTTTTGCCCAGGCCCACCCATCAGGTAGCTGAAGATGGTGTTTGTTCAGACACGCATTGTTTTGGGACTCTGCAGTCTTTTTTGAAGATGTGGCTCAGGGAAAGGATGGTAGCAAATCTCTGTGCTTAGTTTGCCCTGTTTGTTGCAAGCTGAGCCGCTGAGTTCTAGATCCTGTCTCACAGGCACATTTCAGAGGCACAGCATTCATTTCTTATATTCTGCTAATCAGCCCTGCTATTACAGGGAAGGAACAGTCACTGACCAATCCCGGCTGGCGCCACCCCATCATACTCACAATATACAAGGACTTAGGTGAAGAGAGTAAGCAAAATGCAACACAAAACAAATAGATGGAAAATACAGCCCTAGTAAACCTAAACCAGACCTGGCTCGAGGATGAACCGAGGGCCCCACAGACAGCAAAGAGCCCACATGCACCCCGAGGTAGACCTGTCTTATCTACCTGGCTCCCAGGGAAACCCAGCCCGGCTCAGGTGCCTCAGTGAGCAGGTTCTGCCCAAGAAACAAGTCCCACAGCTCTGCCCAAGTCCTGTTCCCCTAAGTTCCTTTTGGGGGTGGGGGGGACACAGCTTTCTGAAAAGGGCTTTCCAGATGGCGCCTGGCTGCGGCAGTGCCAGACTCCACAGCTTAAGTAAATGTTGCCATCGCCCCATCCTGCCAGCAAAAGACAAGGGGGACCCATGGCCGCTCTCAGCTGCAGCAAAGCTCACTTCCTGGGGAGATCAGAGTCCCCCCACCACCTGCCCACCCCCCCGACACCATGCACCCCTCTTGGAGAGCCCCTTTCCTCTGCATTTGCAAGCCTCGCTCAGCCCCCGCCTCCTTCCTCCACATGCCAGCACCATCAACAAGGGTGGAGAGATGCACCCATCAGATGCCGACAGAGGAGAGGAAGACGAAGGGAGGTGAGACACCCAGAAGGGCAGCAAACAGGCCCAAGGGTCACAGATGGCAAAGGTTCCAGTCCAATCATCACGGATTTGGGAAGTGTGCACAAATCCAATCTCCTGATCTCTGCAGGTGTTTCTCCACCCCTGCCATCAATGCTCCAAAACAGCTCTACGGGTAAAGGAGTTAACTACTCACTCCCCTGACTTCCCAGGCTCAAAAGGCTTCCAAATGCTCCCTGCACAGTTCTTTCCCATGAAATTCACTGTCTCCATCTCTAGGTCTCCAAGTATACCCACGGTCTCTCTCTAGAACCAGTGGAATATCGAGGCCAGTATAACAGGCCTTGTTGAAGCCAGCCCTGTCCCCACCCCTTTGAGACATCAGGGCTACCTGCCAGAAACTTCTCAGGGAGAAGGGGCAGACGTGGGAAATGCACTGAGATGTAGAGGAAGAAAGTCTTACCTTACCCTTCCTGGGAACGCACTTCCTATGAACAGGACACAAAGCTTCAAACCAGAGAAAGAATTAGAAAGATAAGCAACCTGGCAGTGAAGGGATCTGGGCGGCCAGAAGGACCCCAATCTGCCCTCTATGCAGAGGCTGCCCCAGCTCTGCAGAAGTGGCCCCTGGCAGGGCTCACATAACACAGTGGGCATCATTTCCCAGCTACCTGAGTGCATGGTAAGCATGGGAGTGGGTAAGAGTCAGATCCTGGAAGCTCGTGATACCTGCTTCTGGCCAAACCATCAATCAAGGGACACCTTGTGGCTGTCTGCAAAGCAAATTACTAACTCCCACCCCAACACACCCAAGGTGGTGGTCAAGACCTGAGCCTGGAACCTCCCATTCGAGTCAATGGAAATCACGCAGCTAATGCTTCAAGCTCTGTTTTGAAAATTGACCGCTTAATTCCTTGCCTCATTGTAACCTGTCCTTAGCTAATCTATGTTTTCCTTATTTCCATTAAATTTAGGTTTAAATGAACTGTTCCGTCCCTTGCGCTAACATGCATAGGGAGGAGAGCTTCATGGAGCTCCTCAGAAGCTCCGTGGGCAGGAGTGTTGGAAACAGAAGGGCAGCCCAGGCAACAGCGGTGTCCATCCCACAGATGGGCCAAGTGAGGCCGCCAGAGAAACACATTTGAGTGACTCCGCGGCCTCGAATCTAATCCCTCACAAGCAAAACCATGTCCTGCCTGTTAAGTGCTGGAGCAGAGAGGGTGCTCTGCCTCTGCAATTTTATGCCACACATCTCTGATGTTACACTCCTAGTCTGAAGACTTTCAGAGCCTGTGCAAGTACCCTCTTTCTGAAATGCCAAGTGACGGTGGACTGGCATCAAGCAGCCCCGGAGAAGCGGGATTTATGGCTCCATGTAAAGGGGTCAGAAAGATGGTAAAAGCCCCGAAGTGTTACTGATTGTTCCCAAATCATCGCTCCTAAGCACGAGATGATACAAGTCTACCAAGTGAATGGGAAGTTTATAAAAAGAAACTGCTGGTAGGCATCCGGCTCCGGGGAAGGAGGAGGATGATGTGACAGCCGCACATGAACCAGCATCTGAGAGCAACGGCGATCCCGGCACGAGCAGGGCGTCCCAAGTGGACAGACCACCCTTGGGCCCCAGCGGAAAGGTGGCCGCCAGGGGAAGACACGGGGGCCTCTGACCCTGTGCCCCATCTGACATTCCCCAGGAGCCACCTGACCAGCCGGCTTATTCGCCTAGGCGGGCGGCCACCTCAGCTCTCGGCTCTCAGCTCAGGGGACGGGCCTTGGCCGGCGTCCGCCTGGGCACAGCTTCGGCACACACGAGCCGATCCTCCGTAAATCTCCGCAAACACGGCGGCCGCCTGCACACGCTTCCACGGCAGAGACCGAAGGGCTGCATATGGCGCTCGGCTTTCACAGCTGAGCTTTAAAAAAAGTGCAGCTTTTCATCTCACTGAACCAGTTCCCAAATTAGGAGGTGGGGAAGGAAGGCTGGAGTTGGGGTGGGCTGGGGGCAGAAAAATAAGGAAGCAGGGGACAGGGGGAGGCGTAGGGGGAACCTTTAAGGCTAAATGTGATTTTAAAAGGAATCTCAGACTATGATCTGTTCATAAGGTCCCTCTGGAAAATTAAATAATGTTGCCTATTTGTCATCCCCAAATTGACTAATTTCAAGTTCCTAATATCATTTTTAAAATGATTTTTTAAATATATAACAATGAAGGAGGCTATCTAAGAGGGCATCACTCACATGCTTGAGCCTGGGCTAAAAAAATTTTTAAGCATTATTTATAAATGGGATTATTGTTTTCCAAAGTTCTCCTCCACAAAGAGATTAGCTGCCACCATGCCCAGGGGGGTCTCCCCAAGTCCTTTTTAATTCCCTGCCTAGAGGTGGAAGGTGGTTGGACTGGAACAGGAGGAAGAAGCCTGCTCCGGCAGTTTTCCTGGAATTGCCTGGAAACTTTTACTTTCTGTTTCCTCTGCTGATAATGACTGTCTTCGGCTCTGCAGCCAGCTCCCCTCTCCCCCCCTCCAGCCCCCTGTTGCTGCAGCCTCCCCGAGCTCCGGTATAAAGTTTGGCTTTTGCAGCAGGAAGCAGCTGGGCCAAGCAACCAGCGAATGATAATGACCTCAGAAATCTGCTGTTCGCTCGGCAACAATAGGGTGCTCAGTCTACTGGAAAATTGTGTTCATCAGCTAACTCTGCTCAGTTACTAATTGACATTGCCAAATATTTTAAGAACAATTGGAATGCACAAGCAAAAAAAAAAAAAAAAATGAAGATCTTAATCCTCAAACTCAAATTTTTTTTCTTTTTCTTTTTCTTTTTCTTCTTTTGGGTGCCTGGATTTGTTTGTGTGTGGAGCAGGCACCGGTTATCGTGAACGGGGGCAGGGAGGGGGAGCCACATGAGAAAAAGAGGTGGAAAAGAAAGAAAATCTATCATATCACTATACACCCCATGTAAATGCGAAAGCGCCCCAGATAAAGGCCTTTGATGCTGTGGTCAATGGGATGGAGACCCAGCATTTCAGGAATGCAGCTCTAACAACAAAAGAAGACCTCGCAAGGCTTTTAGCCCAGCTGACCAAATAATCCTTGTCCATCTCAAAATATTATACCAGAAGTAGTAGGGGTTAACGATATTTTCATCTTCGCATCTCTCCCTGGCTTTCCATTGATCCTGTAACTTAGCCGACTTTATTTAATGAACAGAGGGTCAATGCATTCAATTACCCCCTTCCCACCATCAACACTTCAATTATCCCCACTCCAAAATTATGTGGAATTCAGAAGGTAACTGCCCTGTTGGATATAATGAACAGTATCATTTCTTAGTACATTAAGTTTTAATTATTCTGAGTGTGATTTCCAAAGCAAAATCTGAAGAAACAGAACTTTGGTTGTGTTCTGACTCAGAGCAAAGCGAGGATTCGAGCTCAGCCCTAGAGGAGGTTTTAGAGAAAGATGCAAAGATTAATGCCATAAGAGTGTTTGCATGCAAGCCAGAAATGAGGAGGCATCGAAACAGCCACCCCGCTTTCTAAATGCCATAAAAGTAAAATTAATAAGCTGCTGCTTTCCAAACAGTTTCTCTTTGCATTGTACACGGAGGCTACATTGAATGACATTGACCACGGTGTGAAATTACTGGTAAGTCAAATAAACAACAACAAAACAAAAATAAAACAAAGGGGGAAGATGGGGAAGTGATCTGTGTGACTAGTTTTGTCCATTTTCTGTTAGAAAATATGACCTCTCAATTTGTCAGAGGTCCTAGTTTTCGCAGTTGATCTTAAGCTTGGTTCTCAGCAGTTTGGAGAGCCAAAGAACAAACACATTTTCTGGTTCACTGGAATCATTTTCACATGTTCACTGATTCAAACATTCTTTTGCTCACATAACAAACAGCTGCATCCCACATTAGCCTAGCCAGTGACAGTCGCCCATCTCGGCAATAACTGTTTGATTGCAAACTTGACCCCTTCTTCATCTCGGTCTGAGCAAGACATTTTTAAACAGCCACTCCGTTCCCAATCCTTCTTTGCAAAGAATTACATCAGATAACAAAGGACGTCTCTGCCACTCATTGTAAGCCTTCTTCTAGAGATCTGTTCTAAGAGGCTCTGTAAAAAGGTTTTTTATGATGAATTCAGAACTACTATCATGTTAAGAGCAGCGATTTATAAAGAAGAATTCATTGGTTAAGATCTGAAAAAATAGTTTCTCAGGCCCTACTGACCCAGTTTTCAACAAAAAAAAGAATCAAGTGATGCAAATTAAGTTTTGCGACATTGTTATGCAGTCTGAGAAATTTGTAAAACCGTGTTTTGCAGTTATTTCTTAATAGAAGCCTTAATAAGTACTTCTTTCTTTACTTAAGGGCTTAAAGATTTTTTCTCTCTCTCTCCTTCACCTTGCAGGTTTCTCTTTAACAGGTAATAATAAAATACCCATTGTATCCAGATTTTTATTTAAATGCTTATTTTAATCGCACTTCTATACAAGTCAAACTTGTTGGAAATAAGAGGGAGGACTAACCAGATTTGGTTAAGAGTCCTAAATCCCAGGGAAACCTGAATGCCCCAGACGCACAGCTGATTCGGGTTGTATATTGGTATGCCCTCAATTCTCCTACTTAGTCAGAAAATTATGAAAGGGTCTAATTTGAATATGAAGAAAACAAAGAAGTCAACCAGAAATGAAAGAATCAGTATTCACAATTGTAAAATACTTCAATGAGGGGAAATAAAAGTGAGAAGATAACCACAACTCAAGTATAATTCTCTTTTGAGTCATGAGCACGGTTGGTTCTTTTTAAGCAAAATGGGTTTTTTCAACCAAGCACTGAGAGATAGGCAAGCAACAGAGATAGGAATAGCATGAGGCTATCACTTGGCCAGAAGGTGAGAAAAACACGGTAAACACGTCATTAATGAAGCTGAACATTTGGTGTCAGAATATTCTGCCGAGACCCTTACATTTCAGGAGGTCTGAGAGAGGGATGGAAATCTGTCAATGTTAACTCCATGTCACTCTAAAAACTTAGGGGAACCAGTTTGCTGTCTGCACCCTGTCCTGTAAAGGTCCTAATCCAGAATCAGAAACGACACATGCCAGAAGAGCAGACCTCATCCTAGGAGGCCAGAAAGAGCTCCTCCTGACATTGGGACACCTGGCACTTGGCTGCCTCTCAAGTAGGGATCTATCTTTACATGGTGAAAACCCTTCCCTCGAATCTTAGTATGTTCCATGTGACAGTCGCTCCAGGTAGTGTGACCTCACGCCTCCTTGGCACTCATGCTGCTGGTTAGACACTTCCTAAGTGTCTCATCCGTAATAAATCCCAAACAAGTCTAGGACTCCAGGAGTAGACAGTGTGTTTCATGGGTATTTAAGCAGCGGCATTAAGTGCTATCGGAATCTCTGGAATGTGCAGACCAGATTTATGTGTCTTAACAATTCTTTACTGGTTTGTAATAAGCCGGCAGAGTCCCACTTTATTTTAATACTAATTTTGTCCTAGAAGAAGAGTATGCTTAAGCAAGACTATAACAGCAAAGCTAAAACTGGCATCTACTTAATAAGTGCAGCAGTGAATTGCCTCCAAGATCGAAATAGGTATCTAAACCAAAGAGTGAGGGTGGGGGGGATCAAGAAAGAAGAAAAAACTTTTAAAAAATGACCCTCAACAGGGTGCTGCTACGTCTTTAACAGTGGGCAAGGCAGTGCCTCGAGGTGCCTCAAACTGTCTTTCATTTTCTAGACTTAATGGCTGATTGCAGAAATCAATGTTGCCATTAGTAACAGGGTATTTGTTATGGCATGATTTCCTCTGTTGTTAGGCTGCAGAATGATTACAGTATTAGCGAGGTGCTTTCTTTATAAAGGGCTAGAGATAACTTTCAATTTACTATCCATTAGTAAGGGGCTTTGGAAATATGGATGAAGGCAACGCCTTACCTGCTGTTAGGTGGTGATTTTAATTTAGCCGTCTGAGGCTAGCGTGTTTTGTTGTTGTTGTTGTTGTTGTTGTTGTTTTGGTTTTTTTTTTAAACTGGGCCAGGAAGCTTCATAATTTCACAGACATTTTGATGACAGATTTTCTGCTTTGCTATTTTAGACCCCAAAGCTGTATCAGCCGTGTAACACAGTACAATTTAAGACAGAACAGTCATGCGTCTGTGTTTCAAATGCCTGTACTTTTCCAAACCATCAGAGGAAAGTGGTGGGGCTCTTTAGGTCACACGGATCTGGCAGGTGAGCCACGTTGTAATTTTGGAAGGGGCCAGAAGATAGGTTTGGCTTGGGGAGGGAGACTGCGGTGCCTGCATGAGAGAATTATGGGAATACGCTAAGGGGGAGAGAAAGATGGTGAAGTTTGGAACTTACACATTCATACCCAGGGATAGAGCAGAATGCCAGCTCCTGAGTTCCAGAGACCAGATGATGGCCGACAGCGTCAGGCGGTGAAATGGGGTTGGACAATTGCAAGAAAAAGGTAGATTATGCCCACTGAAAAATGTACCACCTGGCCATCTCCCGCACAACTTTCTTTTTTCTTTCTTTCTTTCTTTCTTTTTTTTTTTTTTTTTTTTTTTTTTGAGACAGTGTCTCACTCTGTCGCTCAGGCTGGAGTGCAGTGGTGTGATCTTGGCTCACTGCAGCCTCCCCCTCCCGGGCTCAAGCGATTCTCCTGCCTTAGCCTCCCGAATAGCTAGGATTACAGGCATGCATCACCACATTTGCCTAAATTTTTGGATTTTTAGTAGAGATGGGGTTTCTCCATGTTGGCCAGGCTGGCCTCGAATCCCTGGCCTCAAGTGATCCACCGGCCTCGGGCGCCCAAAGTGCTGGGATTACAGGCGTGAGCCACCACACCCGGCCTCAACTTACTTTCTTGGTAGCCAGTGTTCAAGGGAAGGCCTAAGAGGTGAAAGGACGGCCCTTTCCCTCCAGTCAGGGGGGGAAAGAAAGGCATGGCCCAGTGTCCAACCCACCCCTGTCCTCAATCAAGACCCACTGGCCTTGGAACTGACTGGAGGCCTGGGAGCAGAACCAGGCAGCCCTGAGCAGGGCTGCTGTACAAGCTGCTTCTCCCCGCTTCTCAGCTAACCTACCTGAGGAGGATGGCGAGGAGGGGTGCGGGCTGTCCTCCTGGGCACTCCCGGTCTGGGAGAGGCCGCCTCCGACCCCGCTCTCCTCGGTGACGTTAGAGGAGCCCGGCGTGGTGGAGCGGCTCACCGACTGGGACTCCTGGTCACTGCCCGAGCCACGCCGCTCATCCAGGCCCACGTGCAGCCCATCCTCCTCGCCCTTGCGGTCCCGCTTGTGGACACGGGAGTGCACGACCACCTGGTGGTAAGTGCGGAACACCCGGCCGCAGTCGGGGCACTCGGTGGGCTTCTCCTTCATGTTCCCAGGACCCTGCAGGTTATACTCGAGAGTCTGGTTCAGCCCGTGTGACAAAAAATCCCGACTGCTTTCTAAAGGGTCGAGCTTACTTGGCAGGTCTCTCTGGCTGCCCACTTTAGTGCTGTGAACCAAATCAGCAGGCATTTTCTGCTTGGAGCCATCTGCTCCCACTAACACGTACTCCCGCTTCTCCTTATCAAACAGAACCCCGGCGTTTGCCAAAGTGTCTTCGTGGTTGCGCTGCAGCGGATGCTCTTTAGACAAGAAGCCATGTTCCATGGCCATGCCCCTGGCCATGAGCTGCCAAGCCTGGTAGCTGTTCACGGGGTCCATCTCCGCAGCCTTGGCAGCCGCCTGCAGCCGCTCGATGCAGCTGGATTTCAGCGGCGGCACGAGATTGAGGCATCCCAGGAGGGAGTGCTTGTCCCCCTCCGGGACGCCGTGGGCCATGCTGGAGATGGGAGACAGCAGCTTCCCCAGCGCTTCCTTCTCCTTCATGGGCAGCTCGCCCTTGCCATAGAGCTGGCTGGGCTCGCTCAGGCCGGCTTTGTCCGGGGTCATGAAGCCACTCTGCAGGCAGGAGAGGTACCTGGAGTACAGGTTGGCGTGGGCCTCCTGGGACATGCCGCCCATGGGCACAGGCACCTCGGGGTCGCTGGGGGACTTGTTCTTCACCGACAGCTTGTTGAGGTGGACCTTCATGTGGTTCTTGAGGAACCAGGGCTCCTTGAAGCGCCGGCCGCAGATCTGGCAGCAGTGCTCAAAGGAGTCTTTGTGCTTGCGCATGTGACCCTTGAGGAACCACGCCTGGCTGAACACCTGACCGCACACCTCGCAGCGGAACTCGTTGGCCGACTGCTCGCCACCGCCGTTGGGGCCCTGGCCCTGGGCCGACTCGGCCGTGATGTGTGCCTTCTCCACGTGGCTGATGAGCTCCTCCTCCTGCGAAGCCGCGAAGTCGCACAACGTGCACTTGTAGGGCTTGTGCAAGATGCGGATGTGGCGGTCCAGCTCCTCGCGCTTCTTGAACTTGCCCTTGCAGAAGGTACAGCGGAAGCCCGCCGCCGGGGCCACCGCGTCCTCCTGCACGCTGGCAGGCTTGGGCGAGGGCACCGGGTGGGCCACGTCGGGAACGCTGTGGTTAGCCTGCAGGGCCAGGGTGCAGGCGGCCAGCGGGGCCTGCTGGGCGTGCGGCGGGGGCTTCAGGTCCGGCCGGGGCTGCAGCAGGCTGCCTTTCAGCTGCTTGTCCCGCAGGATGGCGCGCTCCTCCAGCTCGTGCAGCAGGCGGTTCTCCTCGCGCACACGCCCACGCCCCTTGCCCAGGTTGCCCAGCTTGTGGGTCCGCAGGTGAATCTTGAGGTTCCCCTTCTGCGCCGCCCTGTGGTCGCAGTACGGGCACTTGAAGGGCTTCTCGCCCGTGTGCGTGCGCATGTGCAGGGAGAGGATGCTGTTGAAGCGGAAGCGCTTGCCGCAGAGTGGGCACGGGTACTTGCGGTTCTTGCGGGCGTCGTCCTCGATGTCGCTCATCTGGGACATGATGCCCAGGTTCTGCCCGTTGAGGAACTGCTGCAAGTCCACCCTCCCGTTGAGGCTGGTGTCCACCTCCCGGCCCAGCTGGTTGGCCAGGAGCGCCATCTGACTGCCCATGGGCTGGCCGCTCATGGGCACGTGGGCCTTCTCCTCCAGGGATGCGGGGGGCTTCTCCTCGGGGTTGGGCCGGGGATGGAGCTCGGGGAAGGCATGGCTGAGCTGGGAGGTGATCTGGTGCAGCTTCTGACTCATGGCATACTGGCCGTTGAGGACGGGGCCACTCAGGTGGGGCTCAGCTTCCGGCTCCGCCGAAGACACTCCAAGGCACAGGCTCGCTTCTTCCATCCCTGAAAAGAGAGGCAGAGTTCAGATCCGTGCCAGGTGCGGCTGTGGCGCCATGAATCAACAGCATTGGCGGGCAGGGAATTTCCATTTCATGCCTTACCTACACATAATCATGCTAAGGAATTCTTGTCAAAAACAATAATAAAAAAATGAATTATTAAATGCCAATTATGCAATATGGCATTGCTCCTCCAATTTGTTTTGGCGACAGATCGTCTTCCTTGTATTTTCTATTTACAGACTGCAATTATTCATTCACCTTTAAATTATTAATGTTTTACCACTTTCAACACCTAATAACAAATCAAGGGTCTACGTGTGAAACTTTTTCTCCGTTGCCCCATTGTCGCACCTGTACCTGTTGGTTCCGTCCAAAGTTTGCCTGAGAGCAGAATGACTTTCCCTGTAAGACCAAATAAACCCACTTGGAACTTCTGTTTCCGTTTACTATATTCAGTACATTCACCAGTCTGAGATGAAAGAGATCATTTTATGATTTGGCCAAAAAAAAAAAAAAAACAAACAAAAAACACTCAATGGCATGATATTTACTGGTACATAATAAAACAAGATAATGTTTTGGGAAAAAATAAAGTAAAGGACAGGCTTTAGAATAATAAAAGGGATTTTGCTTTAGTCAACAAAAAGTGCAGTAATATCTCATTAAGCTGATTAGTATGCTGCTTAGAAACAGTACTAGGTGCTGTAACACATGATTATAATCATAAAAATCCTTCAGTGTTTGCAAGGAAGCATTAACGAGGTATATTAAATTTTAAGGAGACTGCGAGTAGCGGCTTTGCAAACCTCAGAGATTAAGATTTAACCCTTATGTTACGAAACACTGTTATTTTATCATTTGGTAACTGTGCCCATCAAAAGAAGTATAAATTATCTCCTGACGGAATCTTAGCAGATTGTTGAAGTTGTTCAAATTTGGGTCAAAGGAAACACCGATACCTTATAATGGGGCTCTTCCCATCCTTCAATGGCAAGATATCCAAAGCAGGGACTTTGATTGGGTTTAAAGAGGTCTTTTATAGAACTAGATAAAAACCCATTAAAATCCAGGAATGATGCCATAGGAAGTCTCAACCAAGTTTGAGTGTTTTTAATAACTTTCCCAATATACAATAATGAGTACAAATTGTACCTGCAGTATGTGTTTTGCAGAAAATTAGAACTCAAAGTTGTTTGTTAAACACTATCGTTCAAAGCTGGTCTGCATAATTGTCTTTAATAGTCCTCTCTGCCCCCTCTTCAGCCTGTGCAGAATGGCTAAAGCCAGATGGCTCCAGGGAGGGCAGAGGAAACAGCCCCTTCCACATTGGAGCACGTGGGGAGCTCAGCTTTGCAAGGCAATGAACCCCTGCCTGGGATCCTTCTATTTCCAGCTATGTCTCCCACCTGAAGGAGTCCAAATTTGTTTCCTGCCATTGGAATCATCTTTGCACACACCTCTCCTCTTGCATCCCATTGTTTAGATGTGTTGGGCAGCCAGGTGGTCCAGGAGCTGCGCTTAACCCCAGCCGGGACTGATTTCTGGGCTAAGTGATTAACCAGGGAGACCTATGGGGACAGAGCTCAACTGTGGAGGAAGCACAGGCAGCCTCGGCAGGGTCTGCTGCTTGCTGGGCCTCCCGCCAGGAGACTGCGTGGCATGGAGGGTCTCCAATGGGAGACCTGACTTCCTTGGCAGGAGGAGTCTATCTTGCAAGGGAAGGGAAGAAAGAGCCATGAATGTTTACTTCCAGGAGGCAGAGGGATTACAGTGGTGGTGCTGGGCCAACTTTGTCCACGAATGAAAGATATGCACAACTGTGCAAAGCGTAAAGGTGCATGGGCACTTGCCATAGGAGAAGGCTTCCAGCTTGTCATCTTTCCTTTTTGCTTCTGGGGGCAGTCTACACTCAAATTTTTTTAAAATACGCGGGCCCATTTTGGAGGTTGGTCAGAAAAAAGCTAATATCCCATGGAGGTTGCTGCATTCATTCAACAGACTTACCGAGATCCTTCCATGTGCCAGTCCCTAGCCTTGCCACTGGAGACATGATGGTGGACAAGACCCACCAGCCCCAGGACTCATGACACCCACTATCCAGCAGGGAGGAGCAGGCACAGTGTACAGAGGTTGCTGGAGGCTCCAGGCAGAGACTGGTGGCCCCAGGGCCCTGTCTGGCACCCTCTCTCCACCTTCAAGCCCCATACAGCTGCACTGGCTCCTCTTCTGAGCCAACAGGGATCATGACCCTGAAGCCACACAGGATTGCTCAGAATTCCACCCAACAGCTCCATGGAAGTTTGGAAAGTCCAAGGCCAACAGGGCTGGCCCACTTCCAAAGGCTGCCCAGTTGGCCAGCTCAGAAGACATGAATCCAGGAAGACGGGCTATTTTCAGGTTGCTGCTGATGAGCTGACGCCAATTCAGCAGGAGGGAAAGAAGGCTGAATGTGCAATGCGGCGAGACTGCAAATCAGCTTGGATGAGGGGCATGGAGTTGAAGACCATGTCCCCCAACACCACCACCATTCATGCTATGCAAGTGACAGCTCAACTCGTCAAATAAGGAATGTGAGAGTTTTCAGATTTGGTTTGAGTATGGAATTCTTTTATTTTTTTCAAATCTATCTATCTATCTATCTATCTATCTATCTATCTATCTATCTATCTATCTATCTATCCTGGCCAGAGTTAACAAAGATTTGTAATCTCTTTAAGGTCTTTAAATGCCTTTGCTAGATCCTCAGCTGAGGATAGAATGTTCTAGAACATGCATGCTGCCCCGGCTCTTTCATAGTTGGCTCTGTTCTTATTCTTGTGGGTCTGAGCTCACACATCCTTTCTCACAAAAGCCCTCTGTGCCCACCCTGTCTGAGGCTGACACCCCAGCCCCTCTCTGTCCCAACATGTTACTTTCTTCTACATAGCATTTGCCATGGGGGCAACATTTTGTCATTGGTCCTTTTACAGACATACTTCATTCCCGTGAAGGCAGAGGATATGTCTGTCTTGGTCAAGGATGAAGCCTTGGGTCCTAAGGCAGAGCTGGCTTATCTTAGGTTCAGTGTGTCCTAAGTGAATGGATGAATGAGTGAATAGAGACTCACTCTAACCTCAACTTGATGTGGCCTAACCTCGGCCTTTGCACAAGTCCAGAGCCCTTAAAATCAGTCATG
The DNA here is from genome assembly GCF_000001405.40 of Homo sapiens. Classification (NCBI taxonomy): domain Eukaryota; kingdom Metazoa; phylum Chordata; class Mammalia; order Primates; family Hominidae; genus Homo; species Homo sapiens. The sequence continues at coordinate 30,440,386 of NC_000019.10, read as the reverse complement.
TGACCTAACCTCAGCCTTCGCACAAGTCCATGAGCACCTACGATCCGAATCGGACAGAGTTGGAAGGGTCCCTGGCTACCACTGAGAAGCTGAAGGTTCAGAAACCACCAAGAGAAAGCCACCTCTGGCCGGCCATGGTGGCTTATGCCTGTAATCCCAGCACTTTGGGAGACTGAGGTGGGCGGATCACTTGAAGTCAGGAGTTCGCGATCAGCCTGAACAACATGTTGAAACTTCGTCTCTACTAAAAATACAAAAATTAGCTGGGTGTGGCGATGGGTGCCTGTAATCCCAGCTACTCGGGAGGCTGAGGCAGGAGAATCACTGGAACCCGGGAAGTGGAGGTTCCAGTGAGCTGAGATCATGCCATTGCACTCCAGCCTGGGCAACAGAGCGAGACTCTGTCAAAAAAAAAAAAAAAAAAAAAGAAAGAAAGAAAAAGAAAAGAAAGAAAGAAACAAAAGGAAAGGAAAAGCTGTCCACACCCCTAACTCTCACAGTCTAGGTGTCCATGGTTATCACCCCAGGCTTGGACCACCCCTGATGGCCCAGTTGCTGAATACTAGGAGACACAGCAATGGTTCCCTTTAGAACTTAACTGACCGTCACTGCCCATGGGAGACCCCAGGGTTTCAGAGGAGCTGACCAGCTCCCTAGGAGATGCTTCCAGGATACTGGTCCCCAGCCCTTGAATAAGCCTGGGAGAAGCCTGCACAGAGCCTTACTGGGAGAAAGGACCACGACAGTCAGCTTAGAATCCTCTGTGATTCCTCGAGCAGGTGCAGCCGAGGCCGCTGCAATGGGGCAGTCATAACTGATGCCTGCTGCTCGACTTAGAGCAAGAAAGGGAAGCACGAGTTCCTGGAAAGAGTATGGGGTAATTGGTGTGCTGTCTCTGCGCCAAAACAGCCGAGGCAGGACAAGCTGGCCCCAGGCCCGGCCTGGGACTCACAAAACCTGGGTCGGCCCCAATTTCTCCAGCCTTGACACTTCACCCATCCAGAATGCGTTTATTCCTTACCTTAGCCATTCAGTCAATATTTGCCAGGGACCTTCCATGTACCTGCCCTCGAGGGCCTGTTCATCTAAGGGGCCAGCGTGAGTGAGTGTCCACAAGTAACAGGGAGCAATGAAAGGTCCCTTCGAGGCTGAATGCAAAGCTGGGGAAAAGATAAACCATCGCAGCTTTGGTGTCTAAGGGTGTGTGTGTGTGTGCGTGTGTGTGCAATAATTATGTCTGTGTTGAGGGAAGGGTGGGGAGTCCCTACCTGATAGCCCTCTAGAAATGTATACAAATGCCTACACTGGGAAACTAAGGCATCATTTATCCTACTGTTAAAGGATTGAATCCAGCTGCAGACATAAGAGCTCATGGGGCTGGAGGAAGTGGAGCTGCCTGCAAACGATAAGACCTGTTGGAAGGGACCAGACGCAGCGGCTCACACCTGTAATCCCAGCACTTTGGGAGGCTGAGCCCCAGGAGTTTGAGATCACCCTAAGCAACATGGCAAAGCCCCATCTCTACTAAAAATATAAAATAATTAGCCAGGCATGGTGATGCGTGCCTGTAGTCCCAACTACATGGGAGGCTGAGGTGGGAGGATCACTTGAGCCTTGGGAAGTCGAGGCTGCAGTGAGCTATGATCCGTACCACTGCACTTCAGCCTGGGCGATGGGAATGAGACCTTGTCTCAAAAAACAAAAATAATTTAAAAGATAATTTTTTAAAATTTCAAATAAAAGACCTGCTGGAAGGTCTTATTATCCCTTTTCCCAGCCCACCAGGGAGTGAGCCTTCCCTTTCAGACCATGCTGCTCCCTTACAGGCCCCATAGGGAATATCCCTGGAGGGGCCTCCTGCCACAGCCCACCCCCAACCCTGCTGCCAGAGCACTTTAGCCTACACGCCCCACTGACCCTTCACTCAGCACTGCGTGACCCAGGAGCTGGAGTCACAAATTATTCACCTGGACTGATGTCCAGAAGAGGTTTTTCTAGGTGTTTCTAGGATTTTTTTTTATAATTTCACATCTTATGTTTAAGTCTTTAATCCATGTTGAGCTAATCTCAATAATGGGTATACACGGACATAAAGATGGAGATAATAGACCCTGGGGACTCCAAAAGTGGGGAGGGAGAGAGGGGAGGGAGGGTTGATAAAATTACCTATAGGGTACAATGTTTGCTATTTGGTTGATGGGTGCACTATAAGCCCAATCCCCAGCATTATGCAATATACCCATGTAACTTAACAAACATACACATGTACCCCCGAGTCTAAAATTTTAAAAAAGGAAGCCAGGGGCCAGCAGAGGGCAGGCCATGATCCTGGGCTTAAGGCAACTGGGCAGTCAGGACTTTGAATAACCTCTGCAAGAACTCATCGAACCAGCTCACCTGGGCAGAAAAACCCTTAGCACAATTAAAAGCAAGCAAACAAACTACTAAACAGTGAGAACAGCTTGCCCCTGGCCTTCAGTTCATTGCCCCAGCCTGAAACCTATAAGGAAGAGGATCAATAAACCCTGGCTGATTGATGGAAGGAACAAATGAATGCATAATTTACCTAACTCTGCAAAGGCAGCCAGATGTCCTTACCGAGGCTGGACAGTTAAAGGCCACTGTAAACTCTTGAGTTTGCAGCATCATCCCCCCAATGTAGAAACATGGCAACATTCCCCCCCAGTCCTGACCTTTTCTGAGCACAGGGTCATGGTGGGGCACCTTGGGGACTCAACTCCACAGTCAGTATTGATGAAGAACTAAGCTAGGCTCTCGGTGGCCACAGGATTCTTCACGACAGTGTGGAAACCCCTGTGCTGCACCTCTAAACACAGGCAGGGGCCCCGGGTGAAGGCTTCCAAACATTACAGGTTTTCTTCTTGAACAATGCAATTTCACACTCAGCAAATGAAACCCACCATTGGGTGCACAGATTATCAAAATACATTCTGTCTCATCACTGCCATCATTGCAGGTACCGTGAGCCATTCAGCTGCCTTTGATGGTGCTAATGGTTATTTTGATTTTGCATTTCTGCCTTCAAGACTATTTCCTGTGATATCAATGACAAAAGTTTTCACTTAACTCTTCCAATAGAGAACCTAATTGTATCTTTCACTCAAAATGAAATTTAAAACTATCAGGACACCAGAGATGCCAGCTGCTACGAGTCTAAATAAATTTTACACAAAAACACAGTTTCATTTTGCTAGCACAGAAAAAAAAAAGTAATCTTATGAATAGTCCAAAAAAATATAGATCTTGCCAGTAAGTTGTATGAAAGAGCTTTTTCCTTATACCACGAAAAAGAATCATTGGAAAATAAAATGCTTTCAAAATAACCATTTGCACTGGATTTTAAAAAATCAAGTATTGTTGTCTAGCCAAGCACAACTAAATATATTCCCTTTTTCATCGACGTGGGTGAAACTGCTACCTCGGAAGCCTTGTAGGAGTCCCTGACCTCCAAGTTACTCTGCAGGGTCTAGGACTCGGGTTCACAGCAAGGGGGTTTCCAAACACCATTGTGGATTTTACTCAAAATCTTCTCATAACATGCACTTCTAGTAACAGGCAGACCCCATTCCTGGAGGCTCACGTGACCCTCAGTCTGTCCCTGAAGCCCACCTTGCTTTCTTATGCTGACAGTAAACAGTAATTAAGACAATTTCACCTAGAATACAATGGCTTCGTATTAAATACTATTTTTCCAATTGTTGTAGCTCAAACTGTTTAACTAAGGTTGTTATAAGCATAATACACTCCTGTTCTGAAATACAGAACATCAGACTACTGAACCTTTTCAGGGTCATTAAACAGCTGTAAACATTATTACAAAAATAAACCAGAGATTTCATGCTTACATTTTGGCCTAGAGCTTGCTATGCTGAGCAAGTGCATTTTTTTTTTTTGATCTCTTACAATCAACACTGGTGACATTTGGGCATCCAAACAAATTACATCACAAACATTACTGGGGTGGGCAGGATACTGAGTGGTTTATTTGCCAGATGATTAATAGATGAACAGGAGGGCAGCGCGGGTGACCTGTTCCATTTTGACTGATGTGTAGACAGTGCCATGAGATGGGGCCAGAAATAGTTAAATCCTTGCTGAATTTATGAACAAAAATACCACATTCAAATCAGGCTGTGGAGAATGACAACTGTGTAACCAACAGAGTCAAGTTGCAGACTGTAGTCAAATTCCCAAGTGTCCCCTTGGGGATGGAACATTGGCCAAAGTCAAGGCCCTCACTGACTTGAGTAGTGAGCAGGATTTGGCTGGGCTGGCTTAATATGTGGTCCCATGGAGCCCCAGGCAGCTTCCATGCTGGTAGGACAAGAGTTGGAGAATTTGGGAAAAGAATTTGAATGTCTTCTCCCTGGAAACTTTGGATGACTTCAAAATTCTCAAAGACGTGACCATTTTTGGTTTGGGTTTGGTGAAAAAAAAATTCTCAAAGGCAAAGAGCTTCCATCACTGTGGCTTTTGGAGTCTCTGCTAAAACTGCAGCCCAGAAATGAAGACAGATAATGAGCACAACAACATCAGATGGAAAAGAAAAATGGCAACAAAGGGGTTCTCCTGTCATCTTCTCTGAGTAGAGAAGACTTCTGGTCTGGATCCCTGGGTCACCTTCTGCCTATACCACACAAAGCCAGGCAAGTAGCTGCTGGGGATGGAAAGAAGACAAGTTCACATGGGGTAGTTGTTAAGACTATGGACTGTCCTCTCATTAAAAAGCAACAACCCTCAGCAGCAGCAGCAAGAGCATCACCATCATCACCATCATCATCACCATCATCACCATCACCATCATTACCACCATTATCACCATCATCATCACTATCACCATCATCATCACCATAATGATCACTGTCATCACCATCGTCATCATCAGCAGCAGCAGCAGTATCACTACCATCACCATCATCTTCACCAACATCATCACCAGCATCACCAGCATCATCACCATCAACAGCATCATCATCACACCATCATCATCATCATCACCACCATCACCAGCATCAGCATCACCACCATCACCATCATCATCACCACCATCACCAGCATCAGCATCACCACCATCACCATTATCATCACCGTCATCATCACCATCATTACCACCATTATCACCATCATCATCACTATCACCATCATCACCATCATCATCACCATCATCAGCATCATCATCAGCAGCAGCATCATCAGCATCACCACCATCACCATCATAATCACCATCATCATCAGCATCATCATCACCATCACCATCATCATCACACCATCATGATCATCATCATCACCAGCATTATCACCATCATCAGCATCATCATCACCACCAGCACCATCATCATCACCATCACCAGCATCCGCATCACCACCATCACCATCATCACCACGATCATCATCACCAGTATCATCACCATCATCATTATCACCATCATCACCATCATCAGCATCAGCATCAGCATCATCACCATCATCAGCAGCATCATCACTACCATCACCATCATCATCATTATCACCATCATCATCATTATCATTACCATCACCACCATCACCACCATCATCACCATCACCATCATCATCGTCGTCATCACCACCACCATCATCATCATTATCATCAATATCACCACCATCATCACTATCATGGCCACCACCATCACTATGTACATTAACAGGATCCTCATCTTCATCATCTTCCTCCTCTCCATCAAAATACCACCTGCCAACACTGCTAGGTACATCACAGTCATTGTCTCATGTTAGCCTTATACAATCTTAGATGATTGGTGCTATGTTATTCCAATACAAAAGATGAGGAAATAGGGGCTCAGAAAGTTAAGTCATGAAGACATGCCAGTGGCCAGGCTGGCTTTTTGCAACACATTTATTCTTGTTGGGCTGGATAACGACAGTCGGAACCCAGCTCAGTCATTTGGGAAATGCCTGGAAAGAAGGAAGCCACAGCCATGGGCAAGCTCTGAGGAGGCCAAGGAACAGAAGACGCACAAAGACACAGGCCAGGCAGTGAAATCAAGTGGGGCAGACATGGCAGGCACTGCAGACGGAGAAATGTAGCAGGTCTGTTACTCACTGGCTGGTAGAGCAGAGGGTCACCCCCTAAAAATTATCTTTAGACTCTTCTATTTTCTTAATATATAGAAGGGCTGATACATTATTCCACATTCTCCTGTAGAGTCAGGTGGCTTATTCCCCCAACTAGACTGGAGTAATGGAAAGAGAATGACACCTGAAGTTCCATTGACATGAATCCAATTGCCTGCTCTCCCACTAGAATCGGTGTGACCTTGGTCCCCTGCCAGAGCCTCAGTTTCTTTATCGCTCTAACAGACTGATAGGCTGTCCTATTCACTTCAAGGGATTTTGAGAGGGCACAGGGGGTTGTGGGAGAGAATATGAGGCATTTTCTACCTGTGCAGTAATGCTTCTTAGATGCTGACCGCAGCAGTTAGCATAGTTTTTAGATCCAGAAGCCCCCTTAATTTGGTAGCAGAGGACATGCTGAGAGGGGAAGGATATGACCAAGGCATGTAAAGGTGGTTAATAAAAATGCTCCTGTTGGCCAGGCATGGTGGCTCACGCCTGTAATCCCAGCACTTTGGGAGGCCAAGGCAGGCAGATCACCTGAGGTCAGGAGTCTGAGACCAGCCTGACCAACATGGAGTTACCCCATCTCTACTAAAAACACAAAATTAGCCAGGTGTGGTGGCACATGCCTGTAATCCCAGCTACTCGGGAGGCTGAAGCAGGAGAATCGCTTGAACCTAGGAGGCGGAGGTTGTGGTGAACCGAGATCGCGCCATTGCACTCCAGCCTGGGCAACAAGAGCGGAACTCTGTCTCAAAATCAAACAAACAAACAAACAAACAAATGCTCCTGTTGTCAGTCTTATCAGAGGATCTATATAGTGGGACTGGCATCTTTTGATAACATTTTGTAATGCCTACATGTGGCAAGACATGGGTACATCTAGAGATCTATAAGCAAGACCAGACCCTTGCCTTTAAAAGCTGAATTGGGGAAGTGGGGGGAAGATGGATGGACTCATGAAGCTTGGGTCACCTGCTGAATTGCAGAGAGCTTCAGCATGCTGGTCACAGTGGGATGGGAGTGCAGGAGAGAGAAGGGAAGGAAGGCAGTGGTGGAGACAGGCCTTGGCCGAGCCTTGAGGAGGTCACCAGGTAGAGAGGAGAAGTAGGCCACATGTGCCCAAGGGATCAGCATGTACAAAATGTATATGGAGCTTGTAATGCTCAGGGGACAGAGAGGAGATAGGGCAGAGGCATGGGCTGGTGCAGACTTGAAAGTCAATCTGAGCAGAATGGAGTTCATATTTGGGCAAAACAGCGGCTCAAGAAGCTCTTAACAGAGGAAGAACATAACATGCACGCCTCACACTGCCAGGGAGAGCCTCATCCATCCTTCTACCAGGTTCCTATAAAAAAGACGCCAACGGCTGAGGTCCTAAGACTATCCAGTCAGCCCCACAGAGCTTCCACTAGGGCAGCCACCAACTATAGGGGTGACAGTCTTGTCTCCAGAAAACTTACAAGAGAACAGCTTCAAAACTGTACACACCTTCTGTCTATGCGCAGCTAGAAAAGGCAGTGTTCTATCCAATGTGAGTCAGAGAAGATGGTAAACCAGTAAAGGATGAAAATAAACTCCTGGACCACAAACCAAACATCGGAAGGTCAAAGCTCTTGTGGTGATGAGGGCTCCGCGTGCATGAGAAAGAAGAGTGTAGGGTTTGGAAAAAGGCATTCGTCTCCCCTTGCCTTCTTTTTAATGGTGAAAAAGTAGAAGCAGAAACTTTCCCCACATCTCCCAGCAGCCCAGCCCCACCTCACCACAGCTGTGAGCCCAACTCCATCCTCCATGCTACATCCTGGCTTCACGTGCTCCAGGAAACCTTCCTGGATTTGACCCGGGCTGGAAGTGATCCTGCTTCCTCAGAATGGAAGCTTGGTGAGAGTAGGTGGGTTACCAGCCTCCTGTCTGCAGCTCATAGAGAATCCCACCCTATGGAAAGTCCTCCAAGCCCCCTGGTCCTCTAAGCTTATGATCAGTCACCATGCCGGAGAGGGGACGTTGCCCACGGTGTCACATCCACGGACTGCAGTTTGGGAATGGCAACTCAGCCCTGACACCCCAGCATCTAGGCCATGAAGCAGGGCTCCCATTTCACCCAGATGGGATGATTTGAGAAGGAGATAGCCCCCTAATTCTCTGTAATGGATTTTTATCTGAATTGTGTCCACCCCACCAAGGAAAGCAACAAGAACTCTCTCTCTCTCTGACTCTCTCTCTCTGTGCGTGCCTGTGTGTGTGTGTGTGTATGTGTGTGTGTATATATATATATATGCTTTTAATGAATGGTATATCTTTAACATAATAATGCAAAACTGAAAAAGATACCAGCAGTTGTCAGGAGTGTATTGATTACTCTCCTCTCGCTGGCTTTCTTGCTCCCTTTTTAAAGCAGACTTGGTCATGGCAGGAAGTTAGACATTTAATCCCCTATTAACCCGCCTTGGCTCCTGGCACCAGCCTCAGCGCACAGCCCCTGCCCTGGGAACCAGAGGCCCTGGCCTCCGCAGGACCCCTCCCTGGGGCAGCAGCAGCCAGGGAATAGACATCAGGCTACACCTCCCTGCTCCTTTACCCCTGATTAAAGCCGTTTACATTTGAGCACTTGTGGACTATGATATCGTGTCGAACAGTTTATTTTCATTTCACAGAGGCCTCAGATTTGATTCGGTGCAAAACTAAATATAATGTAAAATGCACATACGCAAGAGTGATCAAAGGGGGCTTGATTTTGAAATATTTATAGAAGTCGGCCCAGGGAGATTCGTCCACAGGGGCACCTGTCGAAGACATAAGCTCAGATACACATCATCCGGTAAGTAAGCACGATCATTACTAAGGAGAAAATCCAGGCACTCCATCGGGTCCCCTGCTGCCTGCAATTTCTGCGCTGAGGCTAACAGATGGAGGCTGGCCAGGGCTGGGCTGGGCCCTTGGTCCTTTTTGGTCTTGAGGTCCCCAATTTAGCATCCCTAGCTCCTGCACAGGTCACCAGACTGGCCCAGCCTCTGCCGGGCTGGCCTCCTGGGAGAGGAGGGAAGACTGACTCTGACCCCCTCAACGCAGGTTCTGGGGGAGCTGGCTGCAGGTGGCCCATCTCATGGAACCAGGGCTGCTGGGGGCTGCTGTCTCAGATATGGGAGTGTTCCTGCCATAGATGGATTCCAGGGACAAAGACCAATTTCGAACCGTGATCAGGAAAGAAGGGGGAGTAAAGTGTGACTTGAGAATGGATAACCCTCCAGTTCATCTTGCTTCAACCTATTAGTGTTTTGAAAAAGGACTCCCAATGGGCAGGCGAGGTGGCTCATGCCAATAATCCCAGCTCTTTGGGAGGCCAAGGCAGGTGGATCACTTGAGATTAGGAGTTTGAGACCAGCCTGGCCAGCATGGTGAAACCCCATTTCTACTGAAAATACAAAAAATTATCCAGGCATGGTGGCGCATGCCTGTAGTCCCAGCTACTCAGGAGGCTGAGGCAGGAGAATCGCTTGAACTGGGGAGGTGGAGATTGCAGTGAGCTGAGATTGCACCACTGCACTCTAGCCTGGGTGAAAGAGAAAGGACTCCCTTTTCTCAGGGAGCAGAGAGGGGCAACTTGGTATCCTTTTATGCATATCATTTCCCCTGTTGGGAACTCCTCTCTGCAATCCCTCCTTGCCCCTGTGCCTAGTAATCTTGGGAGAAATTAAATACCACTTCTTCCAGGAAGCCCTCCCTGATATGTCAGGTCCCGGTCCAGAGCCCTTCCGTCTATCTCCACGGTATCTTGGCCTCACCCCGAACAGTGTCTTCTACATTAGGTTGGGTTTGTTTGTATGCCTGTCCAAAACCCCATGAGGGCCACACTGTGACCATCGGCTTCACCAGGGTCCCCCCCAGCACCCAACACAGAGCCAGGCACAGGGGAGGCACTTGATGAACATTTGCTGAGTGACTGAATAGAGGAACAAGCAAATAAATAAATAATCAAATGAGGGAACAAATGAATGAATGGATGAATGAATGAACAAGTTGCAGGCCTCCAGCATAACATCTATCCTTGGGGAGAAAGCGGGGATGCCGGGAGGAAGACTCAGACAACATGACCAGCCCTGCCCTCTACTCATGGAGGCACAGCCAGGTGAGAAGTTTGGTCACTAGAACTTTACTTTAATGTCACCCCAGAAAACTTAGAAGAGAACAGTTCTTCCACACAGCCACTCCCAATCCCCTCCCCCACCCTTCACACCCTCCATAAAGAGCTAACCCCACTCTGTCTCATGGTGGATTTCACAGCCCGTGCCTCACCACCCTGTACCCTTATCCAGGACCTCCTGGGGCCCACATGTGACTGAAACCCAATGCTTTGCAGGTGACAAGTACCTACAAATTCTGGTTGAACTAATTTGGATTCCAAGTCCTTCAACGTGCCTTTTTCAAACTCCACTCTCCTGTTGACTCCCTAGCTACTTTCAGCATTCTCGTACTTGCTCATGCAAATACTCATTCATTCATTTATTCAGTAAGCCCTTCTGACTCTCCACTGCACACCAGGCACGGTGCCTGGCTCTGCAGAGAGAATCTCAAACACCCTGCCCTCCTGAAACTCATCATCTAAAGGACAGATGGATCTGAAACATCCACCCAAAGAGACGATGCAAATATTTGAGCACTGTTCACTCGAAAAAGGATCAGGTGACTGGGAGTTTTTTTGAGAACAACAATCTTGTTCATTTGTCTCCTTAGTGCCTGGTGCAGAGGAGGCCTTTGGGGTGAGCTGACGATGCGGGGTGACACTGCCACTCCCTTCCCTAGAGTTGTTCTTGGAGACAACAGCCTCCATTCTGAACCTCTACTGCTGCCTCTCTCCCTGATCTCAGTTCACTGCACCCCAAGATCTAGATCCTTGCATAGTGTCAGGAAGAAGACAGCCAACTGGAACCAAATAGGATGCCCTCAGGGGCAGCTAAGGCATCCTCTCTGTGATGATGACACATCCACCAGGGCAACATTCCCAAGTGCCAAGAGCAGAGCCTCACACTAGCAGGTGTGCTCAGGAAGTGCTGACTGAATTAATGACTCCTCTCCCCAGCCCAGGTGCACTGACCTCCTCTCCCAGCTAGCCCCAGGGCCAGGATCCAAGACAAACGGCCTCCCCACCACTACATCAGTGGGCCTGGATCCTCCCTCTATAGCCTCCTCCACCCCCTTAAACCACACCTGCATGGTCATCCAGGTAGCCATGTGGCCTCAGGTGCCCTGGCCCCTCTCTGAATCATGGCTTCCCATGTGTTAGACAAGGAAGCGGGTCAGGCTGGACCCTGAACTCAGCCCCTCTCTCTATCCCCCTGTGGGTGCCTCTGAGGCCCACCTGACAGGGAGGGACCGCATAGCCAAACCCTGATCTTGAACCATCACCCATCTGCAGTTGAACTTTGCTGATGCTGAACACAGAGAAATATTCTAAAATGAAGCAATTAATGTTTCTCTCTGCACAAGGGAGAAAATGCCATTCATGGGCTGGTCCAGGACCCTCAGTGCACCATCCATCTGATGTTGGACACTCTGTACTATCTCACCAGGGTCTTGATATCAACATCTTCCCCCACCCCCACCTCCAGGTGCCAGAAGTTATGTCCTATGGAGAGGCCTTCAGAGAACCCCAAGGTGTTCTGTAACTTCAGTAGCTTGGTGTGGAAGTATCACCTACCCAAGCTGCAAGCAGCCTTCAGCAGCCACTGTGGTCCCCACAGGGTGGCCACTGCTACTCTCTGGGCTCCTATGAGGAATCTCTTTACTGGGACTCTGGGTAACAGAGGAAAACTCGCTGCTGCTTCAAGAAGGTGTACAGTATCTTACTCCAAAAGAACTGAGTCCCAAGGGGCAACTTGTCAGCTCTATGAGTGTGCTACGGTGGCAATGCTAATGTACCTGGGAAGATGAGTGAGGTCACTGCTAGGAAGTACTTGAAGCAGCGTCTGCACAGGGCAGGTGCTCTGCAAAGCCTGCGTCTGCTCCTGCCTCTCCTCCTCCTTCCCCTGTCACCATCTGCATGTTGATGCGGCCTCTATCAGGCCTGCAATCACCCTCAGTCCTGCTCACAGTCACCTGTTCCAAAGCCTCATGGAAGACCAGCATTCAGAGGCATACGTGGTAGGCAAGGAGTTAATAACTTTACCTTTTGTATTTTTAAGAGCACTTGCAGTTAACAAGGAAAAGTCAAACACCCCCATTAGAAACCTGGACAAAAGGCATGTGAGCAGGGAATTCACAAAAGCAACAAAATTTGGCTCGTGACCACAAAAATGTCACTCCTAACCAGAAAGCAAGAAGACTCAAATCAAAACAATAGCAAGGTTCCATTTTTAAATAATTATATTACAGATTGAACCTGGACTTTGTGAGAACCCTAAACTTCCTCCATCGTCTCATGTCACACCCAAGGTGGAACCGGGAAGGAGGTCAAGTGGCCTTGTTTCAACTGTAACTTCCCTTCTAAAGTCAGGAGCCCAGAGACATTACACATGATGCTTGAACACCACTGACTGTCACTTTGAGGAAGCCAGGCTAGGATGCTGGGCATTCTGGAAAGCTAGTATGCCTGAGACCAAAAGGAACAGAAAAGGGCCTCATGCTAGAAGACCAAGGTGTGTGCTTTCTACATGACCCCGAGAAATCTAGTAAAACCCATCCAGCCATCCTGCCAAGAAAGCCAACCGGCTGAGATACATCTACAGCCAACCAACAAGTTCACATTGACTAGGGGTGGTGCTCCATGCCCAATGCCAGGCTTTTTCCACTTGCTGTCCCCTGCACCCTTGGGATAACTCCATTTAAGTGCAGAGATCAAAGATCAAAAATCATTGTTTTTCCTGAGGGCAAACTACCCAGATTCATGCCAAAAGCTTCCACCAAAGGGCCACTGCTGCATCCTACCTTATCTCTCTTCCTATCACTCTTCCCCACATTCTCCTCAACTACTTGGCAAGCATCTCTGCATCCCATGAATGAGAGTTGTCCACACCTTCTGTCCTTGCACAGAGATGTTCCTTGAGGAAAGGGACAATGGTACAGAGGATGGCAGAGCAAGAGAAATATCTGAGATCATCTAGCTCCTTGACACTTGGTCTGATGTGCCCATTTTACAGATAGGTAAACAGAGGCCAGATGGTAGGGGATAACTCACCTATGGTTCCACAGCAAGTTAGTGGATATGCATCTGTGTCTTACTTTTCTTTGTTACCTCACTCAAGAAATTTAGTAGGTGTCAGATGGATGTTGGATGGATGGATGGATGGATACATGGATGGATGGATGCATGGATCAATGAGCAGATAGATAGATGAGTGGGTGGACTAAAGAAGAAATAATGCACACAGACAAATAGATACATAGTCCCACCAACAAATTATTGAATGCCCTCACCTCTACCCTCTAAGCTGTCAGACAGAGGTTCAGAAGCTATGAAAGACTTCCAAAATATACCTTCCCCCTGCCGGGCCCCACGCTCACCTCTCAGACAATATGAAATCAGACTCATTGATTACATCATGTCCTGTGTATAGGAACCAACCCTGGGGTCCTTAAAATCAGGAAGCACGTCTCCCTGTTGGCCTCCCCAGGCTCCTGCAACCCAGGGCAAGGCGTGGGTGCTCATTAAATAGCTTCAGATATTTGCATCTCTGCCACCCTCGGGGATGTGAAGTCCCCCTTGGAAGCACCTGAAGGGTGGTCAGAGGCTGCAGCCAGTGCACTCAGGACCAAGGACCTTCAGGGTAAAGATTCACCTAAGACTTTCCTGATAAAGCAAGCAAGAAGAACAAAGATGGAATAAGGACCAAAACCTTCCCCCATATAAAAACACACTTCAGGAGGCAGGAGAGAGCGTTTCCATGCACTCCTTCATGTGTTTGATTTGCATCAAATTACATCAGGTTGATGTGATGTAACATGACATCCCCCCACCATGAAATGCATAAATCAAGGCACCTCATAAATTTAAAGGAATAGAGTTCTTTTCCAGAAGTGGCTAATTACTCATAAACAGCAGATATTTTATTGCCGTTAAAGTCAGTAGCAGGTTTTTAATAGCCAGAGCATTTTGTAACTCAAGCTTTTCATAATGCAGGCCTGGGGAAGCCAAGCATTACCTGTTTGTAGCTCCTCAGGGGTTGCAGAGATCCTGCCAAAGTAGACCACCTCTGGGGAGGCTCCCACAGTCATGCCCAGTTGGGGTGTGCTACCAGCCCCGACCCACCACTGCTCTGCTGGGAGGGGAACCCTGAAAATGTCACTCCATGCTCAGGGTTCCTAGTAGGGTCTGGGACTTCCTGCACTCTCGCTCACACCTATTAATCAGGTCCAGACTCCACAGCCAACTACAGATGCCTGCATGGACACTCACATCCTTGCATCCATGCCCACCACAGTCCCTACATGGGAGAACCCCTCTTCCTACTCAGTCCTGCAGCTTGGGTGAGATGTAGCCAGCTCCCTGCTTCTGACTATAAAATCAGTTTGAGCCATTCAGAATGTTCCATGCCCCAGCCTCAGTAATTGGTTCAAGGATCATCATATGACCTATTCCAGGCCAACGAGAGTGATAACTAGGGCTTGCCAGGGAGCTACAAGGATGGTTCAGACACTCTCAGTAAGATCTGGAGCTGTGGCAGCTGTTTTGCTACCAAGAAGAGTCTAAGCGGGTGGCAGTGGGGTTATGCAGCACTGGGGACAAGGCCAGTGCTGAGGAGGTGAAGGAGGAGAGACGTCAGATGCTTGGTGACATTTGAGCCCCTGGATCAAACAGCACCTGAGGCTGAACCATTTACATATTTGCACTGATATGAGTCAATACAGGTCTCCTGGTGGTTTAAGTTGGTTTGGGTTAAATTTTCAATCACTGGAAACGAAAGGAGTCCTGGCTGATAAACAAATATGCCCTCCCTTCCAGACACCCCCTGGGGCCCTCGGTTACTCCTCTGCCCTTCCAGCCTTCTCCCTGCCCATGATCACACTAAGGCACTCCCATCTTTGTTTTTTTTTTTCCAACATGTTTTTGGGGAACACGTGGCGTTTGGTAACATAAATAAGTTATTTAGAGGTGAACTGTGAGATTTTGGTGCACCCATCACCAGAACAGTGTACACTGTACCCAATGTGTACTCTTTTATCCCTCACCCCTTTCCTACTCTTTCCCTTGAGTCCCCAAAGTCCATTGTGTCATTCTTATGCCTTTGTGTCCTCACCATCTTTGTTTTCTTCTACCAAACTCATTTAAATCTTGACCATCCTAAGCCCAGAAGGCTCCACGCACACCCCTGGGATCCTGAGCCATACGTTGGCTTGGGCTCTTCCAGAAGCGTTGGGTGGGAAGCAGAAGGTGGCAGGCAGCACCTTCTCCTGTGTGCCCTGGACAGAATGGGCACTCCACCATGGTCACCAAGCATGCATTTCTCACCCTGCCCAGCTGCCTCCTAGCCATTTGCCCAGGGGTCTGAAATCCCACTAATGGGTCTTTCCCCAGTGCTTTCCTTGTCTGTGTCAAGGAGAAGTGATTTTAGCTATGTTAGGCATGATGTTCCAGAGTCTTCCGGAAAGAAGGCCGTGTGGATTTAATAAGTTCCCTCTCAGCAGAGAGCCTTGCACACCCTATTATTTTTTTTTGCATCCATCCTCCCCTCCTCATCCCCTCCTTGGGTAACTTCTCTGATCTACAGCCAAACGTCCCTGTCCCAGGAATGTCTCTCAGCCTCCCCAGAACCCAGAGATTCCCCTGTTACCCACACTCAGATCCCTGTGTGCTCAGCAGACTGTGTTACCTGTGCTCAGTAAAGAAGCCAGTCTGCTGTCCATGACAGGGGAGCCCCAGGGTGTTTGATGTTGCACAGGTTTGAGGTTCATTCCCTGTGCTCCCTCGGTCAGCCCTGCCCTGGAGAGAGGGATTCCTGGCCTCCTCTTTATTGCACAGTGAGCATTATAAAGCCCAGAAGCCCAGAGTGACCAGGCACCCACCTAGTGCTCCTGCTCCAAGTCCAGACCCCCCTGCAGCCCACTGTGTGTGTGCCTTGGAAAGTGCAGGAAGTGTAAGGGTATCTGGAACCAGAAACAGGGCACCCAGAGCAGGTGGAGAGTTACAGAGAGAAAGAAAATGAGCTACATCCAGGTCCTGTGGCCCAGAAACAAAGTGTCCCCTGGCCAGCATCAGCTGAGCTTCAGAGTGGCCGCCCTTGCATACTCACAGCAAGCAGGGCCAGCCCAGGCCCCCAGCAAAGCACCCGGGACTGTAGGTGCAGAGGGCACTGCCCAGACCCTGGGAAACTTGCCCCCTGTCTTTTTTTCAAGACACCATGCTTGACCCTGGCAGGGAGCCTGGGACTGCCTGTGTCTGACCCCCTGAAATCCCCATCATATTACTACTTATCCACCCTCCCACCTGCCCCCACCTCCCTGACGTCCTTCGCAGCGACCGCTCCCAGGCCCCCGTTCCCCGCCACAGCTGCTGTCACTGCCAGCCTTGCTCCTGCCGAAGCCCCCGGGAGGGAGCCCTGCCCTTGCATGCTCTTCGCACAGTCTGGGCAGGCCCTCAGCGGCTGGGGACACATTGAGCAGACTGTGCAGAGCCTGTTATCTCACTCCAGAAGCCCAGCTGGCGAAGGCCTGGCAAGTGCAACCTCTGATCTATGGAACTGCTTGTTCACCCCAGCATTCTTGGACTCCACAGGTCCCAGTGCCCAGCAGTGACAGAGAAAAGGGATTTACCAATCCACTCATTCACTTCTTCATTCATTAAGGGCATAGAATAGCCACTTGTTCCATTTCTGTCTCTCATTAGCCATAAACTCTGTGACAGCAGTGACAATGTCTCCTTCTATTATTACTGTATCCCTATTGGATACCTGAGTGCTGGAGGCACCCAACAGATTTTTGGTGCTATTGTTTAATACTGAATATTCTTAATAAAATATTTATTTAGTGGATGAAGAAGTAAATACATAGATGAATAGATGGGTGGTAGATGGATGAATGGATGGATGGATATGTGAATGGGCGGGTGGAGGAAGGGAGAAAGGAAGAAAGTAAGGGAGAGAAAGAGAAGGGCTAAATAGAAGATGGTTAGATGGATGGATGGATGGTTGGATGGATGGATGGATGGATGGATGGATGCATGGATGGATGGATGTGTAGATGAGCAGATGAAGGGAGGGATGGGTGGGTGGGAGGATGGATGGATGGATGTGTAGATGAGCAGATGAAGGGAGGGATGGGTGGGTGGGAGGATGGATGGATGGATGGATGGATGTTTGGTTGGATGGATGGATGGTTGAACGGATGGAGAGTTGGATGGATGGATGTGTAGATAGGCAGATGAAGGGAGGGATGGGTGGGTGGGTAGACGCATGGATGGATGGATGGATGGATGGATGGATGGTTGGATGGATGGATGGATGAATGTGTAGATAGGCAGATGAAGGGAGGGATGGGTGGGTGGTGGATGGATACATGGATCGATGGCTATATGGTTGGGTAGGTGGAGAGAGAGAGAAAAGAAGAAAGGAAGAGAGAGAAAGAGAAGGGCTAAATAGAAGGATAGAAGGATGGGTAGATGTGTGGATGGATGGATAGATGGAATGGGCAAATGATGCCTTCTATGTGCTAGGTGTTATGAGAACTGTGGAGATAAGCCTGGACAAGTCTCCTCTAGAAAGGAAGAGGGTCAAGACCTGATACCCAAACTGAGAGCAGGAAGAACACAGTAGGCCACCCCCATGGGCTATACTCTTGCAGGGAGGTGGCAGGAGAATTCAGAGAAAGGAAAAGGTAAAATTCAGCATCCATTATAATATTACTTGACATCTAGTAACCTTTTTCTTGGGCAGTAGGGTTCTTAGCTTACTTAGGGAGATATCTTTAGTCCTTTCTAGAAAAATTAATGCTAAAGAGGAGAGGGGCTACTCTATCTTGGGATCTTTCTGATGCAACTTCCTTGGGCCTGGAATCCATCCTAAACCTCTTAGGTCAATATGTCTTGTCTTCAGGAGGTTTTCTGTAGAGCCCTGTTTCCTAAAATCCTAAACTCTCCAGTAGCTAAGGGTCACCTCACGTGTTTCAGAAAATAAATAAAATAAAAATAGTCTAAAAGGGCCTTACAGATCTGTGCTCCCAGTTTCAGGCACCCGCATATCACCTTCCTGATGCTTTTTGCTATAGAGTTGTACTGCAATAAACTACCTTCACATTTTTTCCCATGTTTTTGTACCCCTGCTAATATTTTTTTAATTAATTCACTATTTTTTACTTTAATGCATTTAAAAGGAAACTATATCATTACCCTAAATGGAAATTTGTATCACTTGCTCTAAATTAAAGGTAATTATAAAAATAAATAAAAAGAGAACAATGTTATTAAATTCTGGCTGAATACTGCTGCCTGCAGCCGGCCCTGGCCTGGGGCCTGCTCTCGTGTACAGAGGGAGGCTGGCAGAGGTAGAAGGTGTTAAAGACACACTGGGGGCTGGAAGGGGCTTCTCTCCTGGAGATCCCAGGGAGCGTGACAAGGGTAGATCTCTCACCCTGTGACTTAGGTTGTTTTACACGGGGGTCTCCGTATCTTCTGAACTTGCCGGGCCAGAGACAGTGGCTCACGCCCGAAATCCCAGTACTTTGGGAGGCTGAGGTGGGAGGATCACTTGAGTCCAGGCATTTGAGAACAGCTTGGGTAACATGGTGAGACTCTCATCTCTACAAAAAATTTAAAAATTACCAGGCGTGGTGGCATGCCTGTAATCCCAGCTACCCAGGAGGCCAGGAACTGGGAGGCTACAGTGAGCTCTGATTGTGCCACTGCACTCCAGCCTGAGTGACAGAGTGAGACCCTGTCTCTAAAAAAGAAAATTTAAAAAAAATGAAGTCGCCCTGGGCACCACCAATGGCTTGCTTCTCCCTGGTCAGGACAGGCTGTCACTCAGCTCTTCCTTTAACCAACTTGGATCTTAAGGCCACAGTAGATTAGGATCTTCTTAAGAAGTTCTGAATAAATGGGAACCGATGGAGTTTTCCTCCTCATTAAAGAAAAAAAAGTAATTTTAAAATCTACCGACTTCTCCCTTCTCTGCACGCTGGATCCTCTACATACCTATCCCTGACCTTCACTGCCTCCGAAGCCCAAGGACCCTGTCTTGGTTAGGAGCCTGCTCTACTTTCAGGGAGCACAGATGTCCCAGAGGGACAGCTGGTAACAGATCCCTACTTCCCTCAAAGCCACGGGAAAGAAGAGCCCCGTCTGCCGCACAACTTCAACCTCAGCGTGTAAGTGAAGGTGAACGGTGAAACCCACCAAAAAACACACACATGCAAACCAAGCATTCGTCTCAGGCAGGCTAAAGTTCTAGTTGTACTCAGAACCTGGCCCAAATGGACGATTCACAGCTTTTCCTCTGAAGATAAAGACTCCGAAAATAGCACCATAATTCTGAGGCTGGATCCTGAAAACCTACCTTGTTTTTCCCTTTCAAGAGAGGAATATTTCAAATATCAGTGAAATCTTTATAAGAACAACTAAATAGATGGGATTTAACTTCACAATGAACCACACTTTTTTTTTCCTCAGAGGGCAAAAAAAAAGAGAATTTAGGATTTTCTTTTGTAAAAAGATTTTGTTTTTCCTGATATTGCCTGAGCTGATGCTTCTGACGCTAGAGATTATCTGCGCGGCAGCCGGGCTTGTTGTAATTAACACACAAGAAGCAGCTCTACTTCCTAGTAATATATTTTTCTAAGACTTTGATGATGCTAAGAGATTTTGAATCCCACATTGCAGACTTTGAAGAAACTGCATTGGATAGAGACACCTTAGATGAAATTGAAAATAACTCAGGTTTAATATGCCTCCCCAGGAGCTTTCCGGAAAGAATGGGTTAAAGGTATTTGTACACACCGCACTGCGGATCGGGGTATAAGGAAGTTGGTCTTGTGGGGTCTTCCAAGACATAAGAGATGTGATCAGGCCTTCTTCTTTGGGGGTATTTTGGCCCCTAAGTATCTTCTTTGGTCTCAAACATAAATGGCTTCCTTAAAGGATTTAATTAATTCTTAAATGTGCACAGGGCCCATGAGCACAAACATTAACTTGTTAAAAGAGTTAAGCCAGATTCTGTTCTCAGCCACGCACAAGCAGTTCCCCGTGACATCCCTGGGAGTGTCACATGCAGGCTGGGTCCCTGCAGATGCCCTGCACCCTTTCTGCCCAGCGCCCAGCCTGCCTGTGACTCCTGCAAGCACTGGGTCATGACTCATCCCAGGACCGGCCACCACAATCTGGCCTCTCCTCCAGCCTCCAGAAGCAGCACCCGGATGGGAACTCTGTCCCCTCCTGCTTTGCTGCCTTTCCTCTTCACTGAGCTTCCCGGGTTGCTGATGGCTTCTCCGTGCCTGGAAAGGATGCCGTGGAGCAGAGGACGTGTTGGGAGTCCTGCCTGGATGGGGAGAGCCATGGTGAGAGAAGCCTCACGCCAAAGCCTCCCCAGATGTGAGCACATCAGGAGACGGAGCGTGCTGCCTCTTCTCAGACCCCATCCAATCCTCCTGCTCCTCACACTGCTGGCCCATTTGCACATTCAGCTCTCATCTTATACAAAACTCACGTTTCCTTTATTTTATCTGTCTTGGGTAGAATCTGATTTAAAATAGCGAAGCAACATTTATCGTTTGTAAAATTAGCCATGCACACATACACACACGTGAATATACACACGCATATGTGTGTGTGTTTGTAATGATGACATATGCTTCTGGTTACAGAGAAAGGGCATTCTTAGGAAGTACTGGAAGGAGTGAAAACTGGTATATTTTTTCTGAAAGCAGTTTGGCATTATAGATCAAAAGGCTCAAAAACATTTATAAACTATGACTCAGTTTTCCACTCCTAGAACAAACCTAGAATGCTATCAGCAATAAAGACAAAACTGTACGGAAATGCTATTTATAGTGAGAAAAACACTCAGACACCCCAAATGTTCAAGAGTAAGGGAATGGTTACATCAAAGCCATGAAGGAGCGTTCTGCCTTAAAACTCAGGCTTTCAAAAGACGTTTCAGTGGATGGGAACATGCCCATGATAACATTTCAAGTGAAAGATACAGCTATGGCTACAGTTTGGTACCAATTCTGAAAAAGAAAAGAATATATAGGCATAGAAAATAAAGAAAGAAAAAATAACAAAATGTTATTTCTGGGTGGCAGGACCAACACTCTTCTGAATGCTATTGTGTATTTTCCAAATTAGTTCATGGACACGCATCGTTTCTCTAATCAGAAAATATAAAGTTATTTCTGAAGGGAAAATTAAAATAAAAGAAAATCCATCCTCATTTAGCAGAGACCAATCTTTAATACTTAATTTTTAAAAGAAAATTTTTGGTAACTGGCCATATATCTAGTCTGCACCAGAATTATGTAAATAAGAGTTTAAAATAATAATAACCATTATAACAATTCAAGTATCTTAATTGCATAATTTGGAAGAAAATGACTCCCAGAGGTGAAGGTTTAGTGATGGTGGCATGAAGGAAATGGGTACCTCTTGAGACGGGCACATCATCATAGACACCCTTCCAACCCCGGCCAACCCCACCTTCAGAGGAGCCACCTCTGTCCCATCTTTGCAGATCCCTAGGCAGAATGCCCAGTACACATGTAGGTGTTCCAAAAATGTAATTGAAGTGAGTAAAGATGCTATTTAACATCTTATGAGGAAGGATGCACAAGTTTATTTTTTTCTCCTCAGATATTTGAAATTTTACAAAAAACCCTAGAAGTCTAAATATTTCTGTTAAATTCAACCAACAATTACTAAGCATCTATCATTTAGATTTAACAAAACAAAGAGCATTAAGTTAATTTCCTGTCATCCATGCTGCACCCACGGTGGGAATGACTGAACGCACTTCACCTGTGAAAGGCTGCCTTCTCCAGAGAAGAGAAGAAACTATACAGTGAGTAGGTCACAGATGTCTCCTTCATTTTAGAACAGGACACCAGGAATGCTCCATCAATGTCAAAAATGATGATGCAAGATTTAAAAATCAAGCATAATAGGCCAGGGAACAAATCTACATGATCATTTTGATAGACATCAAAAATCCTCCAGCAAAATTGGGTATTCGTTTCTGATTAAAAAAAAAAAATGCTTGGCAATACAAAAATAAGATCATGAAAATATACTTATATCAAAACAACCCAAGCCAGGCATGGTGGCTCACACTTGTACTCCCAACACTAAGGAAGGCCAAGCGGGGAGGATTGCTTGAGCCCAGGAGTTCAAGACGAGCCTAGGCAACATAGCAAGAGCTTGTCTCTACTAATAGAAAAAAAAATTGCTGGGCATAGTGACATGTCACCTATTTGGGAGGCTGAGGTGGGAGGATCACTTAATTCCAGGAGTTCAAGGCTGCAGTGAGCAATGATTGTGCCACTACAATCCAACCTGGGCAATAGAGCAAGACCCTGTCTAAAAACAAACAAAAATTCCGACCCCCAAAACATGTCCTTGTGATAAAACACTAGAGACGTTTTCATCAAATTAAAAGCAAACTAAAGATGCAAAGATGCCCCATCACCCCAATTCTTAAATATTGTTATGGAAGTTCTAACTAATGCAATTAGCAAAGAAAATTAAATAAGAACTATAAATATTGGAAATAAGAAAACTTTATCCTTTTTTTTCTAATGGTATGTTTGTATTTAGAGAATTCCATTAAATCTTAAAACCCAGAAAGTCGAAATTTAAATAACATTTGCAGTGGATTGTATCAAGATGGAAAACTGGACACATTCACCCTCCTTCTCTGCCACCTCAAATCCCTGGAAATGGCATAAAAGATGTTTTTTTCACATAGAATAATTCCCTAATGGCACTAAATAAACAAGAAGCAGGTCATCGGCATGCCAGGAATGTTGAGATATTCCTGAGGATGGAAAGTAAATGAAATCAGGGCCGGGCACAGTGGCTCATGCTTATAATCCCAGCACTTTGGGAGGCCAAGGCAGGCGGATCACCTGAAGTCAGGAGTTCAAGACCAGCCTGGCCAACATAGTGAAACCCTGTTTCTACTAAAAAAAAAAAAAAAAAAAAAAAAAAAATACAAAAATTAGCCTGGCGTGGTGGCATGCACCTGTAATCCCAGCTATTCAGGAGGCTGGGGCAGGAGAATTGTTTGAACCCAGGAGGTAGAAGCTGCAGTGAGCCAAGATTGTGTCACTGCACTCCAGTCTGGATGACAGAGCAAGACTCCATCTCAAGAAAGAAAGAAAGAAATAATATAGATGGGATCAGATCAATAGACATAGGCCAAAGAACAGCCTCAAATACACTGTGGGGAAAGAACTTGAAAATAATGAGCTGATCCACAAAAACTCAAAATGGAAAGTGCAGTGGTAGAGGGAAGCATCATCCTCAAAGCCAAGTGCCAAGTATTATCCAACACTCTAAGAATATGAATCACCTAACCAAAAAAATGTTCTAGAGTGAGGACAGGGACCTGGAAAGACACAGGAGAGAGTTTAAAGTTGCCTCATCAACGTGGTGGGGAAAAAGATGAAAGGGCCACCCACTAGGAAGGTGAGCACCTGAGTCTCCCAGTGCCAGAGAGAAAGCCTGCCCTCTTCCCAGGGAGGATGGGGAGGGCAGGGAGGAGGTGGGTGAGTCCCAGCCTGCCTATTTTCCTGCCCACACACCCCACACTGCACATCCTAACGTGAGTCTGACAGTCCCAGAACCCTCCACAGTAAGAGCCAATGAGCATCCCTCCCATGCCATGGAGAGCCTGATGGGGTAACAGACCTAGAGAACCACAGAAGAATATCTGCCAGGCACCAATACTAAGCCACTACTCCTCTTTTCACAAAAACAAATGACAAAATAGCTCACTACAAATGTGAAGGAAGCTAAAAACACAACAAAGAAGAACCAAGATGTACCAAAAAAAAAAAAAAAAAAAAATTCAGAGGACAAAGATAATTTAATAAAAAATTCTAACTAGTATCTTCACAAAAAGGATAATATTGCAACCATAAAGAGAGAAAGGACTGATTGGAAATAGAGCCATCAGAGAAGGAAAAGACAAAAAAGTGTTGGAAATTCACAATTTGATTGCATATATTTTCTTTAAATCCCTGTTGAAGATCTAAAAGCTGAATAGACATGGTCCCAGCCAAATTCCTGACATGAAAGATCATGTGAAAGTAGTACAAAAATAATGAAATGGAAAGTATAGGAGATAAATGAAAAGACATGCAGATACAATCCAAAGTGTCTAATACCCATCAAGTAGAAGTTCCAGAAAGAACAAGCGAGCTAAGGATTGAAAAATGATGATGATGGGCCGGGCATGATGGCTCATGCCTATAATCCCAGCACTTTGGGAGGCCAAGGTAGGCAGATCACGAGGTCAGGAGATCGAGACCAACCTGGCTAACACGGTGAAACCCTGTCTCTACTAAAAATACAAAAAATTAGCCGGGCACGGTGGTGGGCACCTGTAGTCCCAGCTACTTGGGAGGCTGAGGCAGGAGAATGGTGTGAACCCAGGAGGCTGAGCTTGCAGTGAGCCGAGATCATGCCACTGCACTCCAGCCCGGGCTACAGAGCAAGACTCTGTCCCCCACAAATAAAAAGATGATGATGATGATGATGACGATGACGATGATGATGATCATGATGATTTTTCAGTCTGTAGACTGAGAAAAATAAAAAGAATTACGTTTGAAAGAATCCCCCAGCTGATGGGAAAATTTCTGGAAAAAAGAATTCACACACTGTCACATCAAGAAGAGACCTCCAACCTCCAGAAAGAAAGTGGAAAAAACAATGCTAGAAGGAAAAAAAAGAGAAGGAGGAGAAGAAGAAGGAGAAGAAGGAAGAAGGAAAAGGAAGAGGAAGAGGACGAAGAAGAAGAAGAGGAAGAAGAAGAAGAAGGAGAAGGAGAAGAAGAAGAAGAAGAAGAAGGAGGAGGAGGAGCAGGAGGAGGAGAAGGGGGAGGGAGAAGAGGAGGAGGGGGAGGGAGAAGAGGAGGAGGGGGAGGGGGAGGGAGAAGAGGAGGAGGGGGAGGGAGAGGGAGACAGGGGGCAGGGGGAGGGGGAGGAGAAGAAGGAAAAGGAGGAGGAGGAGAAGAAGGAGAAGGAGGAAGAAGGAGAAGGAGGAAGAGAGCAGGAGGAGGAGGGGAAGCAGAAGCAGGAAGAAGAAGGAGGAGGAGGAGGAAAAGAAGAAGAAAAAGAAGAGGAAGAAGACAACAGCTTACCCACATAGGAATGAGAATTGGACTGTCATCAGACTTCTCAATGACAACACTGGATATTTCAAAATAGTCAGGTAATATTTTCAAAGGGCTGGGGGAAGTTATTTTAAACCTAGAATTCTATATGTAGCATCAAGTGCAAGATAAAATAACACATTTTCAGATAAAAAAGGACTCAGACTCACTCTGAAATCATTAAAGGTTTTATACAACAGAGGAAATAAAATAAGTAAACCAAAGGTCAGTTTATATTTATATTTAAGTTCAAATAATGGGTAGTACATAATGGTTTTTACAATGTCTGGAATTAAAATCACAGATCATTTTCACATGAAGGAAAGGCAAAGGACATGGGGCTGGGATGGATGACAGATAAGGCTTTGTCTTGTTCAAGGGAGGATATGGATGCTGAATGCATATGTGCACACACACACACATTTAAAATGTGTCAGAAATTAAGCATTCTCATTATGTGACCAAACCCCAGGTGTACACTTTTAAATCAGAAAAGAAAAAAAATGAAACAAAATTTCATCCATGCAATAAAAGAGAGAAAACTTCATATGCCATGATTAACAGACAACATAAAAACGATAGCAAAAATAAAAACTAAACATATTAGTAAACTTAATAAATGTTAATGGGTTAAAATCATGTATAAAAAAGAAAGAATTTCAAATATTGGATTAGGTTAAATATATGCCCACCATTCCCCAGTTTTATATTCTTTATGTGAGAACCAGTTTCACATAAAGGTTGAAAATTTAAGAATGGAAAAGATATATACAAAGCAACATCAATAAAACAAAAGTAAGTAGTGAAATAGTAGTATCATATAAAATATAATTTGAGGCCAAAACATTAAATAGGTACAGGGAAACTTTTTTTTTTTTTTTTTTTTTGAGACAGAGTCTCTCACTGTTGCCCGGGGTTGGAGTGCAGTGGCATGATCTCGGCTCACTGCAACCTCCACCTCCCAGATTCAAGTGATTCTCCTGCCTCAGCCTCCTGAGTAGCTGGGATTATAGGCACCCGCCGCCACGCCTAGCTAATTTTTTGTATTTTTAGTAGAGACAGGGGGTTTCACCATGTTAGCCAGGCTGGTCTCGAACTCCTGACCTCATGATTTGCCCACCTCGGCCTCCCAAAATGCTGAGATTACAGGCGTGAACCACCGTGCCCAGCCAGTACAGGGAATTTTTATGTCAAGAAAGAATACAGTCTATCAAAGAACTTCAAGGAGCAATCATAGTGATGAACTTCTATGCACCTAGCAACAAAGCTATAAAATACATAATGCAAAAGCGGGTAATGTAATGCAAAACTAACAAATTCATCATGGAAAAGGTTATCATGCCTTCCTCAGATAGGAAATTAGACTTTAAAAATAAATGTTTAAAAATAAGAATGACAGAACCCCATACCCAACAGAAAATATGAATTCTTTACAAACATCCATGCAACATCTCAAAAATGTTACATGTATTACAGCATTCAAAAATACCTGAATAAAGTTCCAAAACCTATAAATCTTATTAAATACCTGTTCAAATTAAAAGTAAAAACAAAGCAATAGCAAAACAAACGAATAAAAATTCTAGGATGTGGTTAAGAGGGTAGTCAAATGAGACTTTATAACCTTTAATGTAATGAATAGAAAGTGAAAAGAATTGAAAACAAATGAACAAAGCCTTCAATTCCATAAACTAGGGAGGGGGGTAATAAAAATACACCTGATGAAAGTAAGAAGGGATTCATAAAAATAAGAGCAGACACTAATTAAATAGAACCGCTCCACACCCTTTCCCCCAAAAGGCTCATTCAATACAACTAAAAACAGTTTCTTTGAAAAGACCAAGAAAATAAATGTGGCAATATGGATGAGAATAAAAAGAGAAAACACAAACAACATGGGATTGAGGAAGGGAATAAAAATTCAGATACAAAACACATTTTAAAATAATGATAAAATACAGAACAACTTTATACCATTAAATTTGAAAATCTACACTAAAATAAATGAATTGTCTAAAAAAATTATCAGATATGACAATGAGAAGTAACATACTTGAATAAAAGAATAACTATAGAAGAAATTTAAGGATAACGAACATTTACATTTTAAAAAAAAGCCTCATCACTTTTATGTTCATAGTTTACCAGAAGTTCAAAGAAACAGATCGTCTCTGTATATAAACCATCTCGGAACACAGAAAAGATAGAAAGTTTCTCATTTCATTCTCTGAGACTAGGATAGTGCTACTAGATATAGCATATAAGACAAAAAGAAAGAAGGGAGGGAGGAGAAAGAGGAGAAGAAGGAGAAGGGGAAAAGGAAGGACAAGAATTACTGTTACTACTATTACTACTACTTTCTATTAGAAGCTATAAGGCAATCTCATTTATAAACAGCAATATAAATATCAAATAAAATATTAGTGAAATGAACCATATGGTATATTCACATAATTTATTAAAGAACAACTAGAGTTTACCCCCAATAATTCAAGATTCATTCAACAATAGAAAGTCTACTAATTCACTATATTAATATCTTACAAGAGAATAATCATATTATATCAACAACATCCCAAGATCACTTGATAAAATTCAACATTCCTTCCTGATTTATAAAAAGATAAATGGCCAAATCACACATTATGTTTAATGGCAAAACATTGGAATTATTTCTGTTAAAGCTAGCAACAAGACACTCTGTCCTGGAAGTCTTAGTCAATACAAACAATGTGAAATTTTTGGAAAAAAAAAGAAGTTATGAGTTGTAATTATTTACAAGGACTAGGCAAAACTGTCATTATTCACAGTTGAAAATGACTGTACCTAAAAGATCCAAAGAATAAAGTATGAAACTGTTAGTACTAATAAATCGTAGTAAAATGTCAAAGATAAAATCAATATACTGAAAATGATCACTTTCCTGTATAAAAAAAAACAATTGTAAGTTGTCAGAGGAAATTTCAAACACCCAGAATAAATATAATAAGACATGGGCAAAATCTATAAAAGTAAAACAGAAAACTTTACAAAAGGGCATAAAATAAGACCTGAATAGAACTATACCATGTTCATGGATGAAATGGTGATATCATAAATACATAAATTTTTTTAAAATTAATCTATAAATCCAAGTCAAATTATCAATAAGATCATCTATCAAACTTATCAAGTGAAATCTAAAATTCATCATTAAAAAATGTGATAATTGCCAAGCAAGTTTTAAGAAAGAATAAAAAGACAGCATGTGTACTATCAAATCAAAATACAGTAAAACTATAATAATTGAAATAATGTGGTAGTATACAGAAGTAGACAAATATGTCAATGAACCAGGTAGAGAGAAGCCCGAAAGTGACACGTGGTTTTGATAAAGGTGATGATTCAGATATAAAAATAGACTGATCAGTAAACATATTGAGATAATAGTCTATGCATTTAAAAAATACATTACACAACATTACTTCACACAAAAAGTTTTAAAACTAAGAAGTCATCACTGAAATCATAGGAGAATTTTTTTATAATCCTTGGTAAAGACTTTTTAAAATGAAGCCATATAAAGTTGTATAAATAAAAATGTATCTTTAACTATATTCCAAAGGAAATTCATATAAAAATTTTAAAATTTTGGTGCATCAGATTGCAAAAAAAAACTAAAAAGCTTTATTTGTATATATTGTTGGTACAGGTTTGGGAAACTGACCATTCTCACACACTATCTGCAGAAAAGTAAACTGGTGCACCCTGTTTAGAAAGCAATTCTTCAATATCCACGAAAATTTTAAATGTGCATACCGTTCAACCTAACAATGCCACTTGGAGGTATCCATATTATAGAAATATTCACATGTGTATGTGCCAGAAATTTTTTTGCAGCATTTTTTTAATTGGAGAAAGAATGGAAATGATTCAATCATTGACCCATTGGAAAATACCTAAGTAGTTATGGTACATCCATATCATGGAATTTTGTCCAAGTTTAAGAGAATTAAATAGATCTCTATATTCTTAAGTATATAAATGCTAGTGTCAAAGCAATGTGTATACGGTTTTGCCATGTTTGTGAAAAACAAGAACTCCTTTGTATTTATATGCATTTGTGCATGTGCAGAGATAATGCCAATCCATGAAAAATTATTACCTCTTGAGAAGAGGGTGAAATTGAGGTGAAGGTGAGAGATTTTAAAAAGACCTTCACTTGGCCGGGCGCGGTGGCTCACGCCTGTAATCCCAGCACTTTGGGAGGCCGAGGCGGGCGGATCACGAGGTCAGGAGATCGAGACCATCCTGGCTAACACGGTGAAACCCCGTCTCTACTAAAAAACACAAAAAAAAATTAGCCGGGCGTGGTGGCGGGCGCCTGTAGTCCCAGCTACGCGGGAGGCTGAGGCAGGAGAATGGCGTGAACCCGGGAGGCGGAGCTTGCAGTGAGCCGAGATCGCGCCACTGCACTCCAGCCTGGGCGACAGAGCGAGACTCCGTCTCAAAAAAAAAAAAAAAAAAAAAAAAAAAGACCTTCACTTTTCATTGTTTATTTATTTCAAATAATTTTTTAAAGTTATTTTATTTATAAATTTCAAAGAACAAAAAGTAAATGGAGTTTTCCTATATATCTTATATATCAGTTGGAAAATGTAATTTTAAAATCTCTTTAATAGAAAATTATGAATATGTGTGCAATGTGTGAATACAAAATTTTACCCTAAGGATATACATCAAAATAAGCACTTAATGGATTAGAAATTTATATTTAAAATAAAATCATAAATACTTAAGGTGAATTTAGGAGTATTATTAATGGGGTAGGAAATCATTTTCAAAGCATGGCACTAAAAAGTAAAGGAATACATTAAAAGATTTAATCACTTAAATCCCTTTATCTCATTAGAAAACACCATGTACGAACTATTTTTCCAAGTGAAATACTTCG
The DNA here is from genome assembly GCF_000001405.40 of Homo sapiens. NCBI lineage: Eukaryota > Metazoa > Chordata > Mammalia > Primates > Hominidae > Homo > Homo sapiens. The sequence continues at coordinate 30,410,047 of NC_000019.10, read as the reverse complement.
AAGAAACAATTAGAAGATGTGTATAAGACAAAGGGTTAATATCTCTGATGTATGAAGAGATGCTACAGTTAAAAAAAAAAATTCAAATACCCAAAAGGAAACCAGACAGAAGGCATAAACAGGTAATTCACCAAAGGGACTTAGAGGCATTCCATTAAAGATATGTATCTTTACATCTATATAGAGAGATATCTACATAAAATATAGATATACATACATATTAAGCTTGAGAAATAAAAAGCAAAATGAGACAGTTTGCATATAAAATTAGTACGGTGTACCACTTTGTTAAATAACATTCAGACTTGAAGGAATATAAGGAAAGGGACAGGGTCATAATTTGTATGGCAGTTGTGGTGGTCGGGGGACGTAATTTGACATAACATGCCTGAAGGGCAATTTGGCAACAGGTATTCAAATCTTTAAATGTGCATTCTCTTTAACCTGGCAATTCCACTTCTAGCAATTAAACCTAAGGAAATAATTAAGAACGTGTACAAAGATTTAGCTGAAATGATGTTCATCAAAGTGTCATTTATAAAAGTACACCTAGATTGCCCTTCTTCCTTGTCTGCTGCCAAGGAAGCTGGGAGCAGGGGGGCCAGGGATTCGGAAGGAGAAAATTAGACAGGGCGCCTCCCAAGGATAACAACATAAGAAAAGAGAGCTCTGTAAGATTAGCGAGGCTTGAGATGTCCTTTAGCAGAACAAGGTGGTCTGAATCTCATAGGCCTGCTGCAGACTATTGGCAGGAAATACACTCTCCAAGTTCAAAACCTCTGACTTTTATTTATTTATTCATTCATTTATTCAACAAATATTTATTGAGCAACTACTCTATGCCAGACACCATTCTACATACCAGAGATGAATGTTTAGATAGAAAGATATGGATAGATGGATGAATGGATCAATGGATGGATGAATAGACGAATGGATGATAATGGATTAATGATGGATTTGTGGGTGGATGGATGGATGGATGGATGAGTGGATGGATGGATGAATGAGTGGATGGATGGATGGATGGATGGATGGATGGACCAATGGATGATAATGAATGAATGAATGAATGATGGATTTGTGGGTGGATAGATGGATGAATGGATGAGTGGATGGATGAATGGATGAATAGACAGATGAATAGATGGATGATGATAGATGAAGGATGGATAGAAGATCGATGGATGGAGGATGGATGAATATATAGATGGATGGATGATAGAGAATAATGGATGGATGAATAGATGGAAGGATAGATGTATGAATAGATGGAAGGATAGATGGATGGATGATGGACAGATGGACCGATGGATCAATGATGGCTGATGGATGGATGGACATATGGATGGATGAATAACTAATTACTAACAACCAAAGGAATAAAACAAAAGCAGATTGCAACTGCGATGTGACCACCTTGATACCCTTCTTCCACTTACTTCCTGTGCCCTCACCAATATCCCTCCCAGCTGCTGAAATTGGCAGAGAGAGCAGCTCACAACTCTCACCAGAGGTCAAGAAGATTGAATGGCAGTAGAAAACAGTGATGACTTTCTAATTCCTGGAGAAAAGGCTGTGGCCTGGACAAATAATGCAGATGGAGTACTGAAGGAAAGAAGCTCAAGGAACAAAGGTGGTGATGGGGAGGGGAGGCTGGCTCACAAGGGCATCCCCTGGATACCATGCACTAATCAAAAATGGTACAGACAAATGCTTAACACCCGTGAGCAGACACTCAGAAGGTTAGGGCAATTATACTAGTGGCCAATTTTACTAGAATGCAACACCCAGATTTCCACCCTTCTCCCCATGGTCTATAATGGCCTGGATTCAATCACCACAAACCCAAAGCAAAAAACAGGTTGAACTTCCTCTACACCTCTGTGCACACATGTACTCGTGCACAGGTACATGCATCCACTCACACAAAAAGAAACACAGCCCATCTTTCTCATAACCCACCTCCAATCCAAAAGTATATGCCTGAGACCCCTTCAGGGTTGGTGATGAGTGGGCCAAGGCAGGTACTCATAGTGCCCATCACATCAGAGAAAACCCAACTGATTTCATGACGGCCACTTTCCTCTCAACAAAGGAAACCCCAGTCATCCTCTGTGAGCCAAAGACAAGGAGCCCAGTCCCCAGATCTAATGAGAGAAAAAGAAAATTGGAAACCATCTGTATTTCCACCCACGGGACTGGATTAAATAAATCAATCATGGTAGAGTCATGCAATTGTTTTTGCACTCATCAAGAAGGGTGCAGAAGAATACATTAAATTCAGTGGCTGTTCACAAAATGGTATGCAAGCATAATCCACTTTATGTACAACAACAAAAAGAGAGAATATATATGCATAAGGGCCTGAAAGGAGAGACAGCAAAGAACTCATCTTGGTGATCACCCAGGGATGTCCATTCCCTTCCTGCTGCTCAGAACACAAACAGGGGATTTTGGAAACCCCAAAGTGAAGCCTGTTGGTCAGAAGTTCGTGAGGCCCCGGCTTGTGACTGTCGTCTGGGGCGGGACCATCTTGGGGACTGAGCTCTCACCCTGTGGGATCTCCGGGTAGATGGTGGCAGAATTGAATTGGGGGACACCCAGCTGGTGTCCACTGCTGGGTGTGTGGGGAGCCCCCCACCCTGACATTTGGTCACAGAAGTCTTCTTCTATGTTGATGACTATAGTTGTAGTGTGAGAGAAGAGGAAAATCATGGTTGGAGAGTTTTCTCGAAACAGCAAGCTGATTTTGAAATCAGCTCATTATGTAATGTTTAGAAAAACTAGCAAAACGTCAATATAAACAAAAAGGAAGAAACATCCTTTGTAGATTTTTCAGCCTTCTGGGGATCATAAGGTCAGTCTGTTGGCCACACAGGACAGGGTAGGTCAGGGAGGAGCAAAGTGGAGTTGTAGGGCTGGCTCCCTGGTTCCGGTGATCCTTTATCCAGCCACCTGCTGTGACCCCAGTAATAAGTGAGCAAAGTAACAGGCACAAGAAAGGCAGCAACTTCTGCAAAAGCAAAATCCCCCCTCATTAAAGTAACTGGTGGGACCCGACATGATTGCAGTCAGTCCAGGGTCCAAAGCAGAGACAACAGAGGTTGGGGATGCCCTCTGTCTACTCTGTGGATCTCCTCTGCTCGCATCTCTTTCTACACTGTTTAGGGATCAAACATCTTTTAAAAGGTTATCACCATGAGAAACTGACATGATAGCAACACCCAGGGAAATGCCAACAAGTTGTGGTGGCCCCTGCTTTAAAGGAGCACACCCGCTACAGAAAACTTGTTCACTGGAGGCTGTCACACAGTCATTCCACAGACAGTCTCCAGGGGTCACTCTGTGTCAGGCACCAAGCTGTGCCAGCCCCGGCACGTTGCTCAACCCTTAAAAGGAAAACTGGCCGTACAGTTTCCCAGTGTAGAAACAGAGCTGGGAGATGACCCCAATCACTGCTAGATAATCCAAGTTTCCTCAATGCTTGGAGCTAAAAATACGCATTTCCTATCTCAGGTATTTATAGCCCTACAATGTATCCTTCCCCAACAGCAGAGCTCTCCTACATCAGCCTGCAGTCTCCTGGCCAAAATCCCTGTTGGCCTGGAGTAAAGCGGTGTGGATTTCAAAGAAAACACCTTCAGAACCTTCCCCAACCCATGACCATGGCAAATTAAGATTCTTGCTCGGTGGCACCTGCTCCTGATCCTTTCCTAGTCCTTAACCACACTCCGCTCTCTCGTCTCCCACTCCTCTTCCTTGGGTTGTTTCTCCCTGGGCATGCATCGCGGTTGACTAGTTGTTCCCTTTTCTTGGTGCCCCTGCTAGGCTATAAATTCATATGTTAACAATGATTGTGTCTCTCCCATGTGCCCTGCACATGGAACAATGCACATACTTCTAGCATGGAAGATACTCAGGAACTCCTGACTTTAGAGATCCTTCAGGTCTGATAAGATAGAAACAGTGGCTGGGCGTGGTGGCTCACGCCTGTAATCCCACCACTTTGGGAGGCCAAGGTGGGTGGATCTCCTGAGGTCAGGAGTTTAAGACCAGCTTGGACAACATGGTAAATCCCGTCTCTACGAAAAATACAAAAATTATCTGGGTGTGTTGGCGGGTGCCTGTAATCCCAGCTACTCGGGAGGCTGAGGCAGGAGAATCGCTTGAACCCAGGAGGTGGAGGTTGCAGTGAGTGGAGATTGTGCCAGTGCACTCCAACCTGGGATACAGAGTGAGACTCTATCTCAAAAAAAAAAAAAAATGTTAACAGTGCCTCTGCATCAAGGGCCTCCACATTCTTCAGTAAGTAATCCAATTTCCAGTAGGCAGGATGCAAAGGTGGAAAACGATTCGGGTGTGGCGACTGATCACACCGGTTCTGAAAATCCACCTTCTAGACTACAACACTGCGCCCATAAACAGTATCAAGAGGCAAGGGAGAAGTGCAGTCTTAAATGGTTTGGTACCCATGGAGAAGCTTTCCCTGGAAGACTCTGGTCTGATGGCTCATCAGACCCATCAAGCCTGAAGCCAGGAGCTAGGAGATGGTTTCCTAAGGTTCTGTTGAATCTCAGAACCTATGGAGTTCAGGCACAGGGAGACCCCAAGTTCAGGAAGTAGCAGTGCGGTGTTATTATATATACATAGGTTTTGTCTGCAGTTCCTGGCTCATAACTCCCATGGTCCCTGTCAGAGTCTTTTGTTGTAATGTTGGCAGTATTAGGCCTCAGGAAACAGAATATTTCTGATCTTTTTCTGACCTCCTTTCACCTGCCCCAAGGCAGGACTCTAATCTTCCCCCATCTTTCTGACTTGGGGTCTTAAGACCCTCCCCAAAGAGGGTCTCACCCTATATTCTGAAGGATATGTATGACATCATGAAGCTTCCCTAAAAACCCAAGAGGACTGGGTTCTGGGAGCTTCGGGATAGCTGAATGCCTTGAGGTTCCCGGACAGTGGTGCCCAGGGAAGGCGTGGAAGCTCCCCACCATGCCCCATACATTCCCCTACGCCTCTCTTCACCCACATCCTTTGTAATATTGTTGATAATAAACTGGTAAACATAAGTAAATGTTTCCATGAGCTGCTCCGGCAAATTAATAGGACCCAAAGAGGGGGTCATGGGAACCCCAACGTGAAGCCTGTTGGTCAGAAGTTCGTGAGGCCTGGACTTGCAACTGGTGCCTGGGGCAGGACCGTCTTGGGGACTGAGCTCGCAACCTGTGGGATCTCTGGGTAGATGGTGGCAGAATTGAATTGGGGACACCCAGCTGGTGTCCACTGCTGGGTGTGTTGAGGAGCCCCCCCGCCTCCGGACATTTGGTCACAGAAGTCTTCTTCTGTGTTGATGACTGTGGTTGTAGTATAAGAGAAGAGGAAAATCATGGTTGGAGAGTTTTCTAGAAACAAACAGCAATGGTAACTAACGTGGTACTTCCTGGGCACTCAGTCCTGTTCTAAGTGCCTTCACATAATTCTCAAACTCTATCAGTGAGTTTTACTACTATCATATTCGTTTTATGGTTGAGGAAACTGAGGCACAGAGAGGTTAAATAACTTGCCTAAAGTTTCACATCTGATCACTAGATTGCTGGGACTGAACCCCAGACTGCCTGTCTCCACATGCCATGCGCCTCACTGCTAAGCCATCACTACCTCAAGTGGCCTGCAGTTGAGGATGCTGGAGTTCCAGGGATGCTGGGGTGCCAGAAAACAGTGTCCCCCTCTGGCCTGCCCCAAATACAGAATCTACACCAAGGCTGTCTCCACATTTCCTTGGGGAGTCTGGGCTCTGCGCCCAGACTAGAAGCCTCTTGAAGGCAGGATGGCCCCCTTTGTGCCCAACCCAGGTCTGAGCACAAGGTAGGCAGGCCCTGCGTGGGCAACGCTGGCCTTACGCTACAGTTCTTCTACCTACCATCTTCCCTTGCAAGACTAGCAATAAGAAACGTGGGATGGAACAAATAGTGCACCGTGATGAGGAGATTCTAAATGAACAGCAGAAAAAAAAAAAAAAAAAAAAGAGGAAAGGAAAGGAAAGAAAAAAATGTAGAGGGGAATGCTGAAGGGCTTAAATTGCCTGAATCCACCCTTCAATTCCCATGAGTTCTTCGGCCAAGTGGAGATTACATTTACGGTCATCACCAGATGTTCACTGAGAGCCTACTATGTGACCATCCCATCCCTGAAGGCAACAGCAGCCTCCCATCAAAAGCCTGGTGCAGACACCGTTGTCAAGAGCACAGGAAGAACGAGGGGGACAGCATGCCCAGGGACAAAGAGCAGCTGGACCTTGCACTTGGAGACTCTGGCAATAAAACTGCAGCCGAGTGCAGCAGCAGACAGGGAGGCTGTGGAAGACAGCAAGTGGGTCTTCTTTCTAGAGCTGCAAGTTTGCAGGAGGTATGCATTTCACCAACTTCAATAAAGCGGATAGCAGCTCACTTTAGTTTCCATGCACTAGCCCTGGACCAGCCAAAGAGTTGGATTTCAGCAGAAAGAAGAGAGAAGCCCCTGTAGACTTCAAATTCTCCCTCCTGGACCTGATTGGAGATAGTCCTTCTTACCCAAATGCCACAACGATGACAGTTTCCTCTGCTTAAGAAATAGGAAAAATAGAGAAACACATTCTTGCGCAGCCTTTGACCTTTGGCTCTCACTTTCCTCCTTTCAGCATTTTTTCAGGGAAAGAGTTTAGATTTTCAAAGGCCTGCCTTGTCTGCGTTGTGCATTTTCCTGAAATGATGTAAAGAACAACTTATAAAAAATATTGTAATGTGGGAGAATGCAGACCCTCTGACTGAGCTCAGCGGTTTGTCTACAGTCACTCCGACGTCTGAAATGGCCAGATCACATATGCTTTGGAGGCTGGGACTAACAATATGTTATTGATGCCATTTTAAGCAATGCCAGGCAGCATCTCAAAGTGCAGCTCGTCAGCAGCGGTGTTCTCCTCCGCAAAGCATCCCTCCCCATCCCTTCTGTATGTGAAAGCCCAGAGTTGCAGGCATTCCTACCAGGGGGCCAGGGCACGGCAACACCAAATGTAAACATTTATTCCTTGACTCCAGGGAGAAGTCTGTCATGTCAGGCTTTGGGTTTGGGCCTCACAATAAAGCCTTTGTCTCTGCAAATGGCCAGGGTGGGGTGGGGGTAACATTCCCCTCCGACCCAGTCTAAACAGGAGAGCAGTTTAGTTTAAATCAAATTTTTGAAAATTATATATATATATATATATATATATATTTTTTAATTTTAAAAAATGTTTAAAAAGCAAGCAACACACATGTTTTTACAGTAAGTCACTGGGCTTATGAAGTAATATGACTCGAGATGCTCTGGAGGCGGCAGTTTGAGAATTGCATCTTTAAACCCACGTCGGCCGCGGTTTGCAAGCTTTTAAAACACAGAAGCCTGTCGAGCCGTACAGGGTTCCCGGTGAAAAAAGGCAAATGGAAGGTGGCTGGGAGAGGTAGAACAGGTTGTTTCAAATGATCAGAGTCTCCAGCACTTTTAGGAGGAAAGAAATGAATGCTGCTTCCTCCTAAAAGCGTAAAATGGAATATTCTTCCAGCCATTCTGAGACTGCCTTAGAAGTATTATGCTGTTACAGATTTCAAAAGGTTAGCTTCAATGAACCTGACATCAGTATAACCCAAAATAACCCATTCAAGAGAAAAGTAAGAAATAATTGCTGTTTTCTCTTTTTTTTTCCCCTCCACTATATTGCTATAATGATTTTGCATAACAGATTGAACAAAGTGCTGTTGTGACAGGTGGTAGAATTCAGCTAGTAAGCACCGAGACAGGGTTCAATTTAGTTTGTGAATCCTTTAATTGTTGTGCAGCTAATTAAAGAAGGTTCTTTACACTCGCAAGTGTTTACCGTTGCTAGTATGCATACATGAAAAATTAAATTGTGCCTTCAAGGGCTGAGAACTATAGAAAAATCATAGCTGAGGCTGCAACATGCTTACCAGCTCAAAATAGCTGCTTTTCACAATTGGAATTTGTAAAACTTTTTGCTAAGCAAATATAGAGCTAATTAGAAGTGTTCGTTGGACCAATTAACATTTAAATAAATAAGCCATATTGCACATTTCACAGTCTTTATTTAATGATGCTTCTAACTCTTTGGAAAGATTCTCTTAAGTACAAATAAGTTGTCACAAAAATGAAAGATAAAAATAACCCCATAACAGTATATGCTATTTTTTTCCTTTTCCCTTGAAGTCCTTTACTAAAACTCTGTACCTGTTGTTGAAGAAGAAGAAAACACACCTACCACCCACAAATCTAGCTTTTCCTTTCATCTTCTCCAGTTACCTTTCCCCCTCTTTGAATAGAAATAGAAAAACATATTTTATTACTATTTAAATGGTTATGATAATTCTGTTTACTTACGGTTTTTACCCCATTATAGAAAAAATCTGTTTCAGAAAATCCCACTTTAATCTGAGAACATGTGTAAGCAAGGAAAAGAAATGAAAAGAGACCCAAAACAGTAGTGTCTGGGGAATGTGGTAGAGAAAGCAGTGGGTAAAGTCCTTCACACGTGCTCCTGTGCAGAGCAAACCCCACTGGGGTGGTGAGCCCAGTTCCAGTGCTCACATCCATTCTTGGTGGAGGCCAGAGGTACTGGGACATGGGGAGTCTAACCCGGATCTTGAAGTCCTTCTTTCTTATTCTCAAATATCAAGATATGTAGACCAGACTGAAGCAGGAGGATAGCTGGAGCCCAGGAATTCCAGGCTACAGTGAGCTCCAACCTAGGTGACAGAGTGAGACTCCATCTCGTAAAAGAAAAAAAATAGATAGATCAATGGAACAGAATGGACAACTCAGAAGTAGCCCCCCACACAGGTAAGGCCAATTGATTTTTGACAAGGATGCAAAAGCAATTCCATGAAGGAAGGAGAGTTTTTTGCAGCAAATGGAGCTAGAACAACTGGATATCTATAAACAAACAACAACAACAACAAAAAGAGAACCTTGACCTAAATCTCATATCTTACACAAAACATGGATTACAAATGTAAATATAAAGCATAAAACTATGAAACTTTTAGAAGATAATATAGGAAAAAAATCATAGGAACCTAGGTCCTGGGCAAATGGTTCTTAAATATGATACCGGAAGTAAAATTCACAAAAGGAAAAATTAATAAATTGGATTTTGTCAAAATTAAATTTTTTGCTCTGCAGAAAACCCTGCTAAGAAGATAAAAAGACAAGCTACAGACTAGGGGAAAATGTTTGCAAACCATGTATCTGACCAAAGACTCATATCTAATATGTAGAAAGAACTCTCAGGCCAGGCATGGTAGCTCACACCTGTAGTCTCATCTGCTCACTTAGGAGGCTGAAGTGGGAGGATCACTTGAGGCCAGGAGTTGAAGGCTGCAATGAGCTATGACAGCACCACTGCACTGCAGCCTGGGCGACAAAGTGAGACCTTGTCTCAACAACAAAACAAAACCCCTCAAAACTCAACTCAATAAATAATATAATTAGAAAACAGGCAAAAGACATGGCCAGATATTTCACCAAAAAAGAGATATGAATAGCAAATAAACACATGAAAATATGTTCAGGAACATAACACTACATACTGATTAAAACAGTTAAAATTCTGTTCAAAATGACGATACTAAATGCTGCTGAGGATGCAAACAACCTGATCTCTCATGCATTGCTGGTACAAATGTAGGATGGTACAGCCACTCTGGAAAACTTTGACATTTTCTTAAAAAATAAAAAATAAAACATACCCTTACCATACGATCTAACAATTGCACTTCTGAGCCCTTATATTAGAAAAATAAACTTACGTTCACCCAAAAACCTGTATGCCATTGTTCACAGAAATTTTGGCTATAACAGCCAAATTCTGGAAAAAAAAAAAAGTCCTACAATAGGAGAATAGTGAAATGAATTGTGGTACATCTATGCCATGAGGTGCTACTCAGAAATATAAAGGAATGAATTCTTAATACATGCAAAACATAGATGGCGCTCAAGGGCATTATGCTGAATTTTAAAAAGCCAATGCCAAGGCTGGGTGCGGTGGCTCACGCCTGTAATCCCAGCAGTTTGGGAGGCCTAGGAAGGTGGACTGCTTGAGGTCAGGAGTTCAAGACCAGCCTAACCAACATGGTGAAATCCCGTCTCTACCACAAATACAAAATTGAGCTGGGCATGGTGGTGGGCGCCTGTAATCCCAGCTACTTGGGAGGCTGAGGCAGGAGAATCGCTTGAACCCGGGAGGCGGAGATTGCAGTGTGCCAAGATCACACCACTGCACTCCAGCCTGGGTGACTAGGTGACAGAGCAAAACTCCATCTCAAAAAAAAAAAAAAAAAACATTTCTTATTTAATAAATGGTGTTGGGAAAACTGGCTAGCTAGACATATGCAGAAAACTGAAACTGGACTCCTTCCTTATACCTTATACAAAAATTAACTCAAGATGGATTAAAAATTTAAACTTAAGACCTAAAACCATAAAAATCCTAGAAGAAAACCTAGGCAATACCATTCAGGACATAAGCATGGGCAAAGACTTCATGTCTAAAATACCAAAAGCAATGGCAACAAAAGCCAAAATTGACAAATGGGATCTAATTAAACTAAAGAGCTTCTGCACAGCAAAAGAAACTATCATCAGAGTGAACAGGCAACCTACAGAATGGGAGAAAATTTTTGCAATCTATCCATCTGACAAAGGGCTAATAGGCAGAATCTACAAAGAACTTAAACAAAATTACAAGAAAAAAAAACAACCCCATGAAAAAGTGGGTGAAGGATATGAACAGACACTTCTCGAAAGAAGACATTTATGCAGCTGACAAACATATGAAAAAAAGCTCATCATCACTGGTCATCAGAGAAATGCAAATCAAAACCACAATGAGATACCATCTCACGCCAGTTAGAATGGCAATCATTAAAAAGTCAGGAAACAACACACGTTAGAGAGCATGTGGAGAAATAGGAATGCTTTTACACTGTTGGTGGGAGTGTAAATTAGTTCAATCATTGTGGAAGACAGTGTGGCGATTCCTCAAGGATCTAGAACTAGAAATCCCATTTGACCCAGCAATCCCACTACTGGATATACACCCAAAGGATTATAAATCATTCTACTATAAAGAGACATGCACACATATGTTTATTGCAGCACTATTCACAATAGCAAAGACTTGGAACCAACCCAAATGCCCATCAATGATAGACTGGATAAAGAAAATGTGGCACATATACACCATGGAATACTATGCAGCCATAAAAAAGGATAATTTCATGTCCTTTGCAGGGACATGGATGATCATGTCCTTTGCAGGGACATGGATGAAGCTGAAAACCATCATTCTCAGCAAACTAACAGAAGAACAGAAAACCAAACACCGCATGTTCTCACTCATAAGTGGGAGCTGAACAATGAGAACACATGGACACAGGGAGGGGAACATCACACACTGGGGCCTGTCCGGGATTGCGAGGCTAGGGGAGGGATAGCATTAGGAGAAATATCTCATGCAGGTGACGAGTTGATGGGTGCAGCAAACCACCATGGCGTGTGTATACCTATGTAACAAAACTGCACATTCTGCACATGTACCCTATAACTTAAACTATAATTTAAAAAAAAAAAAGAAAAAGAAAAAGCCAATGCCAAAGGTCATATACCATATGGTTCCATTTATACAACATTCCCAAATTGAGAAAATTAAACAGATGGGTAGGCACCAAGGGCTAGGGATGGTTGGGGCACGGAGGGGATATAACTGGAAATGGGTAGATGAGGGAGATCTTGTGGTGAAGAGCACTTCTGTGTCATAATAAAGGCAGTGGTTACGGAATCTACAGACGTGATCAAATGACACAGAAGTGGCCAGGTACATTGTAGTGATGTTGGTTTCCTGCTTTTGCTATTATGCAGCACTACAGTTATCGAAGATGCAAGCAATGGGGAAAACCAAAGACCTCTCCATACTATCTTTGCAACTTCTTATCAATCTATAATTATTTCAAAATTTAAAAGGGAAAAAGAAACTAAAGAATTAATGTTTAAAATCATGGGCTATTTTCTGTTTGTACTTTCTAACATCCTAGACCTGGTCTGTTTTGTGAGCTCTTAAATTTGCCAATCAGTCATTCTTTCTGTTAGGGTATTCTCTCTTTCTCTCTCTCCTTCTATCTCTCTCATGCCTATTTATTTCTGAACACTGGTTACTTTCTTGTAGGGATGAGGGTCTTTTCAGACCCCCTTGTCCAAGCTCTAATACCTTGTAATCATTAAGGGGTCTTATTGTTGAGTTTGGCTTCTAGTACTGAAATCAAATTAACAGACGCCAATTAACATTTAAATAAACGAGGCAGATTAGTAAAGAATCCACAGAACACCAAACTGTAAGGAGTATGGTGGAAATGGCAATATAAAACAAAGAAGTAAAAGCTGAGTTTTTTTAAGCTTTTTGTCTTGAGATAATTGTAGATTCACACTCAGTTGTAAGAAATAACTGAGGAATCTTGTCTACTCATCACCCAGTTTCTCCCAATAGTAATATCCTGAATAATGATAGATAGTTTGGCATCACAGCCAGGAAACTAACGTTGATACATCCCTCCAGCTTTACCCAGACTTCACCAGTTTCACATGCACTCATCTGTGAGTGTGGTGTGTGTATTTAGTTCTTTGCAATTTTAACACATGTAGATTTGTTTGACAAAATGAACAAAAGATGAGGGCTAGGTGGAGAGTCCTCATGCCAGAGAGAGTCTTTCCAGCAAAATTCTCCCATTTATAATGCAAAGGTGGCTTTAGACATTGAACACCATCTGTTAACGAATCATGAGATTAAGAACACAAACTCAGGGACAGGTACAGCTTTTCCTATCACCTGAGTCTCAAGCCACAACCATTGTCACCCCAGCCTCTATTATCCAAGACCTGAAGTAACAAGTTCTAACAAGTATTAAGTGCCCAGGTTTGCAGCCATAGAGTTATAGGATGTGGAAGGGCCAACTGGGAGCTCTGGGCTCTAGCAAAAAGCTGGAGTGTAAGAAGAGGTTTGCAGGAAGGTGGAGGTGCCTAGCTGGCCTGAGGTCAGGAAGCCCTTTAAAAGAGAGCCTGCTTGGCTGGGCACGGTGGTTCACGCCTGTAATCCCAGCACTTTGGGAGGCCAAGGCGGGCAGATCACCTGAGGTCAGGAGTTCGAGACGAGCCTGGCCAGCATGGTGAAACCCCGTCTCTACTAAAAATACAAAAATTAGCCAGGCATGGTGGTGCATGCCTGTAATCTCAGCTACTCGGGAGACTGAGGCAGGAGAATCACTTGAACCTGGCGGCGGGGCAGAGGTTGCAGTGAGCCGAGATCATGCCACTACAGTGGCACTCCAGCCTGGGCGACAGAGAGAGACTTTGTCTCAAAAAAAAAAAAAAAAAAAAGAGAGAGCCCTCTCATAGCAAATGGAGGCAGGACACATCTGTAGAAAGCTCCTCCTGTCCTTAGAATCACTTCCTTACTCTCTTCCCTGAAACTGCTACACTGTAACAATTGGCAGGTCTGCATCAAGCTTCTCAAAGAAAGATGGATGGAAGAGACAAATCTAAAGAAATTGCCAAAAGCAAAAGTAAACCCCAAATTCCCAGAAAGTCAAATTGATCCAGAAAATATAAGTCAAGTTGGACACTTCCTTTTCAATTGGTTATTTTATAGACTCTAGAACACAGATCATGTGATCTCTTATTTGAAAGAGATTCTCCATTCCAAATTCCCATCTACAGGCAAAATTATCCCATCAGGAGATGGAGAGAGGTACCAATCAACCCTCTGCTTAAATAAAAGGCTGGGATTTTTGGTGACTGGCATTTGTTATTTGGTGAGAAGTCATTTTTTTTACAACATAATGAAGTAGGCAGAGCAGAGAGGAGTTTTAGGGCAGGGAGAAGATTCTGTATGATACTGCAATGGTGGATACATGTCATGATACATTTGTCAGAACCCACAGAATGTACGCCAAGTGCACCCTAATGTAAACATGGACTTCGGGTGATATTGACGTGTCAATGTAGTTCATCAGTGGTAACAATTGTACTGATGTAGTGGGGGATGTTAATAGCGAGGAATTGTGGGGATGAGCCTTTGTACTTCCCACTCAATTTTGCTGCAAACCTAAAACTGCTCTTAAAAAATCAAGTTTATTAACTTAAAAAACATAATGAAAACAAAAATGTAACTGACCTAGTTATCATAAGTCTTATATTCAAAACAAAGCTTAACTTGCATTAAAGTGATAAAAAGTCCTTACTAAACAAAAATTATGGAGAAAGGTAGATCTTTTGCTGCCTCTCAGACTCAGCCACATGAAGAGGTACACAGCTATTAAGGTTGCATTTCAACATGGCAGAAGCAAAGCTTGTTGTCAGAAGAGAACATGCCACTAAAATCCAATCACTGAGACATTTAGGCGCAACATATGGAACCTCCCCAGAAAAGGCATCCTGGTGGCCCTTCTTTGGCAGATAAACCAAGGTCTGGGTGACCCTGAGTCATCTTCCTGCAGGAGGCACAGTTCTTAACCAATCACTCTGACACATTCAGACCAGCATTCTACATCCACCAGCAGGGCTGGGTTTTAACGTTAAACTGCAACTGGTCCACCCCAAACCAGATGTGTGTCTTAGGTGTTTGACTGTAGATACTGCAAACAAAACAACAAAATGCCACTTCTATGTTCTAGTTATTGGACATCCCCTTTATGGTACCCAAAATGACACCTTGTCTGTTTGTAGACTATCTGATTTTAGAGTCATAAACTACCTGTCCTGTCAGTTCCTTCTTTTATCACTTTTCATTAATCTTGTACCATAGATAAGATGAAAATTGGTAGCAATTAAGATTAATCTAAGCATTGTCCCTTTGTACACAACGAAAGCCCTAAGAAGACTAGAACTTCATTCAGTACAATGACATGAAGCACAAATGCATTAATGCAAATAAGGATTACACTAAACCCTGAATACACATTACATTTATTTTCAGGAGTAACCGAGCTCACAAGCTGAAAGGGGAAGCAGATGTGCAAGACTCCGAAACCAGTGCTCCAAAACCAGTGTTAAGGGGTTGACCCCTTAAACAACCCTTCACATGGCATGATGGCTTACCCACTGCTTTTCAGGTAAAGCCTAAAATCCTTCATCAAGGCCTCCATGGTGTCACCTCAACTTTTCTCTTGAGCTCAGCTCAGTGTGCAGCTTACTTGCACACTAGATTGTGTAAGTCCAGTTCATAAATGGTGATTCTCCCTTGGAAAGGTGAGGCTGAACTGGGAGTAGAAAAGCAACTGCTCATGTGTAATTTCCAGACTGTACTATTTACAGGTGGGGCAAACAATTACCACCAGAGATGGAAGAAGACAGGGCCATGTCACTGGTTTCTTCCTCTCAGTGTGGAGGGCATGGTGGTGCATAGAATGGGGAAGGGACGCTGAAGAAGGAGCTTCCTCTGGTGCAGCCGAGCAGACGTAAGAGATGCACCTGGCCCAGTCCTACACCTGGGTATGTGTGTGTTGTGGGGTAGGAGGGTAGCTGAGAAGTGGGAGTGGGGAGAGGGCTGTTTAGGGAAATGAGCATTTGCAAATGCAAATCTAGTAATTACATACCCACACATGCACTATCATAGTTAGATACCTAACTACCCATTTGCACACACAATTACCCAATGTGTAAGGGTTCATCACGGATAAGTAGGCAATAGGTGGGCACACCTGTTGGACTGGCTTCAGAAAATTTCAGCAATTCTATAACACAAGAAGGAGAAAAGGAAAGTCGTTTAAGGAAAAGTCTTGGACCACCAATTAAGGAACCATCCAAGGGGGTCCCGTGTGTTCATTGTTACAGGTCTTGTGGCCTCCAGTGTGAGTCACTGAGGCTTGCTCACTGATCTGATAGAGAGCTGCCCTTTTTCCATCTGCACGTGCCCTTCCCTACTGTCTCTGCCTGCCCATCTAGCCCTGCAGACTCTGACTCCTTCAGCTTCCATCTCTGGACCAAAGGCAGCTCTTCCCACACATGTTTCACATCTGCTTTCTCTCTATCTCCTCCACCACTGCCCTGTCCAACACCACCAAACACCCAGGCTTCCATTCTGCCCACATTGCCCCTTAAACAACATTCACATTACATGATGGCTTTACCCACTGCTTTTCAGATAAAGCCTAAAATCCTTCATCAAGGCCTCTGTGGCGTCGCCTCAATCTTTCTCTCCAGCTCAGCTCACAGCTTCCCCTTCCTCTGTGCCTCTAGCCTCACTCTGCCCACCTTTCAGCCTTCATCTTCACCAAGTTCCATCTGCCACAGGGTCTGTGCACTTGCTGTTCCCTCTGCCTGGAACGCTCTTCCCTGAGATGTTTCCATGTAACCCCTGCCTGAGAATGTGACGCTGCCCCTAGCCTAGGACCAGAGGCTCCGTGAGCTCCAGACACCTCTCCTTAAGGCACCTGCCAGACTAATGATTTCACATTGGTTCATGTGATTCTCTGACGAACATCTGCCCCTCTCTCCAGACTGTAAGCTCCATAAAGAGAGGGATCAAGTCTATTTCACTCATCATCCTATCTGCAGGGCACAGTAGGTCTTCAATAAACTCTTTGGAATGAGTGAATTAATCAGTGAGCATAGGAAGAAATGAATGAATCAGACCCTCTTCTTGGATGGCTTTGCATGTGCTTCTTTTGATCAGATCAGCAAACAAGCCTCAGTGACTCATATGTATCCTGGTAGTTCTCATTTCCTCTCCCCCGCCCCCAACCCCATCCTACCGCATTAAACTGTGAGCAGGAACCTCAACACAGAAATGAAGTTGCCTAAGTGGTTGTTGAGTGAATGAATGAGTGGATGGACGAATAAATGATACAGGGGATTGTTCTTGTTCCTCAGCATCTTGGACTCACATAATTCCCCAGCGCGCATGACTGCTCCCCAGAGACAGCTTCACACAGTAGGTGTCGTTAATATTTGCTGACCAGATAAATGAATGAATGCTATCATCTTGTGCCATACAGATCATACAGAAGTGGTTTCCAAAATGCCATTGAGTATTCAGCATTCACACAGTCCTACAGATCCACAGCAGTGGTTTTATTTGAAGTTACCAAGCAATTTAAAAAATTAAATGAGCGTGCACCCTGTCATATTTTGATCTAACTATGCACTAATTTTCAGGACAGAGAAAAAACAGTTAATTACTGTTTTGCACCACAGTCCTCTCCTTCCTTCTACTGTAATGTAATGTAGTCAAATAAATAAGTTACTCGTGCAATTTTCATCTCTAGAAATAAAACAGCACTCATAACTCTTTGTTTGGGAGCTTAATTTTAGCTCACTTAAGAGCAGTTATCTGATGTACTTCTAAGAACAGAGACACCCTAGAAAAAATGGAAATCACACAGAAAGAAGGAGGACTGGCTCAGAAAATGCCATGTCTCAGGCTCAGTTGGGAGGCCGTGGCATTCAGGAGTTGGCAGCTCGGAGTAACCAGCTAACCGCAGATAATTGCTGCCGGGCGGTGGTGCAGGGCACGGATTCTACATCCCAGCCCTTCCAACCCTTCTCTGGCTACCCTGGCGTTGTCTCCACATGGGCATGAACTTCATAAGGCTAAATTCTGTGGTCTCCTTAATGGAATCCCTTTGGCGGCTGCTCCTAACCTCCCTTCATATTTTAGATTCAACCGCACAATCTTTCTGTCCCTACCTCCCTCGCCCCAGGGGATCTGTGGTTTCCTACTGGTTTCCTGCAAATTCTAGAGGAGACCCATGAGAGCGCTGGGCCTCCCCTAGGAAGGACTGGAATTCCCAAGGGAAAGGGTGTGGCTGAGAGTCCTCCCAGGGCTGTGAAAGAGGAGACACTCACTCCCTTCTCCCCTCAGAGTCCTGGAAGCTGAGCACCTCCCCTCTCCTCTGGCCCCCAGCTCCGGACATCCGAGAACCGCAACCTAGAATCCATGCACACTTGCTTCATCGGTCCTAAAATACACTTTTTTTGGCGGGGGTGAAGGGGGGAGGATATCCTTATTCAAAGTGGAGGCTAGAGAGATGTCTAAGACGTACTGCATTAGCTAAATTAGTACTGATTTGTCCTGGGGCACAATTACAAGGTTTAAGGTTACAGTACCAGGAGTTTGAGAGGCAATTATAATTCAAAGACAGCTAGCTAAGGGGTGGCTGGGAGTTACAATCAGAACAAGGGAAAGTTTAGTGGAAGATGCTGTTTGTCAGTGAATTTGAAAGCATGTTTTTCTTTTTCTGTGTGTGCCTTTACCTTTTTCTCTCTTTCTCTTGGTCTTTCTCAGATCGCTCTGTGGTCTATCCTGGACTTTATCATTCTTTACAATTAAGCGCCAGGAATAAAGTTCACCCTGAACAAAAGCAGTTTTTTTGATTGTTTGTTTGTTTGTTTTTTGAGACAGACTTTCACTCTTGTTGCCCAGGCTGGAGTGCAATGGTGCGATCTCAGCTCACTGCAACCTCCGCCTCCCGGCTTCAAGAGATTCTCTTGCCTCAGCCTCCCAAGTAGCTGAGATTACAGGCATGCACCACCATGCCCGGCTATTTTTTTGTATTTAGTAGAGATGGGGTTTCACGATGTTGGTCAGACCAGTCTCAAACTCCTGACCTCAGATGATCGACCCACCTCGGCCTCCCAAAGTGCTGGGATTACAGGTGTGCACCACTGCAGCCAGCCAGCAAAAGCAGTTTAAAGTCAAGTCTACTGGGACAGATGTGGGGCAGAAGGTGGGCCCTTTGGACCTGGGATCAGAAATGGGCAAGACATCCTGTGGTATTGTGTTTTGGAATTCCTCAGGGACAAAGTGGCAGTGAGTGATTTGGCCGTGTTGGGAGGGATTCCAGGCCTGCTCCTAACCACCTTCCCAGGTATGTGCAGTGCAAGAGCTGGGACTCTGCCTCTGGCTCTGATCACAGGAGAATTTCCAGGCACCAGCATGGGCTTCTGCAGGCAAAACTTGGTCCCTAGTGAATAAATATTAATGCTGCCAGCACTCAAGGGCACGTAGCCCCCGAGGTTTATAAAGTGCTGTGTTGAGAAGATTCATAACACTCTCAAGTGGGGATTTCTGTTTATTCTGACATTGGAATAGATGCTCCCAAGGTCCCAGGCTGGGTTTGAGATCCCCATTGGTGCCAACGGGGGCTGAGTGTAAACATGGGGGCGGGGGCTGGCGGTGATGCCAAGAGCTCCGGCCTCCCAGTCACTTGATTAGAATCCTCCAGTAAGCTCACGGGGCTGCCTGCCTCCTGCTCTGCCAGTGGGGATCCCTGACTTTGCCATGGACTGTTTCTAAGGGCTACAGAGGACACTCCAGGCTCCGATAGATTTGGAAACATAAAAGCACCTTCAGACCTCAAGAAGACTGGATTTCCAGCTCTCCGGCAGAATGTGGGATTTGCTCTCAAAGAGCCTGGCTAGGAAGATTGGCATGGCCAAGTGGGGACCAGCATAGGGGCTGGGGAGCCTGTACTCACTTCAGCCCCTCCAGCCTTTCCCTTTGGAGAGTTCAACTCCACTTTCTAGCACTGAAACTCCCCTGCAGCTGCCTGCCACCCTGGTCCCACCTCACCCTAAAGAGTTTTATTTAATGCTACTCTCACTTGGGCTTCCTTTTCTTCTCATCTAGACCTTTTTCAGCATGCGAGCTTATTAACAGAGAAAGAGGAGAAGTCCCTAGCATTTTTTTATTTTATAAGTTCCAGTTTATACTAAGGGCAGCTGAACTAAAGATTAAAGTAAAGGAAAAAAAGCAAATTAGCAGGCTTCTCTTCTCTTCTCTCTACTCAACACAACCTTAACCCCCCTGCAGCTAACCCCTAGGAAGTAGATTCAGGCAACAGTAAGTGCTTAGGAAGGAGTAAAACCTTCCCCTGCACAGCACCTGCCTCAATGGAGATGGAGTCCTTCCTTGAACACCTCTGAGGTCCCCCATTGAATATCTACCAAGATATCTTTGAGGAGGGAAATCCCTGGGAGGAGTTGGGATCCCAGCAGCCATTTGAGAAATCTTAGGTAAAACATATCAGAAACAGCAAGCCTTCTTTCCTCTCTAATTCTGCTGGAAAAATCTTTTTCTAGAGACCTTAGCAGCTCAAGTTGGAAAATGTCACTGCGCCACACTCAGCAGCCAAGTGGCCCTTCTGGAAGATAGGGAGCTGGAGGGGCCCACAGCAGCTCTCTGCTATCTGCTTGGGCCAGCAGGATGCTATTAGGCGGGACAGAAATGGAGTCCCTAGAAAAAGAATCTGCTAGGATTCAGGAGCCAAGGGCACCACCACTTCTTCACCCAAAGGACATTTTCTGGGCCAGTACCTTCAAGGGTTCTGGTCTTGGCCTTCGCTTAGCCCAGTCTGGAACTTTCTCATGAATGAGAAAGGCAGAGAATGGCCCATGATGAGTGTCACCATAATACAGCCCCTGGGGACAAATCATTACTAGTCGTATCTGTACTGAACAGGTTAAGAGATTTCTGAGCTGTGAAGCATGGACAAGATTTTTTAAAAATCCATGGGTGAGGAGCATGTATCTTGAGCAAAAAGGGAATTTTTTTTTACAAGGGTCTCGTGTCCAGAGTAGAGGAGAGGCAAGGTCCCATCTATGGTCGCTAGATTTTTCAAGGGCACTAAGATAACCCTCTATGCAAGTGCTCGCCCTCCCAGGAAACCTCTCCCCAAATGTACCCTATACACGAGTATCACCAACCACATGGTTGGCCTTCCGCATACCCCCTTTGAGTAGAAAAGCTGCGCAAACCAGAACTCTACTTGGAAATTGGAGAACCAGGCCTGGCTTCGTGGAGGCACGTGGAACGTGTGCGGACTGGGTGAACTCACACTAGGGGGGTCCCACACCCAAGGAAAGGAAACAGGCAGGCCTGACACTCAGTCTTGTGTTCTCTGGCTCATGGTAAGAGGAGCCTGGTAAATCAAGAGAGATGGGGCATGGGACTCCCTCCTTCCTCACAGGTCGTCAAGCCTTTACACCTCCTGAAGGGGCTACACTTGCTTTGTAGGGGAGAATTCCAGGAAATAGAGCCCTCTGCAGTTGGTCAGCTCACCCTACATAAATGGCCATTGCCAGCTGTCTGAATGAGATGTAGAAGGGCCCAGCACATGATTTTAAGCCTGGAAAGTGGAGGAAGCCCATAAAGGAATCTCTCTCTGTCTTCCCATTGGCTACTATAAATTAACCAAGAAAGAAGGAATCTTACACTCCATCCTAATTCTGAAAATCATAGCATTTGTTTCTAAAGAACTGGTCTCTTGATAACAGCACATTCAGCTTCTCCCAACAGCCTTGGCATGCAAGAAAACACCGTGAGGGTTTAGACCTACAACACTGGCTTGCCCTGGAAAATTCCCCCAAGTGAAGAAGTTGAAGAAGCCCTGCCAAGCACAGGAGGGACGAGGCGATCGTGGAGGGCTCTGCACCTGGATGGCAAGCCCCGGGCATGGCCACCGCTGGGTGGTCTCTGTGGGGTGGAACTCCCACCTTCCAGTGGACCATGAGGGCTGGGGCAATAAACCCTACAAAGTGGTCACAATGGCTGGAGGAGCGGGGTCGCCCCCATTAAGGCTTCTGGAGGGTGCCTCCAAGCCCCCTGCCTAACCCCACCGAGTATCCATAATTGTAGAAAGATCTAACTTGATTTAGGCAAAGTCACATGACCTCCCTCAACAGCACCAAGACCCAGAAAGGAAATCCATACGGATACTTTGACCGAGGTCCCAGGCCAAGGCGATCCATGGTCTTCTTTATCTTAACTCAGGTTGACTGAAGTAGGCCACCGTTCATTCTGACTCACTCCCCCGGGAAATCTTATAGACACACCCTTGTCTTTTCTTTTCCCCTCGTGTTTCTCCCAGTACTTATATCCTGGCCAAATCAGCACCTCTTACAGCCTCAAAACCTGACCTCAAAATCTGAGAGCCACAGGAGATTACATGGGAAGCAGGAAGAAGACCTCTAAGGGGCTCCACCTATGGACCATCCTATCTACACAGACACCCAGCTGGTGCCTGGCTCATCACACAGCCCCCTCCAGGGCCCAAAGCCCACTGACCAACCAGCCTGGACACCTGCGTCTCGAGAACATTCCCCAACCCCATCCCTCAAGCAGGGTCTAAGTCCCCTCTCTAGGCTGGGCTTTCCAAGCCTCTTCCCTGATATCCTGTGCAGTAGGGTAAGTAGTTTCCAAGCGATGGAGTGGAGAGGGCCCTGCCTTCCAGCCAGGTCCCCTGGGGACAAGGACCACATATTCCTCCAGCCATTAGTGTCTGCAGCCTCTCTGCAAACAGGGATTAAGCAACAAATGTCCCTTTCTGTTGAGCATTTGACCTTATCTCAAGTGTGTCATCAGCTTCGAGAGTCATGGCTTATGTCAGTGTGGGTGAAAAACGGCCTCCACGGCTTCCAAATTGGGATCGCTCTGCTCTCAGCAGCAGATGTAAGCCAAGCTCGTGGTAAGTGGCAATAAATGGCTTGGAAAGAGGCAGTGGGTCCCTCACCGCCGTCAACCATGGGAGGGCAGGTTCTGGGCATCTCTCAAGCATGGCCCCTGCATCAGCCTCCCTGAATGGGGTCTTTGGGGCCCAGCCCACAGCAACCAGGGGCTGCAGAAGTCTCGGGTCCCCACGGTCCTGCTCAGAGCAAGATTCAAAGTCAGGCTGCAACCAGCGACAGCTCTGTTACAGCCCCTTTTGCAAATTTTCCTTTGCAAGTATCAGCTAAGCACCTGCCTTTCTCCCCACATCCAGGCCTCCCTCTGGTACCATACTGAGGCCTGGACAGGTTCTAGCCAAGGGACATTGGAGCCCATGAGTGAGGGCAGATCTTCAGCATGAAAACGGTGCTTCATCTTTGACCAAACACCTTTTCTCTGTGTGTCTCCACTGACACTTCAATCACACATCAAACAGACCGACTCTCGTCTGCACATTGCTTCCTCTAGCATCTTTTTACCAGAATCTTAAACACACAGATGTCAATGTGTTATCTTAAAAATTGCTGATAGGCTGTGACTTTGGATAAGCCCTCGGAAGCAGTCCCCTGCTGTCCATGCCGGCGACCCGCAGACAAG
This sequence comes from Homo sapiens, assembly GCF_000001405.40. NCBI lineage: Eukaryota > Metazoa > Chordata > Mammalia > Primates > Hominidae > Homo > Homo sapiens. The sequence goes on along the minus strand of NC_000019.10, from coordinate 30,386,889 downwards.
CACTGCCACTGTTTCCGCTGTAATAGAAGTGTTCTGTGAAACGCAGGGCTAATTTCCAAGTGTCTTTCACCAAAAATCGGTTCCTGAAAGCCACAAATAAATACCTAATACCTATAGCCCTGGCTGTGCGCCAGGCCCTGCCCTAGGGACCTACAGATATTGAGGTTGGCAAATGTAGACCAAAGACCCACTACATGTCAGAAGAGACAAGAGGCCAGGCATCATGGCTCACGCCTATAATCCCAACATTTTGGGAGGCCAAGGCAGGAGGATTGCTCGAGCTCTGGAGTTCAAGAACAGCCTGGGGAACATACTGAGACCCCCTCTCTACCAAACATTTAAAATATAGCCAGGCATTGTGGCATGCATCTGTAGTACCAGCTACTTGAGAGGCTGAGGTAGGAGGATCACCTGAGCCCAGAGAGGTCGACTCTTCAGTGACCCATGATCACTCCACTGCACTCCAGCCTGGGTGACAGAGTGAGACCCTATCTCAAAAAAGGAGGTAAGAGACAGGAGGGGCAGACATTCATAAAGAGAGACTGTAGAGAGACAATAACATGGTCAGAAGAGTCACAGGTAACAGAGATGAAAGCTCAGCTGAGTGAGGGGCTAACTCCACTCAGAGCAGCGTGAGAATTGGCTTCTGTAGTGAGGTGAGTTTTCAGCTGGCTCTTGCAGGATGAAAGGGAGTTTTCTGGAGTGGAGATGAAGGAGAAAAAGTGGCTGGCTTTCTAAGACAGCGTAGGCAAAGGGCTGAGGGATGGGAGGATGTTGCCTGAGATGAAGCTGGGAAGGTGGGATGGGACCAGTATTGAGGGGCCTTGGATGCAACACCAGCTGACATCAGAATGTTCTGGGCCACATTTTTTAAAATCGAAGTTTAAGTTAGGAGTGAGACAGACGGACATTGCCACATGATCCCTGATGTCCATCTGCCAGCTCAGTGATCCAGGCACTGCCACTCCTTCAGATAACTCCATGGGGTCCCACTAAGCACCAGATGCTCTATGTGGCTGTGGCTCCACCCAGCTGGGGACCCAAAGCAGCATCACTGAAGGGACCTCCAGGCAGTGCGCACATGCAGATTTCAGAAGACAGGAGATTCATGATGGAGGCGGAGTTGCACCTGGGGTAAACCATCAAGTCTGAAAAGTTGGGGAGAAGTAGGTGGAATATGGGTAGAAGGAATAATAAAAGCCAAGACGCAGGGGTGGACAGGTGTGTCCTGCCCATTCCCTGGGAGATGGCAGCTTGTCATGCAGGGTCTGGAAGAAGGAGAAGGATGCCTGGGGAGATGCCTTGAATGTCAAGTCCGGATGTTAACCTTTATCCTGCAGGTGACAAGGACTGGAACCAGTGGGTGAAGCAGGGAAGAGCAATGAGGACAAGGCCACAGAGGACAGTCAGGAACTCCAGGAGAAGAGAGGAAGCACTGCAACCAGGGTAACGGTCGTTACCCAGCCCACAGGGAGACACCCGTCAGGCAGCTGTCCCCCCAGTGCAACCAGCACTGCTTCCCAGGGCACCCAGGCCCCAGGCAGGTGGCCCCTGGTCCCGCTTCAGCCACCACAACCCACACTGACCCCCATCGGGTCATCACCTCCCTCAGTCTCTGGGCGGTTGCTAGACAAACTCCACCACCGGCTCTTCCTTCCTCATGTCCATTTCCACCCGATTTCAGGGCTGCTCCTGCTCCTGGAAAGGCCCTTCCTACCCTGAATGAAAGAGAAGGATGCCTGGGGCAGCTGCTGCAGGGAAGGCCTCAAACATCAAGTCCGGGTGTTAGACCTTTATCCTGCAGGTGACAAGGACTGGCAACCAATGGGAGGTGGAGCTGGGTTTTTTGTTTGCTTTTTTTTTTGTTTTAGAGACAATATCTCACTCTGTCGCCCAGGCTGGAGGGCAGTGACGTGATCAAACTGCAGCCTCGACTGCCTGGGCTCAAGGGATCCTCCCACCTCAGCCTCCTGAGTAGCTGGGATTACAGGCTATGCCACCACGCCTGGCTAATTATTTTATTTTTGTGGAGATAGTGTCTTGCTCTGTTGCCCAGGCTAGTCTCAAACTCCTGGCCTTAAGCAATCCTCCCACCTTGGCCTCCCAAAGCACTGAGATTAAAGATGTAAGCCACCATGCCTGGCTGAACACATATTTTCTAAACACCATTTGGTACCCCTATTCCAAGCCATTCCTCCTCTCTCAACCCTCAGGGTGCAAGAAGTGGATGACCTTTGACCCTCATGCTCCACAGGGGTTTCTGGTTTCCATCCAATGCAGGAAGAAGAATCCTGTGTCCAGACCCACATCGATGCCTGAAGGTCCCATGCAACCAAAGCAGGGTCCCACCCAGGACATGATTCAATAGGAAAAGCACTGGGTGTCCACTTTGTGCCAGCCCACTGGGATCGTGCATCCACAAGAGGGTCTTGGCCATGACACCTTCTTCGCCACCAGGCCCCCAGCATTAACACAGCCTGTGGTCTGCCATGGGTCCTTAATCAATATTTTGGGAAAGAAAGAAAGGAAGGAAGGGAAGGGAAGGGGAGGGGAGGGGAGGGGAGGGGAGGGGAAGGGAGGGGAGGGGAGGGGAAGGAAAGGGAAGGGAGGAAAGGAAAGAAAGAAAGAAGAAAGGGAGGGAGGGAGGAAAGAAGGAAGGGAGGGAGGGAGGGAGGGAGGGAGGATGGAAGGAAGGAAGGAAGGAGAAAGAAAGAAAGAAGGAAACGAAAGAAAGAAAGAAAGAAAGAAAGAAAGAAAGAAAGAAAGAAAGAAAGAAAGAAAGAAAGAAAGAGAAAGAGGTGGGCAGAAGAAGAGAGGATAAAGGGGAGGAGTAAGTGAGTAGCAGACCGTGGGGCCACAGGCATGCAGGTGGTGTATGTGGTTTAGGCTGTGTCCACATCCAGCTGGCAGAGTGGAAGAAGGAAGGGAAGGGGAGGGGAGGGGAGGGGAGGGAAGGGAAGGGAAGGGAAGGGAAAGGAAGAAAGGAAAGAAAGAAAGAAGGAAGGGAGGGAGGGGGGAGGAAGGAAGGAAGGAAGGAAGGAAGGAAGGAAGGAAAGAAGGAGAAAGAAAGAAAGAGAGAAAGAAAGAGAAAAGAAAGAAAAGAAAGAAAGAAAGAAAAGAAAGAAAGAAAGAGAAAGAAAGAAAGAGAAAGAAAGAAAGAAAGAAAGAAAGAAAGAAAGAAAGAAAGAGAAAGAAAAGAAAGGAAGGAAGAAAGGAAGAAAGAAAGAGAAAGAGAGAAAGAAAGGAAGGAAGAAAGGAAGAAAGAAAGAGAAAGAGAGAAAGAAAGGAAGGAAGGTGGGCAGAAGAAGAGAGGATAAAGGGGAGGAGTAAGTGAGTAGCAGGCCCTGGGCCACAGGCATGCAGGTGTGTACGTGGTTTAGGCTGTGTCCACATCCAGCTAGCAGAGTGGTTGGTGGGGTGCAGCCACCTCCACAGGGCCTCCTGGAACTTGTCAGCAACTCTTTCTCAGTTGTTCACCATCTGAACTGGGCAGACCCCAGACCTTAGCAAGGTACAGATCTACCTTCCTGGATACAGGAGGCATAGTCTTGAAAACCTGAGTTGCATTTGTTTTTTTTGTTTGTTTGTTTCTTTGTTTTTGAGACAGAGTCTCATTCTGCTGCCCAGGCTGGAGTGCAGTGGCATGGTCTCAGCTCACTGCAACCTCCGCCTCCTGGGTTCAAGCAATTCTCCTGCCTCAGCCTCCCGAGTAGCTGGGATTACAGGTGCCCAGCACCATGCCCAGCTAAGTTTTATACATTTCGTAGAGACTGGGTTTCACCATGTTAACCAGACTGGTCTCGAACTCCCGACCTCAGGTGATCCGCCCACCTTGACCTTCCAAAGTGCTGGGCTTGCAGGCGTGGACCACCACACCTGCCACGTTTGTTGTTTTTAGGAGGAGAAAAAGAAATATATTTGATTTTAATTGTGCAAGACTATCTGGGCTAATTTTAAGGATTTCTATGGGAAATTCTTTTGCACAAAGAAGAGTAGCTCCCTGGTTTATGTTTGCTAAATGATAATTTCCTATACCAAATTTCCTTCACACAGTTAACACCTGTGTGCTTCAGAAGTCAGAGCCGCCCACCGCAGGAATTTGTACACCTGCCCTTCCCTCCATCCTCATCACAACCATGTAGATCACATGGGATCCAGTGGATTCCACCTCTGCGGTAGCTTCTGCCAAGCCAAGCCATACTTCCTTCCCTCACTATCGGCCTTTGTCTGGGTGATGCATTAGTAACTTACAAGTGGGACCAAAAACACGCAAATACTTCTAGTTTTCACACAGAACTTCCTTCTTAGAAAAAAAAAAAATTCCCTGCCCACATCCCATCCACCAAAAGAATGCTTAATCAATGAAAAAATTAACTGTATCCCTAAATAAAGAAGTGCAGATATTTTCTTTACAGTGCTTTATTAATTTGTAAATACCATTATTGAATTTTTGAAAGTTCTAATTTAAATGTATTGATCTATTATTGTTTTGTGGATTTTCCACCCAAATGTCTTGGAGAAAAAGCACGGGAGGCACTGGATAGACCATGCAGTTGCCGAAACTTCATCAAACCATCAAATAAGAGCTTTGCACAGATGATGCACAAGGACTTACAAGGTGTCCAGACCACTAAGCTGACATGTTTATGCTTAATTCAAATCGGACAACTTTCTTCTAATAACTGTGTCTGTCGCTAGCCATAACACGGAAATGGGACATGGATGCAGAGCTGTCTCTTTGCAGGCGGGGGCAGCAGGGAGGGGAGGTAGCAATCCGTGGAAAAGAAGTGAACACATCAGCCAAAATGGGAGCCAAAGAAGGTCATTTTTACCCAAAATGTCTCACATGGCCATTTTCATTGAGACTTAAACCAGGGAATGGAAAGCATTCTCTTCTCTCTGCTTGTTCTCTTCCAAAACAAGAATTTAAATTAAGAACTTTTTGCTGGCTTCCCCTGTAGCAAACTTCATGGGTATTTATTTAGCAATGCTTTGATACTTCAAGGATATTAGGATGGGGACACACAGGCCAAGAGATGAAATACACAGAACCACATAGATCGCTCCGGTCAGCTCCACCTCCCTGCAGACTCTGAACGCTTCTGTCCCTTGCACTGTCCCCTGCCATGGAAAGAAAGCCTGTTTACAACGTTCCCCATCAACCACCCCGCATCCATACCCTTTGAGGCTTCCTATGGCCCTTGGAATTAGCCCCTTGCCCCAGCCTGCAATGGTGCAAAGGCTCTGGGACCTGGGGCCATTATGGCCTAATTTCCCATCTCACCTCCCTGGTCCCTCATGCTCCAGCCCCAAATCCTCCAGCGTGCCAGGCCTGTTCCTTCCTTGGGACCTGTGCCCTGCAAGATCCCACTGTCTGGAAGCCTGGCTCCATCTTCCCATGCCAGTCCCAGATCAAGCGTCACTTCCTTAGAGAGGCCTCCCAAGACCACCCCATCTGAATGAGGCACCCTGTCCCTGCCACATTCCACTTTTTTCCAGTGGGAATAATCCTGTTCATGTATGAGGTGACTGTGTAGCCTCTATCCACCCCTGCCTTCTCCCTCCCCATAACTTAAACAAGGAACTTGCCTGTCACCCAGTCCCCAGCACAGTGCCTGGCACATAGGAGATGCAAAGGAGCATTGATCTAATCAAGAGATATTAGCTCCCTCTGGGGGCATGGTTTGTGCTGATTATTAGATATATATAGACCAGGCATGGTGGTGGCTCACACCTGTAATCCCAGTGCTTTGGTAGGCTGAAGTAGGAGGATAGCTTGAGGCCAGGAGTTCAAGACCAACTTGGGCAACATAGCAAGACCCTGTCTCTACAAAAAAATTTTAAAATTAGCTGAGTATGGTGGTGCATGCCTGCAGTCCCAGCTACTCAGGAGGCTGAGGCCAGAGGATCACCTGAGCCCAGGAGTTGGAGGCTGCAGTGAGCGGTGATTGCATGGCTGCACTCCAGCCTGGGTGACAGAGTGAGCCCCTGTCTCTAAAATTAAAAATTAAAAATATGTAACAATATATAAATTTAGATAAATAAATTTATTTTAAAATAAATAAGAAACACGCATCGGGCACCTGGGTGGACTCAGGACCATTCCTTGCTGAGAAGCAGCCAGACCTGAGTCTTCTGGAAAATGCCACACACTCCTCCTTCAGGAAGCTGCACTTCTAAGGGAAATCAGAACACAGCTTCCTCCCTCTCACTGCCTTAAGGCTAAGCATCGAAGGGCAAGAGATTTCCTTCTGGTCTGAGAGGGCTCACATCTGATGCCACAGCTGGGTTTTCCTGCAGAGTTTGAAACAAATCAGTTGAATCACTTTGGAATTACAGAGTGCTAAAAAAGTTAACATTTATGACTCTTCTGTGTCTCCCCTCTTTTTTGGCCACTGATAACTCAGATTCACGTGGCCTCACAGTGTCTCAGGGCCGAGCCGTGGGTTCTCCGGGGGTGCTCGTGGGCCTGGCTGGGTTTAGCATGGTCTGGGCCATGCACTGCAGGGTGGCCCGTCTCCAACACTGACACCACGGCTCCCATTTGCAAGGACGAAGTTTCCTGCCAACGTTTAACCCCATGTGTGAATTTCTATGCAGGCAACAAGTAGTGCCTAAGGCTGGCTAATTAGGGGGTGCAATTGTCTAATTGGGCCATGTGAAAATGGGACAAAAGGCTGACGGCTGGCAAAAAAAAAAATCTGTTTTCACAGAAAGGCCCTCCCTGAAGAATGCACTAGGACTTGGGCTATATTTTGCCTTGACTTCTTCTGTTGGGGTCTTCAGCTCAGCTCCCTGCTGGAGCTGCTCTGTGCAGGAAACACGAAGAGTGGCCATGTCCTCGGCGGTGGTGGCCTGGGCTCAGAAGTCCCTGCTCCATCACTGGCCAGCTCTGTGACATCTGGCAAATTTTTACCCCTCTGGATCTGAGCTCTCTCATTCACAGATCAAAAGCCTCAGCTCCTTCGCCAGGACTTCCCCAGTGAAGATGAAATTAGGCAAGGTAAGTAGGGCACTTAGCACAGTGCCTGGCACAGAGAAAGCTCCTGAGTGACGGGCAGTCACAGGAGGTCCCAGGCATGCCTTGGTGGCTTTGCAAAGCTGCATCAGCACCCCTTACAGCATCCCCTGCAGCCAGTGGAATGAGTACTCCCACCTATGGCATCTCTTCCCTTCATCCACCCTGCACCACCCCTGAGCAGCCTACTTGGGCATCGTCCCACCTCCCACCGCATACCCACTACACCCCCCAGCCCTTCTGCTTGTCTACCCTCAAGCCCCACCCCTCCTTTTCTGGTCCTCACCCATGATCCTCTCCACCCTTCACCCCTTCCACCTGTCAGATCTCCTGGCAACGATGATACATCCCTGCCCCACCCCATCCTCCTTATGGCGACAGGAATCAACCCCACAGAAAGCATTCAACACACCCCCATGACGCACTGGGGTTGCAGAGGCTCAGTGGAGAAGACATCAGCCAGGAGTCCATTTTGCCAGACTTGGGAGCCATGACTGACGCTCAAAGAATCAAGACCACATCACTGTCATCATGCCGGGCAGCACAGAGCTCAGGCTGGCTTCTCTTTCTTATCCTCACCGGGAGCTCCCAACACAGAGGCCATTCAGGAAGTGGCCAGGACCAACTGGACCCTCACAAACAAAAGTGGGAGAGGGATGCCTTACTCAAACCTTCCCACGGTATTGTCAGGAAAGCTCTAGTCAGGAGAATACACAAACTTCAAAACAAATCACATTTGGGACATAAAAATAATAACCATCACCTCCATATTTCAAACAATATTTGACCGAGGTTTTCAAGGTGACGGCACATGTGTTATTTCCAACTGCCCATCTTCAGGACCAAAGCATTGGACAGGGCTGGAGCTATCACCCCCTCCCCACACTCCTTATGCCTGGGACTCTGGGAAATCCAGACCCCTGTCAACATCCTTTGGGAGAGACAAGACACAGGCCCACACCTTTGTCCCTCCAGCACTGGCACAGCGTTTTGCACACAGGAGGCCCTCAGGGGGTCAAAACTTGAAGTGAACAACTTCGGGAGGTCCAGAACAGAGACAAGCCATCTCCCACCTTGTTAAGGGGCACTCAAGGTTTCATGCTTTTCTTTCCTGTAAGAAAGTTCACCAGTTTTTGTTCCTGTCCCACTCCTTTAGAGCAAAAGGGACCTCGGCTGGAGCAATGCAGGAGATGGAAAGAAGACAATGAAGGGCAGAGACCTCAAGGGAGATGCAGTTGGGTCTAAGGCAGAACTTTCAAGAGCAGCCAGGATGTTCCCATTATCTCAGATGGAGCCAAACCACCCCGATTCAGCACCACTAGCATGTGTGGGAAGACCCAAATGTGGCAGGAGTTCGAGACCAACCTGGCCAACCTGGCAAAACCCCATCTCTGCTAAAAATATAAAAATTAGCCAGACATGGTGGCTCACATCCGTAATCCCATTACTTTGGGAGGCCAAGGCAGGCAGATCACCTGAGGTCAGGAGTTGAAGACCAGACTAGCCAACATGGCAAAACCCTATTTCTACTAAAAATACAAAAATTAGCCAGGCATGGTGGCTCATGCCTGTAGTCCCAGCTACTTGAGAGGCTGAGGCACAAGAATGGCTTGAACCACGGAGGCAGTTTGCAGTGAGCCAAGATTGTGCCACTTCACTCCAGCCTGGGTGACTGAGTGAAAATTTGTCTTTAAAAAAACATAAAAAGTAGACCCAAACTTGGTTAGGGCATCCAGGCTGGGGCGACTAAGAAGCCTCCACTCATTGCCAAGTCCATTTTGGCATTAGGGAAGACAGCACAGGGACTCTCAGACCATGTTGAGACCATCAGCAAGGCCAAATCACTTGTTCAGGGGCACAAGATTTGAGGAGACAGGGTTGAAATTAGACTCCCAGCAGCTGGAGAGGGTGGCCTTGGGAGCCTATTGGGCAACAAAGAATCCACCCAACTGTCAGAGGCAGGTGAACCAGAGCAACTCCATCTTGAATAGGAGCTGGGTAAAATGAGGCTGAGACCTGCTGGACTGCATTCCCAGAAAGTGAGGTATTCCTAGCTGCTAGATGTTTATGGTTAAGGGAGCAGATTGATAATGGTTACTCAACAGACCCAGATTTGGGAGTATCCTAATATCCCAATATCTTGAGAACAAAGGCATTCCTAATTTTGCTTTAAAGATAATAAAATCAATTCTTGCAAAATATAGTAATTAAGAAAATTACTCCCTTTTCACAAACCCTTGTAGCAGAGCACATCTCCCCATGATCTTTTTTATCCTATATATACGAGCATTGGACCTAGGGTGGACTCATTCCTTTTCTTACTTTCCTGAACGCCCTACTCTGTCTACGAGTAGCCGTACTTTCACCACTTTACTTTCTTAATAAACTTGCTTTTGCTTTGAACTGCGGACTCGCCCTGAATTCTTTCTTACACAAGATCCAGGAAGCCTCTCTTGGGGTCTGGATCGGTACCTCTTTCCCGTAACATCATTCTGGCGACCACAGAAGCGACTATAGTGTGGAAACCCCTGGCCCAAAGGCTAACTTTGGGTGAGTGGTGGGGTCCTGTAACACAATGAGTTCTGTGAGCGCGGCCCACACGGGTAACATCCAGGACTCCCACCACATCCCGAGGCTCTGAGACCAGAGGGGCTGCCAGCTTTCCCGAGAACCTGAGCCAGGCTCCTGCCCTCATGAGGCCTTCAGTCTAGTGGGCAAGTCTGGAGACAGTTGTCCCCTTTCTTTCTCCTTCACATCTTTGCCCCAGTGTCAGGCCACGTTGGCTCTCTCGATGACAGAGAAGCTCCATCCCCTTCCAGGGTCCCCATGTCAGGATGGCCCTGTCCCTAGCCCAGCATGCCTGCCAGCCTCCCCTGATGGACTATGAGCCCACAGGGCAGCCAAGTAGCAGAGGCCTGCAAACACCTGTTGGCCATCTGCCCCGTACCCACTGTGCACACAGAACCAGCCAGATGCTGGGCGCAGCAATGAACCCGAAGGTAAGGTCCTAGCCTGGGGGTGGGGTCGGGGCAGGGGGAGGCACATGTGCTTTAATGGGGGAGCCAGGCGGCAGTCAAGGGAGTCAACTGGACAATGTGAGTGACTGAATGGGAATACTGGCTGGGTAGTGTCAGGGAGGATGTGCTGAAGAGGGAACCCACACCATGGAGCTGAGAGTCACAGGAAAAAAGTGCCTCCAGGCAGGAAACAACCCATGCAAAGGCCCTGAGCTCACTGACACTCCCACCACAGCTCACTCCCACCACAGCTGCTTCCCACTCTTCTTCAGACCCTGGCCCATTCTGTTTCTGAAAGTGAGCAGATGCCCTGCCCAGACCCACGGAGTATCCAGTGGGTGCTATCTGTGTGAAATTGACAGGTGCTGCACCACCCTGGGTCTGTGAGGGCTCTGGTGGCTGTTCCCAGCCTCATTATCTGGTATAAGTAGTGGGAGGCAGGGGGCTGGGGTGGAGCAAATGGCAAGGCACCTCTATGCTCAGGTCAGAGACACCATCGCCCTCTGCGGGGTGGAACAGGGCCAGCCGACAAAGGCAAATACACCAGGGCAAAGACACAGATGGAGGTCAAGAGCCACCATCACCATCACCCTCAACAAAGGCGTGTATAGGGATTGGGGGAGAGGGGATGCCAAGGTATGGACCAGGGAGACTGGGCACTGGAAATTTCCTCAGGGACAACTGCCTGGCAAAGAAACCTTGGTACCCATGGAGCCACTAGAGGACAAGGGGTTGAGGGAGAGGGCGCTACAGCAGCTGTCCCCACCCTCAAGACATCAAGCACACACATGGGCATACACTCACATGGAGTGGGCACCCGCGCACACTCATTCACACACTCATCACCCATGCAGATATACACATGGCTCTCACAGACGCTACCCATGCACACAAACCTCAAACACACGTGCACAGGCACATGAGCACACACAGTCACACTAATGCACATCTACACGTATCCCTAACACACACACGCACACACACGCGCCTACACACACACACGCATACAAGTGCAGATAGCACCCACATACGGGTACTCACCACCCACATTCCTGTAAGCACTCAAATACGGACACACAGGCACACGAGGTGCAAACACGAACACAACATGTGATCACACACGCATCTATTTGGGCCCACACACGTGCCACGCCGGCACATTCCAGCCTGCACTCGCCCATCTCCAGGCACACGCCATGTACACTCATGCCCATATGCGCACAAGCGGACACCTGCCCCTACCCCCACACAGGCACTCACACCCCAAGTCCCGGGACCTCCCACACCCCGGGCCGCAGCGCACTGTGCGAGTGGAGGGGGTGAGCTCCCCAGCAGAGGCGCAAGGAGGGTGTAGGGTGCGCGGTGTGGCTGTGGGCTGCGGACAGGGGCCGGGGGCGCGCCCGGGTCGGTGCCGCGTGGTGGGAGCAGCAGGCGCGCAGGTAGCGGGGAGCCCCCGCGCACCCAGCCCGCGGGTGATTACTATGCGGCGGCAGCTGTCTCCGGCGCGGTGACGGCGCCTCTAATTGATCTCATTATCTCCCCTCCGTAAGGTGAAGTGCGGCCGCTCGCGGGGCCCGGGCGCGGGCAGGGCCGGCTGGCAGCCGCGGGCCGGCGGGGGCAGCGCTCGGCCTCGGGGTGGCACTACCGCCGGGCGCCGCGCCAACGAACGCAGGCGGCGGGAGGCTCGGCGGCGGGGCTCGCGTTCCTGCACCGCGACCGCGCCAGAAAACACCCCGGGGCTGGGCGGCGTCTCGGAGACGCATTCCTTTGTTACTCCCACCGTCTTTGGTAACGATTATTAATGCCATCATGTCCCATTTCCCCTCACCTTCCCCCGCTCCCAGAGCCGCGCCCGCGCGCCCGATCTCCAGGCGCTTCGCTCCTCCTGGAACCAACAACAATGATCCTCAATTAACCCTCTGCCAGGGCTGCCTGCTCGTGAATGGGGCGCTCTTCCGGCTCGCGGGCGGCAGGCGCCCCAGCCCGGGCGGGGGGCCAGTCTCCGCTCCCCCGGCCGGACCCGCGGGGGCTCGCAATCCGCCCGGGCGCCGGCTGGGGGTGGCCTCGCAGCTCCCCCGGCCTCCCTCCAGGATGAAACTCGCCCTCTCTGGAGGAGAGAGGGCAGAGACGGTCCGAGAAGTTGCAGGAGGGAAAGAAAAAAAAACAACACTCAGTTTGTTGTGTTTTCCTTGGGTTTGTTTTCTTGCCAAAAAATTACCCCCTTTGTCTTTGCGCAAAAGAGGCAATCCGGGCACCTTCTGGTGGGCACCGAGGCGGTGCCAAGGCGCCTTTCTTCAGGGCGGTTTCTATTCCTTTTCTAGCCTCACCAGATATATTTTTAACATTAAAAAAAAACACTATATTTAATTGGTTATGGATCTCTGTTCTCTTAGCACTACTGGATATCACAGAAAAACACATTAGTACAGAGCAATTAGTGCAATGGCAGTAAACAACTAAGGCACTATTAAGCTGTGGGTGATTAAATAGTATTACTTTATATTTTTTACGGTGCTAGACTAAAAGATGGAGATTTAAGATATATATATTTCCATTAATATTAATATAAAATATAAATAACAGGTGTCTTCCACTTCTTCTTAAGGTGCAATTTATACCCAGCACTTCAACCTATAGAGAACTACTTTTCTTATTGAAAAAAAAACTCTTTCTTTATACACTCCAGGGCAATATTTCTTATCTTCATGCACCCGGATATTTAAGCAGAAATATTATTTAATTGGAGTTACGGACTCAGGCGAAATAATGCCCATACCTATATCACCATTAAAAAATAATAATAATAAAGCTTCCATCCCATTGAAATACGCTCTATCGTTTCTATCTTTGCAAAGAGCGAATCGGGCATTATGTGGTGAATTGACTGCAGGCCCGGAAAACAGGCGGGCGGCGGGTGGGCTGCGGCCCTGGGGCTGGGGCCGGGCCGCGTGCACCTTGCTGAGGCCCACCTTGGCCCCGGCTCCCACTGCAGCTCAGGCCGCTCCTCCTCCGTGTGTGTAGATCATCCTGGAATTCTGGCACATCTTTCCTCGGCATCTGATTAAGTTAACAATGTGCTGCTATTTGCATGCAGATTTGCCGGGGCTTTCTCTCCAGCTGCTCCCAGAGACTTGGTCTTTCTCTGCGTTGTGATAGCACAGCAGTCCCTAAATGCAATCTTTGTCAGACCCAGGTGTGCTCTCATTGAGGACGCCTTCGTTCCAAGCAATTTTTCTTTCTGTAGCATTTATAAGGCTCTATTATAGTATAGCCACATCTGGAGGAAAATTCTCCTATTAATTATATACTTTTACCACTAGGAAGACACATTCTAAAAGATACCAACATTTTTGTTGTTGTTGTTCTTATTTCTTTGACAGGCTGCATTTTATTTTATTTTGTTTTGTTTTTCCAGGCATTTCAATATTTAAAGAGCCATTAACCAAGGGGTGGGGGGTGTGAATTTCTAGGAAAAAAAAAAGAACAACAGAACTAAAATCTCAGTGTCAGCCCTGCCTTACCTCACAGGGACAAGTCAGGGGAAAGGTGCCAACTGAGAACTCTCAGAAGACCTCCAGGCTGGACAAGGGATTCAGGATGAGGGCCTGGCCAGTGGGGAAGAGTTCCGTTCTACTGGAGTTTAAAAAAAGGTCGGGGGGAAGAAAAGCACAAGTGCTATTAACTTTTAACCTAGTCTTCTCCCAGGTGGACATTCAAGCATGTCACCAAATCGCCAGACAATTTGATTTCTCTAACGTCAAAAAGCAGAACCCAATTGGATCAGCATGGTGATCCCGATGCGGAGTTTTCTTTGTGTGGTATGGTAATTTTTCAATTAGGTTGGAGACAGATTAAAAGCAAAATTTGGAGCTCAGAATTCATGCTCATCTTTCAGAAAGAGACAAGAATCTTTGCCCAGGGAGTCTGAAAGTTACTTTAGAAGCAGGTGGGTTGTTTTGTTTGGTTGGTTGGTGTTTTTGCTTTGTTTTCAAATCTTTTGGTACAGTCAGATTAGATGGGGGGGGCGGGTGATGGAGAGAATTAATGTAGGAATTATAGGAAAAGTTTTAACCATCGGATGGTCCCTTTCTAAATTATAATAAATTTAAAGGGCTATAATTTTTTATTCAAAAATTATTTTGCAAAAGGGTGTGTACTTCGTGAACAAGAATCCATGCATGAGTATGTGCGTGTCTGCATGTGGGTGGGTGCATGTGTGGGTGTTCTATGCTGGGGAGACTGCACGCACACACACTTGCACACACTCACACACTCACACACAAAGAAAGCTGAATTACCTTGAGAACAGGGAAAATGGAAATGGAACCATTTTCACTTTTCAAGACAAACTTCATCAGGTAAAAATCCAAGCAAGGTTTTGGTCACTTGAGTCCAGATCCTATGATGACAACGTGGAAACTCTCTTCTCCAGACTCACCTCCCCTGTTCCAAAGCTGGCCTCAGCAAAATCCCAGGGCCGTGTCCCGGCAGTACCAGGGGCGGCTCCCAGCAGGCCACGTGTGAGCAGCAAAATCACACAAGAGAGGCCTTTCTGAGTCCTGCCTCTGAAGGCTGGAGTCACTGCTCCCAGCTACTAACTGCCTCTGCTCACTGGTGCTAACCCCTTTCCCTCAAAATGACCAATTGTTTTCACTCTCTCTGTACAGAGGCCAGAAAGGCCCTGCAATTAGGGCCCATCTTTGGACCATGCCTCAGCCTCAGTTTTGTCAGCTCTGAAATGGGAAGAGCCAATCCCATCCTAAGTACATGCATGAAAGACTGTCAACCCAGTTCTAAATAGAAATGATAAATAAGGGTAAATTTTACTCTGATTCTTTTTTCTTAGGTCTCATTTCCTCCAAGCCTTGGTGCTGAAATTAACTGCCCTTCTTTTACCTTACGAAAACAAGCAGCGGATTCTAGTTTCATGACACTTAAGGAAGAATCTATGCAAAAAGGTGGCAGATATTAAATGCATAGATTCTTCAATGTATATATATTCTCTCTTTATATATATACACACACACATATATATGCATATATATATATATATTCTCTATATATGCATTTAAACATATAATGCAAAAAGAAATAATTTATTTTCTAATTTGACTCTTTTGGGGCCGCTGCCTTTTCCATCTCCTGCTGGCTGGCAATGCCCCCTCCTTTCCCCTACAGATATCCAGATACCCTCCTGCAAAAATACAGCAGGGAGGCAGATGCAGTGATACTAGATTACATCACTGGATAGCATGTGGCATTGAGGGGAGAGAAAAAAAAAACAAAAAAAAAAAAACAAGAAAAGACAAATGACATTTTGCTGCTATGGTGTGCTATTTTAGTGGTGATGGCTTGACTTTTGGCCCAAACGCATATGCCAATGGCAAGGCTAACTCCAGGGACTCACAAAAAAGAATGTGTGTTCACAGCTGTACTGTACACCAATACAGATTACATGTTTTCAGTGTTGCGGCCACAACAGAATGCTAATTAACATACTGGAGTGATGAGAGCGGCTGCAAAGGCCTTATTGTTCCATTATTTCATGAAGCCCAGCTGCCTTTGTTTATGTCACTTATCCTCTCGTGCCACAGGTTTTTACTCCAAAAATACTATCCCAATACAGCGTTAATATTTAAAAAACAAAGAGGTGGCAGATTGTCATTTTTGTGTCAGTCTCAAACTGCAGAACTGTTAAGCTGTTCTGGTTCGGTATTTAGAAATAATTTAACAGCCATATTCAGACACTGCCTGCATTCTAACATAATGGCTGAATACTTGAACCAAGCAAATGCATAACTATCCTGACATCACTTATGAGATTTAGATTGGTCAGTTAATGGAAGTCTTTACCACAATCAATACCATAACAGCTTCTTGAAATGAACGTGATTTTTTACACGGAGTGCTGCAAACAATAACTACAGAAACATACTACCTTTGTACCCAGCACAAAGAAGCTAAAATGCAAAATTAAGAAGCAATTACGTTTTTGCAAACTAATATTACAGTTGATTATTAAAAACAAACACTTCCAAAAATACGTACTTATCATTTAATAATTGGAGGGCATTAATATCCCCCGTACCTGATTAATCATTTTTTTACACTTTTTAATAGCTGTTTCACCTACTGGCTACATTATCAGCTTGCTGTTAAGTATTGATATTGATGATTGATGTAATAATGATTAAATAAAAAGCCATATTTAGAGCTTGATTTTTATAACATTCTTTGTCATAATCTTCATTCAAGAGAACACTGTCTGCTGTTTAAATTAGTTTTTTTCCCCTCTGTTTTGCCTGGATTGTGCATAAAAGTGACATTCTATAAAATACAGGTTTCCTCAAATAGTGTTCCGCCAGCAATCCATACATTCTACAGTAATTTGCAATCATGGTCAGGGGAGGTTGTTGGCTCAAGTTCAAAATGTTTATGGCGCATTGGTTCCCCAAAGAACAAAAACACCCTGGGGTTTTAGTTCAAATTTCCCTAAATGCACCTTTATTGACATCAGGTACAATAGTTGGGGAAATACGTAATACCCCAGCACAGACGCCATTCAACCAGAGTCATAAATTAAGTTAGAAAAGGTCTCCCCTAAAAAGTATAGCACTCCACTAATCAAAGCCACGCTGTCGCCATTGCTACAGAACACAGAAATCTTCCCAACAGCCAATTGAGTGAACAAGCCATAGTTGCTTTTTAACGAGTTTAACTGGTAATCTCAGATAAATGGAGAACTGTTTGAAGTGTCTGCCTTCTCTAAGGCAGTAATGAGAGGATTTACAGCATTCTGCATCCCAAACTGCGTATAACCAAGAGAATGCCACAGGTGTGTCACCATCCACGTTAGAGTGCTTTCTCAGCGATGGCCATCCCCCCACTGTGGACACAACATATATTTTTTTTAATTGGATCCAGGAGCTAGCTAAATTATCCAACTGCTCTGTGCTTAAACCCCCAGCTAGCTTATGTACCAATAATAATAAACTTTCCATAATAACAGCCCAGCCTATTACTGTTTTTTTTTCTCTTAATCTAAAAGTGGAAACACTTTATTCTGATTGCAGCCACTGAAGAAACTCCTGAGTTGGTTTCCTTCTAAAAAAAAATTGCTCAAGAATTACAGAACAGACCCAGGTTAACAATATTCAATTATGCACACATGTATTTTCAGAGGAGAACCTGCTTATCTTATGGTACAGGGAGAAAATAATGTCATAATTCATCCCTTTGCAATTTGTGGAAGAATTTTGTCTTTTCCTTTACAATTTTTATTTGCCAGGTCAAAGCAACAGCCAGTCAAAAACCACACCCCGGGACAGTGACAGCAACATCTAGACTGCACAATCGCAGACGGGTCGGACTCAATTGACACAGCTTCAGTGTGATCCTCCACATTTAATGCATTCATGTTTCATTTGCAAAAAGAAAATCCGAGCCCTGTGCTACCATTCTGGTTTTCAGAAAAGTGTTACATTTATAAATAAGAGATCAAAATCCTTGAGTGGGCAGAAATAGTATCATCAAACCAAATACATGTTTCCACCATTTGGACATATTTTTAACAATCTTAATCCCACTTAAACTTTGCGAAAACTCTATTGAAAATTTAACCTTGTGCTCTTGAAGCTGAAACTGATAAAACTTAATAGCAACAAGGCAGTGAAACACTAATAAACTCATTATAGATCACATAAATGGGATGTCTGCGTGGCTGCCAGACAGTGCACATAAGCACCTCAGTTCCAAAGAGCAAAGGCAAGCAAGGTAGTGTGGCGTCTGCGTGGACAGTTGGAGGGAGACGAGTTGGTAACACTTCACAACAAGTTTGCTAAATTTACTGGATCAGTCAGTTCATTTAGAAATTTCAGATGCTAATTATAGGTGGGCTACAGACAAGCTGGTATAAAGAATGAGTTTTCCTGAGGCCTGAGAGCCACATCAGGGTCTACGTTTGCAAAATGGCTCCTGAGTCCTCAAAGCCCTTTCCATGTGATAATCCTTCACCAAGCAAGCGGAGCAGCTGAAGACTCAGCCTCCACCAGTCCCCTCCCTTGGACCCGGTGAGATTCTCCGCTGTCGAATCCATGGAATCCTCCCTACAGTTGGTTTGTACCAGAGGCCACACCTTGAGGTCTGCTCGCTGAATTCCACCAACTCATAACTTGTGTGGCTCACATGGCAATTTAAGCAAAGATATGTAAGGGTCATCAACGTGTTGAGTTTCATGTAAAAATAGAGATTCCTGCTTTTGCTTGAAAAATCCAAAGCTCTAGCAACATTAAACCCACATTCCCCATGGACAGCCACCAGGGTGCCTTCTCCAGGTGGTCACAACCTCAGACACTGATGGAAATGCTGTTGCCCTCGCAGGCACATCAGCAGGACGTCCGTGTGACTTCAGTTGCAAAGGGCAAAGGCAAGCGAGGTAGTGAGGTTTCTGTGTAGACAGATGGAGGGAGAGGATTTGGTGACACTTCACATTTGGCAACTAGAGTTTTGCAGCCGTAGTGTGCACCATTCAGAGAATGCTGATGAGAGGAAAGATATGGTCAAAAGAAGATACGCTAAGGAGAAGCTGGAGGATGGACTGGAAGAACACGACTTGTGTTTCGGGCCCCACCCCACCACGTTTCAATCAACATGTAGCTGCTGCAGCCAGCTCTGCCCTCCATGAGTCTCTCCTTGCAGAGAGTGGGGGAGTATATGCTTCTTCCTTGTCATCACAAGAAGAATCTGGGAACCCAGGAGGGACAGGAGTAGGAGGGAGGGACAGAGGCTCTGCCCTTCAGTGGCTCAAAGTCTAGGTGGGGAGACCAGGCATGAAGTTCAGACGACCAGAACCAAGGCACAGGGTGGGAGATGGTGGTCCAGCTGTGCAATGGATACTTTAACAAGTATGAGAAAATGCTGTGCTTAGCCTTGGAGAGCCCACAGCAAAACCGACATGGGAAGGTGCAGGAGGAAGGACTGGGACACAGGAAGAAGGAAAAGGAGAAGAGAGAGATCGAGGTGGTAGGCAAGACGGTGAAGTGCAAGGCTCTACTCATCGGTGTCATTCCCTGTGATCTGTGAGGCCAGGAGCCAAGATCAGAGAGCGCTCGCCCCTCAGCTACTCCAGACTCTCATGTCTCACTGCGCTGCTGTCACGCGACCAGCATCACCAGCACTTCCCAGGGGCTAAAGGTGAGCAGCTCAGGCTCCACCCCAGACTTCCTGAATCAAATGGGCATTGAAGGCTCTGATCTATCCAGCTGGTAGAGAAAGCCAAAGGGATCGCTCCAGCTCCCCGCACTCCACATCCACATGCCCTGGGCTTTGCCATGCATGGGGCGTGCAGGTGTGAATTGCAAAGGAGTCTAAAGGGACTCCAGGTGCATTTCTAGCCAAGACAGATACCCAGTCCATCCACCTCAATGGTGTTTTTAGGCCATCAATAAATATGGCTTTGGTAGTCAGATGATGTGTAATTAGCATTAAACTCTTTTATTTCATGTAAGTTAGAGCCTTGTCTGAGACACTTCATTCAGGAAGTAACCTGGCACTCAAGATTAAAATGAAATATTAGCATGTCAGCGGTGGCCTCACCACGGCACGCTCCCCTCCCACCCTCCAACCCTGCAAGGGAACAGCACGGAACGTCCCAAGCACCCCAGCAGAAGGGATGTGGCGGAGGGTCTTTCAGAGGTGAGAGGTCAGACTTTCTTCCATGGAAAAGGGGCCACTGCCCCTAGCAAGTGAGAAATGGAAAAACTGACCCTTGTCGAAGTTGAAACCAAATAAGTGTCATCCTTTTATTGCATTTTCTTTCTGCTCCTCAAACTCATCCAGGCTGTCACTGCCCTGGGGCCTTTACACCTGCTGTGTCCTCTGTCCAGGTGCTGCCATCTCCATGGGACTCAGTGTCTCCTCCCCAGAGGGCCTTCCCTTATCACACAGTCTCAGCCAGCCCTCAGTCCCTCAGCTTCAGATCCCCCTGTTTGAACACTTGGTGTGGCATTTGCCCTAACAAATGGTGTTCTAGCTTCTTCCTATAGAATAGTATTTATGTATTTATTGCCTGACTCCTCCAACTGGAATGTCAGCTACAAGAGGGCAGGGACTGTGGCTATTTTGTTCTCTGCTACATTCTCAGGGCCAAAAACAGTACCTGGCTCATCAAGTAGGATGAAAGAGAAGAGAGGGAGTGGAAAGGGAAAATAGGGGATAGATGGATAGATGATAGATAGATAGATAGATAGATAGATAGATAGATAGATAGATAGACAAATGATAGATCTAGAGAGGAAGAAAGGTAAATAGATCTATCTGTATATAGAGAGATGCTAAATACATAGATAGATTGACAGATAAGATGATAGATCTAGAGAGAAAAGGAAGGGAAGGAGAGAAGGAGAAAGGAAGAAATGAATAAAGGAAGGAAGGAAAGAAGGAAGGAAGGAGATAGATATAGATAGATAGATAGATAGATAGATAGATAGATAGAGATATGATAGGTAGATAATAGACAGATAGACAGACTGACAGCTAGCTCAATTGATCAGGCACTTTGCCTGACACGGAAGAACATGGTGCCCACTCTCAAGAGTCTTGCAATTTAGAAGGGAAAGTGACAGAGCCAGAAAGCATTGCCCAGCAGCCGCTCACAGTGTTGTCAGATATGACCAGAGCGGCATATGATTAAATGGCAATTAGGGATTCAAAGGGAAGGACCATGAAGACAGAGGAGAACTTACTGTGGGCTGGAGGAGTTCACGTGGGGCTTCCTCAGGGGTTCGGCGGGGGTGACTTCCTTGCACTAGATTCCAAGAACCCAGCTAGATATGAAAATCCCAAACAGTGCCCCAAAGTTGCACAGAGATCACCAGACACATAGCAAGATTTCAGATGATACATAGAGAAACTCCTATTTTTTTTAAAAAATGAAGGCTTATATAATTATTCTGATGTTTCATATGAAAAATATATAACTGG